>NC_000011.10:15060000-15685000 GCF_000001405.40 Homo sapiens | reverse complement strand
AGAGTAAACTGGGGTAAAATGGTAAGTAAACTCTTGGGGCTCCAGTCTTTTTTTATTCATAAAATATGATGTTTGTAGTAGTTATTATAGCTAAATTACAGTATTTATTGTGAGGAGTCAATAAAACACTGAAGAGATAAGCAAGGACCCCAATACAGAGTAAATGTAGTTGGAGTGTCTTCATTGGATTAACTGTCACTTTTCACTCAGAATCATCTCAGCAGTGCTCTGATTCCTACCTGCACTGGGAGAGAGCTTCGATGCTGAGGCTGGGAAATGGTGGTTGGGGAGAGGATGGTAGATGTCTAGCTGTCATTCCTAAGATGTGAAAGGGAGATGTGTGGGTGTATTAGTCTGTTCTCACACTGCTGTAAAGAACTGCCTGACACTGGGTAATTTTTAAACTAAAGAGGTTTAATTGACTCACAGTTCTGCAGGGTTGGAGAGGCTGCAGGAAACTTACAATCATGGTGGAAAGGGAAGCCAACATATCCTTCTTCACATGGCAGCAGGAGAGAAATGAGTGCCCAGCAAAGGGGGAAGCCCCTTTTGAAACCATCAGCTCTCATGAGAACTAACTCACTATCACAAGAACAGGATGGAGGAAACCACCCCTATGATTCAATTATCTCCACCTGGTCCCTCCCACAACACGTGGGTGTTATGGGAACTACAGTTCAAGATGAGATTTGGGTAGGGACACAGCCAAACCATATCAGTAGGACAGAAGAGTGTATGTGTGCAAGGGTGTGTAAGCATAGCCCCATCCAGTGCCTGAGCATTCCCACTCTTACCTCAGCTCTTACCCAGCTAACAAATTGCAGAGTTGGAAGCACCCTTGGGAAACCACTTATTCACATTATAGAAAGAGGATTCAACAGAATTCCAATGCACTGAGTTTGAGTACATAGAGGCATACAAGGTAAACACACGAATGTGCATTGGGGTGTGTGTGCATGCGTGTGTGTGTGTTCACTTTAAAATACTACATGCTCCTTCACCCCAGGGTGCTTCTGCAGCCTGGCATGAGAATCTGACAGATCAAGGAAAGGGCAATCTTGTCCAACTCAAAAATAGTATGTTTGCTGGACACAGCCCTACCCAGTAGCAACATTGCTTGGGTGAAGATCAATCACATTCCATTTTCAGAATGTATAAGCTTTAATTATTCAGGGAAGTTGCAAAAGCAAGAATAGTTCAAGCATTTCACATTAGTTTTGAAGCACAGTTAGAAATAGATTTATCTCAAAGTACATATATATTTATATCAGGATCTATGCCTCATCAGCATTTTTTAAATTAAAAAAGTATTTTATGAGGTATAATTTATGTAATAAATTATAAATTATTTACAATAAAATATACAGGTCTTAAGTATTTAGTTTGACAAGTTTTGGCAATTGTGTATGTTAGTAACCACTACCCAAAGCAAAATATAGAACATTAGATCATCTGAGAAAGTTTCTTCATGGTGCTTTCCAGGCAATTCTTGCCTCCACTAGAGACAACTGCTGCTCTAACTTCTATCACTATAGATTGGTTTTGCTTAGATGTCTTATCAGTGGAATAATACAATATGTATTTTTTACATTTGGTTTCTTTCACACAACACATTTCTGAGAGTCATTTATGTTGAGCATATCAGTAGAGACTGTAAGACAATTCTCCAATGTGGTACCATGTTATACTCCCACCAACAAAAGTATGAGAACTCCAGATGCCCACACCCTCAGCAAGGCTTGGCATAGTCAGTCTTTTAAATTTTATTTATTCTAATGAGTATGTAGTGAAATCACATTATGGTTTGCCTTGTCAATTTTATTTGCTGAATAGCTTTTTGTAAGTTTATTTGCCATCCATATTGATCTTTTGTGAAGGTATGTTTAAATATTTTGCCATATTTTTACTGGTTTATTTATTTTTTATTATTTGCATTGTAGGAGTTCTTTATACATCCTGGATACCTGTCCTTTGTTAGATATATGTATTAGAAATATTTTCTCCTAGTCTATGTCTTGCCTTTTCATTTTCTTCATAGTGTTTTTTAAAGAACAGACGTTTAATATTGATGAAGTCCGGGTTATATTTTCCTTCTGAAGTTCATACACTTCGTGTCTTATCTAAGAAATGTTGTTACCCCCAAGGTTTTAAATATTTTTCTCCTAAATTTTCTTCTGAAATGTTTATAATTTTCACTTTTAAGTTTAGGTCACTGATTAATTTAGAGTTAGCCTTTGTGTATGGCTTGAAATGGGAGTTGAGATTCATTTTTTTCCATATTGATATCTAGTTGTTCCAGCATCGTTTGTAAACAAAGAGACAAAAAGACACTTTTCTTTCCCCCATTGAATTTACTTGGTAGTTTGGTTGAAAATTGATTGACAATATAAATATGAGTTTATTTCTGAACTGTATATTTTGTTTCATTGGCCTATTTGCTGAAATAAATTATTATTTTGCCCAGGCCATAGTGTCTTAACTACTGTAGGGTTACTGTAAGTCTAAAAATCAGCTACTCTAAGTCCTCCAATTTTGTTTTTCCTTTTAAAAGCTTTTTTGGCTATTTTAGAGCCTTTGAATTTCCATGTGAATGCTAGAGTCTCCTTGTTAATTCCTTTAAAAAGGCTGCTCATACTTCAAATGAGATTACATTGAATCAAAAGATCAACATGAGGACTTTAAGCACCTTAACAATATTGTATCTTTCAATCTATGAACATGGTATATATCTGTATTTATTTAGATTTTTATAATTTTATTGCCAAATATCTGTCCAAAATTATTTGTAGTTTTTAGTGTAGAGGTCTTGTATGCCTTTTGTTGAATTTATTACTATAAGTTTGATGTCTTGTCATGCTACAGCAAACCTTAAGAATTATATTCCATTTTGTTTATTTCTTATGCATAGAAATAAAATTGATTTTTGTATATTAACTTTTTATCCTGTAATTCTGCTAAATTGGTTTATTAGTTCTAGTAGTTTTGTTTGTAGATTTCATCATGTTTTCTATGTATACAATTATTACACATGCAAATAAAAATAAGTTTACTTTTTTATTTTTAAACTTTACACTTTTTATTTTACTTCTTGTCTTATTACATCAGTTAGGCTTCCAGGATAATATTAATTGAAGTAGTGAGAGCAGACATATATCATTGCTCTGATTCTGATATTTGGGCAAAAGTGGGCAATGCTTCACCATTAAGATGCTATCCATAGGTGTTTTATAGACTCATTTTATCATTGAAGAGGTTGTCTTCTGTTTCTAATTTGCTGGGAATTTTTTCATGAATGTGTGTTGAATTTTGTCAAATGTTTTTCTTTGTCTGTTGAGACAACATATGGTTTTTCTTCTTTAGTCTGTTTATGTGGTGAATTATATTAATTTATTTTTGGATTTTACCCCTACTTTGAATTCCTAGGATAGATCCCACTTGATCATAGTGCAGTGTGCCTTTCACATATTACTGGATTGGACTTGTAGTACTTTATTAAGAATGTTTGTGTTTATGTTTATGAGGAACTTTAAAAAAATTTTCTTGTAATATCTTTGTTTGGTTTGGGTATCTACGTAATGCTGGCTTCATAAAAGAAGCTGATAATGTTCACTTCTTTGGAAGAATTTTTGCAAAATAGTTTTTCTGCATTCCTTAAATGTTTCATAGAATTCACCAGTAAAGCCCTCCGGAGTTGATGTTTACTTTATGAAAAGTTTTTTTGCTTTGCTTTGTTTTTTGGTTTTTGTTTTGTTTTGTGAAAGCAATTACTTTGAAAGATACAGGGCAATTTATATTTTTCTATTTCATCTTGTGTCCATTTCTGTTTGTGTTATTTTGAATTTACTGGCATAAAGTTTTTCAGAACCTTCCTTTATTATCCTTTACTATCTCTAGGATTTGTAGGGATATCTCCCCTCTCATTGATGAAATTGATTGTGATTTTTTTCACCTTTTCTTTAGTAGTCTTGTTAAGGAATGATCAATTATATCAAAGAACCAGAATTTGACTGTTGATTTTCCTACTGTTGGAACATTAACTATTTTATCAGTTTATTCTATTGTTTTACTTCTTTTCTTCTATTTATTTTGGGTTTAATTTGCTCTTCTTTATCTAGATACTCAAGGAGGAAGCTTAGATCATTATTTTTACATCTTTCTTTATTCTTAATAGAGACTTTAATTTTTTTCTTTTAAAATTAACATATAGTAAAATTGAACATGTTTTTGGTGTACATTTCTATGAGTTTTCATACATGCACAGATTTGTATACACCACACCATCAGACACTAAACAGTTCCATCACACCCCCCCAAATTCCTTCATGCTTCCTTTTTGTAGTCACCCTCCTACGACTTCCAACTCCTGACAACCACAGATCTGTATTCCATCACTATACTTTTGTATTTTACAGACTATCATGTAAATGAAATCATGCAGTCTATAACCTACTAAAACTGACTTCTTTTACTCAACATAATAATTTTAAGATTTATCTCGGTTTTTTCATGTATCAATAGTTCACTTCTTTATATTGCTGAGTGATGTACCACAATTTGCTTATCCAGTCACCTCTTGAAGGATATTTGGATGGGGATTTGGTGATTATAACTAGAGCTGCTATAAATGCAAACATATAAATTTGTGTGTGAATATAATTTTACACATGGTAAATAGCTAGGAGTGGGACTCCTGGGTCATAAGGTAAGTGCATGTTTAACTTTATAAGAAACTGCCAAACCTTGCCAGGGTGGCTATGGCATTTTGGATTCCCACCAACAATATATGACAATTCCAATTGTGCTGAATCTTCACAAACACTTTGCATTGACAGGATTTTTTATTTTAGCTATTCTATTAGGTTTACCAGTGGTAACTCATCATCATTTTAATTTTTCATTTTCCTGATAGTTAATGATATTGAATATTTTTCATGTCATTTGTAATCTCATCAGCTTCCTGTATAGGTTTTTTACCCATTTTTGAATTATGTTTTTTATTTTCTTTATCATTTATTTTTCACCTTTTGTTTTCTTTATATTTTGTTTTTCATCTTTTGTTTTCTTTTCTGTTAAGTTTCGAGTATTCTTTACAAAATCTACATACAATGCCTTTGTCAGATATGTGATTTTCAAATATTTTTTCCTGGTCTGTGGTTTTACAGTATCTTTAACAGAGAAAAAGTATTTAAATTGGTGAAATTCAATTAACGATCTTTATTTTATATAATGAGTGTTTGGAGTCATATCTAAAAGCTCATCACCAAAACAAAAATCACACAGATTTTCCCTGACATTTTCTTCTAAAATTGTGTAGTTTTATTTTTTACATTTAGATCTGTGATCCAATTTTAGGCAATTTTTCTGTAAGATGTGAGGTTTATTTATTTGCAAATGACTTGAAGTTGTTTCAATGCAATTTGTTGAAAAAACTACCTTTATTCCATTGCACCTTTTACAACTTTGTCAAAAATAAATTACCATATTTATGTGGGTCTATCTCTAGACTCTCTACGCAACTTAATTATCTTTGTGTCAGTTCCTATACTACATTATCTTAATTACTATAGCTTCATAGTAAATCTTAAAAAGAGATAGTGTGATTTCTCTAACACTTCCATTTCAAAATTGTTCTGGCAGTTCTAGGTCTTTTGCATCGTGTATACATTTTAGACTTCGCTTGCTTATAGTTACAAAAAATCCTGTTGGAATTTTTATTGGAATGCATTAAATCTATTTATCCATTTTGAGACAATTGACATCTTACTATGTTGAGTTCTCCCAATCCATGACCTTGGTGTGCCTTCCTACTTATTATGTTTTCTTCTATTTCTGTCATCAGTGTTTATTAATTTTAAACACACAGATATTATATACATTGTTCAATTTATACGTAATTTTTCTTTCTTGGAGCTATTGTAAATGCTATTAACCTTAACACTTGGTTTATAATTATTCATTGCTTATTGCCAGTGTATAAAAATTTGATTGATTTTTGTTTGCCTTGTATATTGTGGATTGTTAAACTCTTTTATTAGTTCTAGGGTACTAGAAGATCTTTTTCTTTTACTTTCTTTCTTTTTGGGGGAGATATGCTTATGCATCTTCAACATGGATGATAATGTCACCTGTGAATAAGGATAGCCTTATTTCTTCCTTTCCAAACTGTATGCGTTTTATTTATTTTTATTGCCACATTTCACTGGTTAAGTCTTCCAAAGTGATACTGAATAAGAGTGGTGACAGTATACATCCTTCCTCTGTTCTTGATCTTTGAGGAAAAGTGTTTAGTCTTTCACTATCAAGCATGATGGTAGCTGTAGGTTCTTAGTAAATGTCCTTTATATTGTTGAGGAGTAAAATCTCCTAGTTAGTTGGGAGATTTTATCATAACTTGATGTTGAATGTTGTCAAATGTATAGTTCATATAGGTTTTTAATTTAGAATATTAATATGGTGAATTATGTTATTTGAGTTTTGGATATTGGGCCAGTCTTGAATTCCCAGGATAAGCCCCCATTGGTCATGTTTAATAATTTATTTGAATTCAAGTTGACAATTTTATATTGAAAATGTTTGCATTTTTGTTCATGAGGGGTTTTTGAGTTTTGAGTTTCTTTTCTTGTAATGTCTTTGGTTTTGTTGTCCAGGTAATGTGGGCCTCATAAAATGAGTTGTAAATCCACCCTCTTCTGTTTTTGAGGAAAAAAGCATGTAGAATTCATACTATTTTTTCTTTAAATATTTGCTGGATTTGTTATTGAAATCATACATGCCTGAAGATTTCTTTTTTCAAAGATTTTAGTATAAATTCATATTTTTTAATAGTTATAGGACTACTTAAGTAATCTATTTCATCTTGGGTGAGCTTTGGTAATTTATGGTTTTCAAGAAATCAGTCCATTTTATCTAAGTTGTCAAATTTATATGGATAGAGTAGTTGTTTTTAGAATACACTTATTAGCCTTTCAATGTCTGTAGGGTCTGTTGTGATATCCTCTCTTTTACTTCTAATGTTGATAACTTGTAGTCTTTTAACGTTTTTTGTCAATGTTAGTAGAGGTGTATTAATTTTATTGCTCTTTCCAAAGAATAAGGTTTTTATTTCAAATCCTCTGTTGTTTTTCTGGTGTGAATTTTATTTATTTATGTTCTTATCTTTTATTTTGTTCTTCTGCTTGTCTTGGGGATTTTTATTTCTTTTTTTTGCTCTTTTAGTAGCTTCTTAAAGTGGAAGCTTAGACTATTGACTTAAGATATTTCTTCTTTGCTAATATAAGCATCCAATGCTCTAGAGAACTCTCTAAGCAATGCTTTAGCTGTATCTCACAAATTTTGATATGTTGTATTTTCATTTTCAACTGGCTCAAAATATTTTTTATTTTTTCTCAAGACTTCCTTTTTGACCCATGGTTTCTTTTAGAAGTGTATTATTTAATTTCCGAGTGTTTAGAGACTTTCTTGTTATCTTTCCATTATTAATTTCAAGTTTAATTTAATTTTGGTCAGAAAATACACTTTGTATGATTTTAGTGCTTTTAAATTTGTGAAGGTTTGCTTTATGACACAGAATATGGTCTATCTTGGTAAGTGATCCTTGTGCACTTGTACTGTTGGGTGGAATGTTCTCTAAATGTCAATTAGATCAAGCTAGTCAATGGTGTTATTTAGTACTTACATAGCCTTGCTGATTTTCTGTCTACATGCTCTATCAATTATTGAGAGAAAAGTATTGATGTCTCTAACTATAATTGTGAATTTGTCTATATTTTCAGTTTAGTTCATTGTTGCTTCATATATTTTAAAGCTCTGTTGTCAGGTGTGTACACTTTGGGGATTATTATAACTTCTCAGTGAAATGACTCTTTTATCATAGCATAATATCTTTCTGTACCTCTTAAAATTTTCTTTGCTTTGAAATCGATTTTATCTGATATTGTTTTAGCCACTCCAGCTTCCTTTTGACAAGTATTTGTGTGGTATATCTTTTCCTATCTTTTTACATTTAACCTTTCTATATTACTATATATGAAGAGCTCTTTCATAAAAGTAGATTTTTGAAAAATCCATTCTGACAATCCCTGGCTTTTAATTGGTGTGTTTAGAAAATTTGCATTTGATATAATTATTGATATGTTTGGATTTAGGCCTAATATATTATTATTTGTTTTCTATTTGTTCCTTCTGATTTATTTTCTTTCTTTCTCCTTTTCTCCTTCTTTTGAATCATTTGAAATATTTTTTCATTATTCCAATTTAACTCATTTATTGTGTTTTTGACTACATACATTTGTCTATTTTTATTCAGTAGTTATAAGGAATTTAAATATGCACACATACCTTTCCATAGACTACTTTGAATGTTTTCCACTTCAAACGAAATGTAGAAACTTTGACACCATATAAGTTCGTTACCCTTTTCACTTATGTTATAGTTGTTATGTGTTATATCTACATGCATTGAAAGCCCCATCGGACAATTTTATGATTTTTGTTTTCAACCATCATATATTTTAAATAATTCAAGAGGAGGACAATCTACTTACCATTACTGTTGTTCTTCCTTTGTTTGGGATGTTCCAGGTTTCCTTCTGGTATCATTATCCTCTGTCCAAAGAACTATTTATATCAATTATTTTAGGCCAAGTCAGGTGGCAACAAATTCTCTCAGTTTCCTTTCATCTAAAGATATCACTATTCCTCCTTTATTCCTAATGGACATTCTCACTAGATATAGAACTCTATGTTTATAGTTCCTTTCTCTCAGCAATTTATAAGTGTTGTACTACTTCCTTCTGCTATGATACAAATGTCAGAACCTTTGTTTTTAATCTTACATGTCCCTAGGGATCTATTTATTTTAATTAATTCATTCTTTTTTAGTTCTGTTTTTCAAGTTGGGTAATTTTTAATCTATCTATCTTCAAGCTCACTGACTTTTTTCTTCAAGCTTTTGATGCCATCTAGTGAGTTTTTAAATTTTGTTTAGTATATTTTTCAGTTCTGAAACTTCCAGTTCTTTGTGACTTCTATTTCTTCTCTGAGAACTTTTGTCTTTCTACTTGGTTCAAGAGTACTCACCCTTAATTCTTGGAATATTTTTGTAATCGCTGCTTTATAGACTTTGATTATTTCAACATCCATGTTATCTCAGCAAGGGATTGTTTGTCTATTCCCCTGTGACTTTAGATTTTCCTAGTTATTCATACACTGAACATTTTGGATTGTATCCTGCTCATTTTGAACATTATGTTATGAGACTCTAGGTCTTGAATAAGACTATGGAGAAAGTGTTTATTTTAGGTTTACCAATCAGCTTGGTTGGGTTCAGGCCACAAGTTCCAAACAGGATTTTATGAGTTTTTGTGTTAATATGAGTTCTTTTTTTAAAGACCTTGCAATGATATTTGGATCTGTCCTGTGTGTGCAGCACCACCCAGTAGCCTACCTGGATCTGGATGGTGGGCTATCCTATAGTTCAGTTCTTAAAGTCTTTGGTATTCTGTTTAGGGTCAGATGAACTGCCTCAAGGAGAATTTTGATTGATGGAGTCCACTTCCAGGATGACTGTGGAGGATGCCTGTATGTTCTGCACTGGAAAATGGTAAACCATTTGTGAGTCTACAGTGGTATTGCCCAGGTGGCATGGTGGGACCTGGCTAATGTGGTACTGATTCCAAGTTTACTTTTTCTTAGCTGTCTAATTCAGACTCCCTCCTCAGCTTTTGCACTTTGAAAATGCAGGTATTATTTATCTAACAGGCATGTGGAACATATTAAATGGGATACATGATGTAAAGTGCCTAGTCTAGTGTCTGACACATTGGAAGATCTCAGTTACTGTTGAGAATTCATCTGACCTAGTGAAGGAGAGCTGGTATGTCAGTAGGCAGAATTAAAAACTAGTGCTGAATTGCTCCAATGAATTTCCCCTGCTTTTCTGTGGGTATTGTTAGAATGGTAAAGGGTTCCTAATCTTTCTACTCCCCCTCCTCGCATCAGTCTGAATCATAACCACTGCACATCTGCTGCTTCACAGAGTTGCAGTGGGAGCCACACTGTGCAAAAGGCATACCAGGCAGCTTTCAACCTCTTTGGGTAACCACAGGCTGGAGCCTTAATACACAGCTCTGGGGAGTCCTTGAAGGCATCTTTCCATTTGAGATAAAGATGATGAACTCAGCCCTATAAGTAAAGTCTTAATGGGAATCATGAGGGTCACAACACCAAAAAATATTATCAATGACCCCAAGGTATTTTATGGCTAAATAAGAGCTGAAAGGATAGGATGAGGAGGAGAAACAGGTGCATGTGTGGTCCCTGTCTTGACTAATAAGTTAACTGGACTATAGAAAAGTAACTTGATGAAGACTGAGCACTATTCCTCTAGTTTCTGGATAATGATACACACTTAGAGATTATTGGAAACAGAAGGGTCAGAAACATCCTTATTCTGGGCTTAAGTCAGACACTATTAGCCAAACATGGCACTCTTCCCTTTTGAGCCTATTCATAGCCTCCGAACACTCCTCAACAGAACTGTCAGAGATGAAGCTGAGAAGAAAGTTGTCATCCTGGATCCAGACCAATACTTTAGCAAGAGAGAGGCAAAATTGGGATGAGAATCTAAATCTTCTAATCCCTAGTTCTTTGCTCTTTTACTTGCATCACATTGTCTTTCTGTTTCTAAAACTCATAAATAATGGTGCTAATCCCACATGTTGGTAGGCACTTTACAGCTTCCAAAGGAATTGAGGACAGTTTCCATCTATTTTTTATCAGAGATGTGCAGGGAAGACAAGGAAGCTCTAATCCAAATGGTGGAAACACTTATGATGGCTTTTGGTCCCCGGAAGACTTTCTGAAGCGTTGAAGAAGATACAAACCCTCTTCAGTGAGAGATACATTTCATGTGCTTATATAACTTTCACCACCCATATTGGACTTAATTTTTTATGTGTCAGTGCATACTTAGAAATGTAAGTGCATGTGTGTGCCCATGAGCATGCATGGCTTTGTATGTGCATCAGATCCATGACTCTTGCCCAGTGTGACATGTGCAGGTATCACGTCAACATGCATATTTTACATGGTGATCTATGTGAATACCACCAGCAGCATATGAGAGTACATATGCTGGTGTCTACACACATATGCCTGTGAGAATATGTGGATTTGACTCACAGTGCTTGTCTCCAAAGCTATGGGTATAGGAAATATTGTGGCAGATGCCACCATGTTGCTTCTTGGCTGATTCCCCAGCCCTCATTAACACCCACAACTGCTCTACATTCTTCCTATCACTAGGCTGTCCCAGTATCTGGATGCCTGCCAATTAGAAGCTGAAACTCCTGACAGTATCCTGGCAATCTGCATGTCTGTCCCTGTCAGCCATGTGGAGAGCCAGGAATCCTCTCAGGGTCAGCAGGAGGGAATTCACAGAGTTTAGTCACTCCACATCTTAAGTGCCTCTTCAGCTGGGCCCTTTATTTGGCACCTTAGGCATCAGACTCCTGTGCCTATCTCAGCCCTACAGTGAGCCTGTACTAAGGAGAGGCTGAGCCATGGATGTCAGGCCAGCATGTGCCAAACTTGTCCTGGAGCCTGGGCCCCAATACAGACAGATGTGACCCTGGTGATAGGCCTTTCTTGCATTGGAGTAGCTAAGGAGGAATTTCTTAATCCAAAGGGCCTTTCCTCCCACTATGATTTCCAGTGCCTAATACATAGTTCTCAATATATATGTCGTAAATTACTGAGTGACTTGCTGAAAATATATAGATAACATAAGCTGAGATAAAAGATGTGGCAACATTTAGGAACAGGGGCTGTTCTCTGATGTGCATGTTCTACTTGAGGCTGATAGAGTTGGATTTAAATATGACCTGCTGTTTCATTCAGTTTAGCCTTGATTAAGCACCTTTTATGTGTCAAACACTGTGCCAGATACTCAAGAAGGGGTCCTTCCCCCGCAAAGAATGTCACAGTGTTTGGGGTTGGAGTGATGCCTAGCAAAGCACCCCAGAGTCGATGGCTTACACAACAGAAATGTATTTTCTCACAGTTCTTGAGGCTGGAAGGTTGAGACTAAGGTGACAGTAGGATTGGTTTATACCGAGGGCCCTGAGGAAAGTGTCTGCTCCAGGCCTCTCTCCTTGATTTGAAGATGGGGTCTTCTCCCTGTGACTCCACAGCATCTTCTGTGCCTGTCTGTGTTTAAATTTCCTCTTCTTATAAAAACATCTGTCAGATTGGATTAGGACCAAGCCTAATGACCTCATTTTAACTTAATTATCTCTTAAAGACAGTGTCCCCAAGTCTGGGGACTTCAACATAGGAATTTGAGAGGGGGACACAATTCAGCCCATTATATAGCCCAGGCCTGTATTATGAGAGATACATTTCATGTGTTCATGTCTTTACTAAACTTCACTTTCTTCATGAAGACTTTTGAGCTTTCTTGGATAGAATTTGATATTCTCTCCTTGGAGCTACTGCTTGGACAACTGCTTTTCTGAATTTGTAGTAGTAGTTATGTGTTTAGACAAGTATCTTCCTTACCAGTCCAAGAACTTCCAAGGAGGCTGCAGGAGCTCAATACTCTATTTCTAATACCTGGGGTAAACTTGGCATCTAGGAGTAAAGGAGAGCTCTGTTGTATGGGTGCATAGATAGATGGATGGAACTGATAAAAGCTGAAAAAGTAAAGACAATACCCAGGGAACACTTCTGGAGGATTCCATGGCACCAGTGATGAGAATAAGGGGGCAACAGAGAGAACAGTTTGACAGGCCTTCTCAGAGAGATCCCCTGTACCAGAATTGGTCCACAAAGTTAATCCTGATGCGCAAAGAAGTCAATAAGAAAAAAGTGTCCCCATACCAGAGATAACTCCACCAATTGAGGTTGCATTGTTCTGGACTTCTCTAGCTTCAGCAGGAGGATTGGTCTGATGGGTCCATGACTGCTGAGGTCACCTGCCAGAATATCTCTCATCCTGTCCCAGCCCTAGCCTGCCTGTTGCCATGTTCCTTTCCTGGAACCAGTACGGGGGCAGCCCAACAAGGGTTTTTACATTTTAAAAACCAGTAAAAAGTTGAAAATAGTCACTGATGCTCCTCCCCCTGGAATGAAGCCCTAAATGTGTGAGGATTGTTACTGAGTGGTAGCCGCCTTTCCCACACCCCTTGTCCAGAACACTTCTCTGGTACAGCCAGGCTACCCAGTGACTCAATGGCTCTACTCCCCTACATTTCTGGGGTTGCTCTCCTCACTTTGCCTCCTCCCCAGAAGGTCCCAGGACCTAGGACAGAAGTCCTGTATATACCCCACCACATCATGGGGCTAGTTTTCTTAGACTCTTGCCAGCCTTATCACAGAAGGCCTGGACTTCTTTCATGCCTGTTGCCTTCCTTCTGGCTGAAATTCCCAGAAACACCAGGCTTGGTACCCAATGCCATTCAATGCTCTCTATTCTACCCTTCTGAAGCTGCACCCTCATCCCTCATCCTGATGACTTCCTGCTGGGATGCCTGGCCCCAAATGGAACTGGAGCTGCTTCTTTCTGGTTAGGACACCTCCTGTGATTGCTTACTCCCTGAAAAGGTCCTGCTCCAGTTCTTCCTGCACACCTTCCCCTTGACCTGGGGCTCTCTGGGCCTGCTGAAGCCTGGGCTCAGTGGAAGGAGTGGATTGACAGTCATGGAGTGTGACTTCAGGTGGCCCTGAAGTGTAGTGGCACCAGGAGCACCCTGGCACTGCTCTCAGCCCTGCCTAGGGACCTCCCTAGCAAATAGAACCCTGGCTCAGACAAAAGCCATTAGAAATCATGACGACATCCATACCTTGCCATGTCCCTGGCATAAAGGGCCTGGCTAAATACCTTTGCAAAGCTTGTATTGTGCTGCATCCTGCGCTGCCTTCCCGACCATCCCTGCACTATCAAATCTTTCTAGGGCCCTTTGTTGTGAAACCAAATATAGCACTACATTGTCTGGCCTTCCACCCATTCTGGCTGGATAAAGAGGCTCGGTCCCCAGACTGGGGGCACACAGCTTCAGGCGGCCTCTCAATGCTATCTCACCACCACAGCCCACGCCGGGAGCCTGCGGCTCCCCCACCCACCCTCTCTGCTCCTGGGCCGGCGGCTGCTCCATTGATATGGTGTGTATTCTTTTCCATAGGTTCCCACGAGCATGTCACTAACCATTTCCTGGGCCTTATCACTGGGAGGAAAAAAAGGAGCGCCTTTGAAAAGTGGAAACAAAACATCAAGCCCCATTGTTGTGTGACTTCCCTGCCCACAATCTGGGCTCTCCATCACTCGACACGCAGAGACTACAAACATGGCCTAATACAGATACTCCAATCGGCAATTTGAAGAGGATATTTATTGTTCTGTATCTGCAATCTCTGCTCTGTGTGTTTGTGTCTTTTAACTCATCCTTTTCATTCCTCTCTGTTGACTCAGAACAAGTCAAAAGCCTCTAACGGCCATAGTCACTGGAAAAGGCAACTGAGTCAATTTGCAAACTTTGATGTGCCTTCTTGTTCATTGGGAACTCACAGTGGAGAGAGCCTTGTTCACCAAGCTCACTTTGTCCTTTTTCACCCTCTTATCTTCTTCACATTTTTTTTAAACTTTTTCTCTTTCTTCCATTCTGTCTCAGTCTTTCCCTCTCTGATCCATTTGTTAACTCTCACTCCTTACCTAAATGATCAAGTAGAAGAGGGCACTTCTGGTTAATTTCTCAGAATGAATGAGAGGGGACAGAGGACTTTATTTATATTGCCATAAGGAGCCTACATTGAGGGAGGCTTCCCAGGGGCAGCACCTGAAGGAGCAAAACCTTCCCAAGCCAGTATCATTGTCTCTCTTGGGCTGGACCTGTCAGTGAATTTCTATATCCTTCCAGCATAGTGATCTTATCAAAGATAAGATGCACATGATTCTGGACTATTATATATGAGAACCTTCAGAGGTGAACTAGTCAAAGCCCTTATTTTTATGGAGGAAGAGGCAGCAGACGCTCTGAGAGTGAAGTGACTGGTTCAACACCATACAGTGACTTGGTGATTGCCAGGACTAGAAGCCAGGTCTACCCAGCTTCCTGACCATTGCCAGGAAATGCTGTGCCCTAGCTGTGTCTCAAGATCTCTCTGAGAGTCTTTGTGATACATTCCCATTTTAGGTGTCTATCTAAGATGGGGACTTAAAAGTCATCCATTGGTCCCACCTTAGGGACCACTAAGGAGCATTTCCTAGCATAGCACAAAGTGGCTAAGAGCACAGACTTTGCATACAGAAAACCCAGGCTAGAATCTTGGCTCTGCCATTTATTAGCTGTGTGACCCTGGGTAAGTCACTAAACCCTGCTATGTCCCACATTCTTTACTTGCACAAGTAGAACTTGCCTCCTAGAGTCTTTGAGAATTAAGTGCTTTCAATTATATACAGTGCTTGGGATATAGCACACACCCTATACAATTTTTTTTTTTTTTTTTTTTTTTTGAGACGGAGTTTCACTCTTGTTGCCCAGGCTGGAGTGCTTTGGCGCCATCTCAGCTCACTGCAACCTCCACCTCCCAGGTTTAAGTGATTCTCTTGCCTCAGCTTCCCAAATAGCTGGGATTACAGGCATGCGCCACAAAGCCCGGCTAATTTCGTATTTTTAGTAGAGATGGGGTTTCTCCATGTTGTCCAGGCTGGTCTTAAACTCCCGACCTCAGGTGATCGGCCCACCTCGGCCTCCCAAAGTGCTGGGATTACAGGTGTGAGCCACTGCGCCCGGGCACACTGTATAAATTTTAACTATTGAAGAGTTCCCAGAAGAAAAGCTTGTGTTAAAATCCATTTTTATATCAACCATACACCCATCTTGTTATCTTTTAAATACGGACTTCGCAGAGATTTTCATACAGTAGAGTTCTTGTATATGCACATTCTAGTTGATTCCAATGCTAGGGCTCCTGCTCACCCCTGCAATACAGGCACTTGCCTTCCACCCAATAAACATGTATTTATCTGTTTAACAGTGTATGTGGAACACATACTCTGTACTAGTCACTGTGCGTACTCCTTGCCCCTGTGGTCAGTTGCAAGAGATAACATTAAACAAATAACCACACTAATAAATATGCAAGTACAAACTGTGACATGAAGGAAAAGTACAGAGTGTGATTAGAAGTTACATTAGGGGACCAATTCTAAGTTGAGAGTTTAAGAAAGGCATCCCTAAGAGAGTGAAATTTAAGTTGAGGTTTAAAAGAATGACAGAAGGTGGCCAAGTCAGTAGCCAGAGAGCACCCAGGCAGAGGCAGTTGGGACCACCTGAGGAACTGACCAGGGAAGAAAGAAAGACTGGCATAAGGGGGGCACAGAGAAAAGCAGGAAGGCCGGGCAGTCCACCAAGGGTACACTGATAACTCAAGGCTGCAACTGATTTTGGAATTTCCCCCTTTAAAGTCAGTACAAATACTTTAATAGTTTCTGAATAGACCTTGGCTGGTGAGTTAGAGAATGGATAGAGCAAGGCAATTAGGAGTGCAAGAAAGAAGCTCTAGATCTAGTCCAGGTTAGAGAGAAGAGGAGCTTGGACTGGCATGATGGATGTAGAAATAGAGACAAAAACTCTGGGCATATTTTGAGTAGAATCTATAAAACTTGGTAATGATTAGACTATGGTGGGGAAGAGAGATGGATGAGTTAAGGATGCTTCTGAGATGAGCATCTGGACTCATGGAGCTTCCACCTACTGAAAAGGGGAAACCTAGAGGGAGATCTGGGGATCAAGGGCTCTAGCTGTATTTGAGATGCAAAGTAGGCAGTGGGATTCTTGAATCTGGAGCTTAGAGTAGCAGTCCAGGCTGGAGATGTACATTTGGGTATTAATTACATTTTATGCACTGTGAATGAAAGACTGAATGAACAAAGTGATCATACTAAGATTTGAACTCAGATTTGCCTGACTTAAAAGTTAATATTTTATGCACTATCCAATCACCTTCCAGTCAACTGAATTCAATTAAAATTGTGGCTTTTCCAGTATCCAGAGACTGTCCAGTCCAGGGGGAAATGTGATGAATGCCAAGTCCAGAGAGAAGGCTAGATTCTCAGAAGAGTTCTTGAGAATGGGCAGAATCTGAGAGTCCCAAAGGCTAGGGGTTCTGGCATAACTTCTGGAGATGCATAGGAAGAAGCTAAGTCTTGGGGGATGTAGTGACCCTTCACACCCTCAAACTTTACTGGGCCAAAACTCTCCTAGAGTAGACATTCATAAGATTGTTTTGAGACAATTTATTGGAAAGAACCTAATACAGTGCTGAGCACATAGAAGATGCTCAGTTGTCAGGCTGGGCTGCACTAGATCGCAAGAACAAACAATCCCAAAATCTCAGTGACTTAACAGAGTCCATATGAATCAGACAGTGTTCCTGAAGGCATTTTTCCAACAGTGACTCAGGGATCAGGGCTATTTTCATCTTTCAACTCTGGTTATGTCAACTGTCTTCACTTCTCCCACTGGTAAGAAACTGGGGAATTCACACCTGTTCTTACCAGCTTCCAACTGGGGCAACACAAATGACTTCTACTCTCAGCCTGTTGATCTGGCAAGCATCCCAATATAGCTGCAAAGGAGGCCAGGCAAGGGCTAGGGGAGCATGTAGAGATTCTGTGAGGCTTCATTTTCTGTGCTTACTCAGCAAATGCTCGTGCTGTCTCCTTCTTCTGGTGAAAGGATGAAGCAAGGAAGAGGACTGGAAGATCCAAGTGGGAGATGAGGTGGTCAAGGCTGAGGACGATGGAGTTGGAGCAGGGACCCTAGACCCTAGACCCTAGACCCTAGTCAGATCTTTGACTCTAAGAGCTAGGATCAGAAATCTGTGCCTGGAACTTAGTCCGTTTCTAAGCATAAAAAATGTGTTTTCTCCTATTCTCTATGTTTGTCTCTCTCAGCATTCTCATTGGAAAATACTGGAAAATAAAGGGGAAGTTAAAGTAATTTACTGTCACAGTCTGAGGTCTGTGCTCTCCAGTGACTTTTGCCACCCACGATCCGTAAGGAAAGGATGTCTGAGAGATTGGGGCAAGACCGTTCCCTGAATGAGCCAGATCCTAAGGAGCCCACATCCAGGAAACTGTCCAGGGGCATCACCTAAAGGAGCAAAACCTTTCCAACCCAGTATCATTGTCTCTGTCTTGGGCTGGGCCTGGTGATGAGTTTCTATATCCTTCCAGCATAGTGATCTTATCAAAGCAGATTAAAAATGAGAATGGGCCTATAAAACATGCATTATGTTCCCCTTCTGTTCTCAGGGAGGATTGAAGGTGCTGGTTTTGAACAATGAGCCTCATTATTTCTGTGCCCCAAGCTTGACAAGTGGCTCTGCTCCAGCTGCACCCAAGTCTTTGAATTAAAACTGTGCCCTCTGAGAATGGAGACTGTCCTGGGGATGGGAATCCTGCCTGGGCTTAACCAGCCCAACTACAGGGACTTCCACCCAAGCCCTCCTTTCCTGTGAAAGCTCACTTTCCAGAAGACAGTTGCTTATCCCTGATGTTTGTTTGTTTGTTTGTTTGTTTGTTTGTTTGTTTTTGAGACAGAGTCTTACCCTGTCACCCAGGCTGGAGTGTGGTGACATGATCTCGGCTCACTGCAGCCTCCACCTCCTGGGTTCAAGTGATTCTTGTGCCTCAGCCTCCCGAGTAGCTGGGACCACAGGCACACACCACAACACCTGGCTAATTCTTGTATTTTTAGTGGAGACAGAGTTTTGCCATGTTGTCCTCAAACCCCTGGCCTCAGGTGATCCACCTGCCTCAGCCTCCCAAATTGCTGGGATTACAGGCGTGAGCCACCACTCCCGGTCTATTCCTGATGTTTGAATAAATCCTTCCATCAATCATCCTCTCTATACTTATCCTAAGCCCTGACCCGAACTAGTTTGGTGCCCCTCACCCTACAAAACTCTGAGCCCCTATTATGACAGAGACAGTGAGGAAGGAGGGTTTTGGGTGTAGTTTCATGGCTTTCCTTTGAGCTGAGTGTGGTAGTTCAGCCAACATAGATGTCAGACCAAGTTCCCCCACCAGGCTAGAGGAAGACACATTCTTCCCAAGCATAGTGTTTGTGCCCTCTGTACCCACTGTCCTGACTGTGGAGATGGGCAGGTCTCTCTTCTCACAAGACTCTTTGTTCTCTCCCAGACTTTAAGCTTAGATAGCATCTGGATGAAGTATCCTCCGTGCCCGGCCATCCAACTGCAACCACAGTCTCCAGATTGGTCCCTAGTCCTATAGCACTGCATGAAAACCACTGACTTATCTCCAGTTATACTTTATTGTCACTATTTGTTTGTACATCTGCTTCCTGACTAAACCATATGGGAATGTGAAGAGCAAAGGCCAGCTTTGACTTATCTTTGTTATCTCCAGTGCCTTACACAATGCCTGGCACATAGTACATGCTCAATAAATATTTGTGGCATGAGTAACAATATTTAATTGTGTCTGCTTAGTCCAATTCTAAGCAGGCAAAAACTTTTGCAATGTGTTGTGATTGTTTTCCTGTAAACGGCACAGGGAGGCACTCTGACTCTGTGACCTCCTCGATGGGCTCTACAGTACAACTGAGACAGAATAAATGTCTGACTGCTCTGTTTTGACTGGTGACAAGAGTTGCAAGCTGATTAATACATTTAAAGTGGTGATCAATTTGTCTTATTCATATCCTCTTATCCTGATTGTAATGAGTAGATCTTTTAACATAATGAAAACTGCATATTTCACTCAAATTCACAGTTTTGCATTCCAGAGGAGTTGAAATGCTGTTCTTTATTTAATGTTAAAATGAGGTATAAGCTCTTGTCTTGGGAGGCCAGGAAAGGTGACAAGCTGCCTCTCCCCTTGAAGGCCAAATGTGTGGAATCAACTGAAACCTTTGAATTTGACTATATAAATAGATTTTCAGAACTGTGAAATGGGAAGGCACATCTATCTTTTGCCTGGTTTATGGGTACATCAGCCCCGAGTGGAGGTCATCTAGCTTTGGCTTGAATACTCTCTAATGACAGAAGGCTCACCACTGTTCATTTTATTTTTCAAAGCCTCCAAGAGCAAAAATAATTCTTACATTGGTTCAGCATTGACCTCCCTGTTGTTTCCATTTGTTTCTGTTTCTGTGGACTTATCTGCTTCTCTTCCTTCTTCTCTTCCTCCCTCCTTTTCTTCCATTTTAAACTTCTTATAGTTTTCCCTAAAAATGTCTAATATCATAATAACCTCGTGCACTTTGCAAAGGCTTTGAACTTTACTTGTGCTTTTCACACAGCCTTGCAGTGGTTTTCTGTTGATTCTCTGGCATTGCTGCTTCTCTTGGAACAACCTGTCCTAAGAGTGGCCTCTGTGATCCACACACATTTCTCCCTCACTCACTGCCATATATCCAGCACCCAGAACCTTGCCTGACACACAATGAGCTCTCAGTCAGTGGTCCTTCAGTGAATGAATGAATCAGTACATAAATTGATGGTGGTGCCTAGAAGGCATTTTATTAACTGTGACCCTGAAACCCTGTCCATGGTTGTTTGGTATCACTCCACTAAACAGTCAGCATCACACAGCAGCAAGATGGAAATGGAGACAAAAGATATTCCCACTGCCTTCTATGGTTGAACCTGTGTCAGAAAAGCTCAGGAGCTATGAGGAGGCTGTGCTTTTGCCAGGGGACCAAAGAAGTAGGGGAAATCTGAAAACAGGAAAAGAACAGCAGGTGCATAGAGAGGAGTGGAGATGAGAAGCAGAGAGGGTGCAGAGGGCTTAGTAGCCCTGGCTCAGCAGCCCTGGCTCCCAGGGGTGTCTGAGGCCTAGCCCTGTCCCTGTCAGTGCTCCAGAAGATGACCTGGCCTCCTTCCCCAAATTCCCCTTTATTGCTCAAGCCAACTCAAAATAGTTTATTTACTTGCAACCAGGCATGTCCAACTAAATACTGGTAGACACGAAGACGTCTGTTTCTTAGCCTTGGAAAGGAGGCTCTGAAGGGTAAGAAACTCTCCCAAGGCCACAGGAACAGGAGTGGCAGAGTCAGGCCTACAGCCAGTTTTCCAATCGAATCCTAACCCGACGCCCTCCCACTGTGCTTTGTTGTGTGCAGTCACTGAAGCGCGTCCCTGGCCCTGGCTTGTGCTCTGCCCCTGTGTCTTGCTTCTAACAAAAGAAAGAGTCACTTCTGGAGCAGCCAGATGTAGCAGAGCAGTGGGAACCCAAACCAAGAGGAATTCACTCTCCATAAATTATGCTTTCATAGATGTCAATTATTAATTCCTAAATAAATATTTGTTAATATTCAAAAGAGTTTGCCTACCAAGAAAAACTCAGGCTACACAGAATAATTAGTGCTTCTTACTGTGCGATGGATGTAGCCCATAATGATTTTTTTTTCCTGTTCTGCATCTTTATTTTTTCTGAAGTGTGAATGCCTGAGTGTGCTGGGTTTCCTGCGGGGGTTGGCTGGCCCTCCTCTGAGCAGTCTTGGTTTGAGGTACATGCACAGAAAGAATGCAAGTAGCTGAATGCTTCCACAGAAGCTCCCATACTGGCCAGTGGGTCTTTTTCTTCTTTGTAAAGGAAGATTTTAAGAAGAACTGAAGCTGAAACATGTCTAATGAAAGAAAGTTGTAGATCTAGCCAAAAATTGGCAGGTAGGGAAGTCATTCAATTGAACAAAAATCTCATGTCATGTATCACAGTTTTGAGCACTGTGCTAGGGCTGGGTCAGCAGGCAAGGGTAGGAGTGGCCACAGAACAGAATAGATGTGTCTCCAGGGTTCCAGGAGTATGCAAGACTAATAGGAGAGAGCATCGTGCTAAGTTCTTAGCTCAGGGAAGAGTGAAATTAGTCCACAAAAAAGAGTTCACCAAAATGCTAGGGGTGGCTTGGAGAAGCTAGAAACCACACTAAATTGGGGACAAGGGAAGGGAGTGATTCATGAAAGGAAGTCAAATTTGAGTCAGAGCTTGAAGAATGGATAGGATTTTGATGGGGCAAAGATGGCCTTGGCATTTGAGTTTTGAGCAGGCATTCATTTGCTTTTTCATCCATTTAAGATACATTTATTTGGTGCAACTGGTAGGTGCCAGCCAGCCTGGTCTAGATGCTAGTCAGCCTGATCTAGATGCTGGGGATTTATCTTTTAATTCAAAAAACCCTGGGTCTGTGAAGTTAGAGTTTACAGTTCAGTGATATATATTAATAATAATGACACATATAATGTTACCTAATAATTTCACATGGAATATAAAAAATAGTTGCAATACAGTGAGACATGGATCCAATAGAATGACCACCTCCACTGGGGACATCAGAGAATTCTTCAAGTGGTGGAGACTCTTGGTATAAATCCCAAAGGAGTCATTTATCCAATTACTCATTCACAGCAAATATTTACTGAGTACCTACACATACCAGACACACTTTGTGTATCCGGATAGTACAATAAACAAAACAAAGTCTTTTTCTCATGGTGTTTATATCCTAAAAGTTTAGCAAATGAAGGGAGGGAAGGCCATTCCTCTCAGAGAGAATAGAACATGCAAGTCATAGAACCATGATGTCCTGGGGTGAAGCTACAGTTAAAGTTGCACAAGGAAGTGGGTTGTCAGGAGGTGAGACTGGAGAAGGAATTAGAGGCCACATTTCAAAGGACCTCACAACTGGGCTAAACACTTAGAACTTTATCTACAGCTGATAAAAACAAAGTTTGAAGAAAGCGATGTTGAGGGCTCTGTGGAAGCTGGATTGGAGGAATATGAGGTTGGGGGCACAGACACCAGTTAGGAAGTGATTGCAATAGCCCAAAACACTCATGACAAGGGCCTAGATCAGTGTGGGGATGGAGCAAGGATGTGTTTAAATTGGAAGAGTGGCTCTTAGCTTTGTGTGTATATGTGTGTGTCTAAGGTTTTTGAGAATAAAATGGAAGCTTCTGCACCCAGGAAAATGCTCATACTCGCCTATACATATTGTTTTGCAAGCAACTTCAAAGGGCAGGAATTCCAGATTAAGAACCCCTGAGTTATAGGAAACAGTTGGGGTGAGTGAGGGCCAGGAAGTGCACACATAAAATAAGAGGCTGCAGCAATGGTTTGGACATGAATCCGGTGCTATTCTAGTTCCCCTTTCAGAATCTACCTTCTTGGATCCTTCTAACTGTCCACACCCCATGACTTGGGTGGCTCCTGGTCCACAGAACCTTTCAGCTACCCATGAACTTGGCTGTCCCTCATTCCTTCTAGACCAGGCTTGTGCCTGTCTCTGTCACTCAGATGCCCACCAGAGCCAGAGGCCAAGGAGACAAGTTCCTTCCTGTCTTTTCAGTCCTGGGGGAAAGTTAGAGTATTCCTCAGTGGTGTCAATACCTCATGGTGCAGATCAAAGAGAACCTCCTTATAAGACACCAGAGTACTAGAGGTGGGAGGACCCTCAGACATCAACAAATCTCATTCCCTCATTGCACAGATGAGAAAGTTAAGGGATAGAGAGGGGGAGAAATTTTTCCAGAGCCACACAGAGTAAATGGGTGAGCTGGAACCAGAACTCTCACCTGCTAATACAATGTCTTTTGCCCCTCACAGAAGGTAATGGCTCCCTTCTTCATTCTTCTAGAAAAGCAGCATGTGCCTTATTAATGGTACTAATTGCGGCCATGACCTGAACAAAGATCAGTAGACAGCAAGCTCCATCTATGAGTGTGTCCACACCCAAGAGTATTGAATGCAAACCATGACAGAGGAGAGGTTGGCTGCCCCTAGGTGCTCACTAGTTTTCTCTGCCTGCATCACCATCCCACGTAAGAAAAACAGCAGCCCATGCATTTATTTTTCCTAGGCCCTCAGATGCCTTTGCAATACCACGAGGATGACGATACCCAATTCCCAGGGGTGTTACATACATGAAAGGGGAAGAGCACGTGAACAGACTCCCACTGCCCCCTCAGAAAACACTCTTTCCTGCTTTTCTTCTTGGCACTTCTTCCCACACTCACCTTAAAAGTGCTATGGGAAGAGCTGGGGCTGGGGAAGGTCGAGTTATTGGTCAGAGAAGAAGGCAGAGGCTGAGTTTCGCCTTTGTTGTGGCCTAGGGCTGCATCATTTTCCATATATTCTATCTCCACATAAACCCACACAGACACCTTTACAGGGTCATTCAGAACCAAAGTCAGAAAGAGCAGTAAGCACAAGAAGATAGAACTGGGATGTCCCCGGCAGATGCCACAGGGATGGCAACACCCAGGCAGGCCAGCCTGGACTTGTCAGAGAACACAGAAAAAATCATGTCTTTGCCAGACTGAGTGAGCAACTTGCAGTCACCAGGCCCTGTCCCCGACCAAGAGTTTTCACAGGTTCATAGGTGGCCATGCTGGTGGGCAGGGATGAGAACTGGAACCTTCTTCTAGAGAAGTACAATTGCTATCTACAGATGGGCAGGATCCAGAGAGGTGGGATCTGCATCCAAATCATAGGGAGTTGTGACTTCCAGGTGTCCCACATGATCCCAATTACTTTGAGTCTGGATCACGGACCTGCAGAGTGAGAGCTTGGGAGAGACACTGTTCTGGAGTCAGGTGCTGGCTTCTCACACAATGGCTGTGTGCATTTGGGAGAGTTAGACTCTCAAAGCATCTGTTTCCTTAGTTTCTCCATCCACCGGATATGAACAACAACAGGCTCCACCTTGATGTTGGGCTGGAGAGTAAGTGAGATTAAGGAGAGCCCATATTAGTGAGTGATCAAAAAATCCACAACAAAAACTGGAGGGCAGGAGGGTAGACCCTCCTGAAGCCACCTGCTGTTGTCTTTGCCCAAACAGTTGCCTGCATTCTTCTGCATCCTTCTTGTTTTTTTTAAGTAAACTTTTTAAGAAAGGAAAACATACATATAGAAAAGTGTGCGAATCATAAGTTATAGTTTGATGAGTTTTCTAAAGTGAACACACCCATAAAACTGGCTCTTAGATCAAGAAAATGCCCCTCAATGGCCTTTTAGGGCCATACCTATTATCCTTTCTGACTCCTAGCATCATGGATTAGTACTGTTTGCTCTTGGAAATTTATATAAATGGGATCATACAATATACATCCTTTTGTGTTTGGCTTCTTTCAATTAGCATTGTGTTTGTGAGATCCAGCCAAGTTGTTGTATGGAGTTTTATTTTCCTTATTTTCATTGCATGTACATTATAGGAACAAACCACAATTTATTTATGCATTTTATGGTTGATGGGCTTTTGGGTAGTGTCCAGCTTTTGAATAGTGCTGCTAGACCATTCTTATACATGACTTTTGCTGAGCATATGTATGTTTTTCTGTTGGCTGTAGATTAAATTGAATCAAATTAAGTTGACATTTTTGTAGATCAAAAAGTTAAACACTGATAATTTCATATGGCTCAATCTAATACTTTGGAGTAAAAATGTTGGGACATGAGGCACATATAATATATTCAACTTTCATAGATACTGACAAACAGTTTCCCAAAGTGGTTGCACCAACAGACACTACCAGCAGCATGTAAGAGTTTCAATTTCTACAGTCTTTAAAACAAGGGGTACTCAGGTTCTTCTGCAGAGCCTCATGTACCCACTTCCTCTGTTCTGAAGGGCCCTTTTGCATCATGAATTTGCAGTATTCTCTGTATTTGCTTTCCCCTTGAGAAGGTCTTTTTGACAGTTCTAACCCTGACTGAGCCATGTTTTAGTGTATGAAGAATGTGGTTCCACATAGGACAAGTGTAATGCCGGCAGAAGGAATAAAACTGTTAGAACAAAGAACAAAGCTCATTCTCCTCCAGTGATAACCTTGAAGCACCTGAGTTTGAATGGTATTAAGGAGGGTGACTTCTCCCTACACCAAGGGTTTTCAATCTGTCCCCAGCCAGGCTATGGAAAGTGAGAGGACAGGAGCTAAGGCTCTTCTCTCTTGCCCAGATCTGAGGAAGCTAGATATTTCCAGGGTGTTGGTGTTGATCAGAATCCATCTGCCAAATGGAGGCAGAATGGGAGGCTGTTTCTCCTTGGGCCTGGCATGGCTGCTCTATTATTCACAGTAGGCTGAGTGCCTAGGGCTACAAACATTTAGGGGGCCCACAAAAATGTTTTAATTCTCTTAAAATCAGAGAATTTTAGGACATTTTAGGTCAAAGAAAATGCTTTAATTTATACTATTAATATTTTTTCATTATATTAATGTAGTCATAAAATATAATTTGTTTATTTACTTATCTAAATGGAAGAAAGAGCCCAAGAAAATAAGAGTACCTAGGGCCCACTAAGGTCATACCGTGTTCCTGGGGCCTAAGCCACCTGCAGAGCGGATAATTCGAATTCATGGCACTTTCTAAGTTTAGTTCCCCTTCGGAATATCTTTTTGATAGTTCTATCCCTGTCTCAGCCATGCCTCGGGGTATAAATAATCCTGTCTACATTTGAACCAGAGAGTAAAAGGGGAACACTGGGAAGTTCTTCATTTCACCTCGTTCCCAAAAGTAGGGTAAAGTCTAAAGGTTCCTTAGACCTGCCTTCAGAGTCAGTGTGAAATCTGAATCTTTAGACAGCATAGACATAACTCCCTTGGGGTGTAGGGCAAGGGGTTTGCTGAGGACAGGACTGTGTTCTCTAGCTCCCAAGAGGATCCCAATATGGGCATCTGGACCCTGGTCATGGCTAGACCTCAAGCCCGCTTTAGTTCCTGTTTGTTTACTCCTTTGTTCTTCCTCCTCTCAATATCCACATACCCAGAGACTAATTTAGGGGCTGGAGGCTGAGACATCAAGATCTTATTTCTTCCAAACATGTCTCTGTTGGGCTGGCCTTCAAGGAACTATGGAATGATGAATAGCTGTTTGCTAGCTGGAGGAATTTAGAAAGGACAAGCTATTTAAAGCTCTGTGAAGAGCAACCAGGTTGGGAATATATCTTTTATTAAATGGTGGGAAAAAGAATAATTTTGCAAAATACTAATGATATAAAATATGAACAGCACGAATCTGATCTATTTTATTTACATCTTTATGTTTGAATTAGAGAGAGAAATGGACAAGGAAAGAAGAAAAAAGCAGATGGTTGGATGCAGAATCAAGAAGAGAAGGTTCTACCAGTAGCTCTGCCACAAATTTGCTCCATGGTCCATAAAAAAGCACCCAACCTCTCAGAATCTCAGTTCCTGTATCTGCAAAAGTGATGACTAGATTATCCTGAAGGTCTTTTTTAGCCTTCAAATTTTAACACATAGTAGGAGCTCCATCAGTAATTGCTGAGGTAGCGAGGGAATGCAGGATTGTGACTAGACCAATATCACACACGTGTGAAATCCAGCAACAGAGGTGGCGAGCTCATCAACAATAGCAAGGAAGCTGGGAAGCAGAGCCCATCTGTAGACAGCATTTGTACTGCCATAAAAATAGCATAACAAGATTATATTGAAATATCCCACTATTTAACTTAATAATTTAAATGTTTGCCTAATGAGGTGGACTTGATTGGATTAGGGCATTCACAATTAATTTTGATAGATCATTTTACACATTGGAGGTGCATTCTTCTGAACCAGGAGGTGGAACGGAAGTGCAAAATGTTTACGTTCAAACGAGCATGTGATTTTGCAGAAAACATTAATCCCAGATCATGCACACTAAGTCAATTTCAGAAATGGCTTCTAGATATATTATTAGAAATTGCTCTTCAAATATAAAAAGCTTGTAATAGAGTTCTGTCCATTTTTCCTTTGGCTGATGGAAGTTGTTTTATAAATATGCCTATGATAGGATGTTTTCTTCATCCAAGCCTTTTGGTACTAATTGCAACTTTTTAAACACTGTAAGTAGTAGCTGTCATGAACACTTTGAATCCTATTACAAATATGTATTTCTGAACAATTTCACATTTAGGGGTGCATTCTTTCGACTATTTTTTGCTACTTTTCCCCCCTGTTTTTTAAAAAAGCATTTGAATTGGAAACTGTGGATCCCCCTTTTTTGTTAAGGAAATAATTTTATTATGCAATAGGAAAATGGCATCAGCCCCCTCCTACACCCTCTCAAAAATTAAAGACCCAGGAGTGTTCCCATCTGCCCCAGGAGTCAGGAATGAGCAGAGGCTAATGGCCTCTGGAAAGGCAAATTGGAATCAGGCCATAAAATCCATCCCAGAGTTCCAGGAAAAACACATTCCTCAATACCATTGCTGTCGGATCAAAACTGCATCTCTGTTTTCTATCAGAAAGTTATCTCATGTAGAGTGTCCACGAGCAAGGTGCTTCTTGAAGAATTCTTTGGGTCTCAAGCTCCCCTTCTGAAAGATGGAGCTAAATCACCCACATCTCAAACCTGAGGAATGGAGGTCCTAAATGTGACAATGTTTAGTGAGACAGCATGAAGTGATAGAAGCACTGGTTTGGCACCAACTGACCACAGCTCAAATCCTGACTTTGCTCTTATTAGCAGGTTACCTTGGAGAAGTCACTAACCCTTTCTGAGACCCAAACACATCATTTAGTAAATGGGGACAATTATACCTGATGGTGAGTGTTGTGAGAATCGAATGCTACATCCCCTAATGCATGATAGCAGCTCTACAAGTTTTAATTCCCTCCACCTCACACCCAGTCTCCTTCTCTGGGAGGAAAGCAGTCCAAAATTCAAGGCACCATTGCCATCTTGGTTTCTGCAAATGCTCCTGACAAGTCTATGGCACTTAGGACACGGGGGCCCTGTTCTTCCTGGTCCTGGGAAACATGAGGTCTGCTCTGAAGGCTCCAAGCCACCTTTGTTGGCAGAAGCACCTGTATCTTCCTCCCTTCTCCTCCTCTGAGGTCCAAGCTCTATAATGAGACTTCATCAAACTCACCCAATGTGAGGTTTCAGTGACCTTCATAAGGAAATCCAAATACTTTGCAAGGTGCTCCGATTTGAATACGTCCCCCAAAAGTTCATGTGTTGGAACCTTAATTCTTAATGCAGCAGTGCTGCAAGGTGGGGCCTTTAGATGGACATTGGGTCATGAGGGTGGAGCCCTCCTGAATGGATTCATGCCATTACCACAGGAGTGAAATGTGGGTTGCTGTAAAAAGGGAGCTCTGGAGCACTGCGATATCTTCCGCACCTGCTTGCTTGCCCTTCCGCCTTTCCGCAATGGGATGACGCAGCAGCTTTCCACAGTTCAGTTACCTGTGGTTAACTGTGGTCTGAAAATATTAAATGGAAAATTCCAGAGATAAATAATTCCCAAGTTTTAAATTGCATGCCGTTCTGAGCAGTGTGATGAAATCTTGGCCCCACCCAGGTCATGAACCATCCTTTGTGCAGTGCATATGCTACCTGCCGGATAGTCACTTAGTAGCCCTCTGGGTTATCACACCGACTGTCACAGTGCTTGTGTTGAAGTAACCCTTGTTTAACTTACAGTGCAATGCAATAAGATATTTTGAGAAAGAGTGATAACATTCACCTAATTTTTATTATATTGTTATAATCATTCTATTTTCTTATTAGTTGTTGTTAAACTCTTACTATGTCTAATATATAAATTAAACTTTATCATAGGAATATGTATAGGAAAAACGTCTTTTATACAGGGTTTGGTGCTATCCATGGTTTCAGGCATTATCCACGGAGAAGGGAGCACTACTGCATTCTGAACGCACGAACTCTCTCCAACCTCAGGTGCTTTGCTTATTTGTGCTGAGGGCTCACTCATCCTGGGATGCCCTTTCCTCTATTCTGCAACTAGGAAAGGTCTTCTATTTCAAGATCTAGCTCAGATGCCTCCTCCTCCCTTGTGGGTATAGCCACCATAGCTTTTTCTGGTCCTCTTTGGGTTTGTAATCTGTCGTGACACAGTTATTATTCTGATACTAAGGCATTACAGGCTCTCTCAGAAAACCCCCATGCCTTTTCATCTCTGTGTCCCTGGGATCCTCAGAAACCAAGCTGATTATAAAGCTCTTAAAATCCTCCCAAGAATCCTATTGAGTTAGGCACTATTATTGAAGAAACCAACGTTCAGAGACACTAAGTAGCTTGTCTATAGTCACACAGCCAGTGGTTGAAGAACAAGAATTTGAACCTGGAGAATCTCACTTACAAGTCTGTGCTCTTTCCACTGCTCTATAAGCCTTTCCATGATCTCCTTAAATCTTCCACCAACCCAGGAGGCAGGCAGGGAAGGCCTCTTTATAGAAGAGGAAACTGAGGCTGATGGGAATGGTCACTTCCTAAGTCTTCCTGCCTTGTCATTCCAGGAGCTGACTAAAGTTCTGGGTTTCTTATTCCAAAACCGGGCCTCTGCACAGCCACAGGCTCCTGTCAGTGACCTGCTGAGTCACCCGCTCCAGAAAGCCACCTGCAGCAGGGTAGGTGGAGCCTGGGCTATGGCAATACCTGACAAATTCATGTGCCTTTCAGGGCTGTTCTAAGCCCCTCTCACCACAGAGGTGACAAGCAAACGACAAGGGGCATCTCTGCTCCCAAGGGATTCCAGTCACGCAAACTCTGCCAATTAAGGCTGGAACGATGTCATCTCCTGAAATGGCATTTTAATGAGTGATGGTTCCGGGATAAATTGTTATCTTGTGATCCCTCGTTAGAGAGCTTAATTAGATCCATCATAAAACACATTGATCAATAGCACTGAGCAGGTCCACAGGACATTCACCATCTGCAGGAACATTCCTACTCAACCTTTGGCAGAGCCTGGTGGGACCAATCCCCGGGCCCTAAGAGCTGCTGAGTGCGAGTTCTTGAATACCTGGGCACCATTATTCTGGTTCTTTCTTCCCTCCCTTCTTTTCTTTCACAAATATTTATTTTAGCACCGTCCATGTGCCAGGCACTGTGCTGGCTGCTTATGCTTTAACTCAGTTTATCCTCATGAATAGCTGTTATTTCCTTATCTTGCAAATGGTGAAACAAAGGCTTGAAGCCCCAAGCTGTCAACTGGTTGTAGCCCCAACAAACTGAGTTATCTTTCAGGTAACTTCTGGGGAGTGGCTAATGCAAGATGGACAAAAGTAAAAATGAAAGGAAGAGTAGACTTGATTAAACTCCTAATCCCTGCTGAGACTCTCTGCTGGGCAGTATATATATGTCACATTTAACCTTCATATCAGCGGTGAGAATTTTCATCTTCATTTTATAGTTAAGAGAACCGAGTCTCAGAAATGTTACTTGCTCAAAGTAATACAGCCAGTGAATATCAGAGCTGGAATTAAAACATGGCTTTAGGAACCTCAAATCCAGACAGGTGTGGGTTCAAACTCCAGTGCTATTATATACGCACTGTATAATTGTGTAATTTCTCAAATTATATAAACCTTCTGAATATCAGACTCTGCATCTATAATACTGAGGGTAACAACTGGACCCATCTCATACATTTATTTTGAGGATTCAATGAAATAATGCCTATCAAGCATTTGAATAGTACCTGACCCACCCATAGTGTTCAGTAAAGATTTTTCACTGAACATCCCAGTTGTTTCCCTTCAGAAAGAAATGACCTGTTTCCTTATCTATAAAGTGAGTGTAGTAACCCTTGCCCTTAAACAATTCATAGGGGAGCACTTTCAGAAAGGTAAAGTATTCAAACTTGTTGGTCACCTTCTGCATACCTGTGTGCTGGCAAAAACTGGAGTCAGCACCTATTTTATGGAAGTTTTTTTTTTTTTTTTTCTCTTGCCCAGGCTGGAGTGCAGTGGCGTGATCTCGGCTTACTGCAAACTCTGCTTCCTGGGCTCAAGCCATCCTCCCACCTCAGCCTCCCGTGTAGCTGGGACCACAGGCACATGCCACCAAATCTGACTAATCTTTTGTATTTTTGGTAGAGATGGGGTTTCACCATGTTGCCCAGGCTGTTCTTGAACTCCTGAGCTCAAGCAATGCACCTGCCTCAGCTTCCCAAAGTGCTGGAATAACAGGCGTGAGCCACTGCGCCCAGCCTGGAAGAATTTTATTTAAATTATTATTTTTATTATTAAAATAATGCACTAGCACAATGGTGGTGGGGATGGGGAGATGGATCAAGAGAGAAAGGTGGGGGTGGGTAATAAAATCAGAGTATTCAGACTTCAGTGGAAGGTAGGGATTACTGTGGTGGCCCAGGAAGTGGCCTGGGGAGTCTCACCAATGGGGCATGACTGCACTGATTCAAGGGCCTGGGCTCAAAAGGGTGTGTGTGTAGTGGTGGTATGTGCACATATCTGCATTGTGCCTGTGTGTGTCTGTGTGTGTGTGTATGTGTGTTGAACCTAATGCCCATAAGATCGTAGAACTTTTCTATACAAAAGAAAGGACTCTGGAGACTCATCCATGGATTGTGCAAGCAGGGGTGTGTGTGTGTGTGTGTGTGTGTATCTCTTTTTCTGTATTGAGGCCAGTTTCCATGAGAGGGTGACTTTTTTCACCTGTGTGCACTTGGAGATTTTTTTTTCCTTTTTTATTATAGTAAATGTAGCTTGAAAGCTGAGGATAGCATAGCTTTTCCCCGAACACAGATCACATCACATAATTTTTCTTTCAGAGAAAAGTGCTGCAAAATAACCTGCAGATGGTAAGTCTCTCTCTCTTTCTGTCCTGCTCTCGCGTGCTCTCTCTGTCTCTGTCTGACTCTCTCTTTTTCTCCATCTGTCTCCATGTCTCTCTGTATCTCTATCTCTGAGGCCCTATTTATAGCTTAAAATGCTTTCGCATTTTCACACTTGGCATGTAAAATGCCCCCGTATTACATAAAATAGCATGCATTCGGGTTTGTAATTAGATCGTTGTTTCATCCCAAGTTCCACACATAATGATGCTGGACCTTGTTCCTTATTCCCTAGTACTACCTGCAAATACTGCCAGGTCTGGGTATCCTGCCCTAACCCCTTCCCCAGTTTCGTTTTTGCCAACTCCCAATGACAATCCTGCAACCTCACTGCTCCCTGCTCCCTTGCTGATCCTCTCCTGCAGCCTTCGCGATGGGTTCAGCGTTCTTCGGCAGCGGCTCAGAGCAGCCCGGACCTCCTCTCTTTCTCTTTCTCTTTCTTTCTCTCTCTCTCTCTCTTTGGCATGGCCTGAACAATCGCCTCACTCTGTTAGCAAGGCCATCAGAATTTCTGAACACAGTCACAAAATTTATATCCCTCCAACTGCCCCGATATAAACACTACCCAGAGGAAAGGGAGGAAAGGTCTCTTTTCTCTAAAATAAGGAGACGCAATTTAAAAAAAAAAAAAAAAAGCGGGGGGGAGGAATCAAGATTCATTTTTAAGCAATCTGGACATGTGTTAGAGGATATTGCTGAGAACAATTAGGGATGTATGAGTGAGAGGTTTATTTCTCACTTGCTTGTCAGGTCAGAAGACAATCTGTTTATTTTCCTGCTACAGTTTTATTCGATAAACTGAAAGGATGGGAGCTAGGAAAGAGGGTATGAACAGGATGTGTGCTATCAATTTGTCAAATAAATAATCGTGCTTGGAAACAACAGATTTTATTAATTAGACAGGATAGTGTATTATTACCATTAAAGTGTTATATTGCATTAATTTTTATATTTTACTCCGCTACTAATTACTGTAAAAGATTTCGGGAATGAAGCAAAATAAAATCATGCCGCATTATACATAATGTAAAGATAGCGTGAATTAATTTGTCGGCCGCTCCCCGTCTGCCTCCGGGAGAGGAAGAGGCATGGAAGGGCCTCCGCTGCTCGGCTTGCCGGCCGCTCCAGAGCTCTGCACCAGCGCTGCTCCCGCCTTGTCGCAGGAGGCAGCTATGAAGACCTAAGGTTCAAGACCCGGCTCAGCCGCGAACTTGCTTGGTACCCTTTGGCAAATCACTTCTCTGAGGCCTCGGTTTCCTCTTCTGTAAATGTAAACATCCCTTCTTTTTTTTTTGCCTTACGGGGTGGTTGTAAAGAGCTAACGAATTCCCGAGAGTAAAAGTGCTTTCAAATGTCAGAGGTGGGGAGACGGGTTGAAATCCAGTACAATAAGAGTAGGTAGACAGAGGTGGGGGGCGTCCGGAGTTCAGACCCTGCAGGGGCAGGTCTGGTCAGATTTAATGCTCAGAGGCTGCCAGGGCAGGGGGCCTGGAGAGTTAGGGCTTGGGAGGGAATTAGGGCTCTCCAAGGCCATCCAGCGGTCGTCTCAGCCACCCCCTCACTGCACAGTGCCTGGGAGCGGGGGCCCATGGCCACACCCTGGCGTAGCCGAGTTCCTCACTGTAAATGCAGACTAGAAGACACCCCCGTTATCCCCAGGCGCTCACACCAGGGAATCCCCCACTGGGTATTGGCACAGTGGAAAAAAGCACGATTCTCGTCAGACAGGACCAGGTTTTAATAACTGCACAGCCACGCAAGAGCCATGTGGCCACAGCCAGTCCCTTAACCTCTCTGAAGGGCAGTTTCTTCCTCAGTTAAAAAAAAAAAAAAAAAAGTTGTTTGCTCAGGAAGAAAATTCCCACGCTGGGCACAAGTTCTGGCTAAGGAGTCGGCGGGCTGGGCCCTCACGAGGGTGCCAGGGTCCCCAGGGCTCCCCATGACAGCACAGCCGCATGGGGACCAGGAGCCCCAGCAGAGCCCTCCCCGTCCAGCTCCATCCAGGCGCTGCCTCCCGGGTCCTCGCTGACCTCCGCTCGGGCAGAAGCCACCGAGTCCCAGGGCGGCCCCCAAGCCCCACCCCGGGGGCGCGGTTCTCCCTCGCTCGGCGGCCGAAGCCCAGCCACGTTTTTCTCCAGGCTGGGTCTCCGCAGCCAGGGCCAGGCGAGGGCCATTTCTCACGACCCGCTGCCACCTACCGTCCGCAGCGGAGAACTGCAGGCCGAGCGCGGCAGGCCTCTGGGAAGCTGCCACCCAGATGGACCAGATCCCCAGGCGGCGCTCAGGCCTCTCGGCCTGGAGCCCCAGTTCCCAATGTGTTCCGGATACGTGTTGCAGCCTTGTGGGAACAACTCAGCTGGCCACCTGAAGCCCTGATGCTCTGGCTTGCACTGTCACTGGGGTAACTGGACCCCTGGGGACACAGGGGCACGAGGGCAAGCCACTCCCTCCCCATCCGGCTATAGTCTCCTTTAGAGGCCTGAAAATCCTGCCCCTGGGTTTGGAGGGCTGTCTCTGGCTGCTTGAACTGGACCTGATGTAGGGCTTCCAGAGACAATTGTCCCGGTTTCCAGTTTCCAGAGTTAGAACTTCGCCTGCCCTGCAAGTCTGACCTGAGTCTGAGCTGGGCCTGCCTTCAGCTTTCTCCGTATTCTCTGGATCCCTTATGTGACCCTCTCTTGGGGCATGGATCAGGCAGCCCTGCAAAATAGCATGGTCCCAAATCTTGACTTCTCCACTCACAAGCTAGCTTATCTGCGGTAAGTGACTCAGCCTGACTAGGAAAACTCCTAGTTTTCCTCATCTTTAAACCAGCAATATCAGTAGTAACTTCCATATACGGTTGCCATGAGGATAAAATGAGTGAATATATATATACAAAGGAATTAGAACAAGGCCTGGCACACAGTAAATGGCTTATACGTGCATAGTAGTGCATTATCCAAGCATTAGGGATTATCTGTGTCGGTGTTATCTGTGTGCCTGTCACAAGACTTCCATTTGATTGTGAACTCCATAAGCATAGAAATCATCTCTGATTCAGCCATGAATCCTCAGCTACTTGCACACAGAAGGATGCAGTACCACTTATCCATGCATTCATTCATGCATTTAATAAATATTTATTCTACTATGTGCCAAGCACTGTGCCCTGGGGTTACAAGCATTAATAAAGACAACGACCCTTCCCTTATGGAGGTTATATTGTTTGGAGAAGACAGAAATAGAGCAAACAAGTAAGTCGATAAAATGGGCACATCTTGTAGTAAGTGCAAGAAAGAGAACAGCCAGACTCTTTGAAAGAGAATGAAGGAGGAGGAGCATGGAAGAGAGCTTTTGGATGGTCAGGGAAGGCATTGCTTCTAAAGGCCTCTGAAGAGGCGATAATTAAGCTGAAACTTAGATGAAAAGGAGGAAGGGGTATAGGCAAAAGATGGACTGCATCTTATATGAAAAGGATGCCTGGGGTATAGGCAAAAGATGGACTGCAAAGGAGCAGGAGGAAACTTCCCAAGGTGATGGAAATGTAACGGTGGTTGCCTAAGTGTATTTATAAAGTTGTCAAAACTCATCAAACTGAACCCTGAAAAGGAGTGAATTTTATTCATACAAATTATGCTTCAGGTTGGGCTCAGTGGCTCACGCTTGTAATCCCAGCACTTTGGGAGACCGAGGTGGGTGGATCACCTGATGTCAGGTGTTCAAGACCAGCCTGGTTAACATGGTGAAACTCCGTCTCTACTAAAAATACAAAAAGTAGCTGGGCCTGGTGGTGTGCACCTGTAATCCCAGCTGCTTGGGAGGCTGAGGCAGGAGAATCGCTTGAACCTGACAGGCAGAGGTTACAGTGAGCTGAGATCACACCATTACACTCCAGCCTGGGCAACAAGAGTGAAACTCCATCTCAAAAATAATAATAATAATAATGATAATTATTATTATTATTATTATGCTTCAATAAAGCTGATTTAAAAATAAAAGATGGTAGCCAAGTAAAAAATCAAGGAAGAGCATTCCAGACATAGGAAAAAAGAGCTGATGCGTAGCCTCTGAAGCAGGGAAAATCTTTTTGCATCCTAGGAAGGCCTGTGTGGATGAAGCAGGGTAAAGAAGAGGGAAGGTAGCAAGAGATGAGGCAAAGACATGACATCCTGGACCTGGTGGGGTTAGGATTTTATTCTGTGTGAACAGAAAAAGCCCTTGATTTGCTATCAAAAGTCCTAAACCCTGGTCTGGACTTTCTAGCTGTGTTGTCTTGGATGAATCATTGAACTATTGTGAACATTTTTTAAATCTGTAAAATAGGAATAAAAATGATATGCAGGGATCCCATCAAAGGGGGCTGCAGCCAGGGCTGACTATGAAGGCAGGTTGACACCTGATGCCTGGGGATATACCCACATATTTTTATTGGGCACTCAAAAGATTGCTTATTGAATTAAAATAGTACATGCCTGTATGGAGCAGAGACCTATGACCTTTCAAATAGCAGTTGGTGAGTGGTGGGGAGGAAGAATGGGAATTATTCCCATAATTATGGCATTGACTAATTAGGGCATTGAGTCCTTCAGTGTGTCCTCACCTACCCAATACTGTTTTTCTCTCTTATAGAAAATTCTTATTTTCCTTGGTCTCATAGCATGTGTCACAGTTTATTATTATGCATTTAAATTCTGTGCATCTTTGTTCAGTGTCTGACTTTCTGCAGACTGCAAGCTCCATGAGGACCAGAACTGTGTCTCTTCTCTAAACCACTGTACCCCAGTATCTAGCACTGTCATTGGTACATAGGAGGCACTCAATAAATACTAATTGAATGAATGAATGAATGACTATAACCATCCATTTATCCAAAGACAATTAACTATCCACAGGGCCCTTTCTGCTTCTTCCTAAATAATCCACCTTCTTCCCCTTACCCACTGGAAGCTCATCACCTAAGCCTTCCTTTTTGGGTTTTCTCCATCATCCTCATTCTAAATTCAGCACCGCCCAACCCCACAGAGCTTCTTTCTTTCTATTTTAATAAACATCTACACAAAATTAAGGAGAGAAAGACTGGTGGTTGTGTTTGATTTCACACTGGTTTTGACGTTTGATATTGTAAACTTCTTTCACCTTAATTTGATTTTCTGAAGTAGATAGGGTCAGATCAACTATAATTCCCATTTTCCACATGAGGAGCCAGACAGTTGAAGAGATGGATTGACTCATCCCATGGCATAGCTAGGGAGTGGCAGGGACACAGCTAAACCCTGGGTCCCATGGCTCTAAATTCCATGATCCTTTTCCCTTACAGGATCCTCTGCTTGATGGTTTTATGTGCAATACATTTCTCCCTTCGCATCTTAGGCACTGATGGTCCATGACAAATCGTGATGAGGGTTCTCCACTGAGAAAAGATGATAAAGACTCTCAGGAGCAATACTGCTCTTACTGTAAGTATCTAATCCACTTCCAGTGGCCATCAGGGCAAATGGAGGACATTACAACACGATTACATGCATAGATCCCAACTAAGTCCTCTAGAGCCAGATCTGCCAGGTTTGCATATTGGCCTTGCTACCTTCCAGCCCTCCAACCTTGGGTGATTTATTTCAGGTCTCTGTGCTACAGGCTCCTCATCCTAAATTGGAGATAAGAATAGTGACTACCATATAGGGTTTCTGGGTGAATTAAATGAGTTAATACATGTAAAATGCTTGGAAAAGTGTCTATCCAATAGAAAGTGGCCAGTTGATGTTGTCCTTCCTTCCTTCCTTCCCTCTCCATCCCTCCCTCCCTCCCTCCCTCTCCTTCCTTCCTTCCCTCCTTCCTTCCTTTCTTCCTTCTCTTTCTGTATTTATTTCTCTCTCTACTTCTTTCTCTGTTACTTTTTTTGTTCTTCTCTTTACTTTTCTTTTTTCTCTCTTGCTCTATATTACTTATTCTTCCTAAATTCCTGTCTCTTCCCTGAATGTAACTTCACAATAGTGCATCAATAAACATTTGTTGAACCAATACATAAATGAGTAAAGAAAAAGGAAAGAGAAGGAGGGAGCTGATGTCTGGCACAGGATGTGAAGAAATGAGGATAGAACAAAACAAGATAATCTTGTGTTTTTATATGTTTGTTTTTATCTTAATGTATAAGCTATAAGAGGTAAGACACTCTCATCCTGTTTTACCATGGGAAAGTCAAGCAACCTCTCTGCGCCTCCATTTCTGCATCTGTAAGGGAGCAGCATTGAACTAGATCATCCTTATGTTTTCTCTGTCTCTGACTCTGAGTCTACAATTCCATCTATATGAAATGTGATGTTGACTTTTCCTAGCATTTGAAAAGGGGATAGAAGAAGCCAAATGTACATTCCCAGATGAAACCTGTTTCACCTGTGGCACCCATACGAGGCTTCGCAGGTGTATACTTGCTTTGATCTCACCCTAGTGCTGACTTCTATCTCCTACTCTGCCTCTTAATAGCAATGGGACTTTGAGCAAGACACTCAACATCTCCAAGCTTCCCTTTCGTCATCTTATGATGGGAATAAATGAGATGCTTAGCACAGTGATCAACATGTAGTAAATGTTCATTAAATTACTATTGATGTGTGTTATTAAAGTGTGTATATGACATCAAGCCTTGACAAAACCCACTCTAAGGCCAAATGATGAATTTCGTATTAGCTGGTATGTGGGGCATTTTATGATTAAGCATTCATCTGTTAGAAATTGAACCTCATGATAGCATAGAGAAGCGGATGAACTATGAGTTCTGACTCAAGCTTCAAAGGATTACATGCATTTTTTCAGGTCCCAATATATTTCTGGTACTTTGCTGTATTATGCCCTTTAGTCCTTCTAACAATCCTGTAGGTAGGTTTTGTTGGGGCTGCAGGAATGAATTGAACACAGGAAGGTGCAGAAGTAGAGCCTGCAGGGAGCAGGAGTGATCAGAATTCACAGGACTCAACCTGGACCACACCCAGCTCCTTCCCCTCTGTAAGCCACAGTCAGCAAATATCCTGATTGCACAGTGCCAAGGATGGGAGTGCTGTTGAGACTCTCACCAACCCTGCAGAGTGGGAAAAAATATGAGTACCTCCCTCATGAATTCTCAGTCTCGCTTCTGGCTTCCTGCCCCTTCCCTTCTTTGACTTCTTCCAGGCAAGGCTTGGGCATAAATAATCTGTACCTGAGCATGAATAAACACTATGACTGGCTTCCCTCTCCCAGGGGATGTTTTGCTTTTGCAGCTGGATCTCTCATATCTTCTGGACCCAAACTCCAAGGCTCCACATTCCTACCTAATTAGAATCCAAAGGCCTTAACCCAGCACGTGGGCTCTTCCCCAGCTTCCCTCCCTCTCTCCCTCCTACCTGAGTCAACTTGCCTGTGGTTGTCTTCTCTGATTCCAGCCCGAAGACCCTGGTCTACTTAACCCCTCATCATACTCCCCATCTCCAGGATTCTACTGATGCTGCTTGCTGCTTCTGCTGGAATACACATACCCAAATACTGCCTCTACTTTAAGTCTCAGTTCAGAGATCACCTCCTCCAAGAAGGCCTCTGTGATTTTACAGCTGGAAATAGTTTTTCTCTCAGAGAAATCATTACAGCAATGGTTCTCAACTTTGAATATGAATTTTTTGCACATGAATCAGCCCAGAGATTTTGTTAAAATGCAGATTCACAGAGAGTAGGTCGGGGATGGGATCTGAGATTCTGCATTTCCAACTTGCCCACCCATGTTGTTTGCTGATGCTTCTGGTCTGTGAGTTATCCATTGAGTAGCAAGTCATCCCCCAATCTGGCTGTGTATCAGAATCACTTGACAAGCTTATTGAAACTGTGGATCCTGGGGCCAGAGGTTGATCCAGGTTTTGTGGGGCCTGAACTCGTTCCATATAGAGAGTCCTTTTTAAAGTATACATATAAAGTTATGAATAAGAAATTGCCACCTGTGGTCCCAACTACTTGGAAAGCTGAGGTGGGAGGATCACTTGAGCCTGGGAGGTGGAGGTTGCAGTGAGCTGAGATGGCACCACTGCCCTCCAGGCTGGGCAAGAGAGCAAGACCCTGTCTTAAAAAAAGGGGAATTGCTGGAGCTTCTCCCAAGTCCCTGGAACAAGCTGTGCAAGTGAAGGGTCTTGAAGTATAAACTCCACTAGCTGCAAGGTAAATCCATTTTTGCCTGGGGCCCATACGACAGCAGAATCTTGGGAGGCAGGAACTATATGTGTGTTTTGTTTTGTTTCATTTTCAGAATTTCTCCAGGTTATTCATAGTGACCAATCCTAGACCCACCCCCACGCCCCCTCTAAGAATAGAGCACTTGAACTCCTGCCCATCCACTTACCTCCCTCTATTCCTTCCATCTCCAAAGCCACTGTGCCAGGCACTGGGATAGACCCCACAGAAACAAGGATCAAGGACAGGCAGGCTCCTGCCATCAGCAAGCTCATGGTCTACTGGAAAACTCGTGACAGCTTCACAAAATGAACTCCTATCAGCTGTTTGCCCAAGTGCTGCAGGGATCAGAGGAGAGAACAAAACTCAGTCCTGATAAAAAGACAAAACTGGGAGGTCTCCCAGAGGGGCTGACATCGAGCGAGCTCTTGCCAAATTACTGGGGCTTCTCCAAGCAGAGGGAATAGCCTGTGCAAAGGCAGGGCAGCCTGAGAGAATATGTTCTCTTCAAGAACTAGCCAATCAAATCCACGTGTGGCAGAAGAGCAGGGTATATGTTGGGGGCAGGGGGCAGGGCTGTGAGGGATGGGTCTGGAGAGGTGGCTAGGCTCTCAGGACTTGGGGCTCCTTGAGAGTGGATGGTGGGCAGTGGATGGTTTTCAGGCAGGGGACTAGCATGATCAGGTCCTTTTATTACACGTGCATGCATTACTTTCAACTTCCAACTTCCAACTATAACTAGTTCTTTCCATGACATCACATTATTAGATCCAGCGACCTTTATTTCTTTTTTAAAAACATCTTTAGTTCTTTAATGACCATTTCTTTTAAAGTAATTGCTAAATGTCAGATAGCCTGTGAAGTATTTTCATCTTATTTGTTCCTCCTACAAACTCTGGGAGGCATAACAAATGATGTCTATTTTTTTATAGATATATAAACTGAGGATAGGAAAGTTTAAGGGACTTGGCCAAAGTAACAGAAATAGAAAATCTGAAAAGCCTTAAGACCCATAGACTAGAATGGTGCCAGGCACACAGCAAGGACCGAAAATGTCTGGTGAATTAAGAGATGAATGCTGAGGTTAAAAGAGCTTCACTTGTTAAGGTGATTTAGGGAAGCACGTGCCAGTAAATTTGAGGGCTGTGGGGCCTCCTTTCTGTTTCCCTAGAAATTCTAGGTTCTTGCTCCTGGGGGAGAAAAATTCTTCCTAATATCCATGCATGTGCCCTCCTACCGTTCCCTTCCAGAAGCCATGCCTTCCTCATGCACTCTGCCTCAGTTAGAGAAAAGATACAGCAGAAGCACAGACCATGGAACTTAGTGAAGAAAGTTATTTGGTGATTTTATGTGACTGGGTGGCAGGTGGATTTTAATAGGGCTTTTTGAAGCCATTGCATTCAATACAATTCAATTCTATTGTTCCAATTAGGGCAAATGAACTTGACTTTAAAAATATTTAGTGAGTGCCTAATATTGCTACTGGCAAGTGAAAGTGAGAGAATCCCCAGGATGCTGTAGGCCTCTGCAAACAGGAGTTGAACTTGACATAGATCCTTGATTTTAGTTTTCCTTCTGGAATACATTCTAATCTATAGCAAAATGTGGCTCCTCGTTCATGGTTGGGACCTTCAGCCATTTCCTCCATTGAGTTCAGCCTCATTTCCCTGCTCTCCTTGCCAAAAATGATGATGGTCATGACATTTCATAAAGCACGTGACAGTATTTTCTGGACTTGACAATAGTACAGGAGAAAAGAGAAGTTAGATCATTATGATTCCTCTCCTACAGAAGTTCAGAGAAGTTCAAAAACCTGCACAGTTAGGAAGTTGTGGCACTGGGGCCAGAACCCAATTTTCTAATGCCTGGTGGGGACAATTCCAATATGACATTACTGCTAGGTCACCAATCTGGCAGTTAATTAACATCTCTGTGATGACATGTTCACATGTTATTCTCTCATCTGCTCACACTCATTTTTTTCTTTCCAAATAAGCTGTAAACAAGTTATAGGAAGGAAGCTATGATTTCACTCCTACTCTCTTATATGCCAAACACTGTGAGATATTATGGGGGGTACTAAGGTTACAATTACGAACAAAATAAACATACTTCCTGTCCTCTGAGGGTGTATCATCTAACTGAATAATCATATTTTATGACTTTTTGAATTTTTACTATGTCTTAAGTATTGCATTCTCCACTTTACAGATGAGTACATTGAGATCCAGAAAGTAACCAGGAACTTGTCTAGAAGGGGAGAGCTGGGATTCCCATGGATTGCTGGATTGCTCCTTCCCAGAAGCTGGCCCAGGGCTGAGCCAACACAGTATGCTATGGCAGTTTAAACACATGGCTTTTGAAGTCAGACAGATTCAAATCTCAGCTCAGCCAATTACTTGTGTGATCTTAGACAAGCTATTTCCCTTTAAACCTCAGTTTCTACATCTGTAAAGTAGGGGTCATGACAACCGGCTCCCAGTTATTTTGTTACATGGGTCAGTTGAAAAAATGAAGAATGTGAGACTCTTAAATGAATACCTGGTGCAGCACAAGGGCTCAAGAAACAGTAGCTATTCTCACTATTACTATTAATCATTGGCAGACACAGCACTACTCTGCCTGCAGTTACGTGCATGATGTTTTACTAGTTTCTTTTTCCCCCCGAGTCGTTGAGAGTAAAATACTCTGTCCTCCCTGCTTCAGCTCTCCACATTCCAGAAACAGAGACCACTTACACAAGCAGCAACAGGGTCCATTTCTGTGATCAGTGGAGCCAATGGCCCGCTCGTTGGAAACACCAGCAAGCAAAGTGTCAGGACTCAGAAGCCGCCAACAGGCTTCAGGACCCTGCCAAGCCCTCGTGCCCACTGGAGCAGCCAGGGGGAGGGGGTGACTATGGCATAAACACACGTTTGCTTTCATTTGGCTTAGCTGACTGTGTGTTTTGTTAAACAAATTTAGGTTTGGAAAAGATTATTTTTGGTACACTGCTGCATAATTAGATGAATTTTCATGAGTTTATTCTTGAAATAAACTTTGAAATTGTCCGTGTTTTACTGTTTTTTAATCATCTGCAGATACTGTTTTTTGAGACTTAGCATGAAAAAAAAACCTTGTTACATATCAGTTTAATTTAGATTCAAATAAAATAATTTTTTGAATTTGCAGCAACAACAAGTCTGCGAAAGTGGTTGTAACTGGTGCTGAGTTGTTTGAGGATCAAGATAATTACAGTATAAAGGATAAGAGAGAATATAATATCCTGGCATCCAGTGCCTATTCAGCTAATCCCCAGCCCTTGACAGATGTTCAAACACAGTATTTTTAAAAGCTGACTTTTAAAAAAACAGGGCAATTCACTTATTAGATATAAACAACATGATAAGAAATTCAAAGTCTGACATCCATTACGAACCGTCCATGTTGAGAAGCGTGAGAGACAAGGCAAAAAGTCAAATGCACTGTGCTCATTGCCGTAATGGGTGTCCAAGCAGGGCTGGGATTGCAGAAAGACCAGGCCCCCACTTTGCCAGGGGCACAGGTTTCATCTGTACCAGCCCCTGAGAAGCAGAGCCCCAAAGGCAGCTTCGATGATGCTGTAAGCCTACGCAGCAGCCTCTCTGGCGGCTGCTTGAAGCCGAGGCTGCCAGCAGCCAGCACCAGGATAGTTTGGCCGGCTTTAAACAATAGCCGCATAGTGATAGGTGGCCCATAAAGATGGCGAGGCAGATGGAGGGTTAATGAGTGGGGAGTCTGTTGGCTCAAAGATCGCTCTTGTCGCTGGCCTCTGACACTCCTCCACTCTCATTCATCAAACATTCTACTGAGCCTGAGTATCTGTTGGGCATCAAGGCTGACTGCTAGCCTCTGGATTCAGAGATGAATAAGACCTCATTCATGCCCTGCCTCCAAAATCCTACAGTGCAGCAAAGGAGATAAATTATATCCATTGACAACAACTACAATTATTATTATCATTATCATTATTAAACTTTATTTATATGCTAAGCTTAATTCTAAGTGCTCTTCCTAATTCCCACAATAATCTTATGGAATTGGCATTATTATTATGCCCATCTTACAGACGAGGAAGCTATGGCACAGAATGAGTAAGTATGTGATGAAGTTATTTCTGACTGTGGCTCATAGTAGTGGTGGAGGAGGAACCACAGAAGGCTTTATGGAGAGGGTAGGGGTTTGGATTAAGTCTACATGGACAGTGGGGTTTGAAATGTGGAGATCCAGGAAAAGGACATTCAAGGCAGATAGAGCAATGAAGAGAGAAGAGCAAAAAATATTATCTGGTGAAGTAAGACATCAAGCTGCACTGAGGATGGCATGAAATTGTCTTTTTTGCCTTCCTATTGAAAAGAAATTCTGTATAAAAAGCCCTTGGCATCCTGGGAAGCACAGGCTCAACTGTGGATGCTGATGCTTCTTCCCTTTCTGTCAAATATTTTATCTGGGGTCCTTAAAACTGCCTCTGTAATAGCAGTGGCTCCAAGGCGGCCAAGTGCAGAGGTTCAGGGGAAACTCCAGCAGGTGCTTCTCTCCTGACCTGGGTCTGGACATGTGGGTCCAGGCCCAGGAAGAGCCAGCCTTCAGCATCAGCGGGTGCCAGTACTGTGGATTATTCCAAGTGCAAGCACATTCAAAGGCAGACCACCTGTTCCACTTCTTTCTTGGTTTTCATTGGATGCTTCAATGATACATTTCATTTCACTACCTCTAATCTCTGTTTAGTATTGTCTTAAGAATTACCTTATCCACATAACTTTAATTAACTAATTTATTTATCTTTAGAGACAGTCTTGCTCTGTCACCCAGGCTGGAGCGCAATGTTGTGATCATGGCTCATTGCAGCCTGGAACTCCTGGACTTAAGTGATACTCCTGCCTCAGCCTCCCAAGTAGCAGAGACTATAGGCACATACCACCATGCTCAGCTAAGTTTTCTTTCTTTCTTTCTTTCTTTCTTTCTTTCTCTTTCTTTCTTTCTTTCTTTCTCTTTCTTTCTTTCTTTCTTTCTTTCTTTCTTTCTCTCTCTCTCTTTCTTTCTTTCTTTCTTTCTTCTTCTTTTTTTTTTCTTTAGAAACAGGGTCTTGCTATGTTGCCCAGGCTGGTGTCAAACTCTTGACCTCAAGCGATCTTCCTGCTCCCAAAGTGCTGGGACTGCAGATGTGAGCCACCACGCCTGGCTCAACTTTAAAACAATTGCTGAAAAGGATCTTCTTTCAGAAAATATTCCATTTTCTCCCACCCCACCCACCCCTAACCTGCTCACACAGCACATTTTTCCATGAGGACATGCATGCAAGGCAAGGGAGAGGGGTCTGAAGAAGACCATGCCAAGAGCCTGCTCTTCATCCCCTGCTGTAGGGTGGCCAGGGCTGACACACTTTAGAATTCAAATGGGCCTACACTAGACTGGCTAGCTGTCATGGCCTCAGAGCCAAGGAGAAAGTGGTCAGCTGCTGGGTGTGACCTGTACTCCAGGAGTTTGCCAGACAAGTATTACTTGAGTATTTTCTAGAGACCAGATGTCAGCCACTCATGAGAGACAGTTTGTGTTGGGCTGTTTTAGCTCTTGCCCAAGAGGGCCATCAGGAGTGGGTGTGGGAGCACAAAGCAGGAAGAAAGGATTAACTTCTCTATCTCATGCTTACCCTGGGCTCCACCTCAAGGAAGCATGGGTCCTCACTCTGGTTTCAGCCACACACTCTCTTGGCAGCCTTCAGAAATGTGCAAGGCTTCCAAAGAGCAGCCTCTTTCAAGGAACTTCTCAGCCCTGGCTTAGTTCTGCGGGAGGAGTTGAGCCTGGGCAGGGTGCACCAGGGCTGCTCTCCTGCTCCTTCAGCTCTCCTGAGGTGGCCTCTGTTCAGGATGTCCTCATGCTCCTTGGGGTTCCTGAAACAACCACAGGATTCAAGGATGTGGGGCTGTGGTCATTGCCCTCTCACCCTTTTTACATGTTTCTTTCTGACCAGACATCTCAGATTCTCTGAACTCAGGCTCAATTTCAAAAGCTTCATGTATTTTCTCCCCATATAATCATATTAACTAGACTTCATGGAGTGTTTTTCAGGTACCTGATGCTGCTCTAAGAACTTTACATATATTATCTAATTTAATTCTCACCCAGTCTTAAGGTCTGTAAGTTGAGATGCTAGTACATGCCTATCCTTCCCCATATTTAAAAGAGATTTCATTAAGGATGAAGATCAAATGACAGACAGACTGAACAAATGAACGAATGATGGAAGGAAAGAAAGAAGGTCGCCAAGAACATGAAAAGAACTGCTGAGTTGAAAGTGAAGGAACCACTCAGATACTTACTAGTTGGGAGTGACTTAGAGCAAAATCTGTAAGCCTTTGATTTCCCTTTGTATAAAGGAGTTATTGGCACTAAGATAAAGGAAGGTATAAGATGTGAAAGTACTTTAATTTGTTTATAGTAAGTGCTCACTTGTTGTTAAATGCATAAATATATATATATATATATATAATATATATATATATATATATATATATTTTTTTTTTTTTTTTGCCTAATACAGGGACAGATTCCACTTTTCTGCATGGCCTGTCTTGGGGAGGGCATCAGAATTCCTGGAAGCAATATAAACATTCTGATGTCTCCTTACACAAATACAATTAGAACCACAGCTTTTGATTATTTTTAAAAATGGCTGTCCAGTCTGTGCTTGATCACCTTCAGTAACAGGGAGCTCACTACTTCTTGAGACATTTTAATCCATGGTCATGTCACACAGTCTTCATGGTTGACCAGTTGTTCTTTGCATTGGGCTGAAATTTCCTGTGACTGCCTCACTGGACAAGAAACAGGGCTTTCTTATCCTGGGATTCAGCTCTTTTCAAATTGGAATTGAAAAGTATAGATTCATAGAATGTCAGCGTTTAAAGAGACTTAGAAACCCCCTATTCTGGAGCTTTAATTCACAGGAAATCAGGAAATCTCTATGCGAGAGAGAGCATTTCAGTTGGTTGGTAAGCGGAAAATTCTTTATTCAGCCTTTGTCCAGAGGGTCGTAGTGAATAATTTCTCTTTGGAATATATTAAGAGGAAAGGCACTTTGGCTTCATGTGTATGTACAAGATGCCTATTTCAGAAATGAATTATTTCTCCCAAAACATGTTCTGTGGTGATTGTGGTAAATTGTTGCAGTAATGGATTCGAATTGTTCACATCATCCTACACCCTTGGGAAGTTCCCTTTATACTATTGTTGTGGCTGTGTGACTTGCTTCGGCCATTGTGATGCAAGAGGAATCTTGAGAAGTGTTTGTGTATTGAGACATCCTTTCTTGCATCTCCCATAACCCCATGACTGCCTGCTCTAGCTTGATGAATGTTGCTCCATGGCCCCACCAATAGCCAGCTAATCCCCAGAAACAGAGTCACCTCACTGACTGGCAGTTAACTGCAGACACATGAGTGAACCCATTTGAGACTAGCAGAAGAACTGCCCAGCTGAGCCCAGACCAAATTAGCAACCCTCAGAGTCATCAGCTAAATAAATGGTTGTTGGTTTAAGCCACTAAAGTTTGAGATGGTTTTTTATGCAGTCCTCCTCCAAATAAAAGCATACGGACCATTTCTCTAACTAGCTTGTCAGCTCAGAACAACCTTGCAATTGACAAGACCACTGGTTACAAAGTTTAAAGCTGAACAAGGAAGAGTTCTTTTACTTGAGATTTTACTCTTCAATTAGTAAAAATTTAACAACCATGTTAAATGCACCACCTAACAACAAGGAAATATTCCAAGAAATGCATCAGTAGGTGATTTTGTCATGGTAGGAATATCATACAATGTACTTAGGCAAACCTAAATGGTATAGCCTACTACACACCTAGACTATACGGTATGGCCTATGCTCCTGGGCTACAAACCTGTAGAGCATGTTACTATACTGAATACTGTAGGCAATTGTAACACAATGGTAAGTTTTGTGTATCTAAATATATCTAAACATAGAAAAGGTATAGTAAAAAATACAGTACTATAATCTTATGGGACCACCATTGTATATGTGGTCCATCATTGACCAAAATGGACCATGCATCATGACCATGGATGCAATACATGACAGTACATGTCCATTCTAAGGTCCTGAGATCTTGCTGAAGGTCACAGAGCCAGCTGGTCATCAGAGAAATCAGAATTTAAACCCAAGTATGCCTGGTTCCAAAGTTTACGCTCTAATCTTTTCTAGGAAGCCTACCAGATCTTTCATTAGGGCCTTTATCTCCATAGAGCCTATGGGCTAGGCTCCTGACTTCCTTATGAAGCCTACTTTGCTACCACCACACAAGACTGAGACCCACCATGATGGAGCTGTCACAGAAGGAAGGGGAAGAAGGAAATTATGCCATACTCTGCACTAATAATTATAATCATTAACACTGACCTCTAATTATTAACCACTAACTACGTGCTAGACATTCTTCTAGCACCCTACGTGTATTATCTGATTGAACCCTCACCACAGTCAACTATAGGTATTACTAACCCCATTTTACAAATATTTAACTAAAATGGCCAAGTAAGTAAAGAGCAAGAATTTAAACCCAGGTCAACTGGTATTGGAGCCAAGATGTTCACTGCTGTGCTGTGCTGCCTCTTGACATGATCCAGGGGTTAGGAGATTTACTTAGGTGGGCTTCTGAAAACCAGGTAGTCAGAAAATCTGCAAGGTTATTTGCAGATACTAGAGCCAGTGCTTACTGCTCTGCGTCTGGGTTGTTTAGGGCATTGGAGAGTTTATTGCTTTTTTCTGTTCATTATTTTTTAAACGGTCTCTGTATGTTCTAAAGACTGCTCCCCAAAGGCCGGAAGAGAAACACAGTGGCCAGTCCTTGGTCCTCAGAGCCCCATAAAAGAATGCAAGCATATCTCAACGTATTTTTATCACTGTGGTAGTTGCCGTGCTAGGTCACCTCCATATGGTGTACTTCGCATGTTCCTTGCCACCACCTTGAGACATCAGTGTGATTATCCCCATTTTACAGATCAAATTAATAGTAAACCCCAATTGATAGAACTCTGGATAAACCGTATTTTCCTATAATTGGTACTTTTCCAGGGTTGCAAAATAATTTAGCTCAGTAAACATTTTTCCTCCAATTTTGTTTGCGTCATTCATTTACTTATCAAACCCTTTTCCACAGAGGTAAAATCCCATTAAGAGAAAACTCTAGGGATATCCAAATTGTTTTCTTGACAGAAATTCTGATAAGATGAGTAAGTGACTGCAATTCTTGTTACCAACCTATGAGACCCTGTAATGCAAACGGGTGAAATGTCTTGGTCACAGAGTTCCACCTCCAGTTGAGTGAGTGGACCCTTTAATATCTGTGATTTACCATAAGGATTCTCTAACCCCACCCCCAGAGTGTCTTCATTTTCTTGTTGCCCTTCAAGTTCTGTTGGTTTTGTTCAGATGTTTTTAATGAGTTTGTCCTGCGGCAGCCAGGGAATGGCTAACAAGTCTTCTGGGCCCTTAAAAACCCATTAGAATGTTATTTCTTACAAAGTGAAAAACTAACCTCATGCCAGATGCAAATAGGGCTCAAGCCATCAGAAATAAAGTTTGATTCTGAAGGAAAATTCCACTGAGACATGAAAGTTCTTCAGCTTGGGGAAAACAGTCTTTGATGTCTAGTCTGACTAGGCAGTCTAATACGATTATTAAGAGCATGAGTGTTGCAGAAGTTGGAATGGGTTCAAACCCACTCTCTTTTATATACTAGCTCAGTGATCTAGGGCATGTTGCTTAACCTCTCTGTGTTTCAATTATCTCACCTGAAAAACTTAGGAATAAAAATAATACTTACCACATAAAACTATTGGAGGATTAAATAAGAAATTATAGGTGTAGCAGTTAAGATTATATTCAAGTATAATCACAAAAGCAACAGAAAAGTAACTTAAATTAGTAGAGGCTTATTCCTCCCTCATTTAAAATAATTTTAAAGATTGGCAATCCAGTATTGACAAGGCAGTTCCACGGTTGTCAGGAGCCTAAGGCTACCTCTACTTTTCTACTCCACCATTTTTAGCACTGACTTTCATTCTCAAGGTCGCCTCATGCACCTCATGGTTCAAAATGGCTGCCAGGTACCAACTCTCAGTCCACATTCTAGACCAGATGCAGAAAGAAAGGTGGGGGGCCAATATGATGAAACCCCGTCTCTACTAAAAATACAAAAATTAGCCGGGCGTGGTGGCATGCACCTGTAATCCCAGCTACTCGGAAGGCTGAGACAGGAGAATTGCTTGAACCCAGGAAGCAGAGGTTGCAGTGAGCTGAGATCGCACCACTGCACTCCAGTCTGGGCAACAAGAGCGAAACTCCGTCTCCAAAAAAAAAAAAAAAGAAAGAGTGGAGGGACAGAGGACATGAAGTCATACCTCTCACATGGGTTATTTCAGGACTTTTCCTGGTAGTTCCAACCAACACTTCCTTAGATCTTTTGGGTCCTCCTGAACTGCCAAGGAAACAGGGAAATGCTGATCTGTGGTTAGACATTTGCTACTCACAATAAAAATTTGGGATTTTGTTAGTAAAGAAGGGGAGAATGGAAGTGGATAGTTAACTAGCAGTCTTAGCTGTACCACTCAAAGTACTTACAACAGTGCCTGTTACATACTTAGCTATAAATTTGTGCCCGAAATAGGAGGTAGCCTCTGTATTGAATTGAACATAGCCTCTGGAGTTGAGCAGACTTGAATTAAACCCTACCTCCATCCTTAACTGGGGATGACATCGTAAGCAACTTATTGAATTTACCGATGAGCCTCAGCATTCTTGGTTATCAAATGTAGTTGTACATATTGGCCTTTTGGGATTTCTGGGAAAATAAAGTGAGAATGCGTATTTAAAGGGCCTGGCATATAGTAGATGTTTAGTAAATGTAAGTTCCCCTCTCTATGTCAACCCATTAAGGCTTAGACACTTCAGTGCAAAACAAGGATCAGAAGAGTAATCCCCACCCTGACCTGGGAAGTGGTCAGAAACCTCCCAGAAAACAAAGCCACGCTTTGCCTCTCAGCTGCCTGCTCTCTGCCCACAAAGTGCTAAAGTCAGTGAAGCCAACCCTGTAATCAAACAATACCAGATACTTTAATTATAGTTTTTTGCCATGATCTGAATCACTGTTTTCATGTGCATTGCTGTGAATTAATCTCTTAACAGTGGTATTAATTCCTTGATGCATAAAGAAGTGTTTTAGCTACTGAGATATTCCACAGAGAAGGGAATGACATTCACATTTAATTAGCTCCTACTCTCTGCCAGGCCCTGAGCTGAGTGCTTTATAAATCTTATGTCATTTTTTTTCACAATAACTCTGTTTAATAGCTATTACCCTCCCATTTTATAAGCGAAAGCATAGAGACTCAGAAATGTTAGCAACCTGGCCAATGGCACAGTTTATGCAAATCCCAGAACTGAGATTTGAACCTATGTTTGTCTAATTCCAAAGCTCATGCTCTTGTCATATATCCTGCTATCTTGCTGCCTTCTCAGACCCTAGACCAACCAGTCTTTAGAACTGGACTATTGTGGCTGGGCACGTTGGCTCATGCCAGTAATCCCAGCACTTTGTGAGGCTGAGGCCGGCGGATCACCTGAGGTCAGGAGTTTGAGACCAGCCATGCTGGCCACATGGTGAAACCCTGTCTCTACTAAAAATACCAAAATTAACCTGGCATGGTGGCATGTGCCTGTAGTCCCAGCTACTTGGGAGGCTGAGGCAGGAGAATCACTTGCACCCGGGGGACGGAGGTTGCAGTGAGACAAGATCATGTCTGTGCACTCCAGCCTGGGCAACAGAGTGAGACTCTGTCTCAAAAAAAAAAAAAAAAGAATTGGGACTATGGAGCTAGCTGGTAGAAGAAAGAAAAGAAGACTGGGCTGCAATTTGGCTTAGTTCTTCTGAGTCCTGGTTTTGATCTCACAGCTCAGAGACCTGTCCCTCTGGGGCTTCATTTTCCTTTTCTGTGAAATAGTTGGCATTAGGGATTTAATGGGATAGTCTATGATCTCCCCTGAACCTCTGAGAGTCAACAGTTATAGAGTGAAGGTATGCACCCTCATATCTGTGTGCTCCAGTAAATATACTTAACTATACCTGACTTGTTGAAAATAAAGAAAAAATAAGATGTAGTCTCTATCTTAGGAAAGTTAAAGTGAAGTTAGGAGAAAGAGCAGCAGATTTTATGTAAATGTATGAAAATACTTGGAGGTGTTTCTAAAAAATAAATCCATCCAAAGGTCTATGTCAGAGGGTAGTAGGCTTCTTGTCCCTGTCGGAAATCCTATATATATGGCTGGATCACCATATAATAATGGTGCTATTACAATATTGAGCTTTTAGGCAAAAGGATATCTGAGACCAAACACCCACCTAATACATGGTCATTAGAATAGAATGCAAAGATATAGACATAGCCAAATTGAAAGTCCCCATTCTCACTGTCTTTCCCCCAATTCCAGTCCCTAGGGGCAACAAATATAGTGGACTTCCCTCCAAATCCCTTTTCAAGATACTGTCTTACTAATCACATATCCTGAAATTTCTATTCAGCATGAACATCTTTCCATGGTGAGTCCTGAATGACTGACTTCATTCCTTTTACCAGCGACACGATGTTCCACGAATGAAAGGGACAAAGTTCATTACTACAGATATATTTTACGCATCCTGTTCTTTCCCATTCCTCCATCTCACCTTCATCTGCTAAAGACACTTTTTAAATTATTGGCTCAGATTAATTTTTAAGCTTGTTTATGGTGCTGTTTTCTTAAACATCCATATACAGCTTTAAAAATAGACATGGTCACCTCTGTCAGCATTTTCTCTTCTGACTTTGAACTTTCATAGCTTGCTTCAGAAAATATCATTCTGTCTTATTTAGCTATAGTCACAATAAATCTGTATAACAGACCACCCAAAAGTGTAGTGGCTTTAAAATGCAATCATTTATTCTCATTCATATGTCTGAGGATTGAGTTTTAGCTGATACCACTTGGGCTTGGCTGGGCTTCGCTTTAAGCTGTAGCTTGGGATCAGTTCTGCTCCAGGTGGCCCTTGTCCTCCTGGGATCAGTGAACTAGCTGGGCATGTTATCTTCATGGTGATTGCTGATGCACAAAATACTTTATGTGTCTACTAACATTCTACTGGAAAGCAAGTAGCAGGGCCAACACCAGAGACCTGGGGTAGAGGATATTTAGATCCCACTGGGAAAAGAGGGAAATAAATATCGCATGTCCATGATTTTTAAACAATAATTTCATATTCTTTAGTTGTTTTATAGTTTTGTTTTGTATAGATCTTTATCTGTACTGATTTATATATGCAAGTGTGTGTGTATATGTGCACATTAGAGATCTAGTGTTAAACAAGGGAGTGAGCATAAGATATGGTGTCAGGATGTGGGAAGTGAACTACAGCATCCTCTGCTAATGATGGAGAATGATGAAACCACCAGATCACTACTTTCCAAACTGGAAGGCTGGTGCTCCATGGGGAGGGGCTTATTTGGAATTTCATTACAGTTTATTGATCATAGAATATATGATGTGGGTTTAGGTCTGGAAGAGCTTATCAAATTAAGAGTCCTATATTAGATGAGTTTTAGGGCTTTAATGGTGGACAATCTTACCCGGGTTTTAGCCCTGACAAAATACGGCCACTTTTTTTTTAATAGAAAACCTACAGGAAGGCAGTGGTAATAGACAAGGGATAATTTCAGGTTCAAATATAAGAAATAAAAAAGCAAAAAAGAAACAATCAGATATGCTGAGGTGCAACTTTCTTCATTGTGTCTGTCCTGGGAAGAATGACAATGCACCTTCCCTTCCCTTCCCTTCTACACCAGGCTTCAGGTGTGAGGAGGCTGTTGAATGTCTGTGAGCAGGACAGAACAAATTATGGGGCTCCTCAGGCAGGTAAGATTCTGACTTTCCTTCAAACCCACAGACTTGAAATATTCGTTCAACACTTACTGGGGAAGCTGATCACTACAGGGTAAAGAGTGAAGAGTGCAGACTACCAGGGGTGGGGCTCTGCTTCTCCTCTACCACACTGAACTATTCCGCCTAGCCCCAAACGTGCATACCTCCCTTAGCAAAATGAAGCCCCCCAGCTAACCAAACCCACTATTCTCAGGATGCTGTTCAGCACAGGGCATTGGGAAAGGTCCTACGCTTTACTGAGAGGCTTATCAAATATTCTTTTGTTTTGGAGCTATCCTAAGGTATATCTGTCTCGCTGCTGCCCCCTGCAGATTGCTATCCAATTCAACAGCTCTCTATAGTACAACACAGCCACTGACTATTGCCCTAGAGAGATGGAAGCCTCAGAAGTCTGAGAAATCAGCTACAGTTGCCTTCTAACTTGGGCTAATGCTAGGGCTTACTCTATTAAACAACACAGCGGCTGTCTGTGGCAGGAGCCTAACAAAATGGTAATAGAATATCTGGGTGTTTCCTCCAGCTTAGAGACCCGGTTTACATACTTTCCCTGTGTGATTCTATGTGCCCCATCTCTGTTCAGTGCCTCCATGCAAAGTCAAAGCCAGCAGGAAATCTTCCCGGGAATGTCACCATTTATTTCTCTTTTTTATATAGCTTATCTTTCAGGAAATGCAGAAAGATTGCAGAAATAAAGCATCTTGGCCTGTGGGATTTTGTGGAGCAGGGCTTGTCAGTCTTGAAGGCTTAAAGAGTTCAGGCACGCACTTCCAAGAGTGTGTGCCAGGCCTCGTATCTTCTCTGTATAGCTTTGTGCCTTTCAATCATACACAGTATTCTCTTTGAGAGGACTTCTCTCCAATACAATTTCCTTGATTTCCCTCCATTTCTCAAAACCTTTTAGCATTCCGTTTGGTACCCCTTGAAGACTGGCATCTTGGGCAACTTCCTACTGATCTATTTCTCCATTGCTCAAGGTGCAACCTTACAGGGTTGTCAGGGCCTCTGTAGCGAAAGTTTCTACCCTTTCAGCATCCCTGTGAAGGCTCAAAAGGAGCCCTGTGATTAGAATTGGGGTGGACAGGGAAATCATAGAGGTCTCAGCATTCAACCATTTTTGCTGAGTTCTCTCAGTATCCCGGCTGGGAGAGGAACCCCTCAGGACCGAAAGCTTGGCATATGCAGTGTCCCGTGATGAATGCACAGTGCAGTCCATCACAAATTTGTTCCCTTTATTGAGAAGAGTAAGTGATCTAATACTTTTCATGCGGCTGTGGAAGTGCTTAACTGTGACACTTTGTAAACAGACTAACTGGCTGAAATAAGAGAAGCAAAGGATTCCTTCTGGTTTAGCAAATGGCTATATTTGGAATTATGGATTTATTGATAAAGGCACTGCCTTAATATTCTGTCTTCTGGATCCCATTTAAATCATCTTTTCTTGACCCACAATTATTTGCTTTGATCAAGTATTGGTCAGGATCCTTTTAGTTGCAAATGACAGAAACCTAACCCCTGCCAAATTGAGCCGAGAAGAGAATTTAAGTGGAGCTAGACTCAGAGACTCCAGGGTCTCCCACAACACCATCAGCACTTTTCCTCCTCCTCCCTGCCATGCCTTCCCTCCCCTTTGAATTGGCTCAGCTCCTCTGTTGAGTTGGTCCTATTCTTTCCTCCTACAGCTTGCCTTCCTCCGTGCACCCAGGAATGGTGGTGGTGTCGGCTGACATGGCGGCAGACAGCCGGAGGCTTACAGCATCTCGGCTAACACCAGAAAGAAAAAGAAAATTTTTCTTTCTAAAGTTTGCACACAAAATCCCAAGGAAGTTTTCTAAGTTGCCCTGCTTGAGATGGGCTCTCATCTTCAAAGGGTTGCTTCAGAGCCTTAGGTGAATGCTTATCTGGATGCTTTAAAAAGTGCCAATACCTGAGCCCTGTGCCCAGAGATTCTGATTCAATTGGTCTATGTGGAGCTTGGCTTTGTGCAAATGATTCTAATGGGTAGTCAAGATCAAGAACCACTGCTTTAGACTCATTTGTTCACTTATTCCTCAAAAAAAAAAAAACCCACACATTTTTGAACTCCACCCCTGTGCTAGGTAGTATACAAGGTACTGATAGAGCAGTGAACGGGAGAGAGAAAATCATTCTCATGAAGTTCACACAGTACAGGGGAATACAGGCAATGTACTCATTAATAAATAAGTAGTGCTAGCAAATAAAAAGTGCCATCCAGAGAATTAAAACAGGATCAATGTATGCATGATGGGACAGAGCCAGTCCTCAGCAACTTGGAGGGAAGAGCATTCTGGGCAGAGGGAACAACTACTGCAAAGGCTGAGAGGCAGAAACAGGCTTGACCTATCCCAGGAATGGAAAAAGGCCAATGTGGCTGAAATATGGTGAATGAAGGAAAGAGTGACAAGGGATGAGGTCAGAGAGACCAAGAGCAGCCAGCTGCCATGGGGCTTAGTAAGCCAGGCTGAGGAATGTGGATTTCATTCTCTAGGCAATGGACTATTAGCAGATATGAAGGAGTGATGGGATTTGATTTACATTTTTAAATGTTTATTCTGGCTGCTGTGTGGAAAAAGGACTAGGTGGGGTAAGAGTGGAAGCAGGTGGACCAACAAGTAGGAGACAAATGCAAATGTCCAGGTGAAAAATGCTGTTTGCTTGTACTAGGTAGGTTTTGGGGAGAAGTGAATGGATCCTGGCTAAGTTTTTGCAATTGAGTTGACAGGACACCAGAATGTAAGCCCCTTAGTTTTTCTTTTGATATCCCAAATATCTAGGGTGGGGAGAAGGGGGTAATGTATTTGAGCCAGTAAGTGCTCCAGAACTCCTTGTTAAATTAATAAAACCAGAGTCCAGAGGCACGAGGATGGAGGGGAAGGAATGGAAATAAAACTCTGAGCCTGCATAGCCAAAGAACAGACTCCTCTGATGGAGGCCTGTGCCCAGCACGGTGCTAACACATAGAAAAGAGGAGTGGAGGGAGATGCAAGTGCTAGCTGGAGGAAAGTTTATTTAGTGGCTCTGAAGCTTGTCTAGGAAGCAAAAATATACAGGAGAGAGATCCAGAAAAGGCTTTCAGCTCTGCTCCCAGGCAAGAGGTTGGACAGAAGAAGACACTGCATCACCATCACAGTAATGAGATTTAACAACTCTACTAGTCCAAGTATAACTAGTACAACCAGTCAAGAGAGCTTAGTGAAACTAAGTAGGGATATATCCTGTGATCCAGCAATCCTAGTCTTTACCCTGTTACCCAGAAATCCTAGCCTTAGTTCAGTTTTTAGAAAAATTCCTATGTGGGTCCAACTGGGACCCTGAGCAAGGAAGTCTGTCAGGATAAAGCTCAGAGTAGAGTGAAGGCAATACAAGAGTCCATCAGTGGAAAACTGGATACGTAAAATGAAGTAGATGTTACAAAATAATATGCAGTTGTTAGAACCATCAAACTCCATGTGTACAGAACAGCATGGGAGACTTTAAAAACATAGTGTTGAATGAAAAGCATGTGAGAACACCATAGATTAAACATAGAATAATACCAATATGTCAATTAAAAACATATACACTAATGGCATATTTACAAGGAAACGTGCATATTTCAGGGCATATGTCAAGCACGTTAGAGTAGATGTCAATGAGGACAGGGAATAGGTGTAGGATTAGGGATTATGGTAAGGAGAATAACATCCCTCCTCCAAAAATGTCCACGTCTGAATTCCCAGAAACTGTGAAGCTGGTTGGTTACATGACGAGTGGTAATTAAGGTTACAGATGGAATTAAAGTTGCTAATCAGCAGACAGAGAGCATATCCTGGGTTATCCAGATGAGTTCAATGTAATCACAAAGGTCCTTAAAAATGGAAGAAGGAAACAGGAGTCAAAGGAAGATATGACTAAGAGAAGACAGTGTAAGAGGGACTAGGCCCGAAGTTGCTGGCTTCAAAGTTGGAGGAAGGAGCCATGAGCTAAAGAAAGTGGGAAGTTTCTAGAATCTGGAAAAGGCAAAGAAACAGATCATCTCCTACAGCCTCCACAGAAGGAATGCACCCTGCCAATACCTTCACCTTGCCCCAGATCATCTCCTAGAGCCTCCACAGAGGAGTGCACCCTGCCAATACCTTCATCTTATCCCAGTGAGATTTGAGTTGGACTTCCCACCTATAAAACTGTAAAGTAATATGTTTGTGTTGCTTTGAGCCACTCAGTTTGTGGCAACTTGTTACAGAAGCAACAGGAAACTCATACAAGGGTAGAGGGAGTCACACGGACTGATGGGGTAACCAACATGCCATGAACCAAGGAGTCTGAATGACTCAGCTCTTCTCTTCTAAGGTTCAAAACAACAGCAGTAGCAGCAGCAACAACAACAACAATGTTCAAATTGAAGGGAGAGAACAAGAAAAGAAACACTCTGAAAATATAAAACCATATTCCATGGAAAACCACGGACCTGAAAGTAAGCATTCATTGTGTTCTAAAGACCAAAGTAAGAACCTTATAAGCATGATCTCTTTGTTGGTTCTTGGAGGACAGGATACTGGGACTGGCTTTCTGGTGCAGGGGAATGATTGATAATAATGATGATAATCCCACGAATCCTGTGCGTGTCTCCTCCTCCAGTGAACATCATTGCCCACTTCTTTAAACCTGCAGAGAGAGCCCTTCCCTCTCTCTTCTCTCCCCCTTGCCTCTAGCCTCAACCCTTGTTCCTGACTCACTCACAGCACCAAGCACAGTACCTGGAGCACAGTGAATTGTGATCTCGTATAGAGCTGAGCCCATTTTGATGCTTAGGAAAGCTTCCGACTATCCTGTTGCCCACCACATCCCAGAGATTTTGTATCAGCGAGTCCATTCATAAAGGAACCGTGGGACTTTCATGAGCTATTTCTTCTAAACAACTTAGAGCAACCCTCAGAGGCCCCAGTGTGATGTTTGTGTGTCTAATTTCCGTGAGCTATTGATAAGAGCCCACTCCAGCGAGCTAGTTGTCAGCCTCTACTCCAAGGGCCTGGAAAATGTACTATTTGCAATTACTTGAAAAGAAACTAATTAGCTCTAAGGAGGAAACCATAGGTAGAAATGACTAAAATCAGCTGTTCAACTGTGCTTGGCAAAAAATTAAAAGGAGTAGGTAATCTACCTCACATTTGTTTTATTTGAAAGAAAAGCAGGAAGAAGGGGGACCTAGGCAGAAGGGGTTTCCATGGCATTTTCCCTGTAGGCACAGGCCTCTGAGCGCAAGCAGTGTCAGCCTACCTGTCAGGAGGCTAAAGGTTATGACGTATCCTTGAATGCTATGTTTGGACTTTGTTCAGTGTCAGGCAAAGGAAGGTATTTGAAAGGAGAAGTGATGATTAGCTCAGGACTGTTTACGTGGTATTGCTCTTCAATATAAGTGTTGGACTTCTGTATTTGGTAAATAAGTTATGTGTTCTCTTTTAGAAGTAGCCACTCTGAATCGTTTTTCAAGACAAATTAAAAAAAACACAATATTACCATTTCTCAAAGCCTGGCACTTGCCTGGTATACAGCAGGCCAATGGTAGCAGTGAAATAAGGGGTCAGCACCCTGGCCATGGTGCGGAAGCCACCTCGGATGAGAGAGGTTTGCAACAATCTGGAGGAGAGATGAAGAGGCAACAGCAAGATAGCAGAGAAAAAATGCTTCCGACGTGAGTCAGAGCAATAACAATTCAATAATAACAATACTGGAACTGGACATTTATCAAGTGTTTGCCATATGCCATGCTTTACACGCATTCTCTACTGTTATTTCCATTTTACTCTTAAGAAAGCTGAAATTTAAGTACTTGCCCAAGGTCACATGGCTCCTAAGTGGTAAGTCGACTGTTCTGAGTGCAGAAGAAGACTCTGAGCAAAGGATCTGGGTGTCAATTCATTTGCAAGGTGACTCCATGAAATAACCAGTAAAGATGAGAAACATGAAATACAGAATGGAAAGAAGATAAACATTGAGTTATCCAGCTACTTACCATGATGAGCAATTGGGGCTCTGTCTTGCTGGGGAACTCTCGGAGATAGAGCAGAACACTCTTAAGAGTTACTATTCCATCCTAGAGGCAAGAACACTACGGTGTTCATATATAGATCCCTTATCTGCCATTGGTTGATGCTGCTTCAGGGACATTAACCCTCCACCCTTCCTGCTTGTCCTGTGCTCAGGCTGCTCATGCTCCACAGGTGCTTGCGGTAAGCAGCTCTCAGCACCAGAGAACTAAGGTCACCATCAGCATCTGCTACAATGATCCCACATCCAGTTTGCCTGGGACAGTCTCAGTTTATGTCTATTGCCTGGGAATAATTATTAATTTCCCTTTTACTCTCAGAAGTGTCCTGCTTTGGATAATTTATATGGCCACTCCTGTAAGAAAAGGAACAGATTTTCAAATCCTACTTCATGTGGTTCCAGAATCTCTGCTTTTTGCCTCTTTCTCATCCTCTGTGAGTGCAATTGTGGCTTTCCTCATCAGGCGCTGGGCAGTAGCCCTGGGTGAGGTAGGAGGATGTGGGTCCTGGACGATAAACGGCTGCTCCCCAGAACCTAGAGCACTTCCGCAGGTAAGTCCTGGGTCACCATATCAGCATTGCAGGTGGTGCTGATTAACACACAGTTTCCTGGGCCCTTTCCTTAACCTCCTGAATCCAAATCTCTGGGGCTTAGGCCAGGTGATCTGCATTTTTAGCAATCTCTCTGGCTAATTCTTCTGCACAGTAAAGTTTGAAAACTACAGGGCTAGCAAAGGGAGACAATGAGTGTTAGCATTTTTTTTTTAAAGCAGCCAAGTGGGGTGGTTTATAGCAGGGTCTCTGAGCTGCCTTGCCTAGTTTAAATCCCAGCTCTGTCTCTTACGGCTAAGTGATCTTGTGCAAGTTACTGAACTTATGTGTTCCTCATTGAAAAAACAGGGATAATAATAGCATCTACTGTATCAGGGCTGTTATGAGAATTAGACAAGTTAATCTATACAAAGCCCTGAGAACAGTGCTGGGCACGTAGCAAACACTTGAAAATGTTAGTTAGCATTATTACTGACTTTTAGCATTATGCCAGTGATCTTACCTAGGCTGTGGTATTAATCCTCAGAACAGCCACACAAGGAAGGCATTATAAAGGATTTGGGGTAAATAACTGATGCCAGCTGCAGGGTTAAAACACAAACTGGGGAGTGGAGGTGAGGGGTGGGCTGGGACATGATCCCAAATCTGTTACCTCTGCCTCTGAAGTCCTGGCTGCCTCTCTGATATCAAGCTGCCCTTGGCAGTCTCATTCCCTGTATCCACTGTGGCATCCAGTTTTTTGCCCCAACCCTCGGGTCCACCAGGGACTTTTGGGCATGGGGAGGAGGGAGGCAGCATATTGGTAGTGTTTACCTGCTGCATCCAGTCCGCCTGGGCTGGGTTGGAGCTGCTCTCTGGGATCTGGTTAGCAGCTAATGATCAGTGGGCTCTGGCTATAATGATCGGATTAGCTGCGCTTTAATCACTGTCTATTGTTTCAGCAGGGAGAGAATTTCACAGCTCATTGACTGCTCTGACTCCTAATCTACACCGAGGAAACAATGTTGCAGCTCATCAAATGCAATCAGCTGCTAATTGAAAGGAAATGGAATTTTACAATTACAGGCCACCTTTCAGTGCTCAGGATTTCTAAGCACTTCTCCCCACCTTCCTTTGCCAGCTCAGCACTGGCAGGAGCACTTGACAACCTGCTAGAGACTTCCCTAAAAGCTGCATTTAGGACCTGGCCCGTTCTCCCCAGCTCCAGAGCAGCAGCAAAGGGAAGCAGCGTCCTCGCCAATACCTGGGCTGTCCTTCAAGGCTCAGTGCAAGGAAAAACACCTGGGTTGGACATCAGGTGAGCTGAGTGCTGGTCCTTGTTCACCTTCCTCCATGCCTTGTGGCAGTGTGACCTTGGCATGCCCCCCTTTCTCTCTGTGCCCCACTCCCCTTCTCACCAAAATCAAGAAGCTGAATTTGATGACCTCTTGGTTCTTATCAGCTCTGATGATTCTGTTTGTCTTGTTCTTGCCACTATCCCCATCCAATGGAAGACATCTAAATTGACACCCTCTTTCTTGCCCAGCTATCTGCTGTTCCAAATGCTTCCAGGGTGACTGTCTTAGGTCTCCCAAAAGATTTATCCTGATGAGATTTTAATGGGCCAGAAAGCAAATTTGGGAAATATCCTACTCAGCCTTCTGATCAGACATCTCTCTACCCGTCCTGGATCCATTCACTTCCTTGGACAAATATCAATCATGATTAAATCTAAAGACAGTCACATAGATGTTTCTGGGTTCTGTCTTTTTCCCAGTGAGATTCTGTGGAGACAAGGCTGGGATGAGGGCTGCCAGCCAGAAAGAGCATTGCTGCTTTTGACCCTGTCTCAAAGCTCCATTTCCAGTCGGCTTTTCCTCTGAGAACAGGACTAACTAGCATCTGCTTTGAGGTCTGGTCTGTGTCATCCCACAATAACACTTGTTCTGTCCGGGAACACGTCTGAGGCTCATGTAACCCTGCAGTGCCATTTTCTCTTGGTTCCCATGATCTGTGGGCTGGTCTAATGTGCTTATCGGACACTGGAATATCACCACTTTCCTTTAGGCTGATGAGTTATGGCGTGTATCAAAAAAATTTTTTAAAGCACAGTCAAAAATATTTTTTGTTTGGCCAAGGTTCAGTCTCAGTCCCATTTCCGTCTATTAGAGGAACACTCCATCAGGGTCTTAGTCTGACCTGTTGCCTAGAAAAATGGGCTATAAATGAGGAAAAGAAAGGCAGTGATGGGCTGGCTGGATCTCCCCTCTAACAACACTGCAATGAGCAGGCTGGGTCCAGGAAGCTCCTGATGCTTTTCTGGAACTCTGACTTTAGGGAAGGCTGGGGAGAGAGAGGACAAAGGCGGGGTCTCCGTTAGGATGACAGGGGAGGAGAGTGTGAAGGAAGCTCTGGAGCTGTGGGTTTGCACTGTAATGTAAATAGGACAGGAGCTGGACGTGGGTCCAGGTGGAGGCAGGAAGAAGACCACTTGGGCAGATCCCACCTATAGGTCTATTGGCCAAAGGGTCAGGGTTCAGAAAGCCAGTGTGATTACCAAAGGTAAGAGTGATGGCCTAAAAAAGGGAGGTTAAGAGCCTGAGAGATGTCAGAGGGCAGTAAAAAGCTGCTGTGTTCGAAGGGCCAGGAGACACTGCCTCATGTTGATACCAGCCACTGCTCAAAGGCCTGCCCATCCTGGAAGAAAAGTGCTGGTTGTTATCAGAGCTGGGATTGGTCTGTCCACTGTAGGTAGAGTGGACACCAGGAGAAATTCCACTGGTGGGCATAATGTGGCATCCAGAAAGTATGAAAATAGGCACTCTATGGTATTTCAGAGATGTAGTTGGCATTTGAGGTCTTAACCCAGACCCCAGAATGTTCTGATGTGTAAATGGAACAAGATGATGGAGGTTCAGACAGATTTTGATCAGGGAGGCAGCCCTGAGATGTCTAATGCTGTTTAAATAAAAGTTGTTATTAAAAAAAGAAACTAAGGAAGACAATTTACATTTCTAGGTTTTTAAAAATCTTTTTTTGTCTTGATCATCATTCTGTTAGGTATTATATGAAATTTAACATTAAAACATTGGTATTTTGTCCAAGATTGGGATGCACTGAATTTAGAAGAGCCTGAGCAGTGTAGGTTAAGATACATTTTTTAGAAAATCACTTTTTAAATATAACTGGAATATTTTGTGGGGCTACCAAATTTTGAGATACTATAGATAAGTCTCATGGATAAAATTTTCACATGTCTGCTTTCAGCTTTGGGGTACCTTCATTCATTCAACAAACATTGATCAAGTACCTATTACCTGTTGGGTACATGCCAGTGAACAATACAGGCAAAATAATTCCCTGCCTTCTGGAGCTTACCTGCTGGTGCTAATGCAGCATTTGTTTAAATTAGTCAATCTTCATTTCATTTTAAATACACTAACATTTTCTATCTTTTATTAATAAATAAATACTTTTAAACATTTGACGTAGAAATGGTCAAGTAGGTACATAGTTATCAAAATATTTTAGGGCATACATAAACGAAAAAGTTTGAAGTTTACTGTGATAGTCTATCTGCCATGCAGAGCAAAAATTTCCTCTATAATGTGCAATTGCCAAATTGTTGCCGAATTTTTGCTTGGTCTGTCATGATACTGAACCATCACATTCTTTTCCACACAACTCTGAGCAGGTGGAAAGTTCTTTAGCTAGGACTCCTGTACTTCAGCATCTGCCAAAGGGCTCTCTTTCTTCCCTCAGGGGCTACTTAGAGCCTAGCTGCACAAAGTATGGTCCTCAGGCCAGCATATCACATCACCTGGAGGCTTGTTAGAAATAAGGAATCTCAGAGCCCATCCCATTTTCCCTCAATTAGAATCTGAATTTCAATAAGATTTGCAGGTGATTTGTGTGCCCATTTAAGTTTCAGAAGTACTTATAGAGTGTATGTCTGCTCTTCATTTCATAAACAGCAGCTTTTCAGTTATTTGAATAGCTACTCAACTTTTTGAGGTTAATCTTTTCTTCTCCAGGCCAGTTTGGTGATGAGGTAGAACCTCCAGGTAGAAAGCAATGTCTGCATATTGGAGGAGTTCTGCATGAGTAAGGCTTGGGCCCAGCACTTGGAGAAGCTGGCATTATAGACTGGGCAGTAGTTCTGTCTCTACCAATATTTGACCCCTGCTGCTGCCGCTGTGGGCCTTACTTTGGGCCAAAGCCAGTGGGCTTCATTCTTGACCAACGTTGGTTAGTTCTGAGGTCCAACTGTTGAACAGAAAGAGCTCTGGCCTTTGAATCCTATCTGCACCATTGATTGAATAATGTACTTTGTAGTTTAAATTAGACCATACCGAATAGACCCTCTAGATTTAGCAGAAACACATTCTGTTGTTTTGGCATAATGAACAATGCAATAAATGTGAAAACCAGAAAGTTGTTCGGGATCCAAGATGGCTCTAGAGACTGTCCTTCAGAGACCAGAGTTGATTGCTTCTACCCTCTTGCTGCTGCCATCTAATCACCCTATTTGCACTCTATGCAAATTTCATCTTTGTCTTGCTCATTTCTGTTTACTCATAGCTTCTCACGTCTCATGGTGACCAAGTTGGCCTTCTCCTTTTGTCTTTTATCTTTTGCTATTAACTGACTTTCCATATCTCAAGTTCAGATATTTGTTTGCTCATGACTAACATGTTAGTGAACTCTGTTTATCAAAGTTCTCCTCCTATGCAGTTCACAAGGTACAATCCAGCTTCCAGAATGGCTGTCTTGGGTCTGTGCCCTCCCTAGATTCAATTAGATCCGAGGCTGGTGACTTACGAGGAAAGAGCCCATAGAAAGGGCTCTATGTATGGCAGTCCAGTTCAGTACATTCCTCATCTCATTTATTTGTTCTTCAAATATTTATTGAGCATATATTTATGCCAAGCACAGTACCTAGAATAAATACAAAGATGTATACACAAGACATAATCTCCTGTATTGCAAAGTTCACAGTCTAGTGAGGGAGGTAAACAAGCAAATAAATACCTTTTACACAGGATAAATGCTACAACAGATATCTGTATAGTGTGCTACAGGGATGAAAGAGAAGAGATCAATTCTACTTGAAGGTGATAACGGAAGATTTCACAGAGGTGAAAATAAATGCACTGAAGAGTAAGGTTGAGTAGAAGATCTCAGGCTGGTTAAGCTGCTCAGAGTGTGCTGGGGAGAAAGCTGGCTATGCCTTCCTGGTATGGTTAGAGGGTAAGGTTTGGGCTTCCAGGCCAGAGATGATTTAGCAGGGTAGGGATCAAGTTACTGTGGGCTTTACTGGTTTTGCTGAGGAGTTCGGCTACATTCTTGGAACAAGGAGAAAATCCCTGAGTGATTTCAGTAGGGGAATATCATGGTCAGATTTATGTTTTGGAAGGAGACCACTTCAGTGGCAGAAGTAAGAATGGATTGAAATGTGTGACAATGGAAGATGAAGACCAACTAGGAGGCTGTTACCTGGAATGAGAAAATGAGGGTCCAGGTGAAAAATGGCAAAACAAGTGCACACATGCTGCTATTTCTTGAACAAAGTCCATGGTAGATATTGTTAATTGATCATGGCACTGCCCCACTGGATCATGGATCCATCTGGATCCAGGTGAAATCTCACCATCCTACCCAACTTAGTATATGAGGCAGACATTTCCAAAAGATCAATAGATGAAGCCTCTTTGCAGCCTAGGTCTAGTCCAAGTCACTGACAGAGAGGGAATAGGAGAAAGAGGCTGGATGTGTTTATGTACCCCCAAACTATCCAGAGTCCTTTCTTTGAGTTGTCTCTCTTACTGCTAGACAGATGTGTGATCACATCCTACATTGCATTCACTTAAAACTGGGTAGTGCTTTAAAGCTTACAATAAAAGTCTCTTATTTTAATTCTCACTCTAACCCTACAAGCAAGGCTGGGAAAGAAAGCCTCACTTTTCTTTATATTCAGCCTAAAAAATTGAAGCTTAGAGCAGCTGGACATCTTTAGCACTTTGGGTTCTTATGGCACTTTCATCCCTTCAACAAGCATTGCCTGAGAGTCTGTTATCTTCAATGTTGTATCATGCACTAAGGATATAGCTAAACATGACTTGGTCTTAGTAATTTTTTTATTACCCATACTGGATTTATCTGAGTATATTTGTTTTATACCTTCTTCCAGATTGTCAGTTCCCTGAGGGCAAAATCTCTGGAAAATATTGCTGTTCCTAATCACAGCCTGGTCACCGCACACGAGAACGCCCCACAGAAACCAGGCTTGTGGCCTGGATTTGCCTAACCTTGGCTGAAACATCAGAGCTCAGGGATCTAGTTGCAAAACAGCCTAGAAGTCTGTTTCTGATCAGCCTGGTAGCCATCTTTAATGCCTGCTAGTCATTTAGACTGGCAGAGAGTAAAGGCCTATCCCCCAAATAGAGTGTAAAACCACAACCACAACCCATAAGACGTTGAGACGTGCAAATCCAGCAATTACCCAATGGCAAGTATGGGTTTGCTGAAGGGCCGTCTCTTACAGAACCTCTACATCTAGATCCACTTGGGTCACCCTCCACTGAATGGAGATGGACACCCATGGGATGATTGACCCTTCAGCTCCACAAACCCTGACAATCTCAGAATCCTGAGGATGACTTTGAACTTGAATGCTTTGTAAGTCTCATATTACCAAATCGCTTGGGGGATTTGGCAAGAAAGAGGAGCAGTGGGATTGGCTGGCAGTGATGTAACAGCCATGCCAGCACCGCCTGTAAGTGACTGTCTGCCTCTTTGACTAGCCCTCACCCCATCTTGATTTATACATGATATTTTATAATAGCCAAAGCAACACTCAAAGAAATTTCCTTAGCCTCAGCCTCCCACCACCACCCCAGGCATGTAATAATGTCCCAGAAATACACAGCCTGTCATGTCTTATTACTTAAATATAGGCCTGAGAAGCTTCTCTACATGACAGCGTGATGTGAGTGCTACCCAGGAATGGCCCCGGGGAAGAGGGAGACAGAACACTATCATCTCAGCGTTCTTAAGCGGAGTTATCTCCCGGCATCATTCCAATTAAAGCTGGAAAACATGGAACCATGGTGCCCAACTCTCCTTTCTGGCATGTCAGGGTAGAAACACAGCAAGGGACGTGGGCCCAGAAGTCCTGCTTTGTTCCCCAGGTCTGCCACTCATTGCCTGAGTGTTTTGGAAGAGTCGAGCTTTCTGAGTGGCAGTTTCCTCCTCTGTAGAATGAGGCGTAATGACACAAGTTGCCAGGCAGGTTTTGGACAGGATCAAGTGAAAACACTGTAAAGCAGAGCTATGCAAAAGCAAATATTATTTAATAATAACGATAATCATCAATTTACGTTCCTCTTAGCCTCCATAAAACAGCTATTTCATACTGAATGGTATTATCAACCTCAAGTGTATATTTTACAGTTTTGCAGAGGACTTCAATAGCCATCCTCTCATATTTATTATTTCCCATCTATAAAGGAGGAAAGTGTTTCTTGGACAGTTTTAGTGAATCACCCAAGTCACACAAGCAGTGAAGGAGCAGAGAGGGGCCTTAACTCCCATCCTCTGAGCCTGAATCTGATGCTGTTCTTCATGTGCACTCCACAAGTAACAGTGGAAGCAATGGTTGGTGCCACTGTGTGTGGGGATGCAGAAGGCAGAAGGGAAAAGGCTGGCCAGTCTCCACCCCAGCCACGTGGGGCTCTGTTACTCTGTGCCAAGCAAACCCCAGGCCTTGGTCCATCTACACGGGGGCAACTGCAGTCTATACCTGAAGCTTCTATCTTAAGTAATTGTGTTCATTGGTGTTATTGTGCCCAGGCCCCTAGTCCTTTGTACTGTAACTGTCATCTGTACTAATTTTACTAAAGTAATCCTGTCCACTGGTTCTTTGGCACTGAAAAAATAATGTGTCAAGCAAACACTTTGTGCTGAGATAGCTCTGCCCCCTGGTTAGTCTGTGCTTGGGTAACTGGGTCACCTTGTCCTTCTGCACAAAGGCATCCCTGGCTTTGTTCCCTTTGTTCTCAGGAATTCATGTGCTCTGGTCCTCTAAGTCAATGTTTCTGGGCCTGGAATGTTTCTGAGCCCATTGCTCCTGGATGCAGGCAATTCCTGAGTTTCCCTGGAAACAGTCTGAAGCAAATGCAATTGCATTTTATTTAGGAGTGGAAGACACTTGAAAGAGAGGTGACAGAGTAGAATAGCAAAGGAGAGAAGGCTAGTGCAAGTATTTTGTGGGGAATTGGCTGCTGCTGTGAGCAACTGATGCTCATCTCACAGGGCCTTTGGAGAAGCTGCATGAAATGTGTCTTGAAACTGTCAACTAGGAGTATGAAGGGAGAACATATCTATCACTTCCTTTGGTCAAGGGTAGCCCTTGGGTAATTTACTTGCCTGCATTTACAGTTGCACATGCATATGGCTAAGCAGGGCCCATGGTTACTTCTCCCCTTCAATCAGAGAAGCCCCAAGGCAGGAGAGGGAGTACATGATGTGCACCCAGGTGAAAAAAGCACTGTGAGGTAACCCTGGAGAGAATCTGGTCAAGATCCAAGCAGAACTGGTAGAGGTGGGAGGGGCTGGAGTAGAATAAGAAGTGGGACTGAGCAGATAAACAGCAGTGCACAGGAGATGTCCGGGCCATAAAAGCATCATCTGGTCCATCTGGAGCTCATGACTTCAAGGTAAATGTTCACCAGAGCCTGCATCCCTGTGGGCATCTGAACTGACTGATATAAGGCTATCAGAAGGCACTATCCCTTAGGCTGCACATCCTCAAAGCTGTGGCCTAAAAGGACTATGCTTGGATGAATCCAGTCATGGAGTGAGTGTTTGATTCCAAGGTGACCAGTTCTCTCTGTGACCCGAATCAGACACCAGGAGCGGCACAAGCCATTAAGGGTTTAATAACATGATTATGACAAGGTGACATAGTGTGGGAAACAGAGAGGCACTCAGCAGCCTCAACAGCATGCTCCAGGCCTCACTGAGGGCCACTCCTTGAAATGAAGGGAGGTATTGAAAATGCAGAGCAGAAAGATTGATAATTATTTGAAACAAGCTTAAACATTTGGATTGCTCCAACCGCCTTAAATCACTCTGCCATATTTATACTTGACTAGTGTTCTACATAACAACTTCGAAATCAAAGACTTTTGAAAAATTTCAATCACTGTGTTTTGAAGTGATTGAGAGCTCAGGGCGTGAGCAGTGTAGAAATAAGGCATATTAACATTATTAGCGCAACAAATTTCCTGAAGTAGTTACATTAAGAAATGATCAAGGCCTTAGCCTCTATAAAGGAGAGGGAGCAGTATGTGGCTCAGGCGTCTGGTTCTGAAAGAATCTTAACTCTTTTGATGCTGAAAGGAGATCAGTAGTCTGAAAACTGATGATTCCAAATGGATTGTGTTGTCAGGAAGAGCTCTTCTGTCATATTAGTGCAGTGGAAGAGAAGAAACTAGAGAGAGAGAGAAGGAGGAAGGAAAGAAATCATAAAAATAGCTAACTCTTACAACAGAACTTACTACATGCCAGGTGCTATTCTAAGTGCTTTACATATATTAATAACTTGTACTTATTCATCCAATTTATCTTATGGGGGTTAGCCAACCCCATGAAGTAAATACTATTGTTATTCTGTTTTACAAAGTGGAAAGACATTTGAGATTCTATATTTAGATAGTCAAGAAGCCGGGATATAAACCAGACTCACCCCAGAGTGTCTGCTTTTGACAATGGGAAGGATAAGATGTATTTCTAGTCCCCTAATGTGCCAGAAACATTTTCTCATTTAAACCTTTGAAGAACCTTCTGAAATTTTGCCTCTCATTCAACAGATAAAACAGAAGCCCAAATAGACTGGCCAAGGTTACATGGCTTATGAGTGGCAACTACAGGATTTTAATTCAAAGCTGTCTTTCTGGAACTCTAGTTCCTTTCTGGGATGTTTGTTAAGGCATGGGTTGCACTCGATATGCAGAAAGAACTAAATAATCATAACATTAACATGTTGAAGTTAAAGATGTCTTTCTATCTACTGATATCAGGCAACCAGCAAAGCCTACTGCCATGAAACCAAACACTGTTGCCAACAATAATAATTATAAGAATTCCAGGCTATCATACAAAACCATCTCACTAGTATTTATGGCTCTACCCCCCTGGAGGGAGTTAAAGTGAAATGTAAACTGTTAACAGATAGGATCTCAAGAGGTTCTTGACATGGGACTCAGATAAAGCTCCAGTTTAAACTTGACTCAGAAGGCAAAATTTTCATAAACTGAACATTCTGTTCCCCTTCTATCAGTTCTGTCTCTTCTGAATAGACCCCTGAGTTGTCCTCTTCTCATTAGGGTGGGCAGGGAAAGATGGAATAGATACCCAGTGGCCTGCACCTTAGTTCTGAGACATCTAGCCCCTCATCACCTGGTGCAAAAGGAAAGTTTTCCCTATCTCTGACGTCTTTAGCTATTCTAAAAGGGTTCTAGCAAGACTTCTGAACACTTTCAGGCTATCCACTCTAAATAATCTGGAGTTTTAAAATGCTAGATAGAACAAATGCAATTTATTTTTCTCTTCCTTCTCTTGTTCAAGGCAGGCTGAAACCTTAAACAAGGCTTAAAACATAACAGAACTATTGATACTTTACCTATAGTGTCTAATTTAAACCTCACACTCATTCTCTAGGGTCAGAATTATTATCCTTGTTTCATGGGTGAGAAAACTATTGGACAATTATACCTCATCTATATATTAAGAATGATTTAATTTAAGCAGATAATAATAGTTGCTCAGTATTGTTTTTGGAATGATTTGATGATTGATTATCAGATCAATTCCAAGCTGTGCCTGTGGTGCAAAGACCACTTCCTTCAGATGTTGGACCACTATTGCTTTCTATGAGTCACCCTGCAGCTACCCTGGGTTTGGGAGACTTGGGGGCCCTTGCTGGGCTGAGAAGCCTCATTATGAAAGGATAAAATCTCAATCTTTGTCAGAGGCAATCGTGTGTTATAAACATTAATAATACGATCAGCTTCTATAGAATTAATGCCAAAAGCTTCTCCAGATCAGTGGATTTTCTTAGCTATCCCTAATGTGAATACACCCCCGTGAAATTGTTGGATGCAGCAGTTACCAGTAACTTCCTCCGATAGCATTTGGGAAATCTGGATCACAACAACATCCCCCCGGATTGTAATTGAATGTTTCATGTCTGTCTTCCTCGATGAATTCTAAACCTCTTGAGGGAAAGGACTATGTTTTATTACCCATAAGTATTAGTTCTATCAACTCACTTGATGATGGGTGAACTGTACCCTACCACACTCAACAGCTCTAGAATCCACTGGGTTCTGCTAGTTTCTCTTCTCCAGATTGCAGCATCCTTTACTGGGTGGCTCTGCAGTGAACTATAGCACAGTGTGAATTTATGAAGCTTTTCTCAGATTTTTGTTTTTTTTCCCCAAAAGACTGATTTGCTTATCCTTTGGTACACAGTGTCCTTTGGACTAGGTTGAATAAGAAGACAATAACACTGAAGTACGGGGTAGTGAGGTTGTGGTTGATGTTAAGAGGTCAGGATTCTAAAGGCACATCTTGGCAGGGTGAGGGGGAGTATTTTTCAGGGAGGAAGGAAAGGGGAAATCAGTGTTGCAGCAGGTGGCCACGGTATTTGAAAGCTAGGTGAGCTGAAGGGCATGGTTCAAGACCAAGCCTGTGAGTAGATTATGTCCTAAGGTACAGCTTTTACATAGTATCTGCTCCATGCCACGAGTCAAGGTAAAGTGGTAATAGTCTGGGCACTCAGAAAATTATGAGGGGTGCTGCTCTGACTATCTGCCAAGCCTTCTGCCAAATATCAGTGTAACGGGCTATAGTCCAGTTACTGTAATGAGATTTTGCATTTGAAGTAGCTGCAAGTGACTACACTTGTAGGATTTGCTGGACTTTGGTCAAGTTGTCCTGTGCATCACTTATGACCAGGATTCTTGGAGAGAAAATGGGATGAGGAAGCAGCCAGCAATCAGTCCTGCATCCCAGAGCACACAGACCCCACCTCGGGACAAATGAATTGAATGTGACAGTGCTTTGTAACACTCTGTAACAAGGTGTTACACAGATGTGAGGGCCTTTATGGTGAATATCACACAGGATCTGAACAGAAGTGCTGGTGAGACCCTTGGTACACAGTGCTATTTGAACAGTAAGCTCCTCTGCTGGGCTGAGATTGTGTGAATCTTTAGCCCAGAAAAACCAAGACCGAACCCTTGAACTTTTAGGCGAGTACAGAAATGCAGATGATTATTCAGCTTCATCTTTGTTTGTTTTGGGTTCTGTGAGAAAGGCTGCATAAGGGAGGAGATGCACAGAAGGAGTTCTCCAATGAAGACAACCCAAGGACGTCTGCAACCTTTACTCCCTCTCCCTCGTTTGTCATTGTTTCAGCCGTCTTCCTCGTCAAGCTTTTTTCTTGGCAAGCTTCCTGGGATGACTTCTGTCGAAGTTGGATGATTATTGTAATATTGGATTCCTATAGCTCTGGACAGATCCCAGAGCCCACACTGCTCTTCATGTTTGATCTCTCATTCCACTTTCTGGAAGAAGTTGGCTGAACTGAGGATCAAAGATTTCTCCACTTGCTTCTCTTTCTCTCCTATGACAGCCTCAGTGCTAGCAGTTTAGCACAACAGCAAATTAACTCCTTGACTGATCACTTGCTCAGAATTTTTCAAATCCTTTCAGAAAAGGCAGCTGAAATGAACCTAGATTGCATAGGAGGAGATTTTTATTTCAGCTTGAATGTACCTTCAGGTAAACACATAGTTCAGTTTTCATCCACTCCAACGGGACCTCTCAAGGGAGCTTGCTCATTTTGGCGAAGTGATTTTGTTTGCTGAACAAAACTCCTTGTAAGAAATTGTCCTATAAACACAAATAACTTAGATGGTTCTGTGGAACTTCTTAAATTCTGAAATGCTCAGACTGGAAACTTAAGAATTTTCAATGATGACTTGGGCTTTCCAGAAAAGAGGCATATTCTTGTACAAAGAACACATATATGATCAGAGAATCTTATTTTCTGTTAATAAGATTTAACTAATACTCTCGTAATTAATTGTGTCATCTTTTCTCCCTCTGGGCCTCAGTTTTTTAAGTCAAGCCATCATTCAGGAAAAAAACCAATTCTTAACTTTCTATGATGTGTCTGGCAATGTGCTGGTTAGTGCTCTAGAAGCTTGAGCTCCAGAGCACTGCTCCTCAGTCTCGAAAATGTTTACTAATCATCTAAGGATCTTGTGAAAATACAGACTCTGATTCAATATGTCAAGAGTGGGACCTGAGATTCTGCGTTTTTAACCAGTTCCTGTGTGGTGCTGATGCTGTCAGTCCGGAGAATGCACTTTGAGTAGAAAAGTGTTGGAAGGGCTAGTGTTCTTGTGTAGATCAGGAGAATTTCCAGCAGATTTTAACATCAGTTTAAAGGGAAGTCTCATATGTAACAGAGAGAAATTGAATTGTTTTGGATGAAGGAGGGGAGTGTGGTAGAACTTTGAATCTATCCAGCTCAGCCCTCCTCCCTCGCCCCTGCCTCTAGCCTCATTCACTGATGAGGGAACTCACAAGGCACTTCCATGGTACCACAGAAGGTGCAGGCTGAAACTCAGAGCAGTGAGTGATCTCTGGACATACTTCTCCCATTCTATGGCTGAGGATGAAAATGTAGAGAAATGTCAATAGCATTTTAAGGGAAGGAAGGAACATGGACCCAGGGATAGCTAATCTTATGTGTGGACTTGGCTAGGCCACAATACCCAGATATTTGATCAAACACAAGTCTGAATGTTCTTGTGAAGGTATTTTAAAGATGAGATTAACATTAAATCAATGGACTTTGCGTAAAGCAGATTACCTTCTATGATATGGGAGGGCCTTGTTCAATCAGTTGAAGGCATTAAGAGAAAACAAACTGAGGTCCCCTGAGGAAAAAGGAATTATGTATCCAGACTGCTTGGACTCAAGACTGCAATATCAACTCTTCCCTAGGTTTCCAGCCTGCTGGTCTACCCTGAACATTTTGGACTTGCCAGCCCCCACAATCTCATAAGCCAATTCCTTAAATCACTTTCTCTCTCTCCTTTCACATCCTATTGGCTCTGTTTCTTTGGAGAATCCTGACTAATACAGCTCCTTCAAGCATAAAAGAGTTGACTGAAATAAAACCCTCTCTTCTAGCTTAAGGCACCCATGACCATTTGATTCTGCAAATGTGTGGTTTGTGATCTGTGATCCCAGGTGTGGTCCCTGTGGCATGAATCTGTGGAAAGCCCACACTGGCCCTCTTACCACACCTTCCTTTGTTGTAGTGAAACATGGAACCTGGCCTAGGTCTGAACTCAGCACAACTGGGTTGTTGTCTCTGCTATTAACATCCTGGGACTTGGGAGCAAGCCACTGTCCCTGACTGGGCCTTGGTGTCTTCCTTTATAATATAATATGGAATTTTTTAAAAAATAATTTTTTAAAATAATTTTCTGAAGAATATTAGGATCCTATAGAAAAAGATCTGTCACCAATTAAGTTTGGAAAATGCTGCCTGCATCATCCTCTCGTTTGAGAGTCACAATGAACATCCATTTCAAAGGCCCTGAGAAGTCTTGCAGCAAAGAAGCCTCCTTGATTCTTGTCCTCAAGCTTAGTTGATGCCCAAATGCTAACACCTAGCAAATCTAGCAGAGACATATTTTGGGAAATGTAATACTAGATGGTTGTTGTGGCTTACTTCGGCTCTCTGATGATTTATTCTTTTCATATGATTCACAGATTCAAAGACAGAAGCCAAGAGAAAAATTGGTCAAAATCTTTTCCATAATACTTGAAGGGGGGGTCCTGCTTTTTACATCCCTAAAATAGGAACGTTAATAGAACTTCCCACACTAGGTTGTTGTAGGGATTAAGTTAAAAAATGCATGTAAAGCTCTTAGCATAGAGCCTAGCACCTAGTAGTCAGCCAGTAACTTTGTTTAACCTTGAGCCAAAAATGGTCATATTTGAAAAGTTCAGTTCTAAGAGGAACTCAGGCATTCAATCCTTCAAACCAAACCCAAACCATTTTATGCTTGGATTATTTCACCCTGGGTGAGGGGCAACTTCCAGGCATTTGAAAGCTCTGACATCCTGCTGGCAACCCAGGAGCATTCTGAAGCCAAGATACTAATGATTTAAGCATTAATAAATCCAGAGATAGGTCATTCAATTTTCTTTTAAATGCAGATCATAAAAGAGGGAGGAATATTTGGGTAAAGATGTACTGAACTTTTTTCTGAATCTGAAGGCTTTGAAACATTTTTGTAAGCAATGACTAGCGCTCCACTGCATTTTCTCTACTCCGGTGTTCGGAGCGGGGATATGTGAACCTTGAGCAATAGCCTACTTCGTTTCTGACCCTGAAAATACTCAAAAAGTTATGTTGTGCTTGCATCGCATTTTCAGCCTGTCCAAGGATTTCCACATCTGTATTTTCTCTTCAACCTTTCAAAACCCACTGACTTAAGAAAGGCTGGCAGAATTGCCTATTTAACAGATGAGGAAACTGAGGTCCAGAAAGTTACATGATTTGTTCAAAGTCCCAAAGTGAGTTGGCTGAGAGGCTGGACTAGAAATGCCACTCCCTGACCCCCAGTCCTGGGCTCTGTCTACTGGACCTCACCGCTACACAGGTGATCCACTGTAGCGGGAGCACAGCCCTGGGATCTGAGCAGCTTGCATGCAGGATGTAGCAGATTGGTATGCAAGCTTAGTGGGCTCTGGCTAATCTTGCAGGGAACCCTTCAATCTGAATAACAATCAACAAGATTTTAAAGAAATTTGGGCCAATTTCCTGGAAGTCTATGATTAATCTAATTGCTGGGTTTTCCTCTGTTTTTGTCTCCCACTGTTAATTTCATTTATTTTTTTTCTTTCTTCCCCGACACAGACTGCCTTGTCTCTATACGCGGTTTTGTCACTGTTGTTATTTGTCCATACATAGTTTATCATTGGCAATGCATTCAATGGGATTATTGTACTCTATGTTTGGGGAAAGAGAATCTTTCAATAGAGACAACATTACACAGCAGGAAGAAAGAGCACTGGGCTGAATTTCAGAGACACTATTTCAAAGCTTCACTTTGCGAATACCTGCTATGCCTCCCTGGCTCCTCAGATACCCCAGGGTTAAGGAGACCTCCTGCTTCTCCTGGCCCATCCCCCATTACCTAATATCTGGAGTTATGAGAAGTTTTAGGGGCTGCACTATGCTGCCAGCTATTGCAAATAAATGTTCAAAAATAGATTTTGGTCAAATATAATAGAAAATGCTTCTTTTTAGCAAGGGGGTTTTGTTCTCTAGAGGACACGTTAAAGGAATGGGATGGTGATAATATTTTTATAACCAGATGGACAAAGGTATTCCAGCACTTGGATGAAGACAGAGGTGAAGGAATGAGTTGAGGAGAGATGGGGAGAGCGAAGGAAGGTGTCAGCACTGGCCATGGCTATACGTGTTAGAAGGGCCAGAGGTGATCGAAGAGGTCTGGACAGAGATAGAGCCAATCTAGTGTATTCATCAGGTGAATGAAGAGTGCAGCCAACTTTTCTGTCGCCTGTGTCTGTTACCTTGCATGTGCCTAGCTTGGAAGCTTAACTAGTCACTGGTTGGAACATGGGAGACCACTAATGAGCAACTGGCCTGACCAAATCAGACCAGCATCAGAAATGGTAAACTCTTTGGGATAGCAGAGTGGCATTGCTATTGGGTTACCCAGGAGAGGAGAAGGTGAACTTGACTGTAGGGCAGCCAGTCACCCCTGGTCACCTCTCTGCAGCCTACCACATGTAGATCCTACTTCACACCCCATAGGCTTTCTGGAAAAATGTGCCGTGAAGTCATCCAAGATCTTGATTCTTTATTCAGTCTAAGTCTTACTCAAGCATTAAGGGGCCTTGTTTTTGTCGTCGAAGACTAGTACTGTCCTTTCTAACCAACTAGCTGCTGGAATGCTGGGGAGGTGTCTAGTTCTTGGTAGGTAACCCAAGAGGCAATAATAATAATGTCCCTTAATGTCAGGCCTTGAATGTGTGCCAAGTACAGACCTGCCTTATCTCACTGTTTTCTCCCTGAGTAGATGTTCTGCTAATAAATATTTATTTGGTATTTGATAATAAGAAGCAGCTACTTAATTTGCAAGGTCCAGTGCAAAATGAAAATACAGAGCTACTTAAAAAAATATAATTGGGAATTTCAAGACGGTAAGAACAGAGTGTTAAACCAACTGCAGGGCCTTTATGAGGATGGAGCCCTGGGGGAACACACAGGTCACATGCCCATGAAACAGGCTGTGCTTATAATTTTAACTGAGATGTAGAGATATGAAATAATTTCCCCAAGATGACAAAGTTAATAAGCTGAGGCTCTGGCTGCAGAACCTGAACTCTTAACCCCTCTGCAGAATTGTCTCAAGCTAGATAGCTGGATAATGGGTGAATCCTCAAGCCCTGCCCACATTCTCCTGAATAGGCAAAACTGGGAGGAGCCAGATGATCCCACTTAAGGGGCCTCAGCCTGGTTGAGCTCTGTCCACCACTCGGGAGGCTCAGTGAATAGCCTGGGCTCCAGCCCCTGGTGCTCAGCACCCAAGCCTGCACCCTCTGACTCCAGAGGCAGCAACTTCTGCTGAACCACAGTTGCTTCATCTAAAAACAACAGTAGCTACAAAAGCAACAATAGTTAAAAATGCAACAGCAACAGCAATGAACAAACCTGCATATTTGGAAATGGCTTGCTCAGTTGGACCACAGCCCTCTCCCAGACCCGATGAAAAGGAGACATATGTACTTATACACACACACACTCACATACTCACTCACTCCAGGCTATGTTCCTAGTTGGGGTCATTGGTCCCAATTGCTCTGCCTTTGCCCCTACGGTGGTGACAGAGATTGCGTAGGAGTCTTCTGCCATTTCTCTTGGACTTCTTGTCCTGGGGTCCCAATTTCTCTTTTACATTTTCTTCCAGGATCCCAGAGCTTCCTATGCCTCCATATCTCAGAGTTGTCGAGACGTAGAAGCAGGCTAGGCTGTTGGCTCTTTCTTCACCTCTCACAAGGTGGGAATGTGCAACTTCACTCTCCAAAGGGCAAAGGGGAAGGCTGCCACCAGAATCTCTCCTAACTAGACTCTGTGACACTTGTATGACACTTGGTGATACTTGGCACAATTACAAATGGGACTAGGGTGTGAAGTCAGGAGGCTGTCTGGCCTTTTGCCTAGAAGGGGAGGAACACTGCCATGGTGTGAGGTTGAGAGGACTGACCCTGAGCTCTACTGGGAATGGAAGATGCAGCAATGAGTAAGGCAGATGTGGCTCCTCCCCTCCTGGAGCTTGTAGTCTAGCAGGAAACATAGATAGCAAACAAATAAGTTTTACAAACAATCACTTAATTATAATTGTGAAAAGTAATGGGGAAATGCAAAATGATTAGAGAGTGTACACGCAGATGGCCTGATCCAGTCAGATGTGTCAGGCATGGTCTGAAGAAGTAACATTTAAGCAGAAACCTCAGCGAAGAATAGGAGTTAGCCAGAAAGTGGGTGGAGGGAGGTGCTGGAGAGGATGCCTACAAAGAAAACAGTGACCCTAAGCCAGGCATGTGGCTGGCCCTCACCTCAGTGGCACCAGGGAGGGTCACTAGGAGAAATGCTGCGATAAAGAGTGACTACTTGGTTGAAAAAGGAATGTAGAAGAGAATGGCAGATGGAGAGAAGAAAGAACAACTGAAAGAGGGGCCAAAGAGAGCAGGGCTGGAGTAGAGGGCAGAGTGAGGTAGATGGGGATGACCCCTGTAAAGAGGAATGAGACAATTACCAATCCCATTTCTAAGTCAAATTCCAGGTGCTAACCCTTAATTCTCAACTGCGGGAGAAGTGGCCCCAGGCAGAGCTTGAAGCTTCCTGCTCCCTCCAACCAAAGGCACTGCTAGACCACAGCCTTCCACGGGAAGCACATTCAATCCCTCCCCTGCAAGGAATTATAACTTTCAGCACTTCTCACCTTGCATGAAGGTAATCGTGATTGCCCAGGTGTGGCGTGAGGATTGAGAGAGAGAATGCTTATAGAGCACCGAGCGTAGTGCTTAGCATGTGGGAACACTCCAGAGTGTCCACTGCTTCTAACATTCTAGAATGGAAAAAAATATGGAAGCTTTGGTGTCAGAATAAACCTAAGTTTGAAACCTGGTTGTCCCGTTCATTTTGTGATCTTGAGTTGATTACTTCACTTCTCTTAGTCCCAGTTTCATCATCTATTAAACAAGGACCATAAGGCTTACTAATGCAAAGATCTATGGCACACGGTTAATAACCATTCCTTCCTCTTCATTTGCTCTTAATTTCTTAATTTATTTGTAAATTCAACCTCTTTCAACATTTGAGGGAATCAGGGTCTTCATGCAAGCAGGATGCAGTCCGCTCACTGTCCCTTCCAAAGGACCTTGGATCCTGTCTGGAAGATGAAGAGTTCTCACATCTACTGCCCACAGTTTGCAAAGCCCATTTATATGTGTCTCAGAATCATCTCAGAGAGGGGTCTGGAGGCAGGAGTTATCATCTGCATTTCCTGGAGAAGAAAACAGAAGCTCAAAAAGGTCTATTTACTTCTCCAAATCATGGAATCCATAACCCATCTACTCCTCACCTCTACACAGGGGAGCACACCAATTAACAGCTACAAAAAAAAAAAAAAAAAAAAAAAAAAAAGCTGGGGTTTACACTCAGAAAAAAAGTTAAGTGAGTTTCCTTGAAAGTATTCTTCAATGGGAACCAGTTTGGGGTAGATGTGGATTGGTAAAGGTGACAGAGAGTGGGGCAAAGGAGGTGTGACAGATCTTACCCGCTCATTATATTCAGCAAAAACTGAATCCACCAAAGCCTAGAAAGGGCTAGGAGTGTCTGTGGGGGCAGGCAGATTCCAGGGTTTTCTGCCACAAGAAGTAAACTCAGACACTACTCCTGGCCCCTCCCTCCCTCCCCTGCAAGAAGAGCCTTCCTTCCCACTAACCCCTGGGGCTCTGCTCACCCTCCCACCTGGGCTCCATCCAATCCTGCTCTGCTCTTGCCAGGGGCTGGAGTGCTGGTGGCCGGCTCCTCCAGCTTGCCTCCATTGGCCTGAGTGCGTCCTAGCCCACTCTGGATATTAGAGCATTCTCTCATTTGAAAGGCTCCTTTATTTTTAGTGCTAAATCAACAAAGCTGTTACTGTCATTTTCCATCAGACCGTCATCTTCCACGGATTCAAAATTACACTCAGCTGCAAACTATTGACACTCCTCTTAACAAAAAAATGGTTTTAATAAATCTTTACATTAGCCTATGAGATAAAAAAAATCTTTACCATGAAATATACAAGTGTATAAGTGTTTTATGAAAGTTTTATTAACTTTACAAAAGAAAAATTGGCAGTGGACCATGAACATCCTGTACTCCTAACACGTGGTTATAAATTACATGTTCTTTCCAATAACATCTGAAAAAGAGACTGTAATTTAAATTTCAAAACCACTTGGCATACCTACTATATAGTGCTGACATGAAGTAAAAGGAGGAACTAGAGAGGCCCAGACAAAGAAGGGAAATATAAAGACGTCCTTAGCTAAAAAGCTGCTGATGGGTACAATCCCCCCTCCAGCTGGACAGGGATCAAGTACTTGCTTGTCATATCATTCAATGCACTGTTCAATCTGGGATTCTTCCTTTCAACAAAAAGAGAACTTAAGTGCTAGTAATCATCGCTTGCAGAACTTTATCTCCCAGATACCTTCTTTATGTCAGGATTTCTCAATGACCGCTGCTGCTGGCAGAGAGATCAAAGTTGTTATTAAACACAAATGCGAACCCTAGCCCATGCAGGAGGTGTGCGCCATGGCACTCCCTCCCTGGGATGTAAGCCTACCACTACCTTAGTGATTTTTCATTTTCTGTCTCTGCTCCTTAGGCTATTAAGGAAACTTCCTGTAGGGTCTGTCCAATACAGGGGTTGGGGTCCAGCTTTTCTTTGCAAGTGAGTGCTTCAGTGTCAAGAATATTTTGGGACATTAAGGTCACCTGGTGGGATTTGAAGAAGCCCCTCGGAAGTGAGCAGATGGCATAGATCTGGCGGTAGCCTGCAAAGTTCACCGCTTTGGGGAAAGCAGATATCTACCAGGATCTCAGCAGCACTAAGCCTGCCTTCCAGGCAGCAGCATTGCAGAAAAGCATAATATAAAGTCATGCAAACCTGGATTCAAAGTCCAATTTTGCTAGTTACTACCTGTGTGATTCTGAGCAAGTTACTTAACCTCTCTCTTCCCTGAGTCATACTGATAAGGTATCAAAGTCTGAAGCAGTTTTCTTTGGCCTTCAAGCTCACCATTTAACACAGCCTGAAGATGGGGACTAGGGCCACCCTCCCAGATCCAAGAATCTGGCATCTGTTGAAAATGGTCAGTGAGAGGTGCACACCAAGATGGCCCTGCAGACATACTCTCCCAAGGCCTAAGATTTCGTGGTTCCATTTAAGTGGTGAAATTTCCAGTTTGCCACTGACAAAAAGCCGAGCCTCTAAGATGTGTACCCAGGTTGGGGTGCCATGTCAGACAGCCCAGACTGGGAACTAGAAAACAATCCTGGGAGACCCTCTTAGTTGGGTGGCGGGTGACACTGCAAAGTTCAGCAGGGTTTCTGCACATAGATCCAGGCCCAAGTCTTAGAGTGAGTGTCTTGGAGTCTTCCTATAGTAGAAAGAAATGAATTTCCACTCAGATAAGGGGTATTTTAATGGTTCTTACAGAAACACCTGAGTTGGGAGACTCCTGCTAACATACGTTCCTCTGCTTTCACTTGGTATGGTTAATTTTTGAATGCATTTTCTTCGTTGTTGGATTCACTGATTGATTGAAATCAAATGAGGAAGAAAGCCCTGTGCTGGAGTGACTTTGGAGATTAGACGATGTGGGATCTAAATGGCCCCATTTCCAATTACAAAAGGGTAATATGTGCCCTTAATGGAAAAGCACAACAACTTTTGACCAAATAAATTATTTTCTTCCAGTTCAAAATAAGTGACGGTCCTTACAAAGTAGAACTTGCCCTCCTTCCAAATGTGTTGAAGGAAAGTGACATGTGTCTTGGATGCAGAATTACAAGGACATCATATTAATCTGCTGGGGTCGCATCACCCCAGATGAGAAGGCAGCCAGACGATGTGGGGTGGGGAACTTGAAGCGCAGCGCCTGAGAACAGCTGTGACTGCATGGAGGTCACAGTCAGGGACTAGGCAGGAGCCAGCACTGCCCAAACTTCATTATGTAGAAAAAATGCACCCAGTAGCAAGATGCCGAAGATCTGAGAATCGGTGAGAAAAGTTCATTTGGACTGAAGGGAACTTGATTAATTTTAAGCCTGGTGTGTTGCTACTGCCTCCCTGACTTAGTCTTCAGAATATTAATGAGTGGTTTGAGGAAAAGAAACAGCACAGGAGATGTACCTGAGGATGCAGCCCACTCTTCTTAATGACAATAGCAGCAACAAGAGCAATAATGACAACAGCTATAGTGACATGGAAAAGGGCTCACGTTTACTGAGGGCTCATCATGTACCAGGCCTTGAGGTTGATATGCATTATCCTATTTATTCTTCACAACAGTCCTCTGAGGTAGCTATTATGTGTTCTTATCTCCAATTTGCAAACAAAAACTCTTTGGCACAGAGGGATAAAATGAGTTGTCCAAAGGCACATAGCCTGAGGTTTGCACCACATGCGATCTTTCATTTTCCAAGGCCTCCTCAAACCTGAACACCCACCATGTGTGCCCACCTGCAGGCTGGGCCTTCACTGGAAATGATCTCCAGGGCTGACTGCCTCCTCCCAGCCCATCTCAGGATTTGGCTAGGCATGTCCAGATGCTCCCTGGCAGGCAGAAAGGGATTGGACACTGACCTGGAGCTGTCTGAAGGGCTGGGCATATGTCAGGGCATCTGACCCAGGGATAGGAGCTGACATGAGGGGCTCCCGATATCAGGAAAAGCCTGACACATGAGGATGTCACCATCTCCCAACTATAGTGGGAAGGCTGACCTAGTAAGTGGGTGGGACACAGAAGTGGGGAAATTAGGCTGATAGTTGTAATCTAAGAAGCCCTGATGGGCAGGAGGCAGGCCCTATCACCAGCCAGGGAAGCAGGTGAGAGGGAGAGAACAGGAGCTGGGGAGAGGAATGGAGTTCCTTGGCCTGAAACAGGCTGGCCAGGGTAAGAGAGGGCCCATGTCCTGGATGGGGGCTGGAGGCAGGGCAGAGCCCTGTCACAGAGACTTGGAGCCAAGCTCTAAGCCCAAATTCCAGCATCAGACCCAGATTACATGGTATAGGGATAAGATGCTAGGGCATAGGGCCATTGACCCCCATGGAGGCACAACGTCAGCAGTGGAAGAACTGCAAGAATTAATTATTCTTAAGAAATGGACTCTGAAGCTGGGACCGAACAAAACCCTGAACTCATTCAATGATGCTCTTTCGATCTCCCTTGCTCTCTCTCTTCATTCATTCATTAATGCATTCATTCCACAAGTATTATCTGAGCAATTATTCTGTGACAGACATGGGTATAAAGATAAATGAGATAAACGAGAGCTCCCAGTCTATCTACTAGGAGACAGTCCTATAATCAAAGGTATATACCAGGAAAAAAAGGTCACAGTTGTGGTTTAGATGCAGGGCTATGAAAGCCTAGAGGAGGAGCACCTGATTCTGCCTGGGCTGGTCTAGGAAGGCTTTCTGAAGGAGGTGAGGGATGATAGAGTAGAATCTTAGAGCTTAATTCTTAAACAGGTAGACACAGGGCAATGAGGGAGGTGACTGAGGAGCAGGCGACAGCTTGGGCAAAGGTACAGAGGACAGAGAGCATATGGCCCATCTGAAATTGGCCCTGAAACCTGAGTGCAGACATATGGGGTAAGAAAGGAAGGGACTCTCCTCATTTTTAGAGGAGGAAATGGGCTCATGCGCCATGAACCAATGGTGAGCCAGCGCTAGAATCCAGGTCTCTCCACTCTCAGTGCCCAGCCAGACCACTTCAGAGAACAGTTAATGTTGCAGAAGAGTCTTTGGTTGCAGACAGATCTGATGGGATCTCACACCTTAGCTACGCCCCCACAAAGGTGAGGAGCTGAAATTGCTTACTTCTTTGAGCCTGAGATTATCATTACAAGGGGTAGGGAGAGCTATTAACACTGATCTTACAGATTGATCTGAAACAAAAATGGAGAATTAAATCAGATAATGCTGGAACTGAATAGCTTGTTGTTAGTGGAGCTTTGCCATTTGTCTTGCTTTGTTCATTTGTTTAGGGGAAGATTAGGGTGACTGCACATGCCAGGGAGACAGGAACAGGGCTCTGGGACAGGGGACCCCACTAGGGGGGCTGAGTTAGTAACCCAAGCATGAGGTGATCAGGATGGCAGTTGCTGCAAATATGTTGTGCAGAAGGAGGGAAGCTTGTGGAGAAGATAGCATTTATTAAACACCTACTGTGTGCCAGGAGTTGCATTAGGAATTGATTTACATCATTTAATTCAATATTTACCATAACCCAGTGTCTCAATGTATGGGCTGGAAAATATGGTAGCTGGATGGAGAAGGGGGACTGATGTTTATTCAGTGACATCTAGCAGGCATCAATTGTTTTTCATTCAATATCTCACATATGCTTTTTACATACATGTGATATACACTCATATTAGTCCTGTGACAGCAATACTATTCCCATTCTGTAGATGAGGAAATAAGACTGGAAGGAGTTAATGGCTTGTTCAAGATCACATAGTTACACATTGGGCAGGCTCAGAATTTGAACTCAGCTTTCTTGGCTCCAAAGTCAACGTGTTCTCCATCTCACTGGGTGTCAGATAGGAAGAGGAGCATGTCAGAATATTTCTTTCCTTTCCGCAGTCATTCATTTTCAACACTTTTCTCTGCCCTCATTTTGTCATTTTAGGCCCCAAATTACCTTGCTTTCCTGTCTCTAGACCACATCAGCCAAGACTTCCTAGCCAGGCTGAGACAAAAACGGTCCATTTAAAGACTGGAAGTCCAAGTACGTTGTAGCTTCTCCAGGTCCTTGTTAACTGGTTTTCCTTCTTGTGACTGGTCTGAATGTTGGGGGTGGGGCAGTGAGCAGGGTAGAAGCTGGGCTTTTGTCATTAAGGAGACCAGGAGGGGCTGGGCGTGGTGGCTCATGTCTGTAATCCCAGCACTTCGGGAGGCCGAGGCAGGCAGATCACAAGGTCAGGAGTTCGAGATCAGCCTGACCAGCATGGTGAAACCCCACCTCTACTAAAAATACAAGAATTAGTTGAGGGTGGTGGCATGTGCCTGTAATCTCAGCTACTCAGGAGGCTGAGGCAGGAGAATTGCTTGAACCTGGGAGGTGGAGGTTGCAGTGAGCCAAGATGGCACCACTGCTGGACAGAGCAAGACTCCTTCTCAAAAAAAAAAAAAAAAAAAAAAAAGACGAGGAGGGAAGAGACATAAGGGAGAAAGCAACCTGGTTTGCAATGCAAAGATCACACATTAAACTTTCTATTACTCTCCAACAGAGGTTTGCAATTTTCTATTTTCAACACTCAATTTCATTCTTAAAATGAAATTCTACTTGAGAGCCCAACATATAAAAGATATAAAAGAGATTCTGCCTTTGTTGAATTGGGAGGGGGTGGTCTGAAGGCCTGACCACTGACATCCATCACCCTTGAACCGCCTCGCAGGACCTCAGGGCTTCTTCGAACCCAGTTTGAAAACTGTGGATCTGCTCTGTGACTTTGGATATAGAATGTACAATATATAGTTAATTACCACAAAGGGAAGTAAAATCCCTAATTTTGTAGGGATGTCTAGGTCCTGATGGAGTGAGGTTAACCCTGGACACAGGTACAGCTCTTCAAAGGATAAAGGAAAGTAAACTCACATCTACTGAGCACCTAGTAAGTACCAGGTATTTTGTGTACCCAGTAAGTGCCGAAACATCGCCCCAGTTATTTTGTACAAAGGTAGGACTTCTCCAAACTTATGGCCCTATTTCTCAGATGATTTAAAGTCTAAAGGGTTAGGTAACTTGGCTCAAGGTCACACAAGTCAGGAGTGGTCAGCACAGGAATTCAAGCCACACCTCTTTATGAAAAGAAATACACTCAATCTCAGTCCTATGTTAAGTGACTTTATGTTAAGGAGGATACAGAAGGTACCCAGGATCTGGAGTACCTGAAGGTACTTCCTTACAGCACCAGAGATATGAAAGGGACAAGATACGTATAACATAGTGTCACTCATAGAGCCCTGCAGTGGGAACCAAGAAATTGAAGATTCTAGTTCCCCTGGCTCTGCTCTTGACTTACCAGGCAATGGACCTTCCTGTTCAAGTTGCAGGGCTGGGCTGAGGAATGGGTAGATGGGACAGTACTTTGAAGACTTATAGTTTCTGTGAACAGATGAGGGAATTTTGTAGGGTTGACTGTAGATATGACCAGTTGCTAAATCAGTTCCTAATGATTTTACATTATTCTAACCAACTCAAAAACTGCACAGTATGCCACAGATAAACTCCATGAATGTACAGCTCCTATGGGCTACAGAAGCCAGCAGCAGGGAAAGAGCCAGGGATTTGGAGCCAAAAGAACTGGGATGGATTTCTGGCCCCAGCACTTGGTAGCTGTGTGACCTTGAGTAAATTGCTCAGCTTACCCTTTTTGATCCTAAGTTTCTTGCCTGTGAAAACCCCATCTGACAAGGTTATCGTGAGAATTAAATGTGCAAACGTGCAAAGTGTCGAATGCAGTCTGGCAAATAGCATGTAGTACATGTAAGCACCCTTCCTCTTCTTTCTTTTCTCCACTCTCTAAATAGAAAAATCATTAAAAGTAGGTGGTAGCTCCTAAAAACTCCTGTTCATCCTTCAAAACCTGGATTTGTGATACTTCTTTCAGCAAATCTTCCTTGAGCCTCCACGACAGAGCTGACACCACCTCCAAGTTATCTGGGGACTTTGTATTTGATTCTATTACTTCTTGTTATAATATTACTTACATATTGTAATTTCCTGTTTTTATGTCCATTTTCCCCAGGAGACTGTGAGCTCCCTAGTTGAAGCCTGGCACAAACGAGTTTGCTAGACTCATTTGGGGAGTTGTCAATAACCCCCAAGTAACCCCTACATCAACCCAGCCAGCATTCCACTGATGACTGGGAAAGTTGGACAGCCTTCCACCCAAAACTGGACAATTCATTTAATCTGCTCTCCAGAAGAGCTCTGTGCTGTTAGCCGTCTTTTGTGAAAAGCAATTCTGCAGGATCCTCAGGAAAAAACTAACACGGTGTGTGTGTGTGTGTGTGTGTGTGTGTGTGTGTGTGTGTGTGTGTGTGTGTGTGTGTGTTTATGGAAAAATTCCACAGTCATTTTTTTGGCACTGAAATTCTTGAGTTTTTAAGGAGGAGGATTTTTGCTCTTCTTGATGCCTTCACCCAATATGATGGAAACATAGTGAAATGTCAAGCACTGCTCCAGTGTTTTCTTTTTTTATTTTCTTTTTAATTCCTGCTTTACTGGAGTAAGAAACTGGCCCTTGTCAAGACTAATCTGCAGAGAATGCTGGCAACCAATCATACAATGTCAGGTTGAGCTTGGATCTGGGCCCTGGGGCAAGCTTGTTTATCTGTAAAATGGGATCCTGGGTACTCACCTTGCAGGCTTGTGATAGGGATAAGGGAGGCTGTGGGTGCTGCGTGCTTAGCAGAGTGCTGGCACGTTGCAGATCCCTTTCCTATTCCCAGGTTACCTCATTACATTCTTACAATGCTCTACTGTATATAGAGAGCCATCCCTAAGTTCTAGGTAGCTTGTGTTAAATTTAACTAAAGTTGGCCTGAAGATGCCTCAGTACCTTGAGTATTTACATAACAAACTGCACCTTACTTAGTACGTAAACAGAATAAAAGCCTAATTTAGGAGTATGCATTTTTTGTGACAAGTAGTTGTGTCTCAGCCAATAACAAGATGCTGAGGTTCAGCCAATCACGGGCAGTCAACTCATCACACCACATCCAAATACGGCCAATGCTGAGCTGTAACCAGTGAAGCTGTTGCTGTGCCTCACTTCCGTTCCGTTTCCTGGTTCTGAGGGGGCTCGATTTGCGAATAGTTCTTGGCTCAACTAAACTTTGTTAAATTTAATTTGCTGAAATTTTTTTTTTTTCACGCCTGGAAGTGTGTGTAAAGTGCCTCCGTAGGTAGGCAGCAGAGCTAAGACTGGAAGTCAGGATTGCTGGACTCCACAGCCCATGGGAAATGTGTCCCTCCTTCATAAAGAAGCCTGAGTCTTCTCATTGAGATTGTTCTCTTTAGCTGTGTAATGGGCTTGCCACAGATGCCCTCTTAACTCATGCCCAGGTGCCCCCTTTTGGCTCTCTGCTAGCTGCCCCTGTTCCCTGGCTGAGTTAGACAGGAAACTCCCTTGGACCACATGTAGAAGGATCGAAGAAGTGGAAAAATAAAGTAAGCAACAGTGACTTCTGATGGGTGTGAAGAATGCAGCTGCAAAGCTGCAGAGATGGCCGTGCTGGGGCTGGCAGGAAGCTCGGGCTCCACAAGGAACGCACTGGTCAGTCTCAGGAGCAGCCTCAGCCAGGTGGCCTCCTCCCCAGCAATTTCCTTCCAGGACCCCCTGTGGAGCCAGTGAAATGAATGCCAATACAACTGCTGCCCAGGTACAAACAGGCCTCTGGGGGGCTGGGGCTGCAGGTAGCTTGTTTAACACAAGCTAACAGCAGGATGTGGTGGATGCCATGGTGTGCTGCCCACCTCCCCTGGAGGACCAAGGCACTGTCTCCCTTAGTTGACAGGCTGTTGCATCCCTCCCTGGGGGTTGCTCTCAGCTGCAGGGTACTGCCCCACCCAACATCACGTCCTCTCGCTGGAGGCACAAAGCCTCGGCCCATAGATTCATTTGGGACAACCTTGAAGAACCCTCTCAGCTCCAGAGCTCCCCATGACCTCTGCTGAGGCTGCTGTCCCTCTGCTCTGTCCTGCTTTCTTTCCTCAAGTACTCCTCAGTGAACCCTTGCATGCTAATCCCACAGTTTCAGCCAGTTTCCCAGGAGCTGCACCTAAGACCACGGAGAACTCTAGCCTGGAAGATTGAAAAACTTAGTTCTATACACTGTTTTGTTACTAACTTGTTGTGTCACCTCAGGCAAGTCCCAGCTTCTCTCTGGGCCTTCAACTGCAAAATGAGGGAATTCTACCTGAAAGTTCCTTTCAACCGGGACTGTCCTTGAGTTGGGCTGAAACAGGAGCTCAGGGCAAGTCCACAATATCTGGTCTCTCATGAGTAGGGACCAGGCATTTGCTGCTTGCCTGTGACAATCTCAGGTAATTCAGTGTAATTGTTGTTAGTGTCCCTTTCGCTCTCAACACTGTCTTGGTTTGGATGATTCTTTTTTTTTTTTTTTTTTTGGTTATCCTACTGAAGATACCTGGGACATGAGGGAGATGCAGCCAGGAGGAGAAAGCACAGAGTGAATTCAGAGGGTCCAGAGTGCTGTCTGTCCCTGTGTCTTCTGCACCCTCTCCCTGGCCCTGTGGCACCAGATGAGCTCCAATCCTGCAGATTAAGCATCTCCGCCTGACTCTTCTGTGGCCTTTTTGTTCCCCGGGGTCTGCAGATGGAGGGCACATAGTACAGCCAGCCTTTATGGGGGCAGCAAAGAGTTAAAGCAGCTCCCTGAGCGCCAGACAACAGCCTCATCAGCAGGCCCTGATTCTGATTAAACAGCTGTGCGGAGAGGTATAGAATATATGTGTGAGTGAGCCAGTGTGTGAGGGTGAGAAGGGTGGGGGAGACTGTTTGTAACTAAACATGTCTGAGAATCCATGTGGCATGTGTGAGTATGGCTGAGCGAGTGCACACCGGCACATAGGTGCCTCTGTGTGCATTTGTATAAATGTGGGAACATGTGCACATAAACGTGTGTGTTTGAAAAGTAAGTATATATGTATGTGTAGGACTGAGAATGCAAGGATCTGTATCTGCAGATGAGTATATGGCCTGTGTGAGTATGTGAAGCATTTTGAAAATCAACAAGTATTTAAAAATAATAGTCATGATTTAAATGTGTAGTATGGGCACAAGTGGGTGGCTGTGCATACATGTGCAAAGGTCTTTGTGGATGAGAAGAGCTGGGAGGGGCGGTCATGTAAGTGGGCATCCAGGGCAACTATCTCATTCTCCAGGTAAGGAAACTGGGGTTCATAGACGCGACCCATTCAAGGTCACAAGATTACCTGTGAGATGGAGTGGATTATTCTAGTTCCTCACTCCTTCCTGCCATGTGACTTGCAGAACAGGAGAGTGAGCAGAGTCTGTTTTCCTGCCCCATCATTGTTGGCCTTGACCATGGGACTTGTTTTGACCAATGGGATGTGAGTTAAGTGAGGGGTTGCCAGCTAAAATCTAAGATCTTAAGGGGCACGTGCACTTCTATCAATACCTTGAAAATTTGCTGCAGGGAAAGATGTAGCTCCCAGAAATATGAGAGATCTGTAGAATTCCCTCAATGCAATGTCTAGAATGCAATGTCTAGAGTCAGCCTAGAGTCAACCCCAGCTGACCCCGAAGCCTGAAGCAGAACTGCCACCAGCATTTACCTGCCAAATCACAGATGATCTGCATTTCTGTGAGCATGGTAATCAATATTTTTTGTAAGCCACCACGAATTTGAAGTGGTCTGTGATGGAAACAGCTAGCTAATACATCTGGTATGACTGGAGCTTAGGATGTAGGCCCTATACCTGGGTTTCTAGCTTCTCTGGGGTCACCTGAGCAACTAGGTCCCATCCCAGAAATTGTGGTTTAATTGGTCTGGGTGCTGGGCTGTGCTTTAGACATTCTAAAAGATCTCCAGGTGAATTTGAACATGCAGACAAGTGTTTGGATCCCTGCCCTACACTACAGAGATGGGATGACAGAGGTATAAGCACAGGCTTGATGAAGCTTTAAACACCAAGCCAAAGAGCTTGGACTTCATTCTGAGAGTGACGTGGAAACAGCGAAGGGTTTTAAGGAGGATGAAGACATGTTTATATTCATGTTTTAAAAGGATCACCCAGGCAGTTCCAGGGCATTCTGGAAGCCACGCCTTTATCTGGCTGGGCTGCAGGGTTTCCTACTAACTTCTGCCTGACAAGGTATGGGATGTAGACTTGTACCTGGACACTCTTTCTGGTTCAGGACCTGTTTCCCAAGTGCTCAGTACACACTCAGGTGGCCCCACAGCTGCTAATAACTGTCTTAAAAGAGGAGCAAGAAAACAATCTGCAACTTTTTCCAGAAATCCCATGGCTGCTACCGGAATTCAGGCCTCACCACCTCTAACTTGGAATATTACATCCCCTCCACTGGCCCTGTCTGCTCCCCTTCCACCCCTCCTTCCTCCATGTGAAGCCCAGCTGGTACTGTTTCTGCCCTACCGGAGAGGCAGCCCTGGCTCCTATTCCTATAGGATAGTTTCACACCCTTTCCCAGGGAGTCAAGGCCCCTCCTACTGCAGCCCTGATCTTTCTAGCTTCATCTTCCATTGCAACCTTCCAGGGGCCTTTGCATGAACTGAAACACATCTGCAATTGTCTTCCTCCATGCTTTTGAACATACCAATCTGTGCCAGGAATGCTCTCCTCTGACCCCTCCACCTGTCAAAGTCATGGTTAACTTTACGGCCTACTTAGGGGCCTCGTTCTCTAGGAAATAAATATTCCTAGACTCCCACAACCTCAGACAGAATGACTGCCTCCTTCCTCAGAGCACTAAAGCCTGTCCTTTGTCCCCTCATTTTCCATGCAGGCAATTGATATCCACATCTCCCTCCACCTTTCTGAGCCCCTGCAACCTGGGATCCTTGCCCTCCCATCTCCTCCAGCACTCTGCCCCTAGCAGTGCCAGGCAGGAAGGAGCTGCCAGGTACATGTTTGCTGAGTTGGCCTGAATTTCTTGCCCCATATCTGGGCTGAAGGGATAGCAAGGGCAGTGGGGCTGGCTCCACGCCCTGGAGAGATCCTCCCACCAGCCTCCCCCGTCCTCTCTCTCTCTGCCAGATTCTCGGGGATGCTCAGCCTTTGAGGGCTTGAGACAAATGCATCTCCTGGAATGTTCCTGCCCTCCCTTATCAGAGCAAGGGCTGGGCCATTGACAGTTCTGTGGTCCACAGGCCAAAGTGTCCTAGAAGGTCACAGGCTTTATCTTGTTTATGTCTGTGACTTTTCCTGAGGCTCCTCTCTTCTTGACAGTGTCACGGAGCAGGACTGCTGCCTGGGACGTGTCTGGAAAGTGGCCCACTCCTTCAGGGCCAGGGAAGAGAACCAAGTCATTGATGCTGGTGGGGCATTCCAGGACAATCTGTGGAAGAACATGGTTTCTTCTTTAACCGCCTGTGATGACTAGCTTCTGAATTTTTAAAATATTTGGTGGGGGTAGGAAGAGAAGGGAACAATAGGAAAAGAAAGGGAAACAAGAACTACGAATCCCTGTAGTGTGCCCAACAGTAAAGAAAAATAGCAAGTGCAAAGGCCCTGAGGTAGAAACATGCTTAGTGTGTTCCAGGAATGCAAAACGGCCAGTGTGGCTGGAGTGGGTAGGGCAAGAGGAAGAGTGTTAAGAGTTGAGATTAAAAAGGAAGAGGAAGGCAGTTCATGTAAAGCCATGGTAGAGACTGTGGCTTTTACTTTGAATGAGCAATTCCATGACTCTCTTGAGTTTTCTAAAGGATCATCCTGACTGCTTTGGGAATCACAGTTTCCCCCTTCCTCCATAGTGAAGTCCTTTCTTCTGTCTTGTTTCCACCAGTTCTCTAGCATCTAGGATGGTGCCTCTCACAGAGTTAGCACTCAATAATTATTTCCTGAATGTGTTGGCCAGAATTCTGTTTCAAGCTTTTTCTTAGGCTCATGATGAGTGTTGAAGGCATTATGACTCTCACCCAGAGGGACACCATGTCTAGGAGCTTCTTCTCGTGTGGGCCCTGTTCTCCAGATGTCTGATGGGTAAGAAATTGGCATACAGTATCTTACAGCTGGCAAAAGCACAGCTGGATGCAATGCTGTGCACATCTGCTACCCACATGTCTAACCATGGACTTGACAGTCAGCCAGATATCTGTGAACATACTGTAGACAAGCAGGAGAAATGGGAAGTCCTAAGTACTAGCAACAGATGGTGACTACAGGTGGCCTTCAGGATAGCCTGTGGCCATTTTCCAGAGTGACCTTGGTCAACAGGCAGAGTTTCAGGCCCATGGCACATTCATTCCCCCAAACTCAAATTCAGGTTTATATGGTTAGGAGGATCCTGGGTGACTCCTTTCCTCAGCCTCAATTTCCTCATCTGTAAAATAGGAGATACCTGAACTGGAACAATTAAAATCAGTGGGCCGGAGAGTCTCATTGCACAATTGGCTATATTTATGGTCTTGGAAGGGTCTTTTTTTTTTTTCTCTGTGTCTTATTTCTACACAAAATAAAAATAATTGCAATGAGAGCTCTTCATCTCCCTAGGCAAAAGAGGGGAAGTGTCCCTCCCTCAGACATTCTGCCTGGAAACAGACTGTGCCTTGCACTTCAGTGGTTTGGGGGAAAAAAAAACTGACTTATTTTTGGTTTTCTTTTTTGTATCTTTCCCACTTTACTTATGAGGAGACCACTTTCTTAAATGAAAATGGAGACTCGGGCGCAATTAATATGTACCATAATTTTAAAATGCAACATTATTGAAGCTATTTTTCTCTCCAACTGCTATTCAATTATAGGCATGGGTGAATTTGCAGGGACCTATTTTAAGCCTTGGAGTCTCCAGTACATTTTAGGGATGTTCTTTAAAAGACATGGCAACATGCAAAAATCCCAGATGTTTGCTCAATGCTCTGAGTGTCTTTGAGCTGAGTGGGGAAAGAAAATGTCAATCAGGCCTGTTTGGGGAAGAGAAATTTAGGTTGGAATGCCTCACATAGCTCTATATCAACAGTCCCAGAAAGAAAGGTGTTTCCTTTCTGGGAAAGGAGACTTGAAATCCAAAGATTCCGCAGGGAGGAGACCATCTGGGGAGTAAGAGGAAGGAATTGAAGGCTGGGAGGCCTTTTACCTCAAATCCGCCGTGATTGGCGTTTCCTTTAGTCATCTCACGTAATCCTCACATAAACCCTTGACAGATGGTATCATCCCTGCTTTGCAGATAAGGAAATTGAGACTCAAAGAGGACCCCCATGGAGAAAGTAATGAAGCTTGAATTTAGACCCAAGATCATGTCCCTTTCACTTCCTCAGCCTGCCCAGGAAGTTTATAGCGTGCTCATGCCACAAACCCTGGAGCTGGATACGCGCTCAATTGGCTTGAAGACCTTGGGTAAGCTACTTACCTTTTATGTTCCTCAGTTTCTTCCTCTAAACTGGGGCTTGTAACTGTAGCTACCTCACAGGGCTGTTGCAAGGGTTAAAAGAGTTAATGCCCCTAGGGTATTAGGTAGGTGCCTGCTTGGCACATGGTAGGAGCTGCAATAAATTGTCTCTTCTTTTGATTACCCTGACACAAGCTGGAGTTGTCAGCTCTAGAATATGGAGAAGGGGGGGAATTATCCTCACCAACTTCTCTGTGCTCTTCTCATGGTTCCACCATCCAAGCTCCCTAAGATCCTTCAAAGTCTTCTTTTAAGTGCTTTCAAAGTCTTCTTTTCTGCTGCATCTTCCTTGATTCCACTCCCCTCCTTTACGGCCTAGGGTATATGACCTGCCTCCCTCCTCTTCACTTGTCCCCTGTATCATTCAAATATTGAGCATAAGCTTGGAACATCATCGTGGATTCATTCACCAAACGTGCCACTTAACATCTATATATACTGTGAGCAAGTTTCTCAAGATTTCAAAGACTTGGTTTCTCCATCTGTAAAATGGAAATAATAGTAATATACCTCTTTTTTTTTTTTTTTTTTGAGATGGAGTCTCACTCTGTCACCCAGGCTGGAGTGCAGTGGTGCCATGTCAGCTCATTGCAACCTCCGCCTCCTGTGTTCAAGCGATTCTCCCGCCTCAGTCTCCTGACAGCTGGGACTACAGGCGCGTGCCACCATGCCCGGCTAATTTTTTTTATTTTTAGTAGAGACGGGGTTTCACTGTGTTAGCCAGGATGGTCTTGATCTCCTGACCTCGTGATCTGCCCGCCTCAACCTCCCAAAGTGTTGGGATTACAGGCGTGAGCCACTGCGCCCGGCCAATAGTATTATGTCTTTTAGAGGACTGCTGTGATAATTAAATGTTATTAACATATTGAAAAGTCTTAGATGATTGTTTGTTCAATTTTAGTTATTATTATCTATCAATGCCTAAAATGCTAAATTTGATTCCCTTTTCTAATTTCTACCCATCATTTAAGAGCCAGCTAAACTTCCACATTTCATTTCTATCCCTCATGCAACCTTCCCAGAATTAATCTTCTTTCTCCCATAAATTCCTTGCGGCAATACCTATCAGAGACTGCTGGGCCTTTTGGACTAGTATCTGTGTACCTTTCTGCTTCTTGGAGGAGTACAGACAGACCCCCTTTTGTCCATTTGTAAGTCAAAGGCTGGCTTTTCCTTTGGTGCCTGAGTCAAATCAGAGGTGATTGCTTTGTATTTTATGGGTACAGTGGTCCCGGATCTTCGGTCCCAAATAGATGTAACTTTAGTGAAGAGGGATATCAGAGATGATTGAACCAATCTCTCCATTGTACTGAGGAGGCCATGGAGGTCCAGAAACAAAAACAATTTCCCCAAAATTACAACAGCACAGGGAATCGGCAGGTCTTAAAGAGCACAGGATTTGGACTCAGAGAAGAAATCCTCAAATTTAAGCTACCATACTAACCAGTTATGACTTTGGGCAAATTACTTAAGCTCTCTGGACGTTGGCTTCTACTTCTGTTGAATAAGTATAAGAATACATGTCTTGCAGACTGTTATATTTAATGAGCTGACATAGAGATTTTATGGCACAGAGTGGGATAACCATTGTTATTACTCCATAGGGTTGTGGTATAGCAGATGAGATAATTTCCTTCCACTGTTCCAAGCTAACTTGCTTTTCCCTGAACAATTGGCTTCCAGTAATGCCTTTGAGGGGGCACTGAGAGCCAACCTCTACCCAGAGCCCTGGTGATCATCCAGCTCTTGAAACCCAAATCTCAGCATCAGCCCTGTGGGTTACAGCGTGTGGTACAAAGACCATGCTGGCCCCTTAAACAATGTTGTCTCTACACTCATCTGATTTGGGTCTCGTCTTTTTCACAGAAAGGATGGGATGCTTCTGTCTAACATATTTAATATTTTAAAAAAACAAACAAAGAAATGTGTTTCCCTAGATATTCCATTAGTGCTGGTAACAGCCACCATACCACACCCACAGTGGAGGCCAGGACAGATTTTCTCTTGGAAGAGATATGTTTCCAAGCTCCTTTATTGTTAGTGCTTGGCTGGAAAATTAAGTGGGTCTGGCTTAAGGAAAATTTCTATGCTCAGGTTCCTTTTCTTTTCCTGGGTGTGTACAGAGGTGAGCACCTCCTCACTCACCACTTTCCCTGTCACCAAGGCCCACACTGGGGAAGAGGTGCTGATCACAGGCAGGTCTGTTTGAGCAGCCTGGCATCCTTCCCTTAGCAAAGGCAGAAGAGGCCATCTAAGTTGGCAGGGCCTAGGCACCCCAGAGTTGAAATGTCCACTCAAATGTCTCTGGCAAGTTGCAGAGCTTATATTTCATTCCTCCTAATCTGGGAGATGCCAAGAGAGAAATCTGGATTTGCTTTCAAACCCTTGAGCTTCTATGATATTTGTGAAAAATAAGTATTTTCAGTGAACATTTCTGAGGGGCAGCCATAAGTGGGGATCTACTAGACATAATTCATTTATTCCACAGAAGGGCCAGGCCCTCAGCTGAGCATGTATTCATGCTCAGAAAATAATTTGTGACTGTGTCAGTAAGAAGTTTTTCATTGTAAGCAGCAAAATTAACTCTGGCTGATGTAAGTATAAGGGAATTTATTGGAAGGATAACAGGAGCTTAATGAATCATTGGAAAAGTTGGAGAACCAGGCTTGGAAGTAGGCTGGAACCAAATAATGCAGAATGAGGAGCTACAGGTATATTTTTATAGCAGGAGTAGTCAGATCATGGAACTGTGGGAATAAATGAACTCTGACCACCTCTTTGTATTATTCATCTTTGTATTATTTGCTCAGAAATCAGACTCCTCAGAGAGAGCACCAGCTGGCCCCTGGTTCTGGCAGATAAGCCCTCAGTGACCCCTTTGACTTCTATGGGCGGGAGAGCAGGTATCTGGATTTACCATTCAACCAAGATTGCAAATAACAGGGGAAAATTAATCTCTCCAAAAAAATTGAGATCTGGTTGAAATGGAAAATAAAAGCTTTGCAGACAAAAAAAAATTCTCTATCTATGTTTCCATAATTTAGAACAGATGTGTGAGTGTGTGTGTGTGTGTGTGTGTGTTTGAATACTCAATCATTCCACAAACATTTCTGAACATCTCTATGACAGGCCTGTGCTAACTACTGGGGATACAATGGTTAAAAACCTGTGTAGTGGGGTAGAGAGACTCCCCAAAAGGTACTTACAATACACTATGGCAACGTACCGTGTACACAGTGCTGTGGGGACACACCCCTCCTATTCCTGATGTGGTCCAGCAAGATCTCCCCAAGGAAGTAACACAAGCCAAAACTTTAAGCTCTAAAAAAATGGAAATAGAAATGGATCGTTTGTAATGTTAAGTATTCATACATCTTCCCATTCATTCATAAATTCATTCAGCAAACACTCATTAGCTATTTTAGAGTGTACGAAGCTTTGGGTTTAGTTGGGTTGAAAAAAATAACTATTAATACCATTGACATAAAAGACAGTCATTGGGTGTGGTAGCTCATGCTGGTAATCCTAGCACTTTGGGAGGCTGAGGTGAGAGGATCATTTGAGCCCAGGAATTCGAGGCTGTAGTGAGCAATGTTTGTGTCACTATACTCTGGCCTGGGCAGTAGCAAGACCCTTCCTCTTAAAAAAAAAAAAAAAAAAAAGAACCATAAATAAGAGGTGACAGAGGCTTTTCCTGAGATATTCCCTCCTGATTCATGTATTTCTCTTTTGCTAAGGTCACACTCCACTCCAACCGTAGCTCCTGTTACCGACTCAGGAGCAAACAAACCAGCCCAGAAGTCACAGGTATTCCTTTTGTATCCTGTAACCAGCTGGACTTTTGAGTACCTCATCCTTCTATAAAACTGCCCCCTCCTCTCATCTTGCCCCAGGGCCAGAGTGAGGCCTGTTGAAGCACAGTGAGGGGATGGAGAAGAGGAATTGGGGCCCTGCGTTTCCCTGTCTTCCTGTTTTCCTAGCCTCAGCACAAATGGCCTTAGCAGTGCACCCAGTTCGGGGCCTGCTGGATGAATTCGGAAGACCAGACCTCTCACCCAAGCTCTGGTTGTCATCACAGTGTGTGGCTCTGGAGGGGCCGCTCCCTCTCTAAGTCCTTCTTCCCCATCTGAGGAATGGAAGGTCAGCCCTCCACGGATTGCATGTGCCTTCCAGTTCTTGGATCCCTTTGGCCCTGCCTTCTTCTCCCTCATGTTTTCCTGGGCTGAGTCTTCATCTCAGATACCGCTGCTCTCTCCACCTCCCTAGGGATCCGATCTAGGTCTCCCTGAGATCACTGAATCTCATGTTTTAGCCTCAGATCCTCAGCATTAGCAATGTCCCGTGAGGCCCAGGCTTCCCTATGGCTTCACTGAAGGAGCAGAATCAGGGCATGGGATCTCCCAGCCCCGCCTCACCCTACACAAATGTGTCTTTTCTCCACCAGCAGCAAAAACTTTTAGAAAACTTCTAAAGAGGTAGCTTCAAGGACAGGAAGAAGGGATACAAGGCAGAGGAAGGCCTGCGGAGACGGCGCCTCATTCTCTGCTCCCTGGCCCTGTGAAAACTCCTAAGAGCATTTGGCCCTGTGGGGGATTTCTGAAGCAACCCGGCGCAACCCCACCTTGGCAGAAACCCTCCCTTCTCTGTGCTCTTTTCCTGTGTTGTGACAGATGCTGCTCTGATATCCTTGGTACCCAGCTCCCAAAGAAGAAAACAGATCACCCATCACTGGGTAATTATAGAGCAACTGAAAGGCCATTTAGCTACTGTGTGATAAGCAATAGACTATTTTAATAATAACCAATTACCATACATTATAGTATATCATTTGGCATTTGTTGATCTACTGGGGTCTCACCTGTTCCTTCCTTTATGGAGCATTTTGTGGCTGTTCACACTTTCCCCAACAGAAGTTGTGCCACTTTCTAATTGAAGCACTATTTTTAGGAAAGAGTTAGGAAGTTTGTAGAGGTGGTGCAAATTATATCATGCCAAGTAGAAGGATACATTCTGCCAAGTGTCTTCTCTGACAGCTCTGCCATTATGCTGTGCTCAGGAGGATAGAGAGTGAGATTTGTTTCATGATCTGCATTAGCCTTTCGACATTAAGGGAAGTGTAAACCTGGAGGTCTCCTGCTGTCCAGGCAGACATGTGGGCAATCCAAACAGACACTGCTCTCTGCTGCTGACCATTCCTTCCTGGCTGAGCTGCATTCTCACTGCCTGGTGAGCAGGAAGTCTTGAGGCCTAGCAGCCCACTCCAAGGTCTGCCATGGATAGCAGAGCAGGCCCTGTCCAAGCCACAGAGGTTCTTCAAAGAGCCAGGGAAGATGACCTTCTAATCGCTAAGATCTGCTCAGCGCATTCCCCTAGCCTGGGCTCCCCTCTTTACATTCACTTGCTCAGCCACTTCTCTAGGGCACAAGCCTGCCACCAAATAGATAGCCAGGCTGGTTCTGGGTGCAGTGGCCACCCTCACGTTTATGTATCCACTGTACTCTTTCCATGATCTCCCGCATCCAGAGGCTTAGCTCTGAATCCTTTCCTCCCAAGAAGATGATTAGAGTCCTCATGAAAATTGTCAACCCTTTTCACACACACATATTTAAGTTCAACCTCCAGTGAAACCCCCTGTTATGAGCTGCCGGATTTATAAAGTGGTAGTGGTTTTTGTTTGGGACAGGCCTTTAGGATATCACAGTTTACTCTTCTGCCCTCACAAAGCAGATATGGTTTAATCCATTAGATGCTATCATCACTGCCAAGTCCATTCACTTTCCCCACATCCGTGTCTACCACTCAGGCTGCCACCACCCCTCACCTGGATTATTGCAGTATTCCTTGCTCCTGCCTTGCCCCGCAACCGTCAATTCCCCATACAGCAGCCAGACAGGTTTTGTTAAAAGTATACTCAGATCACGTCACTCTGCTGCTCAGACTGCCCTAATGACTTTCTATCTTATTCATAGTTAACAATAAATAGGTATCTTTTTAAAAACCCACAATAAAAAACAAAGGCAAAACTTACTAATTACAAAGCCCTACGTAATCTCTACCTTCCTCAAGCCACCCCCTTCCACAGTTACCTTGTTGTCCCTCTCCCTGAATCATCAATGAGTTCACCTTGCTTACTCCATCCAGTCCCACTGACCTATTTGCAATGTGATTTGCAATGTCTTTGGACACAATGAGGCCATTTTACTTGAAAAAAAAAAATCTTTAAATCATTTGTGTTGCTTTTAATAAAGAAAATAAAGAAGCTTTATTCTTACTCATCATTATTTTCAAAAGTTACCTTAGAACTGAAGTAGAATTTAGAATACCTCTTGAGTCACTGAGATGTCTCAGATAGGGATCTCTTAGTTGCAGTAACAGAATCTCACTCAAACTAGGACCTAGCAGAAAAAGAAGATCTTAAAATAAGAAGGCAAAGCCATTTAATGGACTATGAAGACACAAAGTGCTTCCAAACCTATGATGAACTGAACCCAGGAGATGAGAGAAATCTAGACCAGACCAGCTAGGCATTTGGATTGGGGATGAACAGGGAAAGTGCAGGTTAAGTCTTTCTTGCCCCAATTAGGATGACACTGGAAGGGGTAAAGATGGAGACACATATAGAGGACAAGAATGAGCCTGAAAGAAAATATCCAGGGGGCTGAGGAGCTGGAGAAGATAGAAACTGGAGAAGTGAAAGAATGACTGCAGGGTGGGGATTGCAGGGCTGATGACTTCTCCTCCTCTTGGGAAATGGGCCCACTCCAGATGAAATGCAAAGACATGGTGCATGGTAACTGAGAAATGAAAGTAATACACCTTGAGACTCCCTCAAAATTCCCTACCTCAAGCTCAAATGACACTTGGTCCTTTGCCACAGCCATACTTTTGTTTTAAAAAAATCACAACCAGATGCGTCTCCATTTTATCAAGCAATTAGTTACCATGTTAAACTCAGTGAAAGATCCAGAGAAGCATAAATTACTTCCTTTTAGCAGCTTACAATCCAATGAGAAAGGGAAAACACCTGTTGGTGGATTACTTAAATAATAGTGAGAGAGATAGCTTGGTGTATTGGAAAAAGCATGAGTTTGGAGTCAAGAAGATCTAGATTTGGACCCCGGTTCCCTCAGTTACAAAATGTCCCTTAGGTAAGTTTCTTAAACCCTCAAAGCCTCGGTTTCCTCATCTTTAAAAATGGGAATAGTAACTGCTACCACCCTGTGGCTAGCACACAGTAGGTGTTGAATAAATTGGTTTTTTTGGTTGTCTGTTTGTTTGTTTGTTTTTTGAGATACAATCTCACTCTGTCACCCAGGCTGGAGTGCAGTGGTACAATCTTGGCTCATTGCAACCTCTGCCTCCGGGGTTCAAGCGATTCTCCTGCCTCAGCCTCCCAAGTAGCTAGGACTATAGGTGTGTGCCACCATGCCTGGCTAAGTTTTGTATTTTTAGTTGAGACAGGGTTTTGCCATGTTGGCCAGGCTGGTCTTGAACTCCTGAACTCAGGTGCTCCCCCCCGCCTCAGCCTCCAAAAGTGCCGGGATTACAGGCGTGAGCCACCATGCCCAGCCTTAATTGTTCTTCTTTTATAATGAAGATCATAATGCAAGTGATTGGCAAAAAAAAAAAAAAAGAAAGAAAGAAAAAAGAAAAAGAAAAAGGAAAAAAAAATAGGACAACCAGAAATAATCCTCTAGTAGTTCAGAAAAAGACAAGTTCAAGATCCCAGGCAATGGAAGACGTGAGTGGGTCTATCAGGAGGAGGAGGGGTCCTTGAGCCACCTGTGATGGTTAATTGTATGTGTCAACTTGACTGGGCCACAGCATGCCCAGACGTTTAGTCAAACATTATTCTGGATGTTTCTGTGAAGGTGTTTTTGGGTGAGAATTGCATTTGACTGAGGAAAGCTGATTGCCCTCCCTAATGTGGTTGGGCACCATCCAGTTAGTCGAAGGCTTGAATAGAACATAGAGGCCGACCCTCTGGGTGTAATAGAATTCCTCCCTCCTGACTGCTCTCAAACTGGGATGCTGACATTTTCCTGCATTAGGACTTGAATTGAAACATCAGCTCTTCCTGGGTCTCAAGTTTGCTGGCCTTTGGACTAGAACCAAACCATTGACTCTCCTGGGTGTTCGGCCTGCCTAACTTACCCTGGGACTTGCCAGCCCTGTAAACATGTGAGTCACTTTCTTATAAGGAATTCATTAATTAATTAATCCTATTGGTTCTGTTTCTCTGGAGAAGTCTGACTAATATACCACCTTTGAAGGATAGGTTAGGTTTGGATAGAAGTAGAGAGGAATTGGGGAGAAAAGGGCAAATGAAAGTGAGTGAAAATCAATTGGGTGTGTTGACAAAATCTGGAGGATCCTGACTGACAATATTAGCCAATGTTTATCAAGCTTGTATCATGAGCCAGCCTCTGCTTTACCTGCACTGTCTCATGTAACCCTCCTAAGAGTCTGATGACAAATGCTATTCCCTTTTTAGAGATGAAGAAAGCTAGTCATGGAGAAGTCAAGAATATTTTCCAAGGTCCCGCATCTAGCAAGTTGCAAGATCAGAGTTCAGACCCCACTAATCTGACTCCAGGGACTATGCTATTATATTATGCAGACAAGTATTTACTGAGGTTGAGTGGATTAAACTGGATAAAGCTGGCACATACACAGCTAGGTTTTAGATGCTAGACTAAGTGGGTTAGGTAATTGCAGACCTTAGGCTCAACTTCTGCATTCTGTTGAGAAGGAAATTGAAGTTCATAGATGGGAAGTGACTTATCAGGTTCACACAGGCCAACTAATTGAGCCAGAACTTGACCTTAGACCTTTGTTCAGCTGAGTCAGCTCCTGGGACTTGCCTCAGTCAGGGTCCCTGCCCATTTTGGGGCCACACTGCAATGTGAACCTCTCCTAGGACTGGGCCTCTCTGGGGGACCTCTCCTGCTGAGGGTCCCTCCAGTCCAGCCTCAGCCTCAGAAAGCCAAGAGGAAGAGGGGCTCTTAGCCTCCCACTAACTCAGCCTGCGAGGGGACATTTCAGTCTCTCCTTTCTCCAACTGCCCTCTCTTGCTCATGCACGGGGACTCATTGCACACACTGCCTTTCCTCCGCTCCCATAGTCCCAGCTTTTCCACATGACACTAATTAGAGGTCAGCTTCAAACAAGCCTCAGGGACCAGTCCTGTCACCAGCTTGTGGTTCTTTAAGTATCTATTATTGGGGACACAGGGTGACTTGGCATGGCCATCCTGGCTGCAACCTGACACTAACCTCAGGGCCTAGCACTCGCTGGTTCCCATTTTCATGACCTGGGCCTGACTGACTATTTCACTGAAGTCTGGGAACAGGTGCTGGTCCCACTGCACGATTTCCTAGGTTGTTTTCAGTCAAGTCAGATTCTACTTCTGTCTGCTCTGTGCCCACCTTGAGGGAGGCTCTTGAGTCCTACTGATAACCCAGATATAGTGTCCGAGTCACTCTGGAAAGGAACTAGTCTCAGGGCAAAAACATGGAGGCCACTCAATCATTCCGCAATGTGGATTAACCACATACTGCGTGTCAGACACTGGTATACAATGATGAAAACGACAGAGTGCCTGCCCTCATGGGGTGAGAGCGAAGGTCCATCACAGACCAAAAAGCCATCACAGTCCAGAGGGCAAGTGCATGATGGAGGAAAATACCGGTTGCTAAGAGGAAATACAGCAAGGGCATTGAAACGTGGTCTGGCCATTAGGATTGGAGTGGGGTTGGCTAAGAAGGGCTCCCAGCAGCACCAATATCTGAGCCAAAAAATGAATAATTCTCCAGGCAACAGGGCATAGGTGTAAATGTATGTGGTGTAGCTGTGGCCAGAAAGGTAGAGATAGTTTCCCAGCAAAGGGAATCACAGGTACATGATAGAAGAGGATGAGAGGAAACCTGTTGTGATGTGGACTGACAGTTGTGTTGTTCTGATGAAACAAAGCTCACAAGGGGAGGTGACAGATGATGCCAAAGGTGTCATCCAGGACTGCATTGTCGGGGGGGTCCTTGGAAATTATTTTTAGGTGTTTGGGATTTATCCTGTAGCCTTACAGAGCCATTAAAAATTTTTTAAGCTGAGGAATGACATGGTTAGCTTTGCAACTTAGACAAAGAAATAAGTGTGACAACAGGGATGTGGTCAAATGCTAGGGAGCCAGAGGAGGGGGTGATTCATTCTGCCTGGTTTGAGAGCCACACCATAAATTCATCCTGAGGGCCCAAGGCCCTTCTTCTGAATACATTCCTGATTCTGGTCCCACAATCAATGCCTCCCTCAAGCCTACCCTCCAGCTCCTGGCTGAGCTTCCTAGCAGCTTCCAGACCTATTATAGAACCTGGTCCCTGCCCTGATATCTCCTCCTGCTGACAAGGGGCTTGGAGATTGTTCTCTCCTGTTAAGCAAGATGTATTCTCCCTGCCAGCACCAGGTCAGCCCCCATGCCCAACCCCACCACAAAGCATGTCCAGGCTTCAGGCCCTTCTAAACCTGCTTCACTCCACAGCAATCTGTTCCTCAACTCCCGATATTATAGCTTAAACTGTAGGTGATTTAAGAAGATCAGACCATGGCTGGGCATGGTGACTCACGCCTGTAATCCCAGCACTTTGGGAGGCCTAGATGGGCAGATCACGAGGTCAGGAGATTGAGACCATCCTGGCCAACATGGTGAAACCCCATGTTTGTGTATACTAAAATATATACACACACACACAAAAACAATAACAAAAATTAGCTGGGCATGGGCACCTGTAGTCCCGGCTACTCGGGAGGCTGAGGCAGGAGAACCACTTGAACCCGTGCAGGCAGAGGTTGCAGTGAGCTGAGATCGTGCCACTGCACTCCAGCCTGGTGACAGAGTGAGACTCTGCCTCAAAAAAAAAAAAAAAAAAGAGGGTCAGACAAAGATAGGAGCACATGAGCACAGGAATGATGCCCTTAAAGAGATATGCCTCTCACCACGCCCTTTAAGGATTCTAACTTAGCTATGATGACCTTGAGCAAGTTTTTTTAGCCTCTCTGTCCTCAATTCCCTCATCTGTGAATGCTTATAGGAACAAGACCCACCACATGGGTTTATTGTAAACATTCAATGACTTAACACATGTCAAGCTTTAAAAAGCCCTTGGCATATTGAAAAATTAGACAGTGTTGTTACTAAGAGCAGTCTCCTGTGCCCGGAATAAACAGAAACAGCATCCTATGAGATAATGCAGAAAAGGGGAGGGGTCAGTGAGTCAGGGAAGGGGAAAATTAGTGGTGTTCCCCTCAAACAAAACCACAAAATGTCTTCATAACTAAGTAACATTTTTAACAGAAAATGCTTTTGTAAGGTAGGCAGTTGCTCAATTTATCCATGCCTATTGGCTTCTCAATTTTGCAGAATCCTCGTGCTTGCCTCACATTGAACATCTGGGGCAGAGGAAGAAGTTTGGCCTTTGGGTTTGGACCAAACTGAATTTAGAAAATGACACTGCCACACCCTGGCTGTGTGATCTTGGGAAGCTCACTCAAATTCCATGAGTCTCAGATCCCTCATCTGTAAAGTGGGCACAATCCCACCTGCCTGGAAATGCAGAGATGAGAGAGTCTTTCTAAATAGGCTGGCACGATGTGGTAGTCAAGTCAGGGGAGTCTCCTTCCTCTTGGATCTCATGTCCTGACATACTCAGGAGAAACACCCTCCAAGCAAAAGGAAAACAGAGATACCCTGTGACATGAGCAGAGACAACCTCTCAGGAAGTGAGATTTTAGACAGTGGTCACTGAGGATGCCTCCTGTACCCTCTTCCTTGAGGATTTGGGGCATTGTCATTCTCAGGGCCAAGTCTTTTCCAGGACTATGAGGGTCAGAGGAACTCACAGGAGAAGTACAGACCTCCTTCAGTGTTCCACATCCTGCTGCCCCCAAACTGGGCTGTCAGCCCAGGAGTCATTAGCAGGTAGCAGGGCTGAGCGTGGGGCCATCAGTCAGAGGAGAATGTCTGCTGCTGTTCCTGAGATGCAATGGTGCCCTGAGGAGCCATTGGCAGTAATGATGATGGGTATTTAAGCAAACGAACTGTTAATGACCGGGCAGAGGTGAGCTGCGTCCCAGACCAGCTGGAGCCCAGAGTTGGCAAAGGAGGGTGAGGTAGGAATGAGGAGAGACTGGAGAGGAGAGAATTCATTTTCTTCTCAGAAATTGGTTTCCCTAGGGAGTCTTGGTTAGCCATGGGGCAATGCCTGCTTTATGTGCTGTCCCCTACCCTGGGACTCCCCATCACTTCCATGAATTATTTTTAAAAACTCCTGGCTGCCCTGCCCAGTTATACCCCACATCACTCCTATTCTTCTAGCTCAGTCCTTCCTGCCATATAGCAAAAAAGAGTCTTGCTGAAAGCCCATATCAGTTGGGAGAGAACAGGAGGGATACTGATACTGGCTGGCTGGCTCAGGTCTGATGGATCCTGGGGGCTGAGGACTGAGTGGCTGGGGCAGATGAAAATGGTCATATTAACAATACACCGTCTACTGATAACAGTACTACTACCACAGCTCTGTATGAAATGCCAAATGTGTGCCAGACATTGTTCTAAATTTTTATTTTTTTGAGACGGAGTTTCGCTCTGTCACCCAGGCTGGAGTGCAGTTGCGCAATCTCAGCGACTGTAACCTCTGCCTCCTGGGTTCAAGCAATTCTCTCGCTTCAGCCTCTTGAATAGCTGGGATTACAGGTGTGTGCCACCATGCCCAGCTAATTTTTGTATTTTTAGTAGAGACAGGGTTTCACCATGCTAGCCAGGCTGGTCTCGATCTCCTGAACTCAAGTAACTGCCCTCCTCAGCTTCCCAAAGTGCTGGGATTACAGGCATGAGCCACCACGCCCAGCCTGCTACAAACTCTTAATCAACATTGTTTAATTTATTACTCACACAATCCTTGAAGTGAAGATCGATGCTCCCATTTAACACAGGAGGAAACTGAGGCTCGAACAGAAGAAATAACTTACCCAGAAATTAGGGAGCCAGGTTTGTCTATATAGTGAGCAGGGAGAGTGAAACTAGAGAATTTCACAATTTCAACCTTTCATTACCCAAAGCACAATGTAGCTAGAGTAAAGAATACTCTGGCTTGAGAAGTCTTTGAACTGAGAACAGAAGGTGGAGCCAAGATCAAGATGTTGTGCCCTTCAGATTCACACAGATCCAGATGGACAGGAGGCAGGTGGCCTCAACATTCTATAGGTTCATGTGCTTGTTCCAGCCTCCACACCTTTGTACTCTCACTTTGTCCATTCCCTTTAGACCCATCCAAATCCACAATGGTAAAGAATGTGTCATCCGGCAAAAAGCATCAGCTCTGCCCTTAGACAGAACCTGCCACATCCTTGCTGTGTGGCCTTGGGTAAATTACTTAGCCACTCTGAACATGTTTTCTCATATGTAAAGTGGGATAGTGATTATTTTGTAATTGTTAGGTAAATAAATAGACAAAAACAACCTTGGCATCAATGTGGTATAGGGAGCAGATCACTTTTTATTTCTTGGCTGTGATTCCTGACAGCAGGGTGGATTGGGTAATTCTTTCGACCTTCTGTTTTCTAATTTGCAAAATGGAATAATTTTTCATACCTGGCAGGATCATTTTACATTTTAGAGATGATGTAAATAAAATGTCTAATACATAATTGGTCACCAAAAATAGTAACTGCAATTAGCCTTTTTATCAATTAGATGTATATTGTGCCTGACCCAGTGCCTGGGTTCCACAGTTAGAAGTTCCTTGTCCCTCATTCTGCTCTTCTACCCTATTCTCTGATAAACTTTCTCTGTGCCTTCTCCAGGAAGGCTTCTTCTGTCACCTACAGCACTCTATCTCCTCTGAGCTCAAAAACTTCTTTCACAGTTAGTAATTAACCAAACCACTTCTTGTATTGTCCACTGATGCTTCATTTGTTGGTAAGCTGTCACTCTGGAACTTCATAAGAAGCCTTTAATTGGCCGTGTGAATTTGGACACATAACTCTTTTCTCAGAAGTTGAGTTTCCTTATGAACAGATGGAGGCTTGGACCAGAACCTGGTCTTCTGTCTCCAAACCACAGGATTTTACAGGACCTCAAGCTGACCCTGGGCACAATCCACTCCTCCTCTCCCCGAGCCTTTGCTCACAGAATCCACTCTTCCTCAAATGGCCTTAACCCACCTCCATATTCCAGAATGCATCTTAAATGCCACTTCATCCATGAAGCTTCCTTAATCCCCTCCAGGCAGAGGTGATTTCCCCTTTGAAATTACAGAATCTTTAGACCCACTAGCCCATGTAGATCTTCCTGAACTTCACCTAGAGCTTGCCATTCCTCCTACAGGAACTAAAGTCTCTAATCACAGAAGTGTGAGTCATGCATTCCCATATCTCCTATAGCCTGAGCACTCTAAGCCTTGCTCTGTAAGTATCCCTGAATCTTAGGGCCCTGTTCTGAGGACTACAAAGGGACCCAAAGATTTACTATACAAACGTTATTAAGGAGCCATATTCAAGTCACCATCTCTGCTAAAAGGAGATAAATCCTTGTGGGATCTCTGGGTGTCACTTTCACATAGACACCTACCTTCCTGCACCCCATCTTTCTCTGTTCCCTGATGCCCTTTCTATAGCAAGATTATCTTCATTTCATCGTATTTCTTTTGACACCTGTGCTAGGAGCTCCAGACCACAGCGAATTCCCTGACTCCAGACACTGTTTTTTCCTTCTGCTGTAACTGGCATCTGTTCAGGCGGATGAGTGAATATTTATTAGATCTCAGCAGGTTTTGGTCACTTTAATTGTTTTCTAGTGAAACGTGCCCATTGCTGAAACCAGACCTTGTTGGCCATTTATCAGGTCAGCTAAGTGAAAGGGGAGCTGCATGGAGACGGCAGTTCAGGCAGGTCCAGGAAATTTTGGCTGCAGAAAGAAGTCATGCCAAAGAAAAATGAGTCCCAGGATGGTGATCTGGGACTGATGGATTAAGAGATAAGCACCGGAGTTGTGATCTCAATACACAGAATCACTGGACCAGTCATTCTCATAATTAGATGCAAGTGGCAAACATTTAGTGTATTTTTTTTTTTAACTTTTAAAACTGCATGGAGCAAAAGTCATTGGAAATGGCAATTGCCATTTTTTGAAGAAGCGGTTGGGGAAAGGAAGTGAGCAGTATTTATTAAGAGTTATGCACTTAACATAAATTGGTGGTTTCCTTATTTATTTATTCAGAAAAACTTTTTTTCACATGATATTTCTCCAGAAGCCCAACATGTAAAAAAGAGAAGAGCCGCTCTTGTCGAAGCTTAGGTGAGACATCTGAAGCCCACCTATTCCTTTTGTCCCTTCCTTACTCAAATTCCCATCAAATTAGTCCTTGAAGCCCATGAGGCCCTTTTCACAAACATTGCCTATCTCAGCCCTGGCAGCAACTCTCTAATGATGATATTATTTACCAATGTGTTAAGTGAGAATGAAAGCAGTATAGTCACATGGCTGGGAAGTGGAGAGGAGTCAGGCTTAGATTAGAACTCAGCTATCCTTACTACAACAAGGTGAGTGGCTCCTTCCACACCATCAGGATATCACCTGGTTGGAAGAGGATAGACTGTGGTCAAGGATCCCCAGTCTGGCTATGCCTGTGTATTAGTCCATTCTTGCACTGCTATAAAGAACTACCTGAGACTGGGTAATTTATAAAGAAAAAAGGTTTAATTGGCTCACGGTTCTGTAGGCTATACAGGAAGCATGGCTGGGGAGGCCTCAGGAAACTTACACTCATGGCAGAAGGCAAAGAGGAGGGAGGCACATCTTACATGGCCAGAGCAGGAAGAAGAGCATAAAGCAGGAGGTGCTACACACTTTTAAACAACCAGATCTCATGAAAACTCACCATCATGAGAACAGCAAGGGAGAAATCTGCCCCCATGATCCAACCACCTCCCACCAGGGCCCTCCTCCAACATTGGGGATTACAGTTCAACATGAGATGCAGGCAGGGACACAAATCCAAACCATATCACCCTGTAATCCATGTGAGAGGGGCAAGGGCTGAGAAAAAGAGAGAGACTGGAGAAGATCAAGCAATAGATCTTTGGCCTGACCAGAAATGGAGTAGAGAGGGGAGGCAACAGAGATGAGAGCCCATTTTGCTTTTATCCAGATGATACCCCCATGACAGAGGTTCTGTGTTCTACTCTGCCTCCTCTAAAGTGACAGGGCTCCCCTCCAGTTTGCTGCCCTCCATCTTGTCTGACTGTCCCTGTCACCAGCACTGCCTTGTTTCTGGGTGATACAGCCAGTTGCCTGCTAAGATTCAGTCCTCACAATCAAAAGAGGGCTCTGAACCTTAGAGCCTCAACAAGAAAGAAGCTGTTGCAGCCCCTGATGGACAGTAAAATCCAATGGTAAAGATGGTTTAATGTCCCCCAAATGCCAATTTGCTTGTGGATATGTTGAGTGCGACCAGACTGAGGGCTGATATCCAGATGGAAGTGTCCAGCAGCCCAGCCAGGGTGGGTGGGGGTAGGGTGGGGTGGGATGTCTTTCTCCTATCTAGTCCTCAATAGTCCTCTCTCCCCTTACTCACCAGGTAGTGCTGACTTCCAGACCACTGAGGTCACCTGCATAAGCGAGTCTGGCAACAAATAATCGTCTTCCAGAAAATGACCAGAAACTCAGCCTGCTTTTTGTCATTTCACCAGCCCCACCATCTTTCCTTTATTCTAGAGCTCCTGGCACACTTACATGAATCTCTTGAAAGAAGAGAAATGAGAGCATTCATTCCATACTAATACAATTGTGCCCTATGGAAAGGCTTTTTGCTGGCAGACATAGTAGACGGACCATTTCCCAACTTCTTTTTCTTTGCCACCTTCCAGCCAAAGGTGTCCATATGACACAGCTCTGGACAGGATAATTGGAAGTCTGTTGTGGGATTTCTGAGAAAGCTTTTGATTTTCTGACAGAGACATTTTTGCTTCCCCTTACCACTTCCTACTGGATTACAGATGTGATGGAAAGAGCTGCAGCAGCCATAATACAACCATAAAGGAGAGGAGAAGAGAATTGCAAAGGCATCAACCCACATTGAATTGAACTGCTAAGTTAACACTAGCAGTTACTTGCCTCCAGATATCTTGGTGTGTGAGAACATTAAATCTGTATGTGTCTAAATCAGTATGGGTGAACATTTCTGTCACTAAAGTCAAAAGCATCCCTGAAACAGTGCATGATTCCATATGACCCTTACCACAACCCTGGTAAATAGGTATAATTATCCTTCATTTAAACATGACGAAATTAAAGTTGGGAGAAACTGACTATACAAAAGTCATTAATCGTATGAGTGGTAGAATCAGGATTTAATTTCAAGCTTTTCATGCTACACTCACAAACCCATACCAAATAAACAAGAAGTTAATATATTACATATATTAAGATATTATATATCATATCTGTATTATATTTAATTTCTTACATACATTTTATATATTTATATGTACTTTTACATATATATTTATATATACTTATTCTTTATATATATATCTACACACACACACACACACACACACATACTTTTTAATCCTATTGCCTAATTTCCTTGGAGTCCATGGTAACAACATCCCCTTTATCTTGGGCCTGTGATGATTTCTCTCCTAGACTAACATTACTCTCAGCCCACTAGATACAAGTAAAAATCATCCAGGAGAAAATACAGATGATTTGGAAGTGCCATGCTTCCTAAATATCAAGAAATAAGAGAGTCTGAGTGTGGGAGGCAGCGTGTAGAGCATAAAGAGCAGAGAATCTGGAGCGGACAGATGTAAGTCATAGCCCAGCACTGTCTAACGCTAAGTTGCTGTGAATCCGTTGGAAAAAGCACATCCCCCTCCATGAAACTGGGTTTTCCTACCTATCAAATGGAATGAGTATCTGGTGGGGGCAATGGGATTTGTGTGTGTGTGTGTTGGGGGGGACTGGAATAAAGGGAGTTCTTAGGTGACACTTAAAATCATTTTAATGTGAAAATGCCATAACTGGGAGATATATACACATATACGTCTACTGGTGAGTAAACCCACCTCGACCAGAATTACAGATTCTTTCATGATTTGTTACCTGTGAAGAGGAGATGATGGTGTAGAGGATCGGAATGCACAAGAGACAGCAATCAGCAGAGGGCCAACGCCTCCTAAGATCCACCTTTGTCACCTTAAGGTTTTTGAGCTATGGCCAGGGACTTGAGTTGGCTGTTCGTTCCCACTGTAGACAGTTTGCTCTCAGAAACCACATCTTTATGACCCCACCCCATCAGGGCGTAGCAGGGAATGTATTCCTCCATGACATCTTCACCATTTTCTTACCGGTCACATCAGCTTTTTCCTTTTTTTCTTTTTGTAACGAGTTCCAATGCCCACTATCCATTTTGTGCTGCTATAACAGAATACCTGAGAATGGATAATTTATAAAGACCAGAAATTTATTTCTCACATCCCTGGAGGCTGGGAAGTTCAAGGTCAGGGTGCCAGCATCTGGTGTTGGCCTGCTTGCTGCATTCTCACATGGCAGAAGAGCAGAAGAGAGCAAACCCACTTCCATAAGCCTTTTTTATAGTGGTATTAATCTGTTCATGAAGGGCTGTGCCCTTGTGACCTAAATACCTCCCATTAGGCCCTACCTCCCAACACAGTTGCATTTGGGATTAAACATCCAACACATGAATTTTGGAAGACATATTCCGACTATAGCAACCATGCTCTCAAATCTACAGAGGCAAAGCAGTCACCCTGTACCCCAGTCACTAGTAGGTTGGGGGTCCCATCCTCTGCACCATAACATCATAATTTGGTGGATAGAATGGGCTTCTGCATGTGATCATGCCTGTACTGGACAAACGGTTTTGTCTGCAGACCTCACTTCTATCCTCCTGTATTACTGAGCCATGCCAAGAACAAGCCTCTCACAGAAGCTGCTTGTTCTTGGATTACACTTTCTTGACATCAAAATGTTTGCTGAGATTATGCAAAATAGAATGAGATTAACACGTGTTGTTCAACTGAATAGCCCCAGGCTCTTGGCTTTCCTACACAACTTGAGCTGCCAAAATAAATTCCCACCCACGGATATCCTGAGTTTGTCTGGCTTGCTTAGAGTAAAAGCATGGAGACAGAGGAGCTGTTACATAGCAGATTCTCCCACATTCACAAAGGAAGCCGCAAAGCAATTCCATCCAAAGCAACCCTCGGGCCCCTCCCAGAGTCGAGTTTCTTTCCTTCCTGTCCTAACCAAAAGGACATTTTTAACTAAAAGCCAAAGTGTCATCACCTTTTGTGGGGGACAGCCTTCTAGGATCCCCATGGTTTTTACTTACATCACTCCTTTATTCTGCATTCAATAAGTAAACATATTACTTACTTAAACACTTGTTATGCCGGGCATGGTGCTAGGCCACAGGGAGCCGATGGCAAAAGAGATCATGTGGTCCTGGCCATTGGTTTACCCTGTACAGTTAACACTATAGTCTCACTTTCTTCCTCTATAAGGTCATTGCTTTGTCTGCAAAGAAAGAACCCTGAAGAAAAACACTTGGTTACTTAACCCATGAGGGTTTCAAATTTCAACTTATCTAATTTTTGGTGCAATTCCATGTGACAGACTCAGCTATAGGTAATTTCTCATGTGTTTCAAGTGCTCAGTAAATATCTGTGGAATTTGATTGTTAACATCATCACTGCTGTGAAAGAAATACCATTTGCCTCAGTTTTTGGGTAAGATGAGGTATAGAAACTTTCCCAAGATATTTAAGTGGTGGAGCATTTCAATGTTACTTCCATTACGACCATTACCACTACTAATACTATCACTACCACCATCACACCCTATCCTGTATTACCAGTATCACTATTATTACTACACTACCATTGCCACTGTGATTACTACATCATCATTACTACTGTTATACTACTACTGCTACTACTGCTACTTCTATGAGCAGCTAAAACTTAGTGGGCTGTAAGTGTCAAGCCCTCTACTAATATTTTAAATCCATTAATTGATTTAAACATCACACTAACCCTTTCAATTAGAGATTATTGTCTCCCATTTACAGATGAGACAATAAAGTGACAGTTAAACATCTAGAAGTGACAAAATTAGGCTCCAACCCCAGGCAGTCTGACTTCCAAGTCCATGACCGTAACCACCATCTCGTACTTCCCCTCTAGATCCATTTCTAGCACTCACATGTGTGTAATTCCAAAGCCATGCTCCTAACCATGGGATTGGTAAACACTCTGAACTCCAGCGAGGCAGGTTTATGAGACATGCAGGTGTTGCGAGCTGACTCTCACCCTTGTATAGCTTCAAGGCTTCAAGGATGGCTCTACGCCAAGCTTGTCCAACCTGCAGCCTGTGGGCCCAGGACAGGCGGCCCAGGACAGCTTTGAATGCGGCCCAACACAAATTGGTAAACTTTCTTAATGCATTATGAGATTTTTTTTTGTGATTTTTTTTTTTTTAGCTCATCAGCTATCGTTAGTGTTAGTGTATTTTATGTGTGGCCCAAGACAATTTTTCTTCTTTCAGTGTGGTCCAAGGAAGCCAAAAGATTGGACATCCTTACTCTATACCTCCCAGCAGGAACATCCCTCAACAGGGAACACAAAGGTTAGGTTGAGGAAGTAACAGCATCTGACAAAAAAGACAGGGCAAAGATTTCTGACAGAGAGCAGAGGCCCACTATGAACCTCAGATCACTGAGTTCTAGGAGGTGCCCAGAGTTCTAATGGCAGCAGCATCTGAACTAAGGCACTGCTCTAGCCACATCAGGAGAAGCCAGCAAGTTCCTGGCATCTCAGGCCAGGAAGGACTAACAACAGACATTCAGGCCAGACTCCTGCCACATACCCCCTTCATCTTCTTAATGCCATGTCTCACATCAAATGTCCATTCCAGCACTGCTACTCCTTAACATAATGCTACTGAGGGCGCCAAGCTACCTCAGTCCTTTCCCCAATCCTGTAACCCCCATTTCCTATTAACAATGGGCCCATGACAGGCCAGGCACAGTGGCTCACGCCTGTAATCTCAGCACTTTGTAAGGCTGAGGCGGGTGGATCACGAGGTCAGGAGATCGAGACCATCCTGGCTAACACGGTGAAACCCTGTCTCCACTAAAAATACAAAAAAATTAGCCAGGCATGGTGGTGGGCACCTGTAGTCCCAGCTACTCGGGAGGCTGAGGCAGGAGAATGGCGTGAACCTGGGAGGTGGAGCTTGCAGTGAGCCGAGATGGCGCCACTGCACTCCAGCCTGGGCGACAGTGCGAGACTCCGTCTCAAAAAAAAAAAGGGCCCATGACAGGGTGAGACCAGTGACTCAAGCCAGGTCTGGATCTTTGTCCCCTTTTCTCCGCCTACAAGCATTTTACACATCCTTCATGATCTACCTCCATATGCACCTCCCTGTGAAGCCACTGTCTATTCCAGGACCCAAGCACTTTGTAAATCCCAATCATACGGCAACAATCAAGTTCTTTCTTCTATTTTTGAGGGCGTATCTCTTCTGGACTAGGCTTGTTGAAGACCAGTAACTTACCTTATTCATATTTGCATGCCCCACAGCATCTAGTCCAATGCCTGCCTAATAGTAGGGGCTCTGTAAATGTGGAAGGAAGGAAGAAAGAAAAGGAGGAAGGAACGAAAAAAAGAGAAGGAAACGGAAGGAAGGAGGGAGAAAGGGAAGGAAAAAACAAAAAAAGAAAGGGAAGAAGAACAGAAGCTAGGCATTCAGTATGCCACACCTCTGAGTTTTCCTAAGTCCAGCCCCAAATCATGTAAACATGGGTTTCCGATACAGAGACCACAAGAATTTGGTCTTTGTCACAGGCTTAGTTCATTACCATAGACTTAGAGGCTGATGGAAGTAGATCTCTCAGGACCTCCTGCCAATCTGGGAGCTGATGGAAATCACTGGAACAAAAAAGGAGACAGTGGTATAGGGAAGGGCATGGAATTTTACATTCGAGGACTTATTCTATCCCAGCAGGCTTTAGCATTGGGTATGTCTTCTGACAACCCTGCACCTCAGCTTCCTTCTCTATGAAACTGAACACTATCACCTCCTTCCAGGGAGTGTTGTGAGGATGTAAAGAAAAACACAGAGCATGTGAAAGTGTTTTGTGGATGGGAGTGTGCCTTGTGGATATTATTTCTTACCTAGATCAGGGTGTCTGTGTTGATGCTATTCTCCTTACTATCTGAGTTTTCCTCTTGCCCTGACCCTGACCCAGGGGTGTTGGTCGCTGCTCTCAGAGAGAGTCTGGCCCTGGGGCTCCACCAGACCTCGCCACTGCCTGTTTCCTTGTGCGCCCCATGGCAGCCTCCAATGAGGAGGCCAACCCTGGATGTGTTTTGTGTAGTGTTTGGAATTCACCTCAGCCTACCATGAAGGAGAAAGAGGGAAGGAGAAGAAAAAGGAGACGCAGCAGCCGCCACCACCAAAGCCTCCCAGGGAGCGAGCCACTCTAGAATAGTTCCTCCTGAGCTCTGCAGAGGCCTCACCACTGAGGAAAATGCCAGAAAAATGCCAGCTAATTTCAGAGGCTCCACGTTGGTGGGCCAACATCCCAGGGAGAATGAGCAATTATGATTTCCATCTAAGCAACATATGCTGTTTGCTGGCCTCTTTCGAACAGCTGTAGGTTAGATGCTGTTAAGATTGGTCTCCTTCTCTCCTCCATATTTCAGAATTCAAATTAAACTAAAATAACAGCACCTGCTGAACAAAAACCCCATTGGAAATGTGTCCTCGTACACAATTACTGTAGGGAGGCTGGTCACCATTGTTACCCGCCTATTCTTCCTGAATGGGAACGGCAGCGAAGTTTCCCAGGCAGCTGCAGCAATTCAATTGTATAACTGGAGCTGGCCCCGCGCCAACCCTCAAGAACTCAAGTGGCACCAAAAGATACTATATTGATTTGCAATCGAACATAATAGGCCATCAGCTTAATTATTACTGAAGTGACAAGGTTCTGGGTATTTCATATTTATATTTCAGGGCCTGTGAAGGATGAATGTAAATCTTTTAAATGCACGGATTTGCATATCTTCAGAAGGGTTGAGTGCTCTTATTACATTCATAGCCTTTGAAAGACCAAAAGGACTGGCTATTGAACTCAGGTTGCCAGATCCCACCGGCATTTGCTTGGATGAAGAGACAAAAGGCATAAAATGGAAATTGCTTTTAGTCCAAAAAAAAGCCAAAAAAAAAAAAAAAAAAAAAAGCCCACTACCCAACTCCATCAAGCTCAGCCTCTTCGGGGGCCTTCTCTGGGAAATTGGTTATAGGTCTTATTGGACAGAGGCATTTGGATATTGGGAAATGAAACCAATGACTCTGACTTGTGAGGTCCCCTTTGCTTTCTCCTTCCCAGCCTGCACCCTGGGCTCTGCAGAGCTCTGGTCAGTAGAATCTTATGAGCCACTGAGATGTGGGCAAGGGAGGGACAGGGAGAGACAGAGGTTCATTTTCCAAATGTCCACTTCACTTATGCACCACACTGATACCAAAGACGCAAAGACAATGGTCTCTTCATCTTCGTCCACTCATCATCATCAACCCTCCTCCCTACATCCTTTCTAATAGGACCTGTTACCCTAGCAAGAAATTTTAAAACCATTCCAGATTTCGCCCTATCTCTCACCCTGCAGATCCAGTAAGTCATTGCAAGTTATAGATGCCTCCTCCTGAAGCCCCCATGAGTACTGCTCTCTGCCCCATCAGTCTTATGTCCTACCTCTGTCAGGTCTCATTATAAAGCCGAAGTCTGTAAGATTTTCCTGCCATACCTTCCTGCCTGCATCTTTCTGGATTGCAGTCCATTTCCTACCCTGCCATCATAGGGCTTTTCTGAAAATGCTGGAAACTCCTGCCTAAAACCTCTCCATAGAGGCCAGATGATAAAGCTCATCTCTCTTCACAGTCAGGCATCAGCCTTCATGCCAAACCACTATTCCCTAGGCATGTACTTTCACCCTTTACACATGGTGTTTCAATTCTCTTTGCCTGAATGCCTTTTTCTTCTTGTCAGTGGAAAGACAAGAATCATCTTTCAAGATTCCCTTTGAAACACTGCATCCTATCTTATACTTTACACAGGTCCCCTCCCCAGCAACTTCACTTTGTTCATATGTACATTATGAAAACTTGTCATATTGTCCTTTACTTAATGGTTCACACTGGGAGATAAACTGCTTCCACTAGCAAGGCCTCACAGTCAGAAAATGTGCCTTTATATCTGGACCTGGCTCAGAGCTCGGAATGTAGAAATGTTCAGCAATTGTTAGTTGAGTAATTCTTCATTCCTAGGAAACATCAACCATGTATTGAATGTCTATAATGTGTGATATTGTTCCAGGTGCTGAACCAAAAATAATTCATATGGGAACCCAATCCCAAGTCCAAGACACCACAATAAGCATAATAGTCAATGCTAATGACCAAGAGGATGGTTTAGACATCAAGCATCCTCCAAACACAGAGAAACAGGAAATTTGTGGCCTAGAGTGTCTGGGAGAAAGTAGGACTACAGCTAAGCCTGAAATCTTGAAATGCTATAATTTAAGAAGTGGCAGGATTATTTGAATTCACCTTCTCCAATCCCCACATTTTATAGATAAGAAAATTGAAGACCAAAAAAGGTAAGATTTACAAGGTTGCAAGAGCAGTAGGAATTCTCGCTTCCAAATCCCGCTTCTTTCCGTGATGCAGTGAGATGGGTAGGACTTGACTAGAAATGAAGTGTGGAGAATATTCCAGATGAAAGATCTACAGCATTCTCATCATCCTCAGTAACCTCAGGAACCACAGTATTATCACTATTGCCACCACTCCTCTCCCCAATACCACCATTGACACCACCTTCATTGTCTCCACCATTGTCAGTATCCCCCTGACAGCCACTGTTCCAGCCCCACTCCCGCCATCATTCACACCACCACGATCCGTATCAAAGAAGCCTCTTTGTTGAGTGGAGAGAAAAGGTGCTTTGTTCTTGTTTCCATTATCTGTAATGAAATTTCTGCCCCTGTTCTATTCCATTTTCCTACACCATTTAGACGGCCTCTGTCCTTTCAGATCCTGGGCTCTAGCACAGAGCTGTCTTAGCACTGCCAAGGGGCATTGTGATAATCTCCCCACTCAAGGAAGAATTTTTATTCCCTTGAACTGAGAAGCTATTTCCAAGGAAGCTAGATCAATAGGAATACAGGAAAGAAAAAAAAGAGAGACAGAGAGAGTATTGCAAAGTTTAGGAAACCAGAATTCTGTCTACAAAGGTAATGGGCAATAAGAGTTACGATCTAATTCTTTGAAGGGGACAGTTCAAGAAGTCTGAAGAGGGAGATGCCCACTGTTACCTAGATCAGGAAACCTAGGGATATTCTCCAGGACACAGCTGAATCCCCCTTTCCCTGACTCTCGATGTCCTGGCTTATCATCCCGTTCTCCCCCTACCCTCCCTGTTGCCATTCTCCGGCTTCTGTCTCGTCTGGGGCTGCATTTAGATCCACTTCCCTGGCTTATGTCCTTTGGGAGGAGCCCAGCACCTCCACTGGAATCACCCAGGAGAGAAATCCGAGGGCTGGCAAAGACTCAATCCCTGGAGTCCTCAGGCAGCAGCATCCCCACAAGGGCCTCTCCTGCCAGGCAGAGCACAAAGGAAGGCATTATCCTGCGAGGAGGAGAGGAGCTGAGGAGGACCACCTGCTCAGGCAATTCTATGATAAAAGGAAGTGAGGCTGGAAATTGGACAATTGTTACTAAGTAGCTGAGGACCCAGCTGAGTGGGGTTTTCTTTAATAGAGATGATAGAAACCAGCTTTAAAGGCAGATGGAGATTTTCCAGAACCTAGGGGCTCATGAAGAGAAGCAGGGGAGAGAAGTAGGCCCAGGAAAGGGCATCTTTTAACATCCTTGTGAGGAGCCAGGAGTGGGGTTCTTTCTTACAGGGATAGGAAGCATTTCACATGTGTCAGTATTTATTTCCTGCTCTCCTTTTAAAGGCACAGTCTTTGTGAGCACCTGGGAGGGAGAAAGTGATCCCTAAGACTTGGCGAGGGTTTGCCAAGAATTAGCTACAAAGGACCAAACACTTCTTTCACTGCTTTCTAGGCTGGGAGACTGTGGAAACACTGGAAAGCAAGCAAATCTGGACTTCAAGCATTTGACAAAGTCTTTATTTTCGTGGAAAAGATAGGTGACAAGGTAATTAAGTGAATTTGGAGTTGGTTTGTATCTACAATTGATTGTGTGCTTACCATTTGTCAAGCACCATACTGGATTTTTCACACATCCTATCACTGAATCACCTCATTCCCCTTAAACAGATGAGTAAAGTGGCTCAGAGACGTTGACACATTTAGGCCTAGGGGAGCCTGGAAGCATATCTGCCACCTCTCTATAGCACCTGTCTTCAGGCTAGAATGGAGCATGCCCATGTATGCTCACAAGGTACTAGGGGAGCCTGGGAGCATCTCTGCCATCTCTCTATAGCACTTGTCTGCAGGCTAGAATGAAGCATGCCCATGTATGCTCACAAGGCATACTGTTCCATCATGCACAGACAAACACCAATCAACACACTCTCGGTTGCAGTCACATAGAGCTCCGACCCCCACAGATGCCATGGGTGTGTGAGCACACACAGCCTTATAGGTACGAACATGCTCCCACACCAGGGATACCTCTCAGAGGTCTTACCTTTTTCTACTTCCTGTCTCCATCTAATGGATAGCACTCCTCTTTTCCTGCATCTCAAGCTTCAGAAAATGGCGCTGATTATCTGGAGTAACATTGTGTCCGGAATTGGTGGGTTCTTGGTCTCACTGACTTCAAGAATGAAGCCGCAGACCCTCGAGGTGAGTGTTACAGTTCTTAAAGGCCGCCTGTCCGGAGTTTGTTCCTTCTGATGTTTGGATGTGTTCGGAGTTTCTTCATTCTGGTGGGTTCGTGGTCTCGCTGGCTTCAGGAGTGAAGCTGCAGACCATAGCGGTGAGCGTTGCAGCTAATAAACGCAGTGTGGACCCAAAAAGTGAGCAGCAGTAAGATTTACTGCAAAGAGAGAAAGAACAAACCTTCCACAATGCAGAAGCTGACTCAAGCGGGTTGCCACTACTGGCTCAGGCAGCCTGCTTTTATTCTCTTATCTGGCCCCACCCACATCCTGCTGTTTGGTCCATTTTACAGTGAGCCAATTGGTCTGTTTTACAGAGAGCTGATTGGTCCATTTTGACAGGGTGCTGATTGGTGCGTTTGCAATCTCTGAGCTAGACGCAAAAGTTCTCCACCTCCCCACTAGATTAGCTAGATACAGAGTGCTGATTGGTGCATTTACAAACCTTGAGCTAGATACAGAGGGCTGATTGGTGTATTCACAATCCCTTAGCTAGATATTTTAAAGATTCTCCAAGTCCCCACCAAATTAGCTAGATACAGAATGCGATTGGTGCATCCACAAACCAGGAGCTAGACACAGGGTGCTGATTGGTGTGTTTACAATCCTTTAGCTAGAAATAAAGGTTCTCCAAGTCCGCACTAGACTCAGGAGCCTAGCTGGCTTCACCCAGTGGATACCGCACCGGGGCCGCAGGTGGAGCTGCCTGCCAGTCCCGTGCCGTGCACCCACACTCCTCAGCCCTTGGGCGGTCAATGGGACCAGGCACCGGGGAGCAGGGGGCGGCGGTCGTCGGGGAGGCTCAGGCCGCGCAGGAGCCCGGCGGGGGGCGGGGAGGGGGTGGTGGAGGGTGGCTCAGGCATCGCGGCTTGCAGGTCCCCAGCCCTGCCCGGAGGCAGCCAAGGCCTGGCGAGAAATCGAGCGCAGCGCCGGTGGGCCGGCACTGCTGGCAGACCTGGCGCACCCTCCGCAGCTGCTGGCCCGGGTGCTAAGCCCCTCACTGCCCGAGGCCGCTCCGCTCCGAGTGCGGGGCCCGCCAAGCCCAGGCCCATCTGGAACTCTAGCTGGTCCGCAAGTGCCGCACGCAGCCCGGGTTCCTGCCGGCGCCTCTCCCTCCGCACCTCCCGGCAAGCTGAGGGAGCCGGCTCCAGCCTCAACCAGCCCAGAGAGGGGCCTCCACAGCGCAGTGGCGGGCTGAAGGGCTCCTCAAGCGCGGCCAGAATGGGCGCCCAGGCCGGGGAGGCACCGAGAGGGAGCGAGGGCTGCTAGGGCTGCCAGCAAGCTGCCACCTCTCAACATCTAAAGTCCAGTGGGCTGAGCAGCATCCTCAGGCAGAGGCTGTGGGAAAGCAAGGCAGAAAGACCCTGAGGGATCCATGGGTCAGATCTGCATTCATATGCCTAACCTTGCCCCATGTTAGCAGTGTGGCCTCAGGGAGTCCCTGCATGTCTCCAACCCCCGGTGGCCCTTCTGTTAAGATGGGGATAGAAATACCCATCACAGAGCATTGCTCTGAGGACTGGAAAGTCCTGAGACAGTTGGGACAGAGTGCCTGTGCCTGCCCATGGTCAATCCCAAGCCATTCTGCCACGTTGTCATTCTGCCACATTCTGAGGCCAAAGCCATTTCCATGCTGCATTGCACCCTGTCAACAGCCCCCAGGGAAAAAGAGGTGGCAGAGAGTCAGGGGGCGTTGAGACCCTCAGCTGCTCCCGGAGAGGCAGGGCTGACAAGGCAAGGATTGTTTTTCTCCCCTGGTGTGAAGCTTGTTGACTTGCTGTTGATAGATGGTGGGATAATATTCATTAAAATACAGGCAGGTGTGAGGGTGCCACTTAGAGTTGTGCTTTCTCTCGGGGAAGGGGGAAGCCATCCGACTCTGTTTTGTAGCCATAGAAGGAAGAGCGTCCTGTCCTCTGCCCTCCCCTCCCGCTTCTGACAGCAGGTGCTACTTGGAGGAAAAGGTCTGGATTTCCCTGTCACTGGCAGAGGCAGGTCACAGGAGCACCAGGCTCCAGGTGGGAAGCACCATCAGGCTTTCCATCCTAGTGGGTGCAGTGAGGGGAGGGGCAGGCCTCTTAACACTTTTCCTCAACCATGAGGTCTTCTGAGATTCTGCCTTTGGAGAATGTGCTCCAGGAAGCACTTGTCTTTTCTGCTCCTTGCCAGCTCTGCCTCTGGCTCCCATAGGCAGGACTGGGGTGCAAAGGACTTCCTGAGAGGGAGGAGTTCGATGTTCTAAGGCAGAGCCTACGGGGAAGAGCTGAGACCAAACACCACAAACCAGGGTCTGTGTGCAGGGTCTGTGTCCAGAGGTCTAGGGGCTGGGGTTTGAACTTGAGACAGGAGCAAGCACAGGACAGGAATAAGAAACCTGAGCAAAGACTGGTTGTTGCACACAGCCACACAGCCGCGGGACATGCCCAGCCCAGCCCTACGGCCAGAGTTTTTTTGCTGTCCCTTGGACCAAGATGGACTGCAAGAGGACATAGATGAATGCCAAGGTCCTCCTTCTTGTCCCTTCCTGCAGGAATGGTTCCTGAGGACTCCTAATTCTGAGGTGTTAGTATTGGACATGGTAGGAACTATTGAGGATCCCTGCAGTCAGGTGACGTGATTGAAATGTTAGAGCTGAGATTCAAACAACTCATTTATGCAAGCTGAAGCCCCAAGCCACTCCTCTGTTTCCTGAAACTTTATTTGAACAGGAGTCAGTGAGACATCTCAAAAGAAAGTCCTTCCATTGCCCTACCTCTGTTAACCTCTCAGAAGAAAATAAGGAAATATCTGTAAAGGGAGAGTAGAGATAGAGAGCAAGCTGTAGGCTCAAGACTTGGTCCCTGAGCTCACAACCCAAACCACAGAACTTAATCTTCAACTTTCCAGGACTCTGTTTACTTGTTTGTAGAAAGGAATAAATGAGATTGTGAATTCTCCCTCTCTTCTTCTCTCTCTCCCTCCCTTTCTTCCTTCTCTTTCCTTCCTTCCTTCCTCTTTCTTTCCTTCTTTCTTTCTTTCTTCTTTTTCTTTCTTTCTTTTCTTTCTCTCTCTCCCTCTCTCTTTCTTCTTTCTTTCTTTGTCACTTTCTTTCTGACTTTCTCTCTCTTTCTTTCTTTCTTTTTCTTTCTTTCTTTCTCTCTCTCTCTCTCTCTCTTTCTTTTCTTCCTTCGTTCCCAACTTTCCTCCTCCTCCAGCTACACGGATAATTTGACAATCTGCATTTGGGGTTCTTAAATATGTGTAATCATTTCTCCACCATCTGACCTGTAAATAACAGCTTTAATGAGGATTGTTGGAAAACATTCCCCAGGGATGGCAATGAATTATAATGCAAATTGAACTGAGCTTTCTTGCAGGCTTAATAGCTAGAACTGTTAACAATGAGGATTATTTTGGAAGTGTTGAAGAAGAGACAAGGTAAAGCAGTAAAAAAGTCTCTGCAGACTCAAAGTGTAGCCTCCTCCATGCCCCATCTTACTTAGTAACACATTTGTTAATCCAAAAAGATCAAAGCCCTTCCAATAACACAATCAGGATGTCCCACATCCTTGGAATATAATGGACAATATCATTCCAAACTGTTTCTGGAAATAAACAGTCAATTCAAACAAATAGGACAATGTTTTCTAACAGATACATATTAGGAAACATAATATATATAAAAACATATATATATGTTTCTTAATCTATAGATATGAGAGTTTTTTGATTAATTTTTGTTAGGGCAATTCTAAGTTCACAGCAAAATTGAGCAGAAAGTTCGTAGTTCCTGTATACCTCCTGCTGTCACATATGCATGTCCTCCCCACTACCAACATCTCCCACCAGAATGGTAGATTTGTTACAATTGATGAACCTACACTGACACGTCACTGTCATCCAGAGTCCACAGTTGACATTAAGGTTCACTTTTGTTGTTGGACATTCCATGGGTTTTGGCAAATGTATAATGATATGTATTCACCATTATAGTATCATACAAAATAGTTTCACTTCCCTAAAAATTCTGTGATCCACCTACTTAATCTTTTCCTTCCTGCTAACTCTTGGCAACCACTGATCTTTTTACTGTCTCTATAGTTGTGCCTTTTTCAGAATGTCCTATAGTTGGATTCACACAATATACAGTCTTTTCAGATTGACTTCTTTCACTTACTAATATGCATTTCAGTTTCCTCCATGTCTTTGTGTAGTTTTATAGCTTATTTCTTTTTAATACTGAACAATAGTCCATCATCTAAGTATACCACAGTTCATCCATTCACCTACTGAAGGACAGCTTGGTTACTTCCAAGTTTTGGCAATTATGAATAAAGCTACTCTAAACATGCATGTATGGGTTTTGTGTAGAATATAAATTTTTCCCTTTTTGGCTAACTACCAAGGACAGCAATTGCTGGATCATATGGTCAAAATATGTTTCGTTTGAATACATCTAGTCCCAAATGTTTAAGAAAACAGTTTGTGGATTTGGGCTATGTGATCTTCAGAGAGAGACACAAAGTTGGTGAGTTTCTGAACAACAGTAAACAACAACAAGTCTCAATATTACTTTCATTAAAGAATCTTTAGACTAATATGCCTTTTTTACATTTAACATTTTTGTTTTTAGGAAGGCAAATAACCATCTATTTCAGATGATGAGATATTCTCTTTCTGGAATTAAACTGGAAGATTGAACTGGCCTACACGTATGCTAATTAAAATGCTGTAGTATTTGTTAGAACTAATAGCAATGCAAGTATCAGTAATGACATTGGAGACAGTTGTTACCTTGAGTTGTGGTCATAGTCTATTCACGCTGGTTTAAAAAAATACCTGAAACAAGATAATTTATAAAGAATAGAAATGTATTTCTCACAGTTGAGGAGGCTGGGAAGTCCAAGATAAAAGGGTGGGCAGGTTCAGTGTTTGGTGAGGGAAGCTCTCAACTTCCAAAATGGCACTCTGATGATGACTTCTTTGGAGGGGAGAAACATTTTGTTCTCACATGGTGGAAGGTGGAAGGGCAATAGCCTAACACTGGCTTTGTAAAACCTCTTCTATAAGGGCCTAAATCCCATTCAGAAGGGAGAAGCCTTCATGGTCTAATGACCTCTTAAATGCCCCACCTCTTAATCCCATCGCATTGTCAACATCAGAATTTTGAGACACATTCTAACCATAGCAGTTGTCTTGCAAAAACTAACAGAAAACTGAGAATTTGCATTAATCCTGGAAAGAGTCAAACTTTTAGAGAACATGTCAAAGGACCTAGAGCTAAGCCATGAAGGAGGGAAGGGGTTCAAATAAGTAGACCATAATGATAAGCCATGTTCAAGAGCAGCCAGGTCTGGGGCTAGGCTAGAGTGGTTTTCTGCTGAAAGGTGTGGTATAATTTTGGCCACTTTTATTCTTCCATCCTGTTCCCCCATCATGGCTTTGCTCTCAGCTATAATGTAGTGCCCCAAGATTCTGTGCATTTTACTCATTCCAAGTGACTTCCAAATAGTGTACTCTTCCCAAATACACCTCAATTCTTCAAAAATTAATAAATTAAAGAAATATCAAATGCATATAAAAATTTACTGGTCCAAATAAAAGGAGATTGTTCCTAAGAATTAGAATTAATATTTCCCTATTAAATAGATACATTTTTGTTAACAAAGAAGGAATTTGAAAATGTTATAATCCATGCTCTTATTAAGATTTAAAAGGACAATGCATCTATCAAAAAGGCACATCTGCACTGGTGGGGTGGCTCACACCTGTAATCCCAGCACTTTGAAAGGCCAAGGCAGGAGGATCACTTGAGCCCAGGAAATTGAGACCAGCCTGGGCAACAAAGTGAGATGCGTTACTAAAAAAATTTTTTTTCAATTACTCAGGCCTGGTGGTGAATGCCTGTGTAGTTCCAGCTACTCAGGGGGCTGAGGCAGGAGGATTGTTTATGCTCAGGATTTCAAGGCCGCAGTGAGCTATATGATTGCACCACTGCACTCAAGCCTAGGTGACAGAGCAAGACTATCTTAAAAAATAAAATTACAATAATAATAAAAGAACTTCTGAGACCAGAAAAAAATTCTAGATAAAAAATATGGTTATGAAATATTTACAGAAAACATAACGAAGTAGTGAATAGTTGATTTAGATAAATTATCCCAGAATTCAGAGGAAATTTGTATAGATGAAAATGATGAACAAAAATATGATAAAAGTGAAGAATAGATCCAGAACATATAATCCATTTATAGTAGAATTTCAGAAAGTGAAATGAAACATATGGAAGAATAATACAAAATATAAACAGACTTCCCTGTACAAAGGAAAAATTAAGATTTGTGGAACCAAATCCCTGATTGAGCAGCGAGGTAAAGCTGATAGAAGAAAATATGTTCCTAGATATATCTAGTAACATCTTTGAATTTCAAGGATCAAAAACATCAGAATTTCTGGCTAAAAATGGGTAATTGAACACATGCCTTTAGTTTCACTTTCCCTTAAAATCTCACTAAAATGATAGTAAAAAAAAAATGTTTGAAGACAATAATTGAAAATGGCAAAGAAAAATAGAATGTCAGTAGCCAAAAAAAAAAATTGGGAAGCTGAGCAGTAGATGAAGTGTAACTGACACAGCTGACTGACAAAAGCAGGATTCTAAGCTGCCAGCAGGAAAAGCCAAGAAGAACACATTCCCCTCACAGAACTCAAACTCTCAGGAATCAGTAGCTCCCACACTTATGGGGGCTGGGTGGATGGTGTTAAGAAGCTAAAGTAAGGACTGGTTAAACTGTGTTGAGAATTCAAATAGCAGTATAAGCCTGCTATTTAGAGTTACAGAAGTACGTTTTTCAAAATCAGCTAAAAAATTTGAAAGTAGTTGCCTTTGTGGAGCAGTAAATGGGAGAGGGTTTATATTAAGTTACAAGTCTTCTAGAACTATTTGGCTTTTCAAATTATCATTATGCATAAGGTGAAAAAAAATGAATACCTAATTGTAAAGCTCTTTAAATAATTAAGGAGGGGAAAATAAAATTTTTATGTAAAAATAAAAATAGTTAAGTTGGCAACGGTCTCTTTTTCTGCAATTCTAAATGCCAGAAGACAATGGAGCAATGTCTATAGAATTTTCAAAGGAAATTATTGTGATCAAAAATTTCTGAACCTGGAAAAACTGTCAATATAAAAGGGCTGGAAAAATGACTTAGAAAGTAAAACTACTGCATGTATTTATTAAGAAAAAAAAAACAAAAAAAACTAAAAGAACTAAACCTCAAGCAATTCTCTGCCTGTCTGAGAAATTAAGAAAAATGAAACTCTTATTTATAGGAAAAATGTAATAAGAAGGAAATGAATGATAACAATGGTAGTGTTTCAAATATAAATGTTAGCATCTTAATATTTGTAAAAGGTAAATATAAAGCCTAATGCTAATTAAAAAAAATTCTTAAAGGGGTAGAAGTATAATGTATTATGGATTACAATTTTAGCATCTAAATTAAAAAACCCATAATCTGTCACAAACATGTGTGGTATAAAGGAGAAATAGCATGAAAAAACATGTATGTTTCAATGGTTAAACAAATAGTTCTTTACTTATGTGTCGATCCCTCTCCTCATGGTTACTAGGGTTTTTGAGTGAGGATGGGGTAGGGGACTGGATAGATAATGCTTATGTGTTTCATTGTAACAGAGAAAATTAAAGTTTAATATGTTTTAAGAACAAACCATGTAATCATCAGTATAAAGGAGAGTAGATATTTTTCTAATTAATATAATATTTTTAAAAAGCATATAATATGCAAAACATAAAGTTATCTGCATACTGTTCATAGCAAATGTTTTAAAACTAAGTTGGTCTAGAAAGGTTCACAGGAGTACAGATTTATTAAGGAAATGCCAAAAAAAGAGAGGCAGAAATGCCTATAGTACTATCGGAACTCAAATTAAAATTCATGTAACAGCACACAAAGGAAGTGGAATGTTACTTAATATTGATTAGACAAGATTACCTAAAATAAAGTTATAATTACTAATGCTAATCTATTAAATAACAAAGCATTAAAATACTTTAAAAAGCTGTTAGAGAAATTGATGAAAGTACAATTGTATTGACAGATTTAAAGACACATCTTATTTTTCACGGCACAAATAGCAAGTGAAAAAAGTGAAAAATCAGTTGAAAATTTGCCTTAAATGATCAAATGGAGAATTGCATACACTACAAACAGAAAATACATTACTTTCCAAAGTTCATGACATTTTCACAAAAATATTTATATCCTAGGCCATAAAAAATAGTGAAAAAATTCTTCACATTTGAAACCATACATTCTACAGTCTAACAATGCAGTGCAATAAAAGTAGACATTAACATAAAAGGCAAAGAGGAAAAACTTAAATTCACTTGAAAATGGAAAACAAAAATCTCCTCTCCAATGTAACTTCTATGTCAAAGAGTTAATTAAAACTGAAATTACAAACTATTTAAAAAACAATAAAATTACTGCAAAAGTATGAAAATAGGAAGAGCAGTAATAGAGAGAGGAGTATTATTAGTATATTGTTAAATAATGGTGGAAGAAATCAAAGAAGCTACACATCCAACTTAAGTAGAGAAAACATATAAGTAGCGAATAAAACCTAAGAAAAACTGAAGGTATAGAAAATAAGAAATCAAATAAATAGGAGATAAAACAGAGGTGACAAACTTAACAGATTTTTTTTCATTCAGTAATACTGACATCCTTCTGGCAATGCAAATCAGGAGGAAAAAAGGTAGAAAATAAAAATGTGCAACAGTAGGCATGAGAAAAGGGGGTAAAACTAAATATACAAAACAGTTTTAAAGAACTAATAATACCCTGTACATCTCCATGGAAAAACATTTAGACACAAAACATTTAGATACAAGATTGAACCAAGAGTAAGTTAAAAAAACAGGATAGAGACTTTGGTTTTAGCTCTAATGTGTAAAGAGCTTGGAAGATGCTACCCTCCACCCTTATGAGAAAAAAGTTGAACAAACTGAAAATCAACAGCTTTTCTCAGATAAATCAGGGAATAAAGTTGCAGGGGAAACTGCTGCCTCAAAATTTGGAGAGACAGGTAAATCCAGAGAATCAAAGCTGAGATCAGCTTACCTGAAGCAGAAGCTGCTGGAGTCAACAACTGGTAAAAACAGTAAAATGATAATTTTGATGAATTTCTGGAGGTGAATGTGAACTAATTAGAGAGTGAGAAACTCCTGGGGGTCACAGTCTTAGGGGTCCTGATGTGCTTCTGAGTCTTACTTCCAGCAACTCCACAAGATTCTCAGGATGAACCAAAAAGATCTCCTGACTCTCGCACAGGGAGGGAAGAGTAACCACTGTGAAACACACAGTGAATTCTCCTTAACAAAGGCCTCCTCTCCATGGGGAAGGAATTTGCCTTTTATCAAACCTGGGGAAAGGCATTTCTCCCACTTCTAGGCTTCCTATCTCACATAAGTGGGGAGAAAAATCTAAGAAACACTTATGAAGGTCACTGCTAGGAACACAGGTCCACCAACATACTGAGATTTGATAACAGAAAACTTCCCCTTCCCCCTAAACTGTATGACCACTCCAACAAGGCTCCCTAGTGTAATAACAATGGATTATAGATAAAAGGGTTGTACACAACTGACTCAACTGAGGAAGTGTTCACAGGGAAACCCAAAGACAATGGGAGAGACATAAACAAGGACATAAAAGAAATTTGAAGCCTCTAGTAACTACATTAAACACAGCCTAATTCCTAGCCAGATTAGCGCAAATGCTTAAACTGAGGCCGATTTACCTCAGCTTCTAACATATAATATGCCTGACTTTCTGTAAAAAATTACAAAACGAGCCAAAAAGCAAGAAAAATCACAGTCTAAAAGATAAAGCAAGCATCATCAACCAGATTCAGATATAACACAGATGTTGGAATTATCAGACAGGAAATGTAAAATAACTATGATAAATGCATTAGGACCATAATGGAAAAAGCAGACAACATACAAAACAGATGGGTAATGTAAGCAGAGAAGTGAAAATTCTAAGGAAGAATTTTAAAAATTTCTAGAAATAAAAAACACTTTAATGGAAATGAAGAATGCTGCCTTTGATCATCATTACATTGCCATACTTCATCAGTAGACTGGACATTGTTGAAAGAACCAGTGATCTTGAAGATATGTCAATAGAAACTTCCCAAACTGAAGTACAAAGAGAAAAAAGAATGAAAAAGAAGAGAATATCCAAGAACTGTGAGACAATTTCAAAAAGGGTAACATACACATAATTGGAATAACAGGAAAAAAAAAAGAGAAATCAAAGAAGATATATTTAAAGTAATGACTTGGTAGCTTCAAAAATTAATCAGTAAACAAAACCACAAATATAGAAAGCTCAGGGAACACCAAACAGGCTAAATCCCCCAAAATTGACACCAGGACATAGTATATTCAACCTACACAAAACCAAAGACAAGAAAAAAAATATTTATAAGAAACCAGAGGGAAAAAAACCTACCTTACCTATGGAAGAACAAGGTAAGAATGATCATAAAGTTCTTGTCAGAAACCATGCAATCAAGTCCGGACACGGTGGCTCATGCCTATAATCCCAGCAGTTTGGGAGGCCAAGGTGAGCAGATCACTTAAGGTCAGGAGTTTGAGACCAGCCTGGCCAACATGGTAAAACCTTATCTCTACTAAAAATACAAAAATTAGCCAGGCATGGTGGCGCACACCTGTAATCCCAGCTGCTCAGGAGGCTGAGGTGGGAGAATCACTTGAACCCAGAAGGCAGTGGTTGCAGTGAGCTGAGATCATGCCTCTTCACTCCAGCCTGGGCAATATAAGCAAGACTGTCTCAATACAAAAACAAAAACAGAAAAACAAAAAACAAAAAGCCATGCAATCAAGAAAAGAATGGAGTAAAATATTTAAAATGTTGAAAGGAAAAAAGCCATCAGTATAGAATTCTGTAGTTAGTGAAACTGACTTTCAAAAGAGACAGAGAAATAAAACTGTGTCAGGCAAAGAAAAACTGAGCAAATTCACTGCCAGCAGAAGCCTCACAAAAGAAGATATACAGATGGCAAACAAACATGTGAAAAGATGTTCAACATCATTTGTCATGAGGAAATTGCAAATTAAAACAACAATGAGATACTACTACAATCGTATTAGAATGGCTAAAATCCCAAAGTACTGACAATACCAATTGCTAGCTAGGATATGGAACAACAGGAATTCTTATTCATTGCTTGTGAGAATGTGAAATGATACACTCAGTTTGAAAGACAGTTTGGCTGTACTTATAAATCAAAATATAGCTTTATAACACTATCCAATAACCTCACTGCTAGGTATTTACTTAATTGATTTAAAAACTTATGTCCTCACAAAATCTAAATGCAAATGTTTATAACAGCTTTATTCATAATCAACAAAAGCTGGAAGTAACCAGAATGTCCTTCAATTGGTGAATGAATAAACAAACTGTGGTACATACGATAGAATATTATTCAGCAATAAAATGAAATGAACTATCAAGCCACGAGAAGACCTGAATGCTAAATGTATATAGCTAAGTGAAAGAAGCCAGTCTGAAAAGGCTATGTATTGTATTACTCCAATTATGTGACAGTCTAGAAAAGGAAAAACTATAGCAGCTGTCAAAAGTTCAGTTTGCCATAGGGAAGGATAAAAGTGTAAGGCTAAATAGAAGAAGCAGAGGAGATGTTTTAGGACTGTGAAGCTATTCTATATGATACTGCAATTGTGGATGTCAGAAACTACGCATTTGCCAAAACCCATAGAATTTGATAGCACAAAGAGTAAATCTTAATATATGCACATTTAAAAAAATTACTTAGGAGGTCTGAAAACCCAGGACAGAACACAGAATGTGATGAAAAAATCTGTTTTACAAATATGTGAAACAACTGCATTGAAGGAGATAGGGAAAAAAAAAAAAGTGCTGATCTAACTAGTTTTGGAAATAAGTGGAGTCTATAAGACCGAGGGCAAAATAAACTGTACATAGCATTGTACTCTCCTGATAAGATTATTTCCTCAGCCATATGATCACAGTTGATAACAACAATTATAAATCATGTTGATATTTTATATACCCTTGATATGATGTGATCAAAATTGTACTTTTACCTCTAGGGTCTTCCTCCTAAAACCCATGACCCAAGTCTAATCATCAGAAAAACATCTGACAAATCTCCATAGAGGGACATTCTACAAAATGCCTGATGAGAGCTCACAACTGTCAAGGTCATCAAAAATAAGGAAAATCTGAGATACTGTCACAGCCAAGAGGAGCCTAAGGAGATAGAGTGAGCAAATTTAATGTGATATCCTGGAAAACATTCTGGAAGAGAAAAAAGACATTAGTTCACTTGTGCCACTGTAACAAAATACCACAGACAGAGTAATTTATAAAGAACAGAAATTTATTTCTCACGGTTCTGGTGGCTGAGAAGTCTAAGATCAACGTGCTGGCAGGCCAGTGTCTGGTGAAGACCCTGTGTCTTCTAATATGGCATCTTATTACTGTATCATTGGGAGGGGATGAGCCCTGTGGCCTCACATGGCTGAAGGCAGAAGGGAAAACAGGGCCCAAACTCACTCTCTCCTGCTCTTTTATAAGGATACAAATTCCATCCATGAAGGTGGAGCCCTCATGGTCTAATCAGCTCCTAAAAGACCCACCTCTTAACACGATCACATTGGCAATTAAGTTACAACACATAGGTTTTGGGAGACATTGAGACAATACCAGGTAAAAATCAGGGAAATGTGAATGAATATGGACTTAAAAATGGACTTTATAATAATGTAAAATATTAGTTAATTAATAGTAACAAGTTTACCATACAAATATAAGGGGTTAATAGTAGTGGAAACTGGGTGTGGGGTGTATGGGAACTCTCTGTACTATCTTAGCAATTTTTCTGTAAATGTAAAAATGTTCTTAAAATAAGTTTATTGGGCCGGGTGCAGTGGCTTCACGCCTGTAATCCCAGAACTTTGGGGGGCCGAGGCTGGTGGATCACCTGAGGTTACGAGTTCGAGACCAGACTGATCAACATAGTGAAACCCTGTCTCTACCAAAAATACAAAATCAGCTGGGTGTGGTGGCTCATGCCTGTAATCCCAGCTACTTGAGAGGCTGAGGTAGGAGAATCACTTGAACCCAGCAGGTGGAGGTTGTAGTGAGCTGAGATTGCCCCATTGCACTCCAGTCTGGGTGACAGAGTGAAATTCCATTAAAAAAATAGTTTATTAAAATAAATAGAGTAGATTAAATCACTATAGTAGGAACTGAGACTCCAGGAGCCAATAATTTCCCAGGTAGGGTCTATCAAACTTAAAATAATCAAATATTTATGTGTTCTAAATATATTTTCACACTGAGCATAGATGATTGGAAATGTATTACTTTTCTCCAAAGCACTGAAAAAGATAGAAAACCTCTCAATTCATTTTATGAAGCTAACATAAACTTGACAATAAAATTGAACAAAAATAGTACATGTAACACAAATATAAAACCACAGAACCCTGGAGTACAATTATATTTATGGCTACAGATGAGAAATCCTACAGCACACTAACAAAATGAATGCATTGGCATTAAAAAATAATAAAATACGGTGCTATAGACTATTTGTGCCCTCCCCAACCAAATTCAGATGTTGAAACCTAATCCCCAATGTGAGGGTGTTTGGACACAGGGCCTCTGAGAGGTAATTAGGTTATGAGGGTGGGGCCCTCATGAGTGAGATTAGTGCTCATATAAAAGAATCCCACAGAGATCCCTCATCTCTTCTGCTCTGTGAGGTTGCAGAGAGAGGAAAATCATCCATTAAAAAAAAAAGTAATCCCTTACAACAACTGTGTTAGGTAATATCATGGGTTGAATGTTTGTGTTCCCCCAAAATTTGTATGCTGAAGCCCTAACCCCTAGTGTGATAGTATTTGAGGATTAGGTTTTGGGGAAGTAATTAGGTTTAAATTAGGTTGCTAGGGTGGGACTCTCATGATGGAATGTGTGCCTTTATAAGAAGACAAAGAGAAAGCGAGAGATCACACAGGGAGAAGTCAGCCTTCTGCAAGCTGAGAGGAGAGCCCTCCCCGGAAACCTACCATGCTGGCACCCTGATCTCAAACTTCCTGGCCTCCACACCTGTGAGAAGTAAATGTCTGTCCTTTAAGCCACCTGGTCTATGGTATTTTGTTATAGCAGACTTAGCAGATGAAGACTAGTAGGTACTATAAATTGAATATTCCTTAGCTGAAGTGCTGGTGGGGCGTGGTGGCTCATGCCTGTAATCCCAGCACTTTGGGAGGCCAAAGCAGGCAGATCGCTTGAGGTCAGGAGTTTGAGATCAGCCTGGCCAACATGGTGAAACCATGTCTCTACTAAAATACAAAAATTTGGCGGGTGCCTGTAATCTCAGCTACTCAGGAGGCTGAGGCAGGACAATTGCTTGAACCCAGGAGGCGGAGGTTGCAGTGAGCTAAGATCACACGACTGCACCCCAGGCTAGGTGACAGAGGAGCAAGACTCCCTCTCAAAAAACAAACAAATAAAAAAAACCAAAGTGCTGGACGTCAGGAGTGTTTTAGATTTCAGATTTTTTAATATTTGCATATACATAATAAGACATCTTGGGGATGGGACCCAAGTCTAAACACGAAATTCATTTCCATTTTATGTATATCTTATTCACATATCATGAAGATAATTTTATACAATATTTTCAATATTTTTGCACACCCATCATATAGGATAAGATGTGGAATTTTCCACTGGTAGCATCATGTTGGCACTCAAAAAGTTTCAGATTTTGGAGCATTTCAGATTTCAGATTCTCAGATTAGGGAGGCTCTATGTGTATTATTACTTCCATTTTACATATTTGAGAACCACATACAAGTGAAATAATTGGCCTAAAATAATAATGACTAATACGTAACAAAGACAGGCTTGGAACCTAGGCTATTTGGCTTCAGAGTCTATGATTTGAACCACTTTAATCTCAATTTCTTTCTTTCCTCCTCGTTGTTACAATTTTAAAATAATTTAAGAATAAAATTCAGCATGAACTAAATCCCTGATAATTAGAGTGGGAGATAGGGACAATTTAATGGGCAGCTGAATCTGTTACAAATAATATTTACTTTTAAAAAAGCAATGATTTTGGCCGGGCGCGGTGGCTCACGCCTGTAATCGTAGCACTTTGGGAGGCTGAGGCAGGCGGATCACGAGGTCAGGAGATCGAGACCATCCTGGCTAACACGGTGAAACCCTGTCTCTACTAAAAACACAAAAAATTAGCTGGGTGTGTGGCGGGCGCCTGTGGTCCCAGCTACTCGGGAGGCTGAGGCAGAATGGTGTGAACCCAGGAGGCGGAGTTTGCAGTGAGCGGAGATCGCGCCACTGCACTCCAGCCTGGGCAACAGAGCGAGACTCTGTCTCAAAAAAAAAAAAAAAAAGCAAAAAAGCAATGATTTTATATTTTATTAGAACCACTTTAATATGAGTTTTTCAAAAATTCTCCTGCTCCTAAAGGTTTCCTATATTAGACATATGTGTCAAAGCAATTATTTAAGTAAAATAAGTCCTACAAGTATTATGAAGGAGATAAAATTAACATTGTTTATTGAGGATTAAGATTGTCTATCTAGAAAAAACAGGAGAATCATTCAAAAAACAATAAAACTAATAAAGGCATTTACTAAAGTATCCAGTTATCAAATTAATATAAAAATCAGTAGCTTCTCTATACAGTAGAGATAGCTACTTAGAATTATATAAAGAGGGGGGAGGAGGCAAAATAATAATAAAAAATACATAAAGAAAATATAATCACATTAACAATAGCAATGAAAGTATAATAAGAACTAATCTTAAAAGGAAATATCTATCTATCTTAGAAATATCACAAACTTGACTTAGGGACATAAAAGATGTTAATAAATCAGGAGGCATTACAAGTCTCTAGATTAGAGGCTTCAATATTTTAAAGATGTCATTTCTCCTCAAATTAATTTATACATTTAATACAATCCCAATTAAAATTTGATGAGATTTTTGTTTGGAACTTGACCAAATGACTCCAAAGTTCATTTAGAAGAATAATTGTGTTAGAATAGTCATGAAAAGACTAAGAAAAATGAGTAATGAGATTGACTTTTCCTATTTGAAATTAAATTATCACTGTGGTGTAGCACCAAAGTAGTCAGATTTATAAAGCTAAAAAATAGTCCAGAAACTGAGCTAAGTTTGTGTAATAATTTGGTATACATTAATTGTGGCAGTTAAAATATTAGGGAAAGAATCACCTATTTATTAAGTGGATTATTCAATAAAATATGACTGGTAGCAAGTGTACAGGCCTTTAAAAAAAAAACACATTCAAGCTTTGTACCCATAACAGCTACAAAAATAAATTTTGGATATCTCAAAGTTTTGAACCAAAAAAAGAAACTGTTACAATGCCAGAATATATAAATAAGTATTTATGTAATCCTGTGATGTTGAAGAACTTAAAATGTACAGACCCAATGGCTTAAAGGAAAAGATTAATAATGTCTTTGACTATATAAAATCCTATAATTTGTGAATGGCAAAAACAAGTCTTGATCCACTTATCCATCTGAATACCATAAACAACATTAAAACGCAAACTATAAAAATTTTTTGCAAGAAATATTATAAACAAAGGTTTAGTTTTCTTAATCTTTTAAGGGCTCATACAAACCAGTAAGATAAAAAGGATATTCCAATAGGAAATGATCCAAGGATAGATCAGGCAATTCATAGACTACTATATATAAGGTTTTAGCAGTTAAAACATGCTAAACCTCACTAGCTATCAAGGAAACATAATTAAAACATCAATGAGATGACATTTTGTTATGAGGATTATTCTAGCAAACTACTTTCTAGAAAGTTTGTTGTACCAGGTTGAATTTGGTACCAAAGTACATGAGAATGCCTGTTTACTAATGCCCTAGCCAACACTGGTTACTATTTCAATATTTTTCATCATTTTAAGCCTATTAGGTTAAAACTGTTCTTGTAAAGCTTGAATAAAGATTCACTGCAGGTACTGTTATGGAGAGACTTGCACCTGAACTAGTTAAAACTATGCAAAATTGGCATATCTGATCCAATTTCACAACGGTCTGTTTCTGTTTTAGATGGTTGCCCCTAACCATTTCTAAACTGAGTCCCCAGAAAACAGGTTCTTCTTCTGAGACATTCATTCTCTTAGAGAAAAGGAGTGACATTCTGGATGCCCACCAGCAGCAGATGAACAGCGGGATCTTGTTTACCATGGAGAAATGTTGATTTCATATTTGTCTGTATGTGTGAGATGAATGCTGGGCATGATTTACTTACTCCAGAAAGTGTTGCCTGTAACGTGGAGACACAGGATGGTTTAAAAGGCAGAGTAATCACAGCGCACACTATTCATCTTCGGCTGCCTCTGAGAGCTGTGAGGGAGCTAATTAACTCTTGCAAAGGCTGGCTGCTGGGAGAAACTGTCAGCTCCTATCTCTGTGTGGCTCTGTTCTCCCTAGCTTCTCACTAGCATGAGGTTTCCTGATCCCTCATACCCAACTTTAACCCGGAACCCCTTTGGATAGGGTTGAGAATTAAGTCACTCTCTTCTCTGAGTTAAGAGTGATGAGATGGCCGGGCGCGGTGGCTCACGCCTGTAATCCCCAGCACTTTGGGAGGCCGAGGCGGGCGGATCATGAGGTCAGGAGATCGAGACCATCCTGGCTAACACGGTGAAACCCCGTCTCTACTAAAAATACAAAAAATTAGCCGGGTGTGGTAGCGGGCGCCTGTAGTCCCAGCTACTCGGGAGGCTGAGGCAGGAGAATGGCGTGAACCCGGGAGGCGGAGCTTGCAGTGAGCCGAGATCGCGCCACTGCACTCCAGCCTGGGCGACAGAGCGAGACTCCGTCTCAAAAAAAAAAAAAAAAAAAAAAAAGACTGATGAGATTCCACATTGTTCACTTCATACCATTGCCACTTGCCACCAAATCTGGAAACCTGTACTTTCACATTGGTTGTTGGTTAGTTGTCTTGCCTAAGACAAATCTTTCTTTTCCTCTTTTAGATAGCCCTGTTTATTCCATGATTCAACCTTGGTTCTTTCATCTTTGTTCTGATTGACTCCCTTGCTAAATACCAGTCTTCCTGTGGGCTGAGACCACTGTCATCCTTATTTCAGAGTGAGAGTCTTGTTGCCCTGCACGGTCCATTCAAGACCCCAAGACTAATCCAAGGCGCTGAAATCTTGTTGCCAAAGGACAAAATTCCTTGGATAACCTTTGCCTGTCTAATTCTCCATCACTTCATTTGAAATCTTTGCTACTATTTTAGTTGTTTGATTCACCCTTTAGTGTCAGCCAGTACCTAAAGGGACCAGCTGTGCTTCTCAAACTGTGAATTGTCTATCCAGATAATGTTTTGGTGACCCTCTGTGTGCCATTCACTTGTCCAGTCCCTAGCACCACAAAAGTAAATAATACATACAAGTTCCAGCCTTCATTGTGATGACATTCTAGTGGAGGACACAAATATGAAATAAGTATATCACTGTAAATAAGATCACATCACAGGGATAAGTGCTATGATGAAAACACAACTGGTTAAGGGTTTAGAAAGTGATGGAGTAGGTAGGTAACATTTAATAAAATGATCAGGAAAGTTCTCTGGCCATTTGAAGAGGCATGACATTTGAGCCAAAACTTGAGTGACAAGAACAACTCAACTATGAGAGGGCCCACGAGAAGCGAATTTCAGGGAGAGCAAACAAGAAGTGAAAGCCCTGATCTGCAAGTGAGACAAAAGCAGTTAGAGGGACAGAAAGAAGGGCAGCATGGCTGAAGCCAATGAAGTGCAGAAAAAAGTGTGTTAGATCAGTTTGGAGGGGTCAGCTAAGGCAGGTCATGCAGGCCATGGGAAGAAATTTGGTTTTTCTCTCAAGTGCCATGGGAAATGTTTGAGGGAGTTTCCACACAGAAAAGTGGTGCATCTGATTCACCAGCTACCTACTGACTTCCTTGCCCCATTCAGCCTGTAGGGTACCAGCATTTCCAATGCCCTGCACTCAACCTATGACAGTGGCTTGTTTTCATATATGGACAGGAGTAAATAGAGGTATCATCAAGGAGGGCTGGTGATTCATTCCAACCTATACTATTACAATGCTGTCACCATGGCACGTCGGTCGGTGGTGACTGTGGTCCATTAGCTGGGGTTCAGTTGGAGCTCAGAAAATCTTCAGAGAGGAATGTAGTCAGAGAGGAGAGTCAAAACTAAGGAAGACTGCTGACTGGAATGCAGGGAAGAGGGTGGCTATAGAAGAAGGTCATGGATAGGTCTGTGGGCAGTACTAGTTTGCAAAGGTCAACCTAGAATTGTCCAGGAGGCAAATCCAGGCAATCCAATGCTGGAGGCTGAGACAGGCCAGGGAAGTGTTATAGTGAGCCTACTTCTCTGGCAAGAACTAAGAGCAGATTGCCATCCTCTTACTGGGAGCAGCACATTTCCCAGAGCTGCTCTATCCTATGGTCTATTAGGGGTAGATACCCAAGGTAGTGCCTATGTCCCTACTTCAGCTGTCAGGTCACATGCACTTCTTCTTGGCCTGAACTCAGCTAAAAGTGTGAAAATAGTGAGTGTAAGGTAGGAGTCAGTGAAGGTTAGTTTTACTTGGATGGAATGTGGATTTTTTTAAAAGTCAGAATTTTCCATCTCAGGACTAGGAGGAATTACAAAATTTCTGGTAGCTGGATTCTGGCCTGTTGTTTTTTAGGACTTTTAATTCTATGTAAAGTCTCTGTGGTCCTGAAGCTTGGAAGACAACATATGCGCAGATGGAAGAAGGTGAATGACACTGCTTGAATATGTATTATATGTCATACTTAATACCAGGGATTTTACATATATTATTTTAGTAATTTTCAATATTTCTAGGTGATGGGTAAAATAAATTCATTTTGTACCTAAAGAAACAAAAGCTCAAAAATATTAATAAACCTACCCCAGAAGAGACAATTAGCTAGCTGCCAATAAGTGATGGGGCAGCAGCAAATTTGGACTTGAAGACGGGCCTTCTGAAGGATGTGGGCCATCTGGCTTTCACACCTTTGACATTGCAACGTTGATTCCTATGGTTGGTCACTTTGGCTGATGAGGAGAGGGGGAATGTTCTATCCACCACTCTCTGGTACTTTATTGTGTAACTCATTATGATTTTTTTTTCATATTTAACTTTCCAAATGGTGATGTCTTATCTCCTCAAGTTGATTACGATCCCTTAGAACACAGTAACATTGTCTTTCTATCCCTAGCAATGCTTTTCCTTGAATGAAATCTCAATAATGTTTCTTATTGATGGATTGACAGTTCCTAAGTGTGATCAGTTAGGTCAGTTTTGGTGGTGTATCCAAGGCATCAGGGGATGGGAAGGACTCTCAGGTGCCTAGAACACACAAACCAGTCCCCAGAGAGCATCTAACCCACTAGAGACAGTGAAGTAGTGGAGTTAATTGGATGCACGCATTGAAATGTCCAATAATTGAATTACACTCTTGCTACACTAAGAAAAACTAGAGAAAAGCATAAAGGAAAAAGAAATTATTGTCTTAGTTTACCATTTTCTGGCCTTTTCCTACGTTTAAAAATCTTTTTAGATCTTGTCTGAGGTCTTTTCACTTCCCCATTTCTCCTGCTGAATTCTGGGTGCCCGGAGGTTCTCCAACAATGCTCCTTTCTAGAGTAAAGGCTTGTGGAATAGTAGGGCTACATTCATACTTAGACTGTGTTTCACCATGAATTGCTTGTTTGAGAGGTTTGCTTCATACAAATATGAATCTATTAGAACTTAAAGTCCAACAAAATGTTAGCCATAACAGGATATGCTATGTAATTTTTTGGAAAAGAAAGAAAACAAGCCCTTTCTACTTCTTTATGCATGATAACTAAGTGATTTCAAATAGTACCAGAATTTCTATTTTTAAGACTGGTAAGAATATTTTCTCATTGTCACCCTTGATACCTAAGATGATGGTTTAATATTGTTCACCCTGTATACTGATGAAATTTTTTGTTTGATTGGCTTTGTGTCTGATATTTGGTTTTGAAAGAAAATTTTATGGTTTTTGTTTTATGAATAAATTATTGTTTGATGTTCCACTTTTCAGAAGGTTGAACAAATAACCATTCCAGATATTGTACTCTGGCTTTTTCCATGTTCCCAACTACTGTCTCTATCAAAACTCCTTCAGTTGTAGTTTAAAAATTAATTTAGTATCCCAGGAAAGATGAAAGGCAAAGGGGAGCCAGGAAGAAATATAAATGCCTCTTGTGTTCTAACCATGACTTCATAGTTGCTGGGACCATGAACTCACAGATTGGTCACTGTGAAATTAAGCACAGGGAGGCCTGGGACCTCAGTGTCCCAGAAAATGGGCCTAAGCCAACACAAGAATCATTTCCAAGGAAACTCAAGGCAAGACAAAATGACTTAGAATGGCCCACATGTGGAGTTGGCACACAACATACACAGACTTACAGTCCTACCTGGATTTTAATGAAGAAGTGAATTTCTAGACAAGAACAGGGAACAGTTGCTCAATGTTACTCCACAGGTTGGTGTGAAAAGAAAGTGAACAAGTTAGGGAAAACAAATACAGGGAAGACAGGAAGTTTTTAAGCAGACACAGGCCTTGGAAACACATTTGACTCACTTAAGAATTCTGTGTTTCTGCATCGTCCCCCCACGGCTGGAGTCTCAGGGCCTGCTCTGTCACACATGCAAAACCAATCTGCTCCCGTGACATGGAGCATGAAAGTTCATCTCCTAAAACTTTACACCCTATTGAAAGAATATAATAGTGTTAAAGAAAAGCTAATTCTGTGATCCTTTCGCATCGGGCTACAGATGGGATGCCATTTTCAAGGGACCTTTTTTTGCCCCAGTTCCCATCAAATAGCTCCTGAAATAGGCATGATACAGCCCCCTTGAATAAAATAAAATACCTTATTTAATTGCCTGAATGACACTCGGGATTGTGCTGCCAAAGCAAGCCCAAACAGGCCCAACCAGAGGCAACATCAAGCGGGGGGAACTTGACTCTGAGGCAGCTCCAGCCCCAGCCCACACCGACTGACAGCCCAGGCTGATGGAAATCAAAACAAGTCTGGGGAAATGCAAATGAAACCTGTAAAGGAGCTGAAAGGAGAAGAAACCATTTCCCAGGGTAATGAGCTCGTTGATTGCAAGGATGGCACCTCAGCCTGGCCTTCAGGACTCAGCCTTTACACAGGGAAGACAGGGTCAGGGTCCAGTGAGACAGGAGGGGCATCTGACCAGCCACAGCCACTAATTCTGCTTACCCGCTTGCTGCCCCTTTGGCTCCAGAATTCTGGGTCCATCTTGGTTTTCTCTGTATGTTTCTGCCATTTGTGAGAATTTGCCCAGGGTCCACAGCATTTTTACTACTGCAAGGGCAGCAAGGCTTGGATCTTTCAGGAGACCCCCAACTTTATTTATTGGTTGAGCTCATCCTAGTTTTAAACATTGTTAAAATCACAAGAACACCATCTACCTGTCCTGTCTGTGTCATCTGTTGCGGGTCTCCAAGGAGCTTAGATGAATAAGTTGTGAATTATACTGCTTTGTGGAGGATACAGTTTTTACCTGGAAACATACATTACACTAAACCAAGTGGTGATTTTTGCCCAGCACATATCTTGCAAGAACTCCTGCAACAGAATTATATTAGAAAGATTTGTAGTCAAAATGCAGAATATTTTGCAGTAATCAAATATTTATTCAAAATGCACAATATTCCTCAGTGTATAAAGCTAGTAAATTCTCTACTCATCCCAGCCTTCTTTAGAATATCAGACATTGTTGAGACATTTTTAACATGGGCTTCCTCCTGGTCCTTCCTTTTTCCAACAAGATGCTTTGGTCCCTCCCCACTCCTCTCTAATTTAAAGCTTCTTCTATCCACTGATTTAGAGCGGCTATTTCATCTGCATCATATTTTGGGACAAAAATTTAGAACAAGTAGTTTATTTGGGAAGTAATCCCAGGAAATACTAGTAAAGGACTGAGGAAGTAAGACAAGGAAAGGAAGAGGCAATAAAAGGTGTGTTACCAAGTAGATAACCACTGTAGATAACTGAAATTATTCCTGCTGGGGAACTCTGGGAGCCTGTGTAGAACACCTCCTGCAGAGTTATCCCACCTGAGAGGCCAACCGCCTGCGCTACTTTTACATCAATCCTCATTACTCATTAGTTAAGGACTGCTGGAGAAGGAGCATTAGTTCTCCAGCACTTCTGACCCAATGAGCACATGGGCATAATAGAGTTTAGTCACCAAGGAAAACCCTCAGGCACAGAGATGCATTTTGCTGGTGGTTGGCTGTCAGGTATGATAATGTAAAGCCCAGGGGAATGAGGGGAAGCACTGATAAAACCTACTCTCATAATCCCAGCAGAATTCTTTGGCAGACAAACGGGGAAGAACTTTATTTCTCTACATTTGCCATCTTATTTCCTTCTTTCTTATCCAGTTGTTTTTTTGCTGTTCAGAGATATCCTCTGAGAAGCATACCATCACTTGCATCAATGGACTATTGAGAGGAGGTTCTTAAATGTAGATTCATATTGACAATCCACGAAAAGTCTCTGGCTAGGAAGACAGTGTCAAGGTTCCCATCTACCTGTGTAGATTGTCCCAGCCCTGAGGTGCCCAGCTGAGAAGGCAGTGATGGCAAAGCTCCAATGTGTGCTGTGTTGCAGGGCTGCATCTTCTTGTAAAAAGGTGTGCATTGCTTTTTCTCAAAAGGTGCTGTTCACTCATCAAGCATGTGTCCAGACAGAGGAGGTATTTGTTGTAATTTGCATAAAGTTGGTGCTGTATCAGCTGCATGCTTACTCCACCTTATGACCCAGGTTCTCAGGGTAACTGGCTATTAGTAATAAACTCTTTCCAATGAGATCAGTGGAAATCAGGGAATGAAGTTCTGCAAATATTCGCACAGACATTAAAACATCACAAGCCCTGCCCTGACTGCAAAGCTTCCTGCAGGATTTTACCTGAAAAAAATAAACAGTTTCACCAAGGTATTAATGCAAAGGGGTGAGGCAGGTAAAATCTAGGTATAGCATGGACACCTGTGTTTTCCAAATCAGGACATGTGAGTCTCAGTAGGTACATTATGGGAAATTCTAAAGAGACTTTTATAGAGTGTCTATGGCTTCAACTGTGTGCTTCTGAGGATATTGTGACAGGCCAGGGAAGGAAACCTCCCATGATTTTTTTCACGTGGATTTTGACAAAGGAAAGTAATAATTTGCTGAAGTGGAAAGAGCCCTGAAATAGAAGCCCAGAGGCAGCAGTATTCCTAGTTTGGCCTTAAAATAGCCATAACTTATGAACCAATGATTTCATAGCTAGGTATCAGTCCTAGGGAAGGAAGCTAAAATGTGGACAGGGATTTATGCACAAAAATGTTTATTACAGCATTGTGTACAATAAAAAACCTGGAAACAGTCAAAATACCTGGTGGTTAAGGTATGGTTAATTAATGCAATTAATGTTTGAAAACAATTTTTAATAACATGGAAGAGTAATGGTAAGTGAGCAAAGTAGAATACAAGGACAGTATATAAGGTTAGGGTGTGGGGAGGAGTGGAAAAAAGGCTGAGGGGAAACGTGCCAAAACATTAAGATATTTTTGCCTGTAGGTAATGGGATTATGAGTGATCTCTTTTTCTGCTTCTTACATTTTTTTATACTACCATTTTTCTGCAATTAAGTATCCTGCACATTCTGAAAAAAATAACAAAAGAAAATTACTGTTATTCTAGCTCTGAAATGCCGATTCGGATTCTTAGCTCTGATACTTGTGGAGTATTCGAGCCATTGGTTCAGTGCAGAGAGGGCCAGGGCCTGTTTGAACCCATGCTGTGATATGCAGTTTAGAGTTTTTAGGGAGTTACCAGTGCTTCATCCTCATAATGAGCAGCACCAAAGATACTGAGAAGGAAAGAACATTAATTATAACATATATGGATATGATATTTAATTCTGGTTAAAATTTGATTCTGTTGAGTTCTTTTGGGCATTCCATCTGAATGCAATCAGCTCTAATAGAGATACAAAAATTGAGTTCAGGGATCTGTAAGAGGGAAGAGCTTTCATCAGTTCTTGGTGAACTTATTTAGATATTACCTGACACCGTGGGACTCTCTGGGATACCAGCTTGTACCCATCTATGACATCTGTATTTTAGCTCACTGCAGTTGCAATGTTGACATTTGAGTTGGGTTTTGAAGGGTGAATAGGAGTTCTCCTGTTCAATAGAGAAGCACTGGGGAGCAGGCATTTCTGGCAGAGAATTGCATTTGCAGAGACAAAAGGTTTTATTCAAGGGACACTGTAGAGAGGGGTAAGGAGCTTCATGTGGCTGTGTAGGCTGTACGTTTTGGGGAATGGAATGGGAATAGCAAAAGATAGCTAGTTAGAATCAGGTAAGAAGAGAGGACTTACAAGTTTCACTTAGGAGCTTGAATGTTATCTTCAAGGTAAAGAACATCTTTTAGCAGAAGAGGGACCCTGGTAGTTGTTTCCTACATTGGTTATTCACATTGTGTTATCATGAATTTTTATATTTGTAGCCCACATTTCCTTTTTTTACCCATGAACTCAGTCTTTTAAATTTAAATACTGTATATTTAACTTGATCATAAACAATAAAATATCATAGACTTAATAGGCTAGTTATACCTTTCAATATATTTGCTATAATAATATACCTATTAAAATAAAGATAATTTGCTCATGTAACACCTTAACCCACTTTGCATATACTTAGCACTCTGGGGAAATGCTGTTACTGTTCATTCATTAATTCATCCATTCATTCACCTAACAACAATTTTGAGTATCTACTATATGCCAAGAGATGATAAAATAGCATTAGAGACTATGAAGATTATTTTTATATCATTATGAAATTACAATACAGTTAGATGAGTATATTAATAAAGGGAGTATATTTTTTAAAGATTCATGTAGAAATACTATAAGAAATTGTTTATAGGTAACAAAACTGGAGACAGAAAGACTTGTCAGAAGGCTCCTGCAGTGGCCCAGGTTGAAATACGATGAAGACTTGATCTAAGGTGCTGGCAGAAGAAAATGAAAAAAGGAGACACGTGAAATATTTTTATACAGTAAAAATCAACAGGCCTTGATGAGCCATTTGGTGCGTGATCTCTCCTGAGGGGAAGCGAGAGGAAGGCGTAAAGGCTGACAAAGTGTTTTAGTTCACATGCTCTCTTCTTTATCTGACACCCTAAGGGAGCTTGTCTGGCTCAGCCTCCTTCCCGTGTATCTTCCTGTACTTCAGCGGCCTGCAGAACTAACAACTGCATGTCCCAGACTATCTTGAAGCTAAGTTTTCCAGCAGCAGAATGCACTCATGCAAGACTAGAATTTGGAAGTGAGTTAAGCAGGGGGAAAGGTATGGCAGGGAAGCATCCATTTTCTTCTGGAATGGACCTGGATGCCACAGCATGGCTTTGGAGCCAACACTCCTGGCCAAGGCTTATGCCCCACAATCGCTGCTCTATGGGTATGAGCCTAGGGCTGGCAACTGGCCCAATAATTTCCTGACTTTTCTTCTTGCTGAGTGACACAGCAGACAGAACAGTTCTCTCAGTGGATCACTTTGGCATTGTCACTCTAGAATCATCTTTGGAGGCCCACCTGGAGCCTACTCCTCTAGCCCTTCCACTGAATTTGTAAACACCCAATTTCCTTTATTAAATTTCTCTCTTTAAAATAGCTAGAATGGGGTTGGGGGTAGTGGCTCACATCTGTAATCCCAGCACTTTGGGAAGCTGAAGAGGGTAGGATCACTTCAGCCCAGGAGTTCGAGACCAGCCTGGGTAACATATAGTGAGATCCTGTCTCTATAACAAAAAGCAAAAAACAAAACAAAACAAAACCCCACAAATTAAAATAGCTAGAATGGTTTCTGTTTTCCACCCCCAAACCTTGACTGATTCCACTACTCAGAGTCAGATTTAGTCAAAGACTGTCTTACACAACTTAATATTTGTGTGCATGTGAATCCCTTATACTCAATTAGTCTGTAAGGTCCTTGGAATTTGCCTGTCTTAGCAAATATCATTAAACTTATTTTGAAGAAAGCACTATTTGTCTTCTTGATTCTGATTCTGAAAAGAGTTTAGAATCACACAGATAAAATAAAATATTATTGACTCAAGAGAAAACAGTCCCAGGACCACTAGTGGGCAAAAGATGTTCACTTGTGTGGGTGTAATCTTGGCCATAGAAGAGAAGCCTCCTGTTGTTTAAGCATCATGGTGACATTGGATTGAACCATAGTGGAGATGAGGGGAGGACACACGACAGATTTTAGAGTTCTGTGAACTCTGCTGCACATCTCTTGTTGGAGGGAGGAAAGGGACCCTTCCATGACTGTTACTTCCAAGGGCTAACATCCCAGCAGGGGAGGAGCTTGTCTAATGAGCCCGTAACAACTAAGAGCAGTGTGGTTCTTGACCCTGGCTGCCCATTATAACTCCCTACTGGCACTAATGACCTGCCCTCAGAGATTCTCATTTATTTCATTTAGGAGAGGTCTAGGAATCACTAATTTTAAAAGCCTCCAATACATCTAATGTAGCAGGGTTGAGAACCACTGACCTAGTGCTCCAATGTTTTGCCATGCAGACAGTCATAGTGGGGTTTGTATTTTTAAATAATTTCCTATATCTCTATTGGATTTATTGTTTAGTCTGCATTGTCATTTGTGGCGTTTTACATTCATACTTTCTCATTCTCATTTTTTTCCTTGTTCTATCTTGTCAGAAAAGTTTTTATTACTAATGTTTGGGTTTTGTTTATTCTATAATTTAGCTACATCTCACAGATTTTGACATGTAGCTTACTTAGAACGATTTAGTTCTAAATATTTTCTAATTATTATAATTTATTTTCTGACTCATGAATTATTTTTTAAAATGTGTGCATTTGTTTATTTAAAGTCTATTCATATGGGTGGATACCTTCCCTTTTTCTTTTTTTTTAAATTACTTTTGGCCTTTTTGACAAATATCTCTCCATTTTATCCACCCTCCAGCCCTTGCCAACCACCATTCTACTCTCTGCTTCTCTGGCTCAACTTTTTTAGATTCCATGTATAAGTGAGATCATGCAGTTTTTGTCTTTCAGTGACTAGTTTATTTCATTTAGCATAGTATCCTCTAGGTTCATTTATGTTGTTGTAAATAGTAGGATTTCTTTCTTTTGAAAGCTGAATAGTATTATATTATATACATACACACATATGCACATATATATACACAAACACACACATACACATATAAATCCATATATATCTCATATTTTCTTTATCCATGTATGTATCAGTGTACACTTAAGTTAAATCCATGTCTTGTCTATTGTGAATAACACTGTAATAAACACCGGAAAGCAGATATCTCTTCGAGATACTGATTTTATTCCCTTTGGATATATACGCAGAAGTAGGATTGCTGGGTCATATGGTAGTTCTATTTTTAACCTTTTCAGAAACTTCTATACTTTTTTTCACAACGGTTGTATCAAATCACATTCACACAATAGTGTACAAGTGTTCCCTTTTATTCTCATTCTTGCCAACACTTATCTGTTGTCTTTTTTATCATAGCCATTCTAACAAGTGTGAGGTGATATCTCATTGTGGTATTTATTTAAATTTTCCTGAAGATTAGTAATGTTGAACATTTTTTCATATACCTGTTGGCCATTCATATATCTTTTTTAAAGAAATGTCTATTAAGGTGCATTCCCATTTTTTAAGTGGGTTATTATTTTTGGCATTGAGTATTGTTTTGATATTTGGTATTAATACTGAGCTCCTTTTATATTTTGGATATTAACTCCTTATCAGCTGTATGGTTTATAAATATTTTCTCTCATTTCACAGGTTGTCTGTTCACTATGTTGATTGTTTCCTTTGCTGTGCCAAAGCTTTTTAGTTTAATGTAATCCTATTTGTTTATATTTTCCTTTGTTGCCTGTGCTTTTGGAGCATATCCAAAATAATCATTGCTCAGACCAATGTCATGGAGCTTTTTACCTATGTTTTTCTTGTAATAATTTTACAGTTTCGGGTCACATATTTAAGCCCTTAATCCATTTTTAATAGATTTTTATAAATGACGTAAGCTAAGGGTCTAATTTCATTATCCTGCTTGTGGATAACCAGTTCTCCCAGCACCATGTATTGAAGAGACTATTTGTTCCCCGTTGTGTATTCTTGGCAGCTTATCAAAGATCAATTGATTGTAAATGTGTGGATTTGTTTCTGGGTTCTCTATTCTGTTCTATTGGCCTACATGTCTGTTTTTATGTCATTAACATACTGTTCTGATTCCTATGGCTTTGTAGTATGTTTTGAAATTAGATAGTGTGATGCCTCCGGTTTTGTTCTTCTTACTCAAGATTGCTTTGATTATTTGGGATCTTTTGTAGTTCCACATGAATTTTAGAATTCCTTTTTCTATTTCTGTGAAAAATGTCATTTGAATTTTGATGGGGATTGCATTGAATTTATGGAATACTTTGGGTATCATGAACATTTCAATGATATTAATTTTTCCAAACCACCAACACTGGATCACTTTCCTTTTGTTTCTTCTTCAATTTCTTTCATCAATTTTTTATAGTTTTCAGCATACAGATTTTTTCCCTTTATTAAATTAATTCATAAGTATTTTATTTATTTTTGATGGTATTGTAAATGGAATGTTTTCCTTAATTTTTTCAAGTAGTTTGTTGTTAATATAGTGAAACAATTGATTTTTGTATATTAATTTTATATCTTGCAACTTTACTAAACTTGTTTATTAGTTCTAACAGGGTTTTTGTTGGTGCAGTCTTTAGAGTTTCTCTATATAAGATTTTTATCTGCAAACAGAGACAATTTAACATATTTCTTCTAATTTGGATGCCTTTTATTTATTTATTTATTTATTTATTTTTTTGCCTCATTGATCTGGTTAGGACTTTCAGTACTATATTGAATAGAAGTGGTGAGAATGGGCATCCTTATCTTATTTCTTACCATAGAGAAAAAAGTTTCAGCTTTTTACCATTGAATATAATGTTAGCTGTGGATTTTTCATATATGGCCTTTATATGTTGAGGAACATTCCTTATATACCTAATTTATTGACAGTTTTTATTATGAAAGGAGGTTCAAATGCTTCTTCTGCATCTATTGAGATGATTATATGATTTTTATTCTTTATTCTCTTAATGTGGTGTATCACATTGATTGATTTGCATATGCTAACTACTCTTCTATCCCAGGGATAAATCCCACTTGATTATGTAGTGTTGTGTTGAATTAGGTTTGCCAATACTTTGTTGAGGATTTTTGCATCTATGTTATTCAGGGATATTGGCCTATAATTTTCTTTTCTTGCAGTGTCCTTGTCTGACTTTGATATCAGGGAAATGCCAGCCTTGGAAAGTACATTTGAATGTATTCCTTCCTCTACAATTTTTGAAAGAGTTTAAGAAGGATTGATATTTATTTGTTTTTAAAAGTTTGGTAGAATTTACGGTAAAGCCATGAAGTCCTAGATTTTTCTTTGTAGGGAGATTTTTTTTTTTTTTTTTTTTTTTTTTTTGAGGCAAAGTCTTGCTCTATAGCCCAGGCTGGAGTGCAGTGGTGCAATCTCAGCTCACTGCAAGCTTCACCTCCTGGGTTCAAGTGATTCTCCTGCCTCAGCTTCCTGAGTAGCTGGGATTACAGGTGCCTGCCACCACGCCCTGCTAATTTTTTGTATTTTTAGTAGAGATGGGGTTTCATCATGTTTGCCAGGCTGGTTTCGAACTCCTGACCTCAAGTGATCCGCCCGCCTTGGCCTCCCAAAATGCTAGGATTACAGGCATGAGCCACCACACCCGGCCTGTAGGGAGATTTTTGATTATACTGATTCAATCTCTTTGCTCATTATTAGTCTGCTCAGATTTTCTATTTTTTCATGATTCAATTTTGGTAGGCTGTATGTTTCTAAGAATTTATCTATTTATTCTAGGTTATCCCATTTGTTGATATGTAACTGTACAAAGCAGTCTCTTTTGATTATTTGTATATCATAAGAATATCAGTTGTAGTTTCTTCTTTTTTATTTATAATTTAATTTATTTGAGCCTTCTCTCTCTTTTCTTGATTAGTCTAGCTGAAGATTTGTCAATTGTGTTTATCTTTTCAAATAACCAACTCCAATTTCATTGATCTTCTGTAACTTTCTTAGTTTCAACTTCATTTATTTCTATTCTGATCTTTATTATTTCCTTCCTTCTGCTAACTCCAGCTTAGTTTGTTCTTCTTTTTAAGTTACTTGAGGCATAACATTAAGCTTTTTATTTGAGATCATTCCTTTTTCTTAATGTGGGTGTTTATCACTAAAAACTTCCCACTTAGAAATGCTTTTGCTACATCTCATAAGTTTTATTTTAGTTTGAATATCATTTTTAGTCTTAATTGATACATAATCATTATACATATTTATGGGGTACAGAGTGATATCTTGATACATGCATAAAATGGGTAATGATCAAATCAAGGGAACTAGCAAAACCATCATCTCAAACACTTATTATTTCTTTTGTTTGTTTGTTTTTGAGACAGAACCTCACTTTGTCAACCAAGCTAGAGTCCAGTGGCGCAATCTTGGCTCACTGCAACTTCCCAGATTCAAGCGATTCTCATACCTCTACCTCAGCATCCCGAGTAGCTGGAATCATAGGCATGAGCCGCCACTCCTGGTTAATTTTTTTTTTTTTTTTTTTTTTTTTTTTTTTTTTTTTTTTTTTTTTTTTGAGATGGAGTTTCACTCTTGTTGCCCAGGCTGGAGTGCAATGGTGCCATCTCGGCTCACTGCAACCTCTGCCTCCCGGGTTCAAGCCATTCTTTTGCCTCAGCCTCCCAAATAGCTGGGATTACAGGCACCCACCACCATGCCTAGCTAATTTTTTGTATTTTTAGTAGAGACAGAGTTTTACTGTGTTGGCCAGGGTGGTCTCAAACTCCTGACCTCAGGTGATCCACCCGCCTCAGCCTCCCAAAGTGCTGGGATTATAGGTGTGAACCACCGCGCCCGGCCCAATTTTTGTGTTTTTGGTAGAGACAGGGTTTCATCATGTTGGCTAGGCTAGCTTTGAACTTCTGACCTCAAGTGATCCACCTACTTCTGCTTCCCAAAGTGCTGGGAGTACAGGCATGAGCCACCGTACCTCGCCTATTATTTCTTTTTGTTGAAAACATTCAGAATCCTCTCTTCTACTTATTTGAAAATATATCATAAATTATTGTTAACTATAGTTACCCTGCAGTGCTATAGAACACTAGAACTTATTATTTCTATTTAGCTATAATTTTGTATCTATTAACAAACCTCTCCCTATCCCCGCAACCAACCCTCCTACCTTTTCCATTGTCTAGTAACCGCTATTCTCTCTACTTTTATGAAATTAATTTTTTAAAGCTTCTATGTATAAGTGAGAACAAACAGTATTTATCTTTCTTTGCCTGCCTTATTTCCCTTAACATAATTTCATAAGTTTTGGTATGTTGTGTTTCCATGTTTTCCTGTTCCAAGTTTTTTTTTAAATTTCCCTTTTGATTTCTCCTTTGACCTGTTGGTTGTTCAGGAGTATGTTGCTTCTTTGACTCATTGGTTGTCCGGGAGTATTTGTGAATTTTCAAATTTTCCTTCCGTTACAGATTTCTAGTTGTATATCATTGTCATCAGAAAATATATTTGATATGATTTCAATCTTTTTAAATTTGTTAAGGTATGTTTTATAGTGTAACATTTTTGCTCTATACTGATGAATGTTCCATGTGCGCTTGAAAGGAATGTGTATTCTGCTATTGTGTGAATAATATTGTTTATGTCTATTAGGTCCATTTGGTCTGTAGTGTTCAAGTCCACTCTTTTCTTATTCATTTTCTTTCTGGACTATCTATTCATTGTTGAAAGTGGGGCATTAAAGTCCCCTACTATTATTGTATTGCTATCTATTTTTTTCCTTCAGTTCTGTAAACATTTCCTTTATATATTTAGGTGCTCCAATATTGATGCATATATATTTACAATCTTTATGTCCTCTTGATAAATTGATCCCTTTGTCATTATCTAATGACTTTCTTTGTCTCTTGTGACAGTTTTTGACTTATAGTCTACTTTAATGTAAGCATAGCCACCTCTTCTTTCTTTTGGTTACCATGTGCATAGAATATATTTTTGCATCTCTTTGCTTTTAGGCTATGTGTTTTCTTAAATCTAAAGGGAGTCTCTTTTATTTAGCATATAATTAAATTTTGTTTCTTTAATCCATTTAACCATGCCATGTCTTTGGATTGGAGAATTTTATTCACTTACATTTAAGGTAATTATTGATACTTAAGAACTTAATATCGCTGTTTTTTGCAATTATATTGATTATTTTTTAGTTGTAGTTTCTTTGCTTTTTTCTTCCTTTCTTTCTTTGTGATTTGATGATTTTTTTTTTTGGTAGTGATATACTTGGATTTTTCTTCTTTATTGTCTGTGTATCTAATACAGTTTTTTTATTTGTGATTACCATGAGGCTTACATAAAACATCTTACAGTTGCAGCAGTCTATTTTAAGTTGATAACAACTTAATTTCAACTGCATGCAAACACTCTACACAAACTTCTACATTTTATGTTATGATGTCACAATTTATATCTTTGTATATTGTATACTCATGAATAAATTATTGTAGCTATCTTGATTTTTTTTTTTAAGACAGGGTCTCACTTTTTCACCCAGGCTGGAGTGCAGTGGCATGACCTTGGCTCACTGCAACCTCCGCCTCCTGGATTCAAATTATTCTCCTGCCTCAGCCTCCTGAGTAGCTGGGAGTACAGGCATGCACCACTACGTCTGGCTAATTTTTTTTTTTTTTTTAGACAGAATTGCACTTTTGTTGACCAGGCTGGAGTGCAATGGTGCAATCTCAGCTCACTGGAACCTCCGCTCACTGGGTTCAAGCAATTCTCTTGCCACCACAGCCTCCTAAGTAGCTGGCATTACAGGCACCCACTACCATGCCCAGCTAATTTTTTGCATTTTTATTAGAGACAGGGTTTCGCCACGCTTTGGCTAGGCTGGTCTTTAACTCCTGACCCCTCAGGTGGTCTGCCTGCCTTGGCCTCCCAAAGTGCCGGGATTACAGATGTGAGCCACTGTGTCTGGCCAATTTTTGTATTTTTAGTAGAGACAGTGTTTCACCATGTTGGCCAGGCTGGTCTCAAATTCCTGGCCTCAAGTGATCCACCCACCTTGACCTCCCAAAGTGCTGGGATTACAGGCGTAAGCCACTGTGCCTGGCCACTATACTGATTTTTAATTCTTTGGATTTTATCCTTTATACTAAAGCTAAAATGATTTATGCATCAACATTACAGTATGATGGTATTTGCATTGGACAATATTCTCACCTTTACAGTGAGTTTTATACTTTTATAGGTTATGTTGTTAATGTCCTTTAAATTTAACTTGATGTACCCTCATTAGCATTTCTTATAAAGCAGGTCTAAGAGTGATGAACTCCCTCAGCTTTGTTTATCTGGTGGGGGGAAACATCTTTATTTTTCCTTCATTTCTGAAAAACAGCTTTACTAGGTACAGTATTCACGGTTAGCAGGGTTTTTTGTTTGTTTGTTTTTGTTTTGTTTTGTTTCTTTCAGTACTTTAAATATTATCCTACTCTCTCGGCCTGCAAGGTTTCTGCTGAGAAATCCACTTATAGTCTTAATGGGGTTTCCTTGTATGTAATGAGTCAATTTTGGCTTGCTGCTTTCAAAAATCTCTGTCTTGACTTTTGAGAATTTGATTATGATCTTGGAGAAGATCTTTTTATGTTTAACCTATCTGGAGTTCTTTGGGAATCATGGGTCTGGATGTTTATTTCCCTCTTCAGATTTGAAAAATTTTCTGTCATTATTTATTTAAATAAGCTTTCATTCCTTCTCCTTTCTCTGCTCCTTCTGAGACTCCCATGATGTGTATATGTTACACTGCATGATGTCCCATAAGTCCTGTAGGCTTTCTTCACTATTTTTTATTCTATGTTCTTTTTGTTCCTCTGAATGGGTAATTTCAAATGATCTATATTCAAGCTTACTAATTCTTTCTTCTGCTTATTTGAGTCTGCTGTTGAAGGTATCTATGGGATTTTTCAGTTCATTTGTGTTCTTCAGCTCCAAAATTTCTTTTTGGTTCTTTTTTTACGGTTACTATCTCTTTGTTGAATTTTTATTTTGTTCATATATTGTTTTTCTTTTTTTATTCAGTTGTCTATGTGTTCTCTTGTAGCTCACAGATATTCTTTAACATAATTATTTTGAATTCTTTGTCATTCACTTTGTAGATCTCCATTTCCTTAGGCTCAGTCATTGGTCCATTGTGCTTCCTTGATTATTTGTGATCCTTGTGGATTCATATTGGTATTTGCTCATCTGAAGAAGTAAGCACCTTTTCCAGTCGATAAAGACTGGCTTCTGGCTTCAGTGTTTACAGAGATATTGGTCAGGCTGCCTGTGAGGTCTGTGGGCAAGCTTATTGCTGGAGTCCTTGGGCAGGCTGGCCTGGTATCTGAGCCAGCAAACAGGCCTAGTGCCAGAGTCTACAGAGGCTGAATTGGGGCTTGGATCTGAAAGAGTGGGCCTGCAATCTAGGTCCATAGTGCAGACCTTAGGGCTGTAGGAGCTAGCTTAGTGCATCAGTCTACTCAGGTGGGCCTGGTGCCGAGGTCCATGGGGATGAACCTAAAACCTTGGTAGATAGGGTATGCCTTGGATCTGGGATGGGCCTTAAGCATGAATCCATGGGAGTGGGCCTGGTACTGAAGCAGGCCTGGAGCCTGAGTCCTTAGTGTGGGCCTGGAAACTAAATTTCAGGGGCCAACTTGGTGGTGGGCAGGACTAGGTCATGGATCCCCAGATGGTGGCCTGGGTCTCTGGGTACTGGTCTGGTGCCTATAGTTGTGGGTGCCAACTTGGAGCCTGGAGTTACAGGTGCTGGCCTGGAGCCTAGGTCTATGGAGACTGGCATAGTGCCAACGTTCACAGAAGTAGGCCTGGTGCTAGGGTTCATGCTAAAGTTGAGTGCTCACTTCACTGTCCTTCCCCCACACAGAAGGTATCTCTCTTCATGATGTGCTGTGTGGGCCTGAGGGGAGTAAGACATGGGTAATATGAAACTATCCTACCTACATTCTTCAAATGTGTATTTTCTTATTTCTGTGCTCTACACAGGTACTACAATCTTTCACCTAGACTCCTTAGCTCTTGGGAAGGTAATTTTGTGCATGGATAGTTGTTCAAATAGATGTTTCTGTGATAAGATGAGCTCTGAAAACTCCTATGTCACCACTTGTTGACATCACGGCATTCTACCCACTGCTTTTTCTAGATCCTAGGCCAATGAGCACAGATGAGTGGAGAGTACAGTGCTAAATAATAAAGAAAAAAATGATACATTTGACTACACTAAAAATGGAAAATATACATGTAATAAAATGTCCTACAAACAAAGGGAAAAAATAAGTCATAGAATGGGAGGAGTTATTTCTAATGCCTAATACCCGGCCAAGTTTCAAGATCCAGAATTCCTACAAAGCAATAATAAAAAGATAAAAACATGACACAAATGATATGAATAAGACAAATGATATAAATAAAATAATTTAAAGATTATCAAAAACTTCAGATACTCAAGCTCAGTGAAATTAAAATACAAATGAGATTTTTTACTTGCCAAATTGAAGAACTTCAAAATACTCTGATAATATTGTTTGCAAAGGCTTTTTTAAAAGAGTAGTTGCTGTTCATTTCTAATAGGAATGTAAATGTGTATAGTCACTCTGGAGAAGTTTTGACTCTTTCTATTAAAACAAAAAAGTGTGCATACTCTTTGACCCAGCAACTTCTTCCCCAGTTATCTATTTAGGCCTACCCCTTTACACCTCCCCCTGGCAAATGGAACTTTTGACCAATGCTATAGTTTTTCCTTTTCCAGAATGCCACATAATTGAAGTAATAAGCACTGAGACCTTCACCTGTATTTTCATAAAACTATTTGTTGGTAATTGGAAACATTAGAAACAATTCAAATGTGAATCAAAAAAAAATGAAGAAATAAATGTGGGTACATGGTAACCATACAGCAATCAAAAGAAACATTTAGGTCAATACATATCAGTGCAGAGAGATCTAAAAACAAAAAATACAAAAAAAAAAAAAAAAACACTGTTGAGTTAAAAAAGCAAACTGCAAATTGCTATAAACCTGATCACACTTTAAACCTTAAAAACACATACCAAATAATACTATAGAGTTCTGCGGATGCACATAAAAATGTAAAAGTGTATGTTTTAAAAGGCTAAAAATAAAACAAAATCACAATAGTATTACATCTGTGGAGAGGGTGAGGGGCTCAGAATTAAAAGGGATCTACATGTAAAGGAAATAAAAAGTATGTCAAAATGTTACACTCTTGATTGTTGATGGCAGAAATATGGAGAATTTTTTAAAAATTTATATTTTACAGAATTTTTTGACATAAAATTTTTTAAATCTCTGTTGCCAAGAGGCCTAGGTTTATAACTCATCTCTGCTGTTAACTCTGCTGTTAACTTAAACAAGTAACTTCCTCCATCTCTACATTTCTTCCTGAGTCCACTCAAATATGTTTGAATAAAGGAATGACTTTAATCTCTATTCTAAAGTTGATGCTTCTCTCATGCTAAGGGCTAGGGAAGAATCCTTAGTTTTTCCTCAGTTTGGAAGGAAAATCTCCTGATTCTCAAGGTTAACTCTGAGATCACCTTAATAGTCATCTTTCAGTGACAAAGGTGGAAGGTTCATTTTCCCCCTCATCATTACAAGACTATGCATTTTTTAATCTGTGGCCTAACATTTATTTTCTCTTTGAAGCAAACCTTTCTGCCAGCATCCAACATCCCAGAGAAGGGTTACAAATAGAAATAGAGAAGTCCAAAGTGCATTAAAATACCAGGTTGTTGACAGGAGAGAAAAAAATAGCTCCTGCTAATAACCTGATTTGACATCTGATTTATGTGGCCCTAAAAGGACAGTCATAAAAAATGTGTACGTGAAGGAATAACACCAAATGATTTACAAAGGCCTTGGGAGTGTGGGCGATGGGATGCAGTGAGAGGGAGTGTAATAAATCTAGCAGAGAAGCTGTGCTTGATTTCTTCACCCCCCAAGGCCCAAGCACCCAGGGATTCTCTACCCATAGCACTTTTCATTCAGCCTTTTATTCAGCAAATGTTTTCTGGGTCCCCTGGCATGGCCAGCATTGGGAAAGGCAAGATGTATTTACATGTATATGTTAGAAATACATGCATAGTGAGATAGAAGGCACAAGGTATGACCCAAAGTGTTCACGGGCTAACGATGTGATAAACCAAACAGCTAAGCCAGAGATAAGATGCATCCATATGTAATAAGTGGAAGCAACTAAGGAAATTTAATTTTAAGAAGGAAAAATTCCAGGAAGACGTGATTGGTGTCCTTAGATGTCTTGAAAACTTCACTAAGAAGAGAGAAAAACAAAGCAAAACAAAAAACTTGGTCTCCAGACGACACTGGGGCCAATAAGTTAGGCAAAGCGAGTTCCTTTCTTGGATATTTACTGAGTACTTTCTAAGTGCCAAACACTGTTCTAGGCGCTAAGCCTCTAGCAATAACGCAAAAAAAATGATGACTTCCAAAACCAATGGAAGTTACACTTTTGTGGGAGGAAGACCTATGATATGCTAAACAAACAAATGTACAAACAGATATCAATAAGTCTTATAATTGCACAGGACAATGAGGTAGATTATGAGCAAGTGAAGGTGGGGGAGGAAAAGTTTATTTAGGGAAGGTGATCATAGGAGGCTCTCTGAGAAAGGGGCATTTGAGCTGACATCTGAATTGTATGAAGGACTTAAACTTGGGACAATCTGAGGAAGAGAGATCCAGACAGAAAGAACAGTAAGTGTGATTATGTTAAAACTGAAATGTCCATCTTTAAAAGAATAGGAAAGGCTACTGCAATGTGGTGAGTTAGAGAGTGAAGAACATGAAATTGGAGCTATGGATAGGAAGAAGAATATGGGCCCATAGGCACTGGTAAGGAGTTTGGATTTCACACCAGGTGCAATAGGATCACAACAAGTTGTGCAGATTCTTTCGTGGCCTGTGCCACATTCAATTAGCCAACATATGATTTCAGATGCAGGTGAATGGGCAGTTTCCATGCATACTCTTGGCATCTTTACTCAAGAATGATTTTTGTATGGTTTGCAAATATTTCCTATTTGCAATAGAAAGCAAATAGGAAGCACACTACCAGTTATCAATACTTATAAAGCCACAGTAGTTAAGGAAGTGTGGCATTAGCCCATATATAGAAAAATAGACCAACGAAATAGGACAAAATATCTAAAAGCAGATTCACACATATACACATTTAGAGACCCACACTTGATTTATAGGAAAGATGACATGGTAGTACAGTATGGAAAAGATGGAGTCCCAGATGGTATAGATGTAAATATTAAACAGTAAAGTTTCTGGAAGAAAATACAGTAGAATATCTTCATGACATTGGTGTAGGCAAAAAAAAAAAAAATGTAGAACACGTAAAGCACAAACCATAAAGACTGGTACACTGGAGCCCTTTTAAAATTAAGGATTTATCTAGAAAACCCAGAAATAAGCCCACTTGTTTGCAGTTAATTGATTTTTGAGGAAGGTGTCATAAATATACTATTAGGAAAGTACAGTATTTTTAATAAATGATGTTGGGAAAACTGGATATCTATATTCAGAAGGATATTAGATCCTTATTTTACACCACATACAGAAATCAACTCAAAATTGATTAAAACCTTGAAAATGTGAAACTGCAAAACTACTAGAAGAAAATACAGGGAAAAGTTCATAGCATTGGTCTGAGCAACAAATTTTGGATATGATCCCAAAAGAACAGGCAACAAAAGCAAAAATAGAGAAATGGAATAGCATCAAACTAAAAGCGTTCTGTACAGCAAAGAAAATTATTAATAAAGTGAAGAGACAACCCACAGAATGGGAGAAAATATTTGCAAACCATGTATCTGATAAGGAATTAATATCCAAAATATATAAGAACCTCAAACAACTCCTCAATATCAAGAAAACCAATAACTGAATATTTTTTAAATGGGCAAAGGACCTGAACAGATATTTCTCATAAAAGAAATGCTGGGGAAAAGCATCTGGTGGTATCTGGAAAAATGCTCAGCATCGATAGTCATTAGGGAAATATAAATTAAAACCATAATGAGATATCATTTCACACCTGTTAGAATGGTTTTTATCAAAAGGATGAAAGATAACAAGTGTTGGAGAGGATGTAAGAAGAGGGAACTCTTATACATTTTTGATGAGACTGTAAATTAGGACAGCCAGTATGGAAAATGGTTTGGAGGTTCCTCAAAAAGCTAAAAATGGAATTACCACTAATCTAGTAATCACACTACTTGCTATATTTCCAAAGGAACTGACATTGATATGTCAAAGCGATGTTTGCACTCCCATGTTCACTAAAGCATCATTCACAATGGCCAAGTTATGGAATCAACCTAAGTGTCCGTCAAAGAATGAATGGCTAAAGAAAATATATTCTATATACACAATGAAATACTATTCAGCCTTTGAAAAGGCGGAAGTCTTGTCATTTGGGACAATACAGATAAATCTAGAAGACGTTATGGTAGGTGAAATAAACCAGGCACAGAAAGACAAATACCATGGGATTTCACTTATATGTAGAATAATAAAGTTCAACTCATAGAAGTAGAGAGTAGAATGCTGGTTACCAGAGTCTGGAGTGGAAATGGAGAGGGTGGTGAGTTATTGATTAAAAGGTACAAAGTTTCAGATAGAAAAGAGGAATAATTTCTAGATCTATTGCATAGCATGGTGACTATTGTCAATAAAATATATTTCGAAATAACTAAGAGCGTAAATTTCAAGTGTCTCACCATTAAAAAATGATAGGAAAGTGAGGTAATGAAATATGTCAATTAACTTTATTTAATGATTCCACATTGTATTGATATATCAAAATATAGCATTGTACCCCATAAACATATATAATTATGATTTATTAATCAAAAATTTTACTTTTTTTAAAAAAAGAATTTATCAAAGGCAACATTAAAAAGGGAAAGAGCAAACCATAGAGTAGGAAACAATATTTACAATATACAGCTTACAAAATATCAGTATCCAGAAAAAAGAATTTGCACAAAATAATACGAAAAAGAGACAATCCAATAGAAAAACAGACAAAAGCCTTAAAAAGGCACTTCACAAAAGAGTCTCCAAACAACCAAAAAAGTACTTAACATTGTTACTTGTTACAGAGGTGCAAATTAAGGCCATAATGAGATACCACTACATATCCACCAGCATGGCTAAAATTAGAGAAGCTTATAATACCAAGAAAAAAAAAAAAGAAAGAAAAGAAAAGGTAGGGCAGAGGAGAGGGAGGAGAGAAGGTAAAAATGGAAACAACCCCTCTTGATTCCAGTCTCCTCTTCTGCCAGCATTGTGGGTAGCATCTGGGAAAGAACACAACAGGCAGAGTACAAAGACCCTGTGTCCGCAAAGGCCACCAGCAAGTGTAAGGAGGCAGAGATGGCTGGAGCAGAGAGCCAGGGAAAGGTAAGTAGACGTGAGGTGTGGTGGGGGTAGGGTGTGAGTAGAGCATGCAGAGCCTTGCAAGTAAGGACTTTGAATGTGAGAGAAAGAAAGAGGACATCTCTGAAGAGTTTTGAGCAAAGGACAGGAGTGAGATGATGTTTAAAATTTTAATTTGAAATTCTCCTTTACTCCTTGACTTGATAGCTTTCTCACTATGTCCTTTGTGCCTTGTTTATTCAACCTTTAAATATTTTTTTTTTCCTTTCATTCCTAACAAGTGTGATTGGGCAGCTCTCATGGATTATGCTTGCCTGCCCTCAGGGAGTCCACAGCCCAGCAGGAGATGAAGTGGTCTTGCTCTGCCTTTATTACTGGAGCTCCTCAGGGCTCAGACCTGGCCAAACTGACTGCTTTTCTCATTGTGTGAATTATCCCCCATGTTCATGACTTCAGTTGCTTCAGGAACTGAGGGGTTTCCCCAGGACAAGAAACTTTCACTGTTTAAAATCGGGAAAGTCCCAAGAAAACGGAAATGAATTGGTTACCCTAGGGATGACAACTACCAAATAGGCTACTAGACATCTCCAGTTGATGTCTCATGGCTATCTTAAGCTCAACCTGTCTGATCCTGAACTCATTATCTCTCTCAAAGCCCTTTTCCTCTAACTTCCTTCTCTCAGCAAATGGCAATACAGGCTACCCTACTGTCCATGACAGAACCTAGGAGTGGTTCCCAGTACTTGCTCTTTCCTCATGGCCACATCCAACCACATCAATCACATGATGGATATTTTTGATTACATAACAATATAGAAACAACATAGCAATACATCTGCTGCCAAGAAGCTCACATTCCAATTGAGGAAATACAGACAATACAAATAAATACAAAGCTATTCAATATGTCAGTGTTATGATAAAAGATAAAACAGAGTAAGAGAATTAGAGATAGACAGTGGAGCATGAGTTCTTGAATAGGATGGTCAGGGAGGATGTCTCTTAAACTGACACATTTGAATAGAGCCTAGAATAATAAGAGAGATCAAGTCATGCAAAGATTTAGGGAGAGTGTTCTTGGCAAAGAGAACAGCAAGTGCAAAGGCCCCGGGCATGGTCAGGGAATGACACATGGTCAGTATGGCTAGACTATAAAAGCAAAGCAGAGTAATAAGGGATGATGCCAGAAAACACAAGGCCAGATCATATTTGGCCTGTGGACCATTGTTAGAACTTCAGCTTTCACTCAGTCTGAGATGGGAAACTGTTTTGAGTTTTGAGACAAGTGTCATAATCTGATTTATGTTTTAGCAGGATCACTCTGTGAAGGGGAGCAAAAGTAAACACAGGAACAGTAGTTAGGAGGCTTCTGCAGTAGTCCAGGCAAAAGATAATGGTGACTTGGACTAGGGTGAAAGGGAAGGGAGTGGTGAGAAATGATATATTTCAAATGTACAGAATTGCTAATGGATTTAATGTTGAATGGGTGAGACATAGAAGAGTGAAAGATGTTTTTAACATGGCCTTAAATATATCCACCTCTTACAATTTCCACGGCTACTTGTCTAGTTCAAGCTAGTATCATCTCTTGCTGGAGCCTTTGCCATAACAAATAGCCTTCCTGCTGGTCCATCTTCGTCTTCTTTCACCTTTCTGAGTTATTCTCTACAGCAGAATTAGTGTGATTTTAATAAAAAGACAGGACTGGTCACACCACATCTCTACTCATTTCTCTTCAGTGATTAGAGCTCAAACTCTGTGATTCTCCTTTGTTGTAATGATCACTAGTAATTAATTGTAGACTCAGCTGTTAATATCTGTTTTTCCCACTAAAATGTAAAATCCATAAAAACATCAATGGTGCACATTTTGCTACTGCTGTATTTTTAGCATCCAGCACACTACTTTGCTTGAGGTAATTTTTTTTTGGTAAATGATTGAATACTTAAACATTGTGGTTCATATATGAAGTCAACAGACCAATAATCTCAGTTATGCAAGGACTCATGAAGTGTTTGACTCCTGCATTCTTCCTGAAAAATTACTCCAACGTCTACTTCAGCCAGCTGAAAAAAAATAAATCAAAATTTAAAACTCATAAATAATAAAGTCATGGTGTGGAAGAACTGGTAATGAGCAACTGAAAGCATTTAAGCACATAATTTATTCTAAATAACTGTGGTAAATATGGTTACAAAACAGAATGAAAGTGTCATAAATAATTCTTGAAAGAGAAGATTCTTAATTTATAAAATTAACAATAATTAACTGGGTAAAATTATCATATTATACCAATTAAAGCTGGTGGTAGCAGCTAAAATAAGGATGACAAAAGATATTATCCATCTTTGTTGAAGGTAGTAAATAATTACAGATGCATTCATAGTATAGGCTCAAGTATATTTTTTGACAAAAATAAATGTACAGACTTCTGCTTCCAGCTATGACAAAATACCCTGTATTTGACTAACTCTGCCACAAAGAGGAACTATAAAAACAGAATAAATGCAGAAAATAAATCCAGCCACTTGAAGGCAGGAGAGAATAACCAAAGTAGTCTGGACCTGAGCATATAAGACTTCAGAAAGAAGAGAAACACATTGAGGCCCCATAATCAATTTTGCTCTTTCCCCTTGGGGCATTTTCCAATTCAGGGTTTGGAGCATAGTCACTGAGAAGCAAGTGGCAGCTTGAGACTAATGGCAGTTGCATTATTCCAGAAGACAAACATTAGGGTCCTAGGCTATCAAGGTAACTAGGATTAAGGAGCCAAAATGTCAGAAGTAAAAGAAGCCTTAGAGAAGTGAGCCTGACTTCCCCCTAAAACCATTTATTGAGTTTTAAGACACACATATTCCCAGAAAAAGGCCCAAATCTAAGAAAACAAGGAGAAAATGACTGCTAAGACTCTAAACTACTAAGCAGAGTTTCAGCAGTTTTACGGCCTTGGAAACACAAGAATTGGAGTTCAGACTTAGCAAGGAAATCCTAAGCTTTCAGCTGAGACACCTGAAGAGCTGTGCTTAAGGATTAAGACAAGCCATAAATAAACTGACCCTTGCAATTCCTGAAACACATCTTCAAATAGTTTCAAATTGTGATTGGATAAAATTGATTTACTCATACTTTACTTTCAAGAAAGAAAAAAAAATCACTGGAGGAAGCAAATGCTAGCATATTTTATTTATAAAACATGTCCAGTGTCAATAGAAATTAAATTGCGTTCCAGGAAACACGACTAAATGACTAAAAATCAAGAGAAGAAAGGAAATAGAGACATACTAATCGATAATTTAGTTATTTGAAGTTATCTAGCATGGATTTTTTAAAACAGATATGACACATTTTTAACAATATAAATGAAAAGGTAAAACTTTGACCTGGAACCTATACAAAATTATTAAATAGAAATTATGAAGCTCAAAAATAGTAATAACTGAAATTAAGAACCCAATAGATGGATTTAACAGAATATTAACCATTAATTAGAAGCAATAAAGGATTCGTAAATTAGAAGATAGATCTGTAGAATATGTGGAATGGAGCACAGAGAGAAAGAGAAATGGAAATGAAAAGTAATGACCCCATGAAAAAATATATTGGGAAGTTTCAAAAAGATCTAGCATAGAAGAATTTGTTGTGTCATAAAGAGAGGAAAGATAATTTGGAAGAAGCAGTATTTGAAGCAATACTGGCTAAGAGTTTTTCAAAACTAAAGAAAACTATCATCCCACAGATTCAAGAGGCTCTATACCCACAATGAAGATGCATTACACACACACACACACACACACACACACACACACACTGTGAGGCATCTGAGAGTAAACATGAGCATCAAATTCTCATCAGAAACAAAGCAAACTAGAAGACACAGAAACTACACCTTTAAAGTGCTAAAACGAAAAGCTGTCAACCCAGAATTCTGTAGTCAGACAAAATATCTTTCATAAATAAAGGCAAAATAGAAAAATTTTCCAATAAGCAAAACCTGAGAGAATTCATCAATTCATAATTAACAGACTTACATTACAAGAATGCTGAAGGAAGTTCTTGAGACTGAAGGAAAATAATACCAGAAGGAAAATTAAATCTATACAAAGAAATAGTGTGATCAAGGAATGGCAAATACATAGGTAAATATATAACTTTTTTTACATTTAATTTCTTAAAAAAGATAATTGGCTGCTTAAAGCAAAACTAATTATATATTGTAGGATAATAATGTATGTAGAAATAAAATGTATGACAACAGCAGAGCAAAAGATGAGGGTAAATTGGAGGTTACACTTGTAAGGCTAGCATATTATGTGAGAAGTGATATATTAACCCATGGTTAATTATGACTAAAAAAATTTGCAATTCCTAGTGCAACCACTAAAGGTAAAATAGTAAAATAGTTACAGCTAAAGATAGATAAGAGAGATAAAACAGAATTTTAAAACTAACCCTTAATTAGTCCAAAATACATGGCAAGAAAAGAAATAAAATGAACAAAAAATAGATGTGATAAATAGAAAAAATATGTTACATTTATATACAATTATATTAATAATTATATTAAATATAAATGGCATTAACACTCTAATTAAAAGGCAGAGATTGACAGATTGGATATGAAAGCAGTATTCAACAATATGCACATTTTAGATATAAAGACAGGTGGCTTAGAAGCAAAAGATGGAAAATGATATACCATGCAAACACTAATCAAAATAAGCTGAAGTTGTTATACAAATATCATACAAAGCTGACATCAAAACAAAGAATTATTACCAGAGATAAAGATGGACATTTCATAATGATTAAAGTGCTAATCCATCAAAAAGGCATAACAATCCCAAGTGAGTATGCATCTAATAATAGAGCTTCAAAATGCATAAAACACAACCTGGTAGAACTGTAAGGAGAAATTGAAAAATCCACAATTACTGTTGGAAATTGTAACATGCCTCTAACATTCACTGATGGAATAATTAGACAAAAATTAGTAAGAATACAGATGATTTGAAAAGCACTATCAATCAAAGTAGCCTAATTGACATGTATATAGCAATACACTCAACAACTGCAGAAGAAATATTTTTTCAAGCACATATAAAACCGTCACCAAGATATACCTTACACTGGGCCATGAAGGAAGTCTAAGTAAATTTCAAAGGATTGAAATTCTACACAAGTGTTGTGGAATTATGACAAAATTAAAATATAAAACAAGGTATCTAGAAAACCCACAAATATTTTGAAATTAAGCAGTACGTTTCTAAACAACACAAAAGTCAAAGAAATCACAAGAAAAATCAGAAAATATCTTGGATTGAATGATAATGATAATAAAATAAAATTGATGGATTCAACTAAAGCAGTGCTTAGAGAGACATTTTAAATTCTGTTTATTTTAGAAAAGAAAAAATATTAAAATCCATAATCTAAGCTTCTACCTTAAGAGCATAAAAAAATTAAAGTAAATAGAAGGAAGGATATAATAACAATAGGAATGAAAATTAATGTAATATATAAAATGAATAGAGAAAACTAATGAAACCAAAGTCAATCTGAAAATTAAGAACAAAGTTGAAAGATTATACTACCTAATTTCAAAATCTGCTAGAAAAATCTCAGTAATTAGGACCTAATGGTATTTTTATAAAGATAAATGAATGAGACATAAATGAGACAGATTAGACCTCAAAAATATGAAATCAATAGAGACCCATACATACGATCATTGTTTTTCCAAAAACACCAAAATAGTCCATAGAAAAGGATAGTCTTTTCAACAAATGGAGTTGGAACAACTGAATACCTATGCGGTGAAAAATAAAAACAAAGCAAAAATACTGGGTGTTATTTCATATTATACACAAAAATGAACTCAAAATGGATCATAGATCTAAATTTAAAGCTAAAAATATAAAGCTTTCAGAAGAAAACATAAAATAATCTTTATTATCTTATGGGAGAAAACATGTCTTAAGGCACAAAAAGCACAAGCCATGAAGGAAAGGATAGATATATTGGATTTTATCACAATTAAAAGCTTCTGCTCTTCAAAAGGACCATTAAGAAATTGAGACGACAAGTTGCAGATTGGGAGAAAATATTCATTGAACAAATATCTGATGAAAGACTGGTAATCCAGAATAAACAAATAAATATTACAAATCAACAATAATAATAATACATATTCAATAATAAATAGGCAAATATTTGAACAGACATTTCACACAGCCACACACACAAGATATGAGAATGGTCAACAGGCATAGAAAAAGACGGTCAATAGCATTAGTCATCAGGAAAATGCAAATTAAAATCTCAAGGAGATACTACTAGATACCCACCAGAATGGCTAACTTTTTTTTTTTTATTATACTTTAAGTTTTAGGGTACATGTGCACATTGTGCAGGTTACTTAAGAAATGTTTATATCAAGTTTCAGCAAAGATGTAGAGGAGCTAGAACTTTCATACAATGCTGGCAGAATTATAGAATAAAACAATAACAATATTTTTCACTTTCTTATGAAGTTGTACATATACTTCTCCTATGACTCAGTAATTCTACTTTTCAATATTTACTGAAGAGAAATAAAACTATATGTCTATAAAGAAGCTTGTACATGACCGTTCAAAGCAGCTTTATTTATAGTGGTTCAAATGTCCATCAACAGGTGAGCAAATAAACAAATTTTGGTATGTTTATAAAATGGAATATTGCAAACGCTGATCCACACAATAACATAGATGTATATCAAAATTACTGTGTTGTATGAAGGAAGTATAACACAAGAAGATATTTAACTATGGCGGTTGTCTTGAAGTTAGGGATTTTCTGCAAAGCAGCATGAGAAAACTTCAGGTAGATGAAGACATTTTACATAATGATTGTGGTGGTCGCATAGGTATATTTCATAATTCATTTTATTGTATTTTAAATTCTACTTCAATTAAACTGTCTTTGTCTGCTTTGGCTGCTATAACAAATTACCACAGACTGGGTGGCTTATAAAGAATAAAAATGTATTTCTTACAGTTCCGGAGGCTGAGAAGTCCAAGATCAAGGTGCTAAGAGATACAGTGTCTGATAAGGACCCGTTTCCTGGCTCATAGGTGATGCCTTCTTACTGTGTCCTCACATGGTGAAAAAGGCAAAGCAGCTTTCTGGGTCCTTTTTTATAGGGGCACTAATTCTATTCGTGAGGACTGTACCCTTATGAACTAATCATTTACCAAAGGCCCCACCTCTTAATACCCACACAATGGGATTAGGGTTTCAGCGCATGAATTTTGAGGGGACACAACCATTCAGACTGTAGCACAAACTAACTTAAAAAAAAATAGATCGATAATCTATGCTCCCATCTTAGGAAGCTAGAAGAACGAGAGCAAACTAAACCAAATTAAGCAGGAAGAAAACAATAAGAGCACAAATCAATGAAGTGTAAAATAGACAAAAAATAGAGAAAGGCAATGAGACTAAAAGCTTGTATTCAAAGGAAAAATAAAGCAAAACCCTTTATAAACTTCTAGCTAAACTGATCAAGAAAAAAGAGGGAAACCACAGTTTACTAATATCAGAAATGACAGCGGGAACAACATCACTATGGATTCTATAGACATTACAAGGATAAAGGCATATTATGAAATTTTTTTTTAAGATGGAGTCTCGCTCTGTCACCCAGGCTGGAGTGCAGTGGTGCAATTTTGGCTCACTGCAACCTTCACCTCCCGGGTTCAAGCGATTCTCATGGCTGAGCCTCCCGAGTAGCTGGGATTACAGGCACGCAACACCATCCCTGGCTAATTTTTTTTGTATTTTCAGTAGCGACGGGGTTTCACCACTTTGGCCAGGCTGATCTTGAACTCCTGACCTCGCGTGATCCACCTGCCTCGGCCTCCCAAAGTGCTGGGATTACAAGGATGAGCCACCATGCCCGGCCATATTATGGAATATTTTATGCCAATAAACTTGACATCTTGGGACAATTTGATAAATGCCTTGAATGATGTAAATTACCAAAACTAACACAAGAAGAAATGGAATATCTTAATAGCCCCATATTTGTTAAATCAGTTGAACTTGTAAATGGGAACATTATTGTAAAGAAAACTTTGGGCTCAGATAGCTTCACTAGTGAATTTCAGCAAAAATTTAAGAAATAATGTCAATCCTACTAACTCTCCAGAAATAGAGAAAAAGGAATACCATTAAAGTCATTTTATGAGGCCAGCATAACCTTTATACCAAAACCAGGCAAAGATATTCCTAGAAAAGAAAATTACAGAACAGTATATCTTGTAAACAAAGACACAAACATTCTTAATAAAATATTAGCAATCTAATCCAGCAATATATAAAAGTAGTAATGTATCATGAGGTTCATTCTAGAAAAGCAAGGTTAATTTAACATTAAAATATTAATTAACAGACTAAAGGAGACTCATGAACAAATTAAAGCAGAAAAATCAGATGATAAGTTAAATAGCTGCAGTAAAAACGTCAAAAATATTCAATATTCATTCATGGTAAAATGTCTCAACAAATTAGAAATAGAATGGAACTTCCTTAAACTGATAATGTGGAATTATGAGAACTCTCATGTATTTGAAGTAGGAATGTATGATAGTATAGCCTCTTTGGAAATAGTTTGGCAGTTTCTTATTAAATTAAATATACACCTACCCTATGACCTAGCAATTTCTTTGCTAAACATTTACTCAAAAGAAATGAAAACTTAGGTTTATACAAATGCTTGTACAACAATCTTTGTAGAAGCTTTATTCATAATAGTCCCAAACTGAAAACAATACAAATGTCTATCAATGGATAAATGCATACATAAATATTGGTATATTTATATAACAGAATACTATTCAGGAAAAAAAAATTCACAAATCTCTGATACATGCAACAACATGGATGAATTTCACAGACATTACCTTAAGTGTAGTGAAATAAACTGGAAACAAAAGAATACATACTATAATGTATATATATGTGTTTATAATCTATGTAAATATATATCTATATGTATTTCTAAATATAGATAGATGTTCATAAAACAGGCAAAAGTACTCAACTACAGCAAAAGAACTTAAAAAAGTTTACTTGGAAGTGGCATTAGTGAACCCTCTAGAGTGCTGAAAATGTTTTGTATTTTAAAAGGGATACAGGTTACACATGTATATGAATTTATGAAAACTCATTGAAGTTCAATACTTAAAAACTGTAATCTCCCTCCACATAATTTATACTTCGAAAAGAAAAGGAAAAAAAGCTGATATAGCCACAGTAATATCAGACAGGGAAATTTAAAAGGCAAATATACTTGAAATAAACATAGATAATTCATAATAAATGCCAAATTCTATCACTGAGATATGGAAATTCTAAATCTATATGTACCTAATATCATAGCTTCAAAGTTATAAAGAAAAACAATGATATAATTATTTTAATCAAATAAAGAACACGTTTTGAAAACCTGAAACAATAGGCTGAGGAATATTCTAGATAAGTGGAATCGATGTCAAAAGATCAAACTGAAATTATAGAATGAAGAACAACATAATAACTGAAATTAAGAACTCAGATGGTTTATTAGCAGTATTAGCTAGTTAACATTGTATGGGAGAAATAAAATTTGAAACTTTAGGAGACAACTTGGAATAGTTTGCCATTATGTACTAAACTTAAAAGGAAGCATTTATTTATTTGAGTTAAAAACAAAATATAGATCTTCAAAATGACCTGAGGGAGCACAGGTGATGCACGTCTATAATCCCAGCTACTTAGAGGGCTGTGGCAGGAGGATTGCTTGATCCTAGGAGTTGGAAGGTGTAGTGTCCTATGATTGTGTCTGTGAACAGACGCTGCTCCAGCCTGGGCAACACAGAAAGACCCATCTCTAAAATTAAAAAACAAAAACTACCATGATGAAAGAGAGAATGATTCAACAGTAAACAGCAAGAACGAATCAAATATAATCAAAATAACGGGACAAGAACAAACGAGTATACTAGTGATGACAAAAAAAAATAATAATTTAAACTTTCCAATTAAAAACAGATGTTTTCCTCAGCAATATTTACACTGAAAAAATATTGGAAACATACATGTCCAACATAGGGAAAGATTACATGGATGATATTTTATTCCTTATGCTATAATTTAAATTGGTGTTAATGAAAACTTTTAATAATATGGGGGATACATATGTTAAAATATTAAGCAAATAGGATTCACGATTCTTATAAAGTATTATGATATCTAAATATATAAGGTAATAAAAACAAAGTAGGAGAAAAATACCAATTATTAACAGTTCTCTTTTGTTCTATTTGTTATTTATCCTTCCTATAAATAGATATTGGTTCCTCCAATGAGTGTGTTGCTTTTATTTATGAATTTTTTTATTACACAAGCTATCTATGAATATAATAGTGTTGTCAAAAATATAAATAATACATAAAAGCTCCTCTTAGCGTTCTGACCTATTCCCATGCTAGTCCCTTCTGGAAGAGTAACCACAGTTATTTTTCCTACTGCCTTCTAGAACATGTTCACATATTACTTTGATAATCAGAGGTGGTGCTTGACAAAAATGAAAGCACTAGACTTCCCATTGCTGTAAAATGAGGCTCAGTGACTACATGTGTGGGATGCTATGATGGAAATCTCTTCATAGTAGAGAGTTTGAGTCAGGTGAACTTAATCTTCCAGTTTGGATTCTCGCATATAAATTACTAAGAATCCACTGAACTAAAAAGTGATATGAATATGGCTTAGTCAAGGCTGTATGGGTGAAATTAGAATTGGCTTGCCTGCAGAAGTGTAGGTGGAATGTGGGTGGGTGGATAGGATGAAAGTCTTCTTAGTTGGCTGTGAGCAGAATTATGGCATTAGGGAAAACACAGTGATGAGCAGTTCAACTAGAAAAAAAGCTAGAGAGTAAGGAATAGGGAGAGAAGAGGTTACATGGAGACATCAAGATCAGGCCTCAGAGGCCCTGAATGTCTGGCGTGGGTGGTTGAAATGTGTCCTGGTGCTTCTTTAGAAAAAACCAAACAACGCATGTTCTCACTCATAGGTGGGAATTGAACAATGAGAACACTTGGACACAGGAAGGGGAACATCACACACCGGGGCCTGTCGTGGGGTCGGGGGACGAGGGAGGGATAGCATTAGGAGATTTACCTAATGTAAATGACGAGTTAATGGGTGCCGCACACCAACATGGCACATGTATACATATGTAACAAACCTGCACGTTGTGCACATGTACCCTAGAACTTAAAGTATAATTAAAAAAAAGAAAATGAAGATGAAGAAGAAAATAAATAAATAAATAAATAAATAAATAAATAAATAAGAAAGAAAGAAAGAAATTCGCCAGTCATCAAATCAGCCACAACTGAGTCCTGTCTGAGGTTTAGTTTTTTGGTTTATAAAATGGGAATACGAGCCAGATGCGGTGACTCACGCCTATAATCCCAGCACTTTGGGAGGCCGAGGCATGTGGATCACCTGAGGTCAGAAGTTCGAGACCAGCCTGGCCAACATGCTGAAACCCCATCTCTACTAAAAATACAAAAAAAAATTAGCTGGGTGTGGTGGTGTGTGCCTGTAATCCCAGCTACTCGGGAGGCTGAGGCAGGAGAATCGCTTGAACCCAGAAGGCGGAGATTGCAGTGAGCCGAGATGGCACCATTGCACACCAGCCTGGGCAACAAGAGCGAAACTCCATCTCAAAAAAAAAAAAAAAAGGATAAAAGGAATATGGATTTTGTAAGAATTAAATTAGAGTGTGAGAACCGTTGGCAGTGTGAGTGGATATCACAGGAGAAGGTGGAACAGAAGAAGACGCGATATTAGAGCCTGGGCTTTGAGCACCAGGAAGCTGCCCCGATGGTTGCCTGTTGATATTTCTGGAACTTATGCAAATTTCAATCCAGTTTCCTGTGACAAGAAAAGCCCTAGCCCATTTTAGCACCCACATCTTGGGGAAGTAGCAAACTCAATTTTCTGCTGGCCCAGGGCAGACTTTGTCTCTGCATCTTACGAAAACTGAACACGTAGTTTGGTGTGGTTTCTTTGAAAACACAATCACTGTATACTTAATCATTTTTTTCAAAGAAAAAATAACATTAGCTACTGTACATGGGTATGTAACTCATCTCTTTTAATTAGATGCTAATTAATGACTCACTAGCTTTAATCATATCAATCTGGTAATACTATTTATGCCCCACAGAATAATGAACTACTTTATAAGAAATGAGCGTGGCACATGTTGACATAGGAATGCATCCAGCCATAATTCGCTCTGGGTAAATATCCCACCCAGACTTGGATTCCGAACAATTTACAAGGCAATGCTCACGTGATGCATGTGAGAGAGAGAGGCAGCGACTGCCATATGGAGAGAGAAACCGAAAGGAGCAAGAGGCAGAGAAATGCCACAAGGGAGTTTTTCCCTAGGGAGGGGCCACTGTCCTGGTTATTTTTATCTGAGAGGTGAAATGGCTTTCTGCATTAGGAAGAATGTGGCAGGCAGGTGGCATGATTCTGTTAAGATGTGGCCACTAGTCCTGCTGGGTCTAGCCAAGCTTGGAGAATGAGACTGGGGATTAGACAGGGATGGAACCACCATGGGCATAAATAAGAAAATTCTCCAGTTGTTCCCTAGTGAGGAGAAGTGACTATCAGCCAATATTCCAGGTCTAAATGTATATGGTGATATGGGGCATATCTCAGACAGGGTTTAAGAGCCAGTAAGGGTCCAAGTCAGCTCTTGGTAAGTAGTCCCCTCTTGTGGTAAGGGACAACCAAGACCCAGGTGTCTGGTGCCTCTGAAAGTCCAAGTATGCAGTAGCATCATGGCCCTGAGAAAATGGAGACCCTGCTAGTTCATGGAAGGATAAAGAACTGTTCCAAACCCAGGTGGAAAGGATTTGTAGAAAATGGCCAGTAGAGTAATAGAGACTACTTAGTGAGGGATTGATTATTCTATGCTAGGCAGTTTACATACAATATCATACAGTACATTGTGGAACATGCATTCTTGTTCCCATTTTACAGATAAGAAAAATGAGGCTCAGAGCAAGTAAATAACTACCCAGTGCTACGTAGATAGTAAGTAGCAAAGCTGTACTTCAAACCAAGCACTCGGACTCACAGACCCTGTTCTTGAACACGAAACTCCACCCCCCTCCACTCCTCTATCTCTCTGCCCTCCTCCATATCTTCATTCCTGCACCTCTCCTACTATCGCCAGGAGCAATAGGCATAGATTTAGTCCATATCACCAGGGTGTCAGGTGCCTCAGCAGAGTTAGCTGGTAAGCAAGAATTATTAGTAAGGAACTGAGGCAGAAATCCACTCCTACAGCTTGGGATAAATAGGTGAAGGGAACCTGGTAATTTCATGAGCACTCAGGATTCCTAAAACAAATCAAATTCTAACCTCATTTTCCCCACAGGCTGATAATGAATTTTTTGTTCACTAGAATCACTCAAGACTTGGATGGTGGGCTGAAGAGTAAAATCCCAAATCCTTAGAATGCTCTACTAGGTCCTCCGTGATCAGACCCTGATAGCTTTCTGATGTCAGTTCCTTCTGCTCTTCCTCTCAGCCACACTATTCATTTTGCTTTCCTTTTTTAAAAAAGTTAAACACACTCCTACCCCAGGACCTTTGCACCAGCTGTTTCTTTACCTAGAACTCCCTCCTCCAGATTCCCTCCACAAAAATAAGTATCTCTGTATGTTTTTTTTCACTAATTTATCCCAATATCTGTCACATAGATACTCAATAAATATACACTGAGTAAATTAATGAAGGATATTGGTAAGAACAGTTTAGGAAATCTTTCACAGCAGAATCAAAACCAATGGGTGGAAACTGAAGGGAAGTAGATCTCAGCTCAGTCAGACCTGTGCAAGCATGGGATGGGCTGTTTCTGAGTGGGTTGCCTGTCACTGGAAGTGTGCATGAGGAGCCTGATCAGCCACAGGCCAAGGATACTTAGACTAAGGAATCAGATACAGTGAAGTCAAATGAGCATCCCAGCCCATTTGCTAAAAAGCACCTGCACTTGTATGTTCATTGCAGCAGTATTCACAATAGCAAATTCCAGAGCATTTCTGATTCTATAAACTGGCCTGTCCTGAGGGCTCCTAGGGACCTAACTGGAGACCATGCTGAGAGTCATTTAGAATAGGTTTTGGACTATCAGAAAAGACAGGCCCCACTTCCTTATGAGAGCTGCCTCTGAGGCGTCATTCAGTCTGGACTGGGACCATTACTTGCAGCAACACAGGTAAAGTGCTGCCTTAGTGCTATTGTCCTGAGAACCCATAGAAATAACTGTTTGACCTTCTGCAAAGATTCAATTCTGTGAAATAAAAATAGGTGAAAGTCACACTGCTAAGAATCACAAGGTTCTGTTTCTCAACCTTACATCAGGTGTGTGTGTGTTTAGTGTTTATTAGGTGCCAGACACTGGAATAAAGTACTATGATTACTAAAGTAAGAGTCATGGCCCCGTCCCTAAAAGGTGACTATCACATGCAGAAGATACATATGAAGCTGTTGTGTTTACCGCTATATTCCCTATAGCCTCAACAATGACAGTACATAACAGAAGCTCAATTAATATCTGCTAAATAAGTAGTTATAAAGTCTGCCCTTTGTTGCTTAACCAACAGCATATCTGGGATTCAAACTCATCTCTGTTTCTATGTACTTAATCCCACATATCCTGCCTTCTAGTTGCTTTGGACTGTTATCAGTGACACAGAGCTTGTTGGATAGGCTTAGAAATAGTGCATGCACAGCAAGAGAAACTATCAACAAAGTAAAGAGAAAACCTACAGAATAGGAGAAAATATTCACAAACTATGCATCTGACAAAGGCCTAACATTCAGAATCTATAACTTAAACTAATGAACAACCAAAAACAAATAACCCCATTAAAAAGTGGGCAAAGGACATGAACAAACACTTCTCAAAAGAAGAGATACAAGCAGCCAACAAACATATGAAAATATGCTCATCATCACTAACCCTCAGAGAAATGCAAGTCAAAACCACGATGAGATACTATCTCACACTAGTCAGAATTGCTTTTGTTAAAAAGTCAAAAAGTAACAGATGTTGGCTGGGCTGCAGAGAAAACAGAACGCTGATACACTGTTGGAGGGAATGTAAATTAATTCAACCCCTGTGGAGAGCAGTTTGGAGATTTCTCAAAAAACTAACAGTTGAAACTACCATTCGACCCAGCATTCCCATTACTAGGTATAGATGCAAAGGAAAATAAATTATTATATTAAAAAACACCTGCACTTGTATGTTCATTGCAGCAGCATTCATAATAGCAAAGACATGGAACCAACCCAGGTTTCCATCTCAATGGATTGAATAAAGAAGATGTGGCACACTTACATAATGGAATACTACACAGCTATAAAAAAGAACGAAATTATGCCCTTTGCAGCAACATAGATGCAGCTGGATACCATTATCCTAAGCCAACTAACACAGAAACAAAAAACTAAATACTACATGCTCTCACTTATAAGTGGGAGTAAAATCTTGGGTACACATGGGCATAAAAATGGGAATAGACACTAGGAAACAAGAGAGGGCAGGAGGCTGAAAAACTAGCTACTGGGTACTATGCTCACTTCCCAGGTGAAAGATTTTTATCATACTCCAAACCCCAGCATCACACAATATACCTTTGTAACAAACCTGCACATATCCCCATAATCTAAAATGAAAGATGAAAAAGAAAAAAAAAAAGAAAATAGGGCATGTTGTTATCTCGTTCAGTGGAAAAATGTCAGGCTCTACACTAATGATGCTAATGAGTGACAGGGAGGGGTTGGAAAGGCAAGAGGGAGGTGCCAATATGTGAACTCAGGACTAGATCTAAGGTGGGCACATTGGCTATTCAAAGAAACCCAGAGCAGGTACAGCTGGTGGATATGGCAAGGGACACTGAAGGGTAGAAGAAGGGAAGGAAGAAGGAAGGGCAAATCTGGCTTCAAGCAAGAGGGGTGGACTAGAAATGAAAGGTAAGCCAAAGAAACCCAATCCATGTAGGACATAGAATAGGTTAGGAGGTGAAGAGAGTGAAAAACAAGTATGAGGCTGAAGTTTTGTAGAAAGGTCAGCCTACCCCTAGATCCCTGAAAGCTTAGTCTCTGGAAGCATCAGGTGAGAATGTCCAGGCTAATGTTTGATGGTCAAGGTCAGGCAGTCGGTCCTTAGATCAAAGTCCTACTTTGAAGAGGCCAGTCTTCTTTTCTGGTCTTTATGTGTTCAATATCCTGGTTGTATGGGGACCACTGCCCTACATCCTGCTCACTGTCCACCTTGTTTGTAGATAAACTGCTTGCTTCAAATTCTCACTAACTTATTTTTTGCACTTCGGTGGCTGTACTCTGCCCTGCATTCCAGAATATTTCTCTCCATTTCTCAAATCTTCCCAGGAACTGGACAAAATTTGCCACACCCAAGAGCAACCTTAATCTTGGTTTTCCAATGCTCTCCTAGAAAAGCCAATTATTCAGTCACCCTTTTCTGCTAGTTTCTGCTATTCTTCTGCCAACTTTTTCACTGCCCTCTTCCTGAATTTGTCCCAGGTTTCCCTTCCAGCATGTCATGTACCAGCACACATAGATCCTGGCATTCCAGCTCTTTAGTGGAAATTAGAACTGGTGAGGTTTTGCACTTACTAGGTGCTTACTACATATTTGTTGAGGGAGGGATGAATGTGACAGGTTCTATAGCAGAGTTATGTTTCAGTACTAAGAGAGTACAGAGGCCAGATAGGAATTTGGAAGGCTCAGTGAAGACAGGTTATTTACACTTGATCTTGAAAGATAAGCAAGGATTCACCACACTGATAAGGAGAAGGAGGTATTTCAGGCAGTGGAAACTGCTTGCATAAACACATTACATCATGTGTGTCTACCCAACCCCTCCAGTGTACATTTGTCCTTTTTTTTAATAACAGAAACATGATTTTTCTTGGCATGACTACTCTTCTCCCATTCTTAGTTCATATGCCATAGGTTGAGCTCTCTCCCTTCAGTCCAAAGATGGATGTGACCCCAACACAGTGAATGAGAGCATCAGATGCCACTGGCTGTAGTGACTTCTTCAGGGGTAGGCACTGACATGACTTGGGCCAAGGAGAGCCAGATCCAGGAATATTGCTCAAAAATACATTCTGTGTGTCTCTCTGTGTGTGTGTGTGTGTGTGTGTGTGTGTGTGTGTGTGTGTGTGTGTGCGCGCGCGCGCGCACGCTGCTGAATTTGGAATAGAAAGGATATAAACATGAGGGCAGCCATCTTGTCACCAGGAGAAGGGATCACCAAGAGAGTTTGTGGATGGAGTCAACACTGAGAGAGAAGAACCAAGAGAGGCACCCAGTTCTGATCCTCTCTGCCAGATTTACGCCTGATCTTTTTTTTTTTTTTGTGGAGTGCAGGATGGCAAAGGAACCATACATTCTCATTTTTCTAAAGTCATTTTGTGTTAAATGTCCTGCTGTTTGTGACCCATAAAGTGCCAACTGATAAAGCGATGAAAGCAAAAAGGAGCATAATGCATTCAAACAGTATCAGGCATTTAACTTTGAGGGACGTGGAAACCATCCCCTTGATTTGCAGAGAGGAAGCTGAAGTCCAGAGAGGAGAAGGGACTCCCTGGAGTTCCACATCTAGGGAGGAGCAGGAGAATAGAGGAGCAGAGCCAAATAAGGGGTTGACTTAGGAGGAAGGAGGCAAGAAGTAGCCAGCAGTTTACTGTCCTCATTTGGCTTGTAAGCGAAGAGATTTGAAACCACGATGCCAAGTTGAGTGGCACACCACCTATGTCCTTATAAAAAGATTCCACGCCCACTCAGTTAGTGCATAACCAGTAATGGCCTGGGGGTCCATGCTGGCATGACACTCAGACAACAACTCTCCAGGTCTCTCCAAGCTCTCAAACTTGTTTTGTGTAATCAGGACATGAAATTACAGACCTTTGCTTTTTGAAACTGTTTTTTTAAATTAAAAATACCCTCACACAAATCTTGCGCCAATGCTTTTAATAATATATATTTTTAAAACTGTAAATGGAGAACCAGGATAGCTCTCAGGGCTCAATGCATTTTTTTTTCCAGTAGGTGGATAGACAAGTGACTTATGCAGATGTGGTATATACATTCCGCACAATTTGACCATGGTTAAAGGGTATTTATATTCTGATGCAGATAAAATTGAACATGTCAACACTAATGCATTTTTCGAGGAGAATCACTACTTTCACCATAATTTCCATGGAAAATTTGTGTGCACACGCAGTAATAGACACATTTATAACATCAAAAGGATTCAATTTTCTTTTCAATCATACCACAGTATGAATCGCTTTTCCTATTGAATTTAACAATGAGGCACATTACCAGAGTCTAAAGGATGGGACACTTCGTCTTGCTCTTATGAAAGTACGTCAAACAATGGGTAATACATCACACAATGTCTCGGGTTAACTGAGACTTTACACAGGCTGGCTGCTAATTTGCTTGGGCCAGCAGAATGTCACTTTTATTTAATTTTGCCAATAAGATCAGCAGGGATCCAAACTCTGTTTAACTCTTAGTTATTAAAAGAGGTTTTTCTTGTTACACGAAGAACTCATTAATTCATGTCTCTCCTAATTCAGAATTTGAGATCTTTGGAACAGGAGGTGGGAGGTGCTTAATCTCTGCTATGAAGGAAGGAATTTCACCCTGTACACAAGCTTCTGTGCTGACTACTTAAACTGCAGAAGAGACAAAGTCTTTTAAGGCCTTTAGAAGTATTTTTGATATGTTAATTACAAATTGTTCTTGGGTAGTTACCAGAGCAGCTCATCTTCTCCAGTAGGAAAAATTTTGTCAACCGACCTTTCAGTCATTCGGTCATTTGGTCATTTAATTTTTCATCTACTTACCATCTCTATATCCATTCACTTATTCAGAGTTTATGAAGCTCTTTCTATTTGTCAGGGCTTGAATTTGGGCTTGGGCTACAAAATGAAAACTACATGCCCAGTTGAAAAGCCTCTCACAGGCTAGGGAAGGAGACAACAGTTTGCTGGATCTATCCCATCCACCCATCTCCTCTCCCCATCACTCTGAGATTTACTTTCTACTCTTCTTGGTCCCACTCTGTGTTCTGAAAGGCTGCTGAACCACTTCAGTGGGCTACCTTGCCTACTGGCTTCAGGTTGGATTTGGTCAGTGGGAGGCGCTGGGAGATCAAACGGTGGAAAGACGATGAAGTCAGGATGTTCATTTCCAGCTCCCTCTGAAAACACACACTAAACGATGGCTGAGTCCCTCTATCAGGAGTCACAGCTCCTATCAGGTAACCACTAATTTCCCTTGTGCCTGCAGACCTGGAGTAGCAAGGACTCCCACTGTTACTAGTTCTGGGGTACTGTGTTATCTTTTTTTTGGTTTCCCTAAGCCCTGTCCGCATCATTGTAAATGGTTACTTTTTGGTAAACACTCCTTAAATGACACAATCTGAGCGTGCCACCTGTTTCTTAGCTGATACACAAGTAAACCAAAAATCATATGCAAAAATAGTCTGGACTGTGATAGAGGTGATCTCAGGAGGCTGGAGGTGTCTAGAGTAGAATGGAACAGTGGCTAAGGAAGTTTCTAGGAGTTATTTCTGCTCTGGTCTGTATTCTAAATAATCAAATCATGTTTGCTTGACAAATAGGTCAAAACTTTAGACTTTCTAAAACTGTAAATTACTCTTCCTAGCCCATCCAAGAAATATCACAATAGCCTCTCTACATAGGGGACCAGCTCCCTGTTTTCCTACCAGCTTTCTAGGTCCACTTCAATTGCATGTTAATCTCCAATAAACACCTAGAAAGAGGAGTAAAACACTAGGATTTCAGGTTCACTTTCGGTGGAAATAAAGCCCTCTTGAGAAGCAGAATAAAATACAACACCACTGAAGCAGAAAAACACAACTTGCCCTTCCACCTGAGGTCTGCCTTCTAGTAGGTAAACTTGAAAGGATGGAGCCAAAGGGCAGCAGAAAGAAACGAGCAGATAAAATAAAGAGTATATGAGAGCATGTGTGTCTGCCCAGAATGCAAGTGCATGCGCTTCTGTCCATGCCTAGGCATGGGCTCTGAATGAATGTTTGAGGGTGAATTCATCTCCAATTTCACCACTGAGGACAGCAACAGCTGCCTCTTGAGCACAGCACCTGTGTCTTCACCCAAGTATCCTCTCTAGTTACAATTCCTGTAATCCCCACATGTCAAGGGTGGGACCTGGTGGGAGGTGATTGGATCATGGGGGCAGTTCACCCCATGCTGTTCTCGTGATAGTGAATGAGTTCTAACAACATCTGATGGTTTCATAAGGGGATCTTCCTACTTCACTCATTCTTCTCTCTCCTACTACTATGTGAATACCGTCCTTGCTTCCCCTTCACTTTGTGCCGTGATTGTAATTTTCCTGAGGCCTCCCCAGCCATGTGGAACTGTGAGTCAATTAAACCTCTTTCCTTTATAAATTGCCCAGTCTCGGGTAATATCTTTACAGCAGTGTGAAAATGGACTAATGCAACAGCTCTCCCATTTTCCATTACAAACATTCTAGAGAAGCACAAATGTGTTCTGTAGATGAAAGGAAACTTTGACAGGAGTGACCAAATTGAGGAGAGAACAATGGATAAGCTGACAGAATCCTTGGGGTGGAGTTAGATCCCACAGTTCATTGGAAGGTAAGAGTGAAGAACCCTAGTAGCATCGCAGGAGTCAAAGCTTGAAAAGTAAGAATGAAAAATTTCTGGTTGGAGTAAACTCAAAATCACAGGAATCTTCCATGGAATGTTTCCTCAGAGGGGACAAGGGTGAGTGTAGAGTGGAGAAAAATAGTGAACCAAGGGGGATAAAAAGAAATAAAATCATACAAATAAGAGAGAGGGAAAGCAAGCAAAGAGGATCTTTAAGATCACTAAGTCCAGCCCTGTCCTTGGGGGAACTGAGGAAGCCGGACAAGCAAAGTGACTTGTCCTGATGTCCTTCATATTTGGAATTTGAAGGAGGACTAAAAGAAGCCTATGCAGGTGAGAGTGAAGAAAGCCTAGAAAAGGAGTAGTGACCATGAAGAAGTGCGTGTGCACTGGGATATGTGCATGTGTTTGTGAATATGCAGGTACTTATCTTGCAGGTCCATAGGCAAATGTATTTGTGTGTAGTGAAGGTATGTGTGTGTTTGAACACACAAATATGTATTTTTTCCATATATGCACCTGTCTGCATGTGCTAAGGGGAATAACGCTAAAGCTCAGAATATTACATAACTTCTCATACTTTAGAGATAAAAGCTGATAATAATATTGGCCACCACATGTTGTTTTCTCTATTAGGACAAGTGTTTTAAGTCCTTCATCTCATTTAGTACATAAAATCCCATGAGGTTCAAACTGGTATCCCTATTTTGCAGATTTATCCTCTGAGGCTCATTTAGGTTATGGGACTCATCAAGGTCCCATAGCTAATAAGTGGTAGGGCTAAGATTGGAACTTAGATCTCTCAGGCACTGCAAGGAAAGCTTAAAAAGACCAGGGTGTCAGTTATTGTGCGGCCTAGTATGCTGCCTCTTGAGCACAGAGGGTGGCCTTCCTTCAATGTGCTTTCTAAGATGTGCTCACTCTGCTTCTAAAACTGTAGCAAGCTACACCATCTCTGTCCAACAAGAACAGGGTCTCCCTGACTAGAAAAGAAGGGCCTGAGGGCAGAGTCCTCCTCCATTCCATTCGCTATTTTCCCTTAGGCACCTTGCCTAGTTCATGTCACAAAATAAGAGTTCAGTAAATATTTATTAAATAAATTGATGAATGAGTAAATAGATAGTAATGCTTGCTTAAGCTATAACATATTTTTAAAGAAATCCCATCTAATATCTTTCAAATACTCATAGCAACTAGCTAACATATAAATTCCTAAGGGGACCGGCTTTAATACAAAAAGATAAGCATAATTTGTAATTAGCATATCAAGCACACTTAGAAGCAGTAGCATTCCCCTCCAGTTCTTGTTTATATTTCTCGTTAACTTCATAAACACTTTCTTCACAGTCAGAGCAAATAGACTTCCATTCGGTCCCTATCTAGATTGTCACAACTTCCCATTTGCCACCACCCTGACCAAGGTGTTTTTTTCACCGTGGACCAGGTCATACCTCTCCAGCTCCCAAGTTCAAGACCAAGCACTATTCCTGTCACTGGCTGTCCTGCACTAAAACCAGATAAATGAGAATGATTCCAGCACCTCCACCCTCTTGTGAGGTGTGAGGAATTTAAATTAGGGCCTTGTGTGATTTTTTTACAGGATAAAACACCTCAGTTTCTTGTCGTGGGGAATTCCCCGTTCCTCCCTGCATGTGGAGAAAATACACTGATTGGCCCGGCAGGAACTAGGGCTGGCAGAGGCCAGCTGTGTGCTCCAAGTCCAGAGCCAAGCTGACAGCCCATGAACTGTCATGTCAGGGTAGGCGTAGGGAACTGGCTGTAGGTCAGCTCTGGCAGCGGGGGAGCAGCCTGACTCTGGCTTTCCCAAGTGGCCAGGTGGATCCAGGTACCAGGGAAAAGGCTGAGAGAGGCAAAGGAAGGGGCAAGGGATAAAGGTCACAGGATCTGGTTTGTGCAGTCATGAAAAAGTAAAGTTCAGAGTATTTGAAATACTCTTAACATTGAATTGCCTGTCTATAACATGACGCTGGTGATAATACTATGTAATTCATACAGAGGATAAAGAGAGATCACATAACCATTAACCTCACATCTGGCCATTCTTGGCCTCAGATAGGAAAACTAACTCTGGCCTAAGCTGCCTCAGCTTTGCCCCCCAACAGTTTATAGGAAAATGCTCTAAGCACTGCTTTCTAGATCTCCAACCTTGTCTCATGGGAACTTCTCAGATTCTCCCTCTCACTTCTCTTCAGCCCAATGCAGTTTCATGCCCTGTTGCCGCCATCGTGTTGCCCTGCACACAAGGAGTGTGGAAAGGGCCATGGTGGCTCTGAAGTTAGCAGACCAGGCTTTGATCCCAGCTCAGCACTCACTTGCTGGATGACCACAGGCTGTAGGATCTCACCTTTCTGAGCCTCAGTTTCCTCATTGATGAAATGACAAAAATAATCCCCATTCATTCATTCATTCATCCATTCTTTGAATGCACTTTTGTTTGCTATATGCCAAGTGTTGTTCTAAGTGCCAGGCATGTAACACTGATTTTCCTCAAAGAGGCTTAGGTTCTAGTGCAGGGTGACAAATAATAAAAAGCAGAATAAAAAATACATTTATGTATATCATACACCTATAATTTCCATGGAGGAAAAAACAAACAGTGGAGATATGGAATGCTATGGTGGTGAATTGTAATTTCAAACAACATTCTTAGGGTAGGCCTCTCTGAGAATATGGCACACATTAGCAAAGATCTGAAGGAAAAAAGAGAGTAAGCTATACGAATATTTGAGCTAAAAATATTCCAGACAGAAGAAAGAGCAAGTGCAAAGGCCTTGAGGTAGGAGTGAGATCAGAGTGTTTGGGCCCCAAATTCTCATTCCAGCTAGATTTAATTTCATCCCAGCTACTCCTCCACAGGGTGGAGGCCAGTGTGGTGCAGTAGAGTGAGGAAGGAGCCAAGCAGAGAAGCACGCATGAGATGAGGTCAGAATCACATTACAGGGGGCTATTTTCGTAACTTTTTAATTGACAATTAAATGGAATAAAGCATGTATGAATGTGCCAATCGCATGGCAGAGGTTCAATTAAGAATTAATTCTTTTTTCATTCTCATTGAGCAAATACATTTTAAAAATCTAGCTGGAATGAGAATTTGGAGCCCAAAGAATTCAGTGTGAGCTCCCAGGGCTGCTCCATTCTTCCTGCTGGGGGACCAGTCCCCCCATCTGCTTCGATCTTTAGTGACATATTCTGACATGCCTTGATCTTATAGCAGCCACTCCAGTTTTGACATATGCCAGTTTTTTGGTTTGCACTTCTGTGCATGGACCCCTTAGCAGAACAGGTTGGTCTCTGTTTCCACTGTCTTCAGTTGACACTCTTCAGCAACTTCCTTTTGGCCTCTGTACTACCTCTCCCGGCATGAAGGTGGACATTCTGCTAAGGCCACTGTGGCATGGGCTGGGCTCAAGGGTGGAGTAGGAACAAGTATGCCACAATGGTATCTGTTGTACCCATGACTTGGTAAGATAAAATGAAGAGGAGAGGGTATGTCAAAATGTCCGTAGTATTGAAAGGCAGCAAGTCTGCCTCCAAACGACTGGATTGAAAGGCCTTCTGAATGCTGCCTTTCACCTCTTGAGCAATTCATACATACAGATTTCTCAGTTGCCCTCAGATATTCACCTGACATCTTTATGAAGGAAAGAACGCTCAAAGGTCAAGGACTGCAGTGTGTACTATGAGGAAAGAAATCAAGACAGATGAATCATTTAAAAGAAACTAGAGGTGGTGGACCTAAAAATAATTAAGACTAATTTTTGGAAGAACCTATAACCATACTCTCATTTAATCCTCACAATAACCCTATAAGGTAACATCCCCATTTTACAGAGAAAGGTATTGAGGATCAGAGAAGTTAAGTAATATGCCTAAGATCACACAGCCAGAGGAGATTCGTAGAGTTGGGCCTTAGAATGAGTTCTGTTCATCCTTATAAATACTTTCATGAATTTCTGCAAAAAAGATTGAAGGGAGTCGACATGACTCAAAAATCTTCAGTCTTCTACACCCCCAGGAAAAAAATAAGCTAGGACTCTGGAGAACTTCAGGAAATCAATAAGCCAAGTATTGACTGAGTGTCACCTGTGCTCAGAAGTAGGATAGCACCACAGAGAATGTAAAGAAAAATATTTTCTCTGTCATTTATACCTAACTGACTAGAAAAGCCTTCATCCACAGGCCTAGAGTGAAGAATCCAGTTCTGGAGGGAATGCCAATGTTTAGGGAGACAGCTACAGGGAAGGCTTCTGGAAGAGTTTATGTAGGAACTGGTCTATGAAAAATGACAAATGAGCAGATCAGATCTGGGCTAAGGCACAAATGCAGTGATGAGAATGCTTCCTTAGGGCAGGTGGCAGCAATTTTACCTAGAACAGAGTCCAAGCAATGTGGTGCAATGGAGGATAGTAAATCCATAGGAATGAGCAGACCTTCCAGACTTTGTAGTTTAGAGGACACTTGGTAGCTAACCGTGATACTTTAATTGCATCTTATCTAAGTTAATCCTCACCACAGTCCAGGGAGGTGGTCTTAGTTATCCATACTATAAAGCAAGGCAGCTGGAGTGAATTATTATAATTTTATGTTGTCTTAGCATTCCTTTTGAAAAGAAGTTTAACATTCTCACACCTGTAGCAGCGTTCAGCCACCCTTGACACAGTTTCTAGTTCTAGTTCTACACCACTTTCAAATGGCTCAAGTTAGGGGTCAGAGATAAGAACTTAGATGCATTTTTCCTGCCTAGCAGATGGAGCTCCCACTTTCCCTCCATTTCCTTTAAGCAGGCTATTCAAGCATTTGCTTATGAACTTAAAGTGACCCATATCCTAGTTCCTTATATATCCTGCTAGTTGCCACATGCTTTTGTCTCTCTCTGCCTGACTCTTCTTTTTTTTGCCTCACATGACCTGGGGACAAAAGACTGCCCTCCTGACTCATTGCATCCTCCTTGTTCGGGATCTATAAGTAAAAAATCTTTGAACTTGTTTCCTATTGTGGTGGTGTATTGAATCTGTACCTTTCATCTAAAGAACTAGGGGCTGTTTCAGGCTGGATTTTCCCCAGGACACCAGAGGGAATATAAGTTCCCAGCAGCAGAGCAATGGTCAGGCTGGCATAAACTGGACATAGGTCATAGAAAAGCCACAAGAGTGTTCTGCCAAAATAAACAAGATGCCTGTGAGAGGAACCTCCTGGTTGTGGTTCAGACAACTGGGCATTTGGCTATCTGCCAGGTAAATGAAGTATCTCATGAAAGTCACACTGTAAACACACATGTCCAGCTTCCCTTAATTTCCTGTTAATGCAGGGTCACTAGCTGCTCTGGTACTGAAATCCTAATGCAGCTGAGGGCTCCAAAAAGAGCAGCAAAAGCTCTGAGTAGGAAAGTGACTTGCTCAAGGTCCCATAGGCTGTAACAAGCCCTGGTGCAAACACATGTTCTGATTTCAGATCCCAAGACCTCCAGATTGCATAGCATAGTAGGATGAGACCAAGTAATTTGTAGAAGACTGGAATGAGAGGCACAGGAGAAAAGAGGGGCTATTGAATTCCTGCTATAACATGTGAGTTGCCAAGGAGCAGTGAGAGTCAGGATCAAAAACGCTGTCTTGCTTTGGATTGTGAGAAAAGAAAAAAAGGAAATAAAGAAAAAGATAAGAAAAAAGGAGAAAGATAAAAGGTGGCAGATGAGGAGAAGAATATGGAAAGAGAGAAGCAGGAGGTAAAAAAGGAGAATATAGAGGAGGGGAGAGGGAAGAAGATGAGGATGAGATGGGTATTAATTCTTGCACTTGAGTGAAACACAAGGAAACCCTTTGCCCCAGCCAGGGAAGACAGAGAAAGTTAGATAAAACTCACCATCAGGGAGCACCAATGAGTCTCACCTTCCCTTTATCTGTGTGGTCTAGAGCAAGTGTTAATTTCCATTCACCTGCTGGCAGGGCAAAGAATTGTAATCACAAGCAACTTGAGAGGGCACTACCACATTGGATGAAAGCCTGGCTATTGAAATCGCTCTACATTGAATCCTACCTGATCTTACAAGACTCCATAGGGAGAAATCAGTTATAGAAAGTCAGCCCAAAGTAGAGTTCTGGCTTCCTGTTAAAAGTCCTGTGGTCTTGGGTAAATGACTCATCTCTCTGAACCTTGCTTTCCTCATCTATAAGCCTGTGTCATATAAAAGCCCGGGTGCAGGAAATAACAAAATGTGTTCATAGGACTGGATATAGATTCAAGGAGAGAGTGGGAAAAATTGAGACCAAGAGATAGGCAGGAGGCTGGGAGCGATGGCTCTTGCCTGTAATCCCAGCACTTTGGGAGGCCAAGGTGGGTGGATCACTGGAGGTCAGGAGTTCAAGACCAGCCTGGCCAACATGGTGAAACTCCATCTCTACTAAAAATGCAAAAATTAGCCAAGCATGGTGGCACACACCTGTAATCCCAGCTACTTGGGAGGCTGAGGCAGGAGAATCGCTTGAACCTGGGAGGCAGAGGTTGCAGTGAGCTGAGACTGCACCACTGAACTCCAGCCTGGGTGACAGAGCGAGACTCCATTGCAATAAATAAATAAATAAATAAATAAATAAATAAATAAATAAAAAAAAAGAGAGCAAGATGGGCAGGAAAAAAGAGCATGAAAGAAACAAGCCACTTTTAAGATATACATTGAGAGAGAAGGAGAGACCTTGAAGTATTTTAATTGGAGATGGGGAAGAATGGAAGAGAATGGGAGAAGAGTAGGGGTTGAAAAGCATCTGGAGCGCACATTCCCATTATTTTAATAATACTGAGGGAGTAGAAAGAAAAGACTCTAAGAAGGAAAGGATGCTTAAGAGGCAATGGCTGCCTGACTGTAGGTTCATATAACTGTAGTTATCATTTCACTACATGTATGTATATCAAAACAGCATGTTGTATACCTTAAATATATACAATTTTTTAAGAGTCAAGGAATGCACATAAATAAGTATTGCAAAGTACTGACTAGAGTTGGTGCCCTCCCTGGGTTATTCTTGTGATAAGTCTTGTCTCTCAAAATAAAAGTAAAGACTTGTTGGTAATATAAGGCTAAGTACAAAGTCAGGGTTCATCTCAACCCTCCCACAGTCACTGAAAAAACAAACCTATCCTCAGATGTCTTCTCTTAATCAAAGGTTCCCATCTGCTAACTAAGTTACTTCACTGTACGTTCCTGTGAGGTCTCCTTGTCAGCCCTTTGTGTCAAAGTCTCCAAGCCCTTTACTGAGTCCCTTATTATTCCAAAGGCCCCCCACATCAAGCTGGAGACTGAGTTCTGAGTTGGAGGGAAGGGTGGCTTCATGTTGATGCAAGCTAGGCTGATGCAAGCTAGGCTGTGGTCTAGGGTGAAGACGAGGAAGGCTGAGGAGACTTAGGAATGTGAAAGCTCAGGACAGCTTCTTGCACAGCAGGCATATGGGAACCTTTACAAGTACTTGGTCATACTCTGCTTAGGAAAGCTGGCCTGTGTCCTAAAAGCTAGGCCAGCCTCATCATGAGCATGAAGATCAACTATTGTTCCTTCCATGATATGAATGTAGTGGGAAGTGCATGGAGCTGGGAGTCAGGACTCTCTGGGTTTCCATTTCCTTTTTGTTTCAGGTTAGTTGTGTTGACTTTGGGCAAAACCTTTTTCTCTGAAGGCTTCAGTCCCTTCATGTCTAAAATAAGAGATTAATCCTAATTCAGATGATTCTGACTTTTTTAGCCCTCACTGAATCTCATGTTTTAAAATTTTTGTTTGCAAATAAAATGCATCTGTTGTGTAATAATTTATATTTTAGTTTTAGAAATCAAAGGTAACTAAAACTGCGTTTTAAAATTTGGATATTAGGATTATATCATTGTGACTCAACACATGAAAGGTCTACAATGCATAGCAGTCAATCAGAACTTTTGATCAGTGTGACATAACCAGGGTTGCCATATTTATCCAGCCCAAAGTCAACACTCAACAATGACTATTGATTGAATAGGTGAAGAAAGGAGTGAATTAATGAGTGAGCAAAGGAAAAATAAAGTCATAGTTTGTGTGATTCAAAATCAGAACATGAGCTAGAGGTCTCATCTCTATGTCTGCATTCTTCTCTGAATGGGCCCATGGATGCTATGCTGAGAACCAAGAGCCCATGACTGTATGGCTCCATGATTTAGCCATTTCACTTCTGACGGGTGCTCCATACACCAAGCCGGTCTGGTCCCTGCTCCATTTGTTAGTGATAGTATCGTGACCCTCAAACTTCTGTACCTTTGATTCCTCCCCAAAATCTTGTGAGAAGACCTGCAGGAGCCCTCTCCTTCTCCTCCTTCTCTTCCTCTTTGCATCTCTCACCCCCCGTATCTTGCCCAGCCTTGCCACTCATCCCTCCTGCGACTGTCCATCTTTCAAGTCTAAGCACTGTGGGCCCCTTTGAAGGATGAGCTTGTGGCTGCAGTTTTGTCCTCAGTGATGCCAACTCATTACTCTCTCTCTCTTTATTAGTTCTTGGGCTCAGGTTGATGTGTTGCTGATTCATGAGGCATTTGTTCTGCACCACAAAACAACTGAAGAATACCCTTCTCATTCCAATGAATTGTGTCACAAAGTTAATTATGAGATGACCTTCCTGATTGCAAGCAGGAGGGACCAGGTGTCCAAGCCTCACTTGACAATTGTCTTCTGAAAAGAAAGACTCAGGGGCAAATGCAAGGAGATGTCTAAGACTAGAGTCTGACATTCAGAGCCTGAGATCTCACATTGCTGCAGGCCCTCTGCCCTGGACTCAGAATTCTTCAGTGCCCCTTTCTTCTCAGTTCCTTTCATTTCCTGCCATCCCTTCCCACGTGGAGCAGCGTAATAAAGAAAAATCCATGAGCCTTGCTGTCTGATAGACCTAGATTCAAAACCTGTGTGACCTTGAGCAAGTCACTTAAAGTCTACGAGTTTCTACCTCCATAAAAGTGGGGAGATAATACCCAGCATACAGCCCTGTTAGAGTTTTTTGGAGTAATGTAGGCAGTGAGGAGAGGAGAACCAGACACAGAGCAAGACCCAGCCAATGATGGTTCCCTACTCCCACCTGTCCCTCTTCACCTTGGATCTGGCTGAGAGCTCTTATGGCTAGGAAACTTCCCCAGTTTCCCTGTTCTGAGCCTTCTACCTATTCTGAACCATGAATCCAGGAGCCCCTAGTCGGTGCAGATTCCTCGCCTGGGTAAGGGCCAGCAGACACCCAGGAGGTCCTAACCTGGGAGCTGTAGTGTGAACGGAACCTATAGAAAGGGACTTTCTTCTTGGGGCCTCAGGATGGTGGTTATTGATTACTCACAGAAAAGGGCTCCATTCTATTCTCCAGAATGTCTCCCAAGTGTGGATTTCGCCAAAGATCAGACAGTTCCATGCTCTTGGCACACTTGAGGCTCAGGCGAAGGGTGGTCGGGGGTTATTTTGGGGGTTAAGTTCTGGGGCAACAAGATTAGTCTAACAGAGAAGACCCAATGTCGTGTTCACTGAAATTACTCCTCAGTGAGGAACTCTCCAGAAACCATCCCTTTCACAGCATGGGTTATAGAAACCAACATTATAAAATCATCTAAGCACCAGGCAATGGGCCATGGGTCCCATGGGCCTCACCTTCATAACAAATTGTGCTCTGTCTTATAGGAACAATTTTCCTTATTTTGCAAATGTAGAATAAGAAGACCAAAGAAGTTAAGTAACTTGCCCATGTCACACAGCAAATGAGTCAGGAGTTAAGCTCTGTGTTTCTTGGAACCTTCACATGAGCCACACACACCTCAGATTCCCTGTTACCTCACTCCTAATGATGCTGTGACTCCCTCTTGGGTGCTGTTCACCAATATCAAAAGGTTCTCTGCCTCTTGTTTGCTTTTCTATTATGCAGAAATACCAGGAGTTGCAGGAGAAACTGTAACTCTTGTGCAATGTGGCCAGAAGGAGCTCAAGAAGACTTATGACTGCTGGGGTAGACAATATGTGTAGGTGAAGTCCTAATTGCTAGGCTTGAGGCAGAATTGAAGAGCAAAGACTCCAAAATTAACTAGTAAAAGCCAAGTGAGTGCCCAAGTTGAGATAAGGGAGACAGGATATTTGGAAGAGGAGCTGAAAGGTGAAATCTGATAGACTGGGGATGGGGTGGAATGTTCCCCCAGTGGTATAGGTTCAAAGACTGATAATTCATGGTGAATAGGAACTCAGGCTCTGGACAAGGCAGAACCCCATTTCTACCTCTTACCCACTGTGTAGTCTTGGATAAGTTATTTAACTTTGAACGTCAGCATCTCAATTTGTGCAATATGGGTGTTCAGATTCCTATCTAATCATGAGAATTCAAGGATGTTATGCCTGAAAGTGCTTAGCACGAAACGTGGTACGCAACAAGTCCCCAACACGTTAGCTGTGATTATGATTTCTGAGAAGCTGGTTGTGACTGAATGGCACAGGCTAGGCATGAGAAAACGTGCCTGCTTTAGTTGGGGTAAAATAAACTCAAGCACGTGTCAGCACAACTTCTGATCCTAATGATGTTGGGGGTGGGTATAATGTTGTTAACAGTACAGAATTTGATCCTCTAGAATTCCTTTAACAACCTGGTAGCCATCACTGGAGAAGTTTGCTAGCCTTGACTTGTATGCCACCCCTGCCCCAGTTATATTTTCCCCTCTAATGCTTGGGCTCACTGTGGCATTAGTGCTATGAATGCTCTGCTCGAGCGGAACATCTGAGCACAAGATCTAGTGACAGACTGTGGTCAGTGGGCCTCGGTGGAGGTGGCTAGAAGGAGGACAGATGTTGGCGATGCTAATGGATGCAGACTACTGCCTTCCCTACCTCTGGGCCTGTTCACTCGGGATCCATAGCGCGTCACAAATGGATTTCTCATATCCTCTTTCCAAACTTCCTCCAACCCCCTAGCTTCAGAGGGAGGCAGGGATTTGTTGAGGCACATTCATCAAACCAGCAGAATCACTTCTGTTCACTTCTGATTGGATTCATAAATTTGTTTTGCCACAGTCGTCTCGTTCAGAGAGTTGACAAGCTTTTCTTGAATTCATGAATTTGGGAGGAAATGAACCAAAGGGACGGAGGAGCCCAATTTTGAACGGAACTGCTAGTATGTTTTTCTCCAACTTTCATGAACAATTTCAGGAGAAAGATTACAGAGTTGTGAAAAGGACCAGCACATTGTTGGATTGAAACATCTTCACCAGGCATTAACCATTTACAAAATATCACACAGAAATAAGCAAACATAGGACCAGAGACTTATGCCTATTTTTCCAGTCTATTTGCATATTTATGTTTTTGCCAAGGAAGCTAATGAATTTCATTCATCCACTTAGCAAATATTTATAACACTCTGGCATATGCCAGAGGCTGTTCTAGGCACTTTGAGTGCATAAGTAAAAAAACATCCCTTCCCTTGGATTGGATTGAGATGTAAGTGAAGCTTACATTTTTGAGTAGGGAAAGGAAGGATGTGTGTGTGTGTCTGTGTCTGTGTGTGTGTGTGTGTGTGTGTGTGTGTGTCTCATTTCTCAGATGTCACCAGTTTCTCCCCCTTTCCAGAAGTTACCACCATTCTTGATATTTTCTCATGTGGCATATTGGCCTTAAAAGTGTTCTAAAACTGACCTCTCTTCATAATTTTCTGGGATGTTTGTTAAGCATAGAGATTTGTAAGACTTGGCCCAGAACTACTGAAGTAGAATTTTCAGGAGTGAAGCCTAGGAATCTTTATTTCTGTCCTGTTCCCTGAACCTGGGGAAGCAGACAGTCAGAAACCAGTCAAAAGGGGAAGCATTTGGGAACAATGGGGTAGGCGGTGGAAAGCCCAGAGATTTTGGAAACATAGTCATGATCTTAATCTTAATCCTACCAGCTACTAACAGTGTGACTAGAAGCAAGTCATATATTTCCAAGTCTACTTTTCTTCTCTTGTAAAATGCGAATAATAATGCCTACCTTATGGTTGTGTTGTAGAAACCAAATAGCTGACATATCTCATGTAATCAGCCCAACACTGGCACATGTTAGGAGCTTGATAAATTCCTTTCTAACTCAGCTGGAAAAAAAAGTTCTGTTATTTCTTAACTGGATAACATTCCGTGTGTGTGTGTGTGTGTGTGTGCATGTGTTTGTGACACACACAGAGAGAATATACGTGAGCACATATATGTGCCTTTATATTTACTTGGCTAATAAAGAAGGCACAAGAGAGGCAAATCCTGATTTCATATTTCTTAAATATCTACTTAGATGTTTCTACTAAAATCTGAAATTTGGCCCAGTCGTAGCCATTATTTCCAAAGTATTTTCACAAACTCAGAACTTTAGGGATTAGCTGGTTAATGTTAACATCTGACCAATACTTAAAATGCTTCATTTCTCTGTATCATTTCAGTTTCAAAGCCAATTACTTTGATTAGCATTAAATTTAATAATATGAACATCATGCATTTGTATGTTACTTTATAATTTTTTGAAATATATTCACATATCTTTGGATCTTCATAACTATCCTGGGAGTTAATCAAGGCAGATATAATTATTCTAGCACCACAGATGAAAACACTGAAATCTATAGAGGTGAAATAATGTAACCAATTTTCATGGAGTTAGAGACAAAGCTTAGACTATGGCAAAGCTTAAACAATGACCCAGATGAGCCTAGAGCCATTGTTAATACCAGATACTACCCACTAGGGATCTAGGTCCTATAATGAAAAGAGGCCCTATCTGCTACATAGGGTTTCTGATTTCACTGAAAGTGCTGAGAGCCCGCAGGCCATCAGAGCCCACGTGTTTATTTTCTGAGAAGGAAAGAAGGATCATGTGTGGGCACCACAGCAATACACAAATTCAGTACACACTGAGTTAAAAAGAATTAAAAATTATAAATGAATACAAGCAAGTGACATTAACTCCTTGGAAAGCCATCTAAACTGAAAGAGTTCCTTCTAGAATCGGGGTTACCAGTGGTGAAACATCAAACCAGGCTGGAAATTGGGCTGCCACAGGGGACGTGCCTCTTACTCATGATTTCTGTGAATGGAGCCAGTGAGCAAATGAGCAGCCTGCAGGAGTGGGGTTCTGATGGTCTGAATAAAGACACTTCACAATCCATGGGATTAACTGGGTAGAATCAAGGTATGACCCAAATAGATATTTAAAATATTGGTCACATCAAACGGTGTCAGTCTGAAAAATGGAAACAAAATTTTAAGCCAAAGAGGTATGGGTAACCTGCAGGAATCAATGAAGGTGAATGTGTCTAAGCAAATAACAGGTCCCTCCCATGAGCAGATTGTTTGCATTTTAAAGGACTGAAAGAGGCAGACATCAGAAAGTGGCAAACATCATGATTTCTTTATTGCTTTCTTCAAAGGAATTGTTTAAAAGCCAATTACATAATAGGTGTGAAATCATTGTGAAGTATGGCAGTTATGGGAGAAATTCAGGAATAGAATATTTCTCTGGTGTTATGATGGCTAGAAAAAAGATGGATATAAATTCAAGTCAACGAGATAATTTATTGAACATACAAGGATTTTAAATGTGCATTGTCTCATTCATACCTCAGGACAACCCTATGGTAGGTCCCATTTCTTTTCCCATTTTACAGACAAGGAAATTGAAGTTCAGAGAGATGACGTCACACAGGCAGGTTTTCACCCAAGTCTCTTCCTTTTGGCTTTGAAGGTTTATGGTCCTTCTTCCCCTGTGGTTGAGCTTAGTCCATTTTTACAAAACTGTTTGTGAGCTGGAAATGGATATGCATGGAAGGTCAGATTCCCCTGAAGGTCCATTAGGCAGATTGAGTGAAGGGCTGGAGACTTAGACACCAGTATAGGCAATTTCCTAAAACTGGGACAGTAGTTGAGCATCAGAGTGAATATAGGCATATGCGTGAGTTCCAAGAGAGAAGGCCTGTGACTCCAGATGGAGCCCACAGATGGGTCAGCTCAGTTTTGGGAATCATAGTCCTAGAATATCATGGCAGCCTTCAGCTGACACTGCTGTTTCCTTGCTTAAAGGTATTAGCTCTTCCAGGTCCACTTCTCACCTTGGTATTTAAAGGCATTCTACATGGCTCCTGACAGGAATCTGGACAAAAGCTGAACATGGCTTCAGATTCCTTGGCTTCCTTCCTCTTCCTGGGAGGACAAAAATTAGCCTACTAATTTGCAACTGGGCAAGAGAAGAGAGTGACTTCTCTGGGGCCCTGGCACTAATCAGGGATCTTTCTAAGAGTATTGAGGAGCTCATAAAATTGCTGGCACTCTGAAGAAGCAGGCTCAGCAAAATCTCTACCACCCCTACTTCTTTGTGTTCCTCACTCAAAATTCAAAAGTCCAAGATTGAGAGAGTGACTGGCTGGGCCACAATCATGGTGTCCCTTGAGCTAGGACTTGGTCATGTGACTGGGCTCAGCTGATCAGACTCACAAAGGCCTTCCCCAGATGTAGACTTAAAAGCAGAACCCAGAAAGCAACACACACTTGAAAAGAATGGAGTTCAGGATTCCTCGGGACCTTCTCTTGGGGAAGCTGAACTCTTCTGTTATTACAACACAGACTGGGGTCCTGATCTTTGGACCTCTGGGACAGGATGGTGGCTCAGCCCAGAAGGCATCCACCCCATCCTCCTCTCTTAGAACAACCTTCCTGTTTCTTTAAGCATTTGGCTCAATGTCCACACATTTCTCGTAAACAAACTCATTCTCTTCATTAAACCAATGTCCCTTTTTCCTTTGTTTCACTTCCCCTACCCCACTGATCTGTCTCAAGCAGGGTTCAGATGAAGACAGTAGCAGCTGAGATGCTCTTCAAACCAAGAGATATGGAGAGGTTGGGCCACATTTCCTGAGCAAGAAAAATCCAGGAACTAGAGTTTTTAAGTGACAATAGAACCTTGGCGTGAGGTCAGTGAACCTCACAATTTTATGGTTCTCTAGCATTTATTTCAAAGATCGTGGAACAAGTACAATTCCATGGTGAAAAGAACATCGACTCTGCTATTTATTAGCTCTGTGACTTTGAACACATTCTTCGTTTTGATGAATCTCAATTTTCCAAATGGGAATAATATTGCCTACCACATAGAGTTAGTGACAATGTTAAATAAGATTAGATTGGGTGTTTTTCTGGCACAAAATAAGGTTTTATCTCTAAAGGACCCTCCCTCCTGCCCAAGTATTATTACTGGAACCCTACTTCCACTTTCGCTGGCATGGAACCAAGAGAGTTCATGGTTCACGAACTCCCTATATTAGAGTCCCAAGGAGTCTTCAAGAGTATAAGCATTAAATCAGACCCTATATGTTCAAATCCTAGCTGAGCCACATGCTACTTGTGAAACCTTGAACAAATTACTTAAATTACCTGTGTCTCAGTTTTCTCCTCTTAAAATGGCAATGTTAAAAGTATCTACCCCTTAGGGTTGTCATGAAATTTAAAGTTAATACACGTAAAGCACTTAGACTTAGCCTGACATATAATAAGCACTCAAGAAACATTAGGTAACATTCACTCAACAAATATTTATTGGATGTCTACTATGCCAAGGTGCTATGTTAGGCTTTGGAGTAGCAAAGATGAATTAGACACAGGCTAGCTCTTAAGGAGCTCGCAGCCCTATGGAACAGAGCTATGAGATATTGAGCTAAAATCACTTCTACTTTTCCTAGAGTTACTAAAGTTTCCTTTGCTTATTTAAGGCTGCTGAGTTTTCTCTCACCTCCCTACTTCTATAGGGGATTGCTTTTTCAAACCTATATCTATAAGCATCTCTAAGCCAGACCTTTTAAGACGAGGTCTTTTCTTTCTGTTCCTCCTTTTGGATATTGAGAAGTGAGTCCCTTGAGGTTATGTCCTTAGTAATCTTACAAGTTTCTAATAACCAAGGACTTCCCCCACAAGAAAAAGAAAAAAAAATACCCACAGTATTAATCATACTAGTCTAGCATTTAGTTCCCTAATATTTAATTGCTTAATTTCTCAAGGTTATATTTACTTTTGATTAAATTCTTTAAGTTCTAAATCTATGCAAAATATGTTCCAAGAATTTTTCATCTTTTTATGTTAATGAATAGTTAAATGAACAAAATTGTTTGCAATCAAATAATCAACACATCCCCCCACCCTCACCCAAAGTAATTTCATGGTTCTTAAGCATTTATTTCAAAGATCATGGAACAAGTACATTTCAAACGTATAGGACTTCACAAGATTTTCTTAGAGAAAAGTTTTTACAAGCAAATGAGTACCAAAGACAGCTGTTATTTTTCATCTTCAGAACGTGGTGATTATCTGGACCAAGGTTTTTGCTGCATATTTTACCTGGAAGCTTAGATAGTGATAGGCACTCACTCTGTGTGTCAAGTTTCATTCTCCACTCTGATGAGATGGCTGCTCACGTGTCCAGACCTGCAGAGGGTCATGTGCATAGGGAATGGGTGTCAGGTTGAGGAGCATGGTAACCAGAGGCTCCAGGGCCAAAGAAATGGGGGTGGGAGGAAACTGAGCACAGAAGAAGAAAGATGTGATAGCCAATAAAGTTCACTTTCCTAGGGAAATATTTCTGGGCTGGAAAGAGTAAAACAGAATTAAAGGGAAAAGAAGGAGAAGGAGAAACAGAAGTTGGGACAAGAGATGGGAGGGAGGCAAAGGAAAGGGAAAAATTGAGTGGAGAGAAAGACTGGGAAAGAAAAAAGAAAGGAGAGAGCAAAAATGAGAACGACAGAGAGGAAGGCAGTTGATGGAAAATCTAGAAGGAAGACAGAATGGAAAGAAAGGAGAATCTGGAAGCAGAAAGAAGGAAGGAACCCATGGGCTACCCAGGGCAGGAGATTCAGGACTCCAGGGTTGAAGAACAAGATTTTCCACCGACTCACTCTGTGACATTTAGCAGGTCCCCTTGTCACCACCCAGCCCCTGGCTTATTAGGTAAAGTGGTTCTGCGTAAGATACCTACCACAGAGGCTTGGGGAAATTAAACGAGGATGTGAACCTAAAGCATCAAATACAGTGTCTACTAGGACAGATTATCTATAAGTAAAATCTTCATTTGGCTGCTTGGTCTCAATTTCCCAATCTATTAAGTAAATCTTCTGATCTCTAGTAGTCAAAAATAAAACTGGCAAGATGACAGCAGGATGGGAACAAATATGAGCAAAACACAGACTTTGCCCTTGGAGAGCTCAAAGTCAAATAGAAAAAAAGTCACCACATGCTACAGGTGTGTTGAGTTCTAACACAGAAGTCTATGCTGAACACTACGGGGGTTAGAAAAGGGAGCTTTTAATGCCACCTGCAGAAGTCATGGAGAGTTCCCAGAGGAAGTGACATTTGAACGGAGAGGTGAAGAATGTTCCAGTCAAGTGATGACACTCTCTGGAATTGTTACACTACCATAATTAAAGTGCACTGAATCTTTTTCTATCTGATGGGGGGGGAATAAAATAATTTAAAAAAAGATATTTTCCAAATGGAGAAGGGGAGGGATTGGCTTTTCACCCACAGTAAACGGCAGGCACAAAGCAGAGACAGGAAGAAGCATGGTGCACACAATGAAAAATAAGTTATATGGAAGAAGTGTGTCAGCTGGAATCAGATCTTGAAGAGTTTTGTGTGCAAGACTGTGAAATTGCATTTTATTTGTGAAGCCATCAGGACCCACCTAACGACTTTAAATAGAAGTGCATTACACTTGGATTTGGTATTTAGAAACAACCCTGGGACTGTGTATTAGAGGCAGCTGAGCCTACATGCAGGGAGATCGGCTATTCTACTCATCCGGAGAAGACCTGATAAGGGTCTGAGAGAAAGCAGTCACAACAGGACTGGGAAGACAGAAAGGATCTAAGTGAAGTAAAATCATCAGGTACATGCACAAAATCCACACACACAGGAGAAATCCTATTTTAATGGGGGAGGCTAGAGCGTCCTCCTGAATTTCTGAGAAGCATGTGAGTGGTAGGTGGTCATCTGCCCTTATCTACTGATCATCACTACTTCTTCCAGATGATTCTTTCTTTCTTGAGATAAGGACAAAAATGAGTGCTTTATTTATCAACATTTGGTTAATACTGTATTTATTAAACCATTTAAAGAAGTCACTGTATATCTTAGTTGTTTGTTTTTAGGTATGATGCATAATTCATTAGTAGCAAATGCTTGGAGGATGAATCTGCTACAGATGAGAGAACTGTGTTAGGATAAAGAGCCTGATACTTTTGCAACTAGAAATTTCTATCAGACCCCTCAGCTGGGCCTCTGAAACCAGATATGTCTATAGAATACGCCTGTACACACCTCTCCACCAATCCATTTCCATTTTACATAGACAGATGAACTTTAGGATATGGCATTCTGGCTGATTTTTGGTGATCCCTAACACAATCTGTGTTATCCGGTGTGCTCATTCAGTTATCACTGGGGCTACTGAGTGAGGGGATGAGAAGAGCCAAAGAGACATGATGTTTGAGAATTTCCATTACCTGGAGGAAGCTCAGGGGTAGCTTATTCTATGTAGGTCCAAGGTCAGAGCAACAACCCATAGGTAGAAGTCACCTGGGAGCAGAAGTCACCTGGGAGCAGAAGTCACCTGGAGACAGATTTCAGCTCATTCTCAGACAGAACTAGGAATCTGTCAAGCAGAGAATAGATGCCATCATGCAGAATAGATTACACTTTTATTGAGCACCACTGCATACCAGGCACTGTGCTAGGATTCCTATAGCCACGTTCTTTTTGAAATCTCCTCTATGGTTTAAGAATACCTCCACTTCACAGAAAGCACCCAATGCCCTAAAAGGTCAAATGACTTGCCCATGGTCTCACAACAGGTAAACAGTAGATCTAGGATTTAAGTCCATCCCACAGACCCCAAACTGAGACTGATGATTTCCTGATAAATGTTCAGGTGGCCTGTCCCTGAAACTATACAACCAGAGGCAGAATGACAAAATGCCTGGGAAGCTGTAGAAGGGATCGGCTTTGGACAGGACATTAGCCCAGACAAAGCCAGACTTTCCTTGTAACTTTGAGGATCTCCAATTCTTAAACAGCAAAATGAAACTGAAATGAATACGTGGTGGAGTTCCCCGAATGCAAGGAGAGAAAACCATAACAAGAGTAGTTATCTGCAACATAAATGATTTTTTTTCTGTTTTTGAAAAAGGGGGAAAGAAGCAGAAACCACAAAAGGAAGCAAACATATATTTTATAAAACATTTTTCATCACCAAAAGTTCTGTTTTAGGTATTCTCCTTGCATGTTTTCATGCTGAAACCTATTTGCAAATTATTTTCTCACTTTTTTTCCACATGAAATGTACTCTCGATTATATGACAAGAAATTATATGGTGCTAATAATTTATTTAAAACCAGATCCATGTCTCACATTCATTCTGTGTTGTGAAATCAAGTAGATGCAGAAGGGGGATTTTTTTCCTCTGAACTTTCTGACCACCTCTATTGTGGAAGAGAGAGTAATAGCAGGTATCGAGGGTGCCAATTATGTGGTGATGTACAAACCCGCTGGAGAAAAATCTATATGATATTTTAATGCTAGTCAAACAGAACGATGAAGTTTAAATTAGCTTCAAGCTACTAAAAATTCTAACTATGGCTCTGCCTTCATTGTATGTGAGGGTGAAAAATAGCTGTATGGAAAACATATATGTCTATCTTCTCTGTGGATAGGCGGTCTGGTGCCTCTTCCTTTTGCTAATGTGCAAGGCTCCATTTTTTGTTTGTTCATTGCTCCATTTTTCCATTGCTTCCTTCACCTTTTTTACTCTCGCTCATTTTTCTTGCTGACCACCTATCTTTTCTTCTTCCAATTATCATATTGCCTACTTTTTTCTATTAATTCATCTATTAATTTCATAAGCTCATAGAATCAAAGAAGGTTAGAACTAAGACTCTGCTAAAAAAAAAAAAAAGTGGGGGGCGTTGAAAAAAATAATCAGACCCACCCTCCTATGGTATAGATGGGTGAGTGTATGGAAGGGGTGAAGGGCTAAGGGTTTCCAAGAGGACACAGCTCATTTAAGCCACCCAACGATTTTTTTTTTTTTTGAGATGGAGTCTCACTCTGTTGCCCAGGCTGGAGTGCAGTGGCACAGTCTCAGCTCATGGCAAGCTCCACCTCCTGGGTTCACGCCATTCTCCTGCCTCAGCCTCCCAAGTAGCTGGGACTACAGGTGCCCGCCACCACGCCCGGCTAATTTTTTTTTTTTTTTTGTATTTTTAGTAGAGATGGGGTTTCACCATGTTAGTCAGGATGGTCTCGATCTCCTGACCTCGTGATCTGCCCGCCTCGGCCTCCCACAGTGCTGGGATTACAGGCGTGAGCCACCGCCCCACGCCTGCCACTCAACAATTTTCTAAGGGAGTAGACTGATCAGGGAGTGGGCATAGAGAAACGGAATTTGGGTCAGAATATGAATCCAGAATCCTCATCTCCGTAGACTCTGTCTATTATTACAAAAATCCACGTGTAATAGTCAAATTTCCAAAAGATATTTTTTTCCTTTTTTTTTTTTTTTTGTTTTAAAGTATTAAGGCACATCTAAACCTCATGCAACCCGATCAGAAGGTGAGGTAGGTAGCACTGATGAGGAATATCTCTATTATAGGGATGAGAAAGTGGGGTGGGACAGGGGAATGATGTTGAATGAATTCCTCTTATGGGACAGGCACATTCCCATGTGATTTAACCCACAATCAGCCCTGCCATTAAGTATTTATGTGACTGTTCTATAGACCAAGGGTCTGAGGTTCAGAAAACTTAACTGGTCACACAGCTGGAGCATGACTGAGCTGAAAAGAAGTGTAGCAAGCCCATGTTTTCTGTGAGATGTGGCCAGGCCCTCAGGTGTCACAACAGGCTCATGAAAGAGTTGGGGCTGGAAGTAGAGGTCTTCTTCTAACTCAGAACACTTCCCAAACCATCTCAGTAAATAAGTACAGAAGGTTGGTGTGGCCTCCTCAAGGGATGACAGACTTCGCATTGATTCATTATTGATATTAACACTCACACCAGGAGGATGGAGCAGACGGGCAGGGAAGAGGAGCTCAAGCTGAACTTGGGGAGTTAAGTATAGTTCACTTTGAAAAATTGGCTACATGAGGATAAAGCACAAAGTTTAGGATTTTAAAAGTAAGTGTCGGGATAAGAGGATTGGAGATGATTTCTTAATTTTTTTCATGGAAAATAGCTGTATTGTTTTCATAAAAAATTGAGCAATATAGAAAAGCTCAAAGAATAGTGAAAATCATGCAGAATATCACCACCAAGTTGTACTCACTAATAAAGAGTGGGTATCTATCTTTACAGACTTCTTTGCTTGCCAGGAAACAGATGCATGTTTTCTTTGTATTTTCCTGTACTTTCCAATTTTTCTGGGATATCTTATTTATTTATTTTATAATACATAAACACTCTTTAATTTGAAAAGTCATTTGGGGCTAGGTGATACAGAACTTTAGAATAGCAGGCTTAGGGGGTTGCTTATATATCTGGCATGTCTGTCTGTCCTTCTGTCCTCAAATGCCACCTCCTTCTAAAAATGACTCGAAAGGAAAGAATAAGACATTTAGAGTTCACTTGGTAAACAATTGGGAAACACTGAAGAATTTTGAGCATATGTAAAATATGATCCAATTAACAAATTAGAAACATTTCTCTTGCACACAGTCCTCAAAACTTAGTCTCTGAAATACCAGCATCAGAGACTTGTTAAAAATGCCAATTATCAGGCCCCAGCCCAGACTTACTGAATCCAAGACTCAAGGAGTTGGGACCCAGAAATCTAATTTTAATAAGCCCTCCAGTGATTCTGATGCATGCTAGAGCTTGGAACCTCTACACTATGCTGGAGCAGTATTTAGAGAGCATAGCTTGGTGGGGAAAATGTGGTGGTAAGAGTAAAAGCCCTGTCAGTCAACATGGTGAGACATGATGAAGAATGATGAAGAATTGCTGTCAGAGCCCAGTCCTGTCATGCTCAATGTCCAGGTAAGGCTGAGCTGGTGTTTCCATGTCCTGAATTACAACCCACAATCTGAATTTATGTATGGCCAGGACAAGACTTAGGAATCAATTTTTTTTCCACCAATGTAAATATCTCTCATAAAAACGCAGGTTTTCGACAAATTCATTTTAAAAATTGGGTTGGCCTGTTAATTCCTAAAGCTAAGTGCTTGTCTTCTTGTGCATATTATTTATAAAAAAGAAGTTTAAAAACCCTCCCGGCTTGTCATTTAATATCTGAATGTTTCTAGAAAGAGAATATTGTTATGTGGGCAGGCTCATTCTTCCTTTTATTTTTATTTTTTTCAGTCCTCTAAACATGGAAGTGTGTGAGGATCAGTTCTGAATCCTTCATCAGCTCTGATATGGGAGCCCTGATTTTCTGTTGGAGATTACTTCTCCGGGCCCCCTCCCCCAAGTTGAAAGATGACATTGTTCACCACAACGATTCCCTCAGGATTCTCCCACGTCATGCCTGCCGAGCCCCAGTGACAAGATATAGGGGGCAGTTAGGCTATTACATACTCTCCCTGCCACTTTCAATCAAGCCTAATGCAATCAGAAACACATGACTACATCAACACATCTCCTTTAATCAAATGTGATTAAGTCAGTCATTAGTTTTTCAAGACAAATAAAGGATACAAGTGCTTGTATTACAAATGTAACCGCCCCCCTTCTTAAGTGATTTGTTAGAAAGGAAGCCCCCTGGAACAGAATTTAGAACCTTTGCAGGTCTTTGTATGTTTCCTGCTGGTATTTATTGGAATAGAGCATCTGGGGTTTGTATCCAATTTCTTCTTGTCTGTCCTCCCTTGCAAAGCCCCCATGTTGTCAAGCAGAATTTGGCTTCAGCTTGATCAGAATGATTTCATTATCCCATTGTTACCATTATGACTTGGGCAATTAGTAGTTTATAAGTATAAATTTATGGCAATCTGTGATCCAGGCGCATTGGCAGTAGTCAGGGCATAATAAAAACCCAATCAATTTCTTTCATTTAATATGTAGGCTGTGACCCTAGTTTTGATTAGAACTCTTAGCTATTTCATCTTTAAATAAAAAAGAATGTCTTCAAGCAATTATATGGTGTGTTAATTGGATATTCCTTTTTATCTCTTATACTACTGAATGCATTGCTAACGAAATCCTTGTTTTCTCCTTCTGTCTCATTCTTAGTAATGTCTCTCCGCCTCCCTCTCTCTGACTCTCTTACTCTTTGTCTCCCTGCTTCTCAGTCTCTACCTCATTTTTTCCTGATATCTCTCTATTTTGAGACCTCATTGGCCACACACAGCTTGACTAAAATGCAGGGGGTTTGGTGTGCCCACCTTTCCACTTTCCTCTCCATTTGTGAAGCCCCCATTCTCACTGTGTTTTATGTCCCCAACTTTCCATTAGGACTTTCAGGTATTATGGAGCTGAAGTCACCAGGTTGCCTAGAAAGCCTAGCACATAGTAGGTGCTTAATAAGTAATAAATAAATAAATGAGGCCACCCTCCATTCCCTGTGTATCACACTGTCACTCTCTTTCCCAGAACAGTTTACTAAGATCTGTTTTGTTTTTCTGGAATAATATTTCCCTGAAAAATCTACAATCTCAGGTTTATACTAGATGTAAAAACAGGTGCCTAGACGGTGGTAAAAAAAAAAAAAAAAGGACCCAAGTCTCACTGATGGGGAACCCAGGTAGGTCAGAGACTTGGTCTGCCATGCAATTACAGAGCTTCTTATCTCTATCACATGGATTATGTCCTTTACGGGATGATTTTGTAAGCTTGGGTGAACCACTACCTAGAAAGTGTGCTTTCAGCTATTATTAGTTTTATTTCTTTAGCAAATCCTTCTATAATGCTTAATATCTTTCATTCATCCACAGATTCCGACAGGATTCTAAATCTCTTTTTGGTATAATTAAACACATCCAGAAAAGTATCATTTTGCTTATCTCTTGGAAACATTTCTCTTGAAGCCTTTCAGCTTCCTTTCCAACCTATACCCACAGCTCTACATGCCCTTGTTCTAGAAAGGGCATGATTTTGCCAACATTCTGGAGTTCCTTTAGGAGCTCTTGTTTCCTAGATGCTGTTTTTCTTTTTGTTGTTATAGTTTTATTTCTTTGCTTTTGTAAAGCACGTTTTGCAATAATATCCTAAAAAATAATACATGGGAGACATTTTTCGAGACCTCATTTGTCTGAAAATACAGTCATCTCTTGGTATACACAGGAGATTAGTGCCAGGCCCCCACCTGTGTTGGTTAATATTGAGTGAAAACTTGATTGGACTGAAGGATGCTTAGGTAGGTGGTAAAGTATTGTTTCTAGATGTGTCTCTGACGTTGTTGCCAAAGGAGATTAACATTTTGAGTCAGTGGACTGGGAGAGGCAGACCACCTTCAATCTTGGTGGGCACCATCTAAATCAGCTGCCAGCACGGCTAGAATAAAGCAGGCAGGAGAAGATGGAAGAGCAGACTTGCTGAGTCTTCCAGCCTTCATCTTTCTCCCGTGCTGGATGCTTCCTGCCCTCGAACATCAGACTCCAAGTTCCTGAGCTTTGGACTCTTGGACTTAAACCAGTGGTTTGCCAGGGACTTTTGGGCCTTTGGCCACAGGTGGAAGTCTGCACTGTCGGCTTCCCCACTTTTGAGGTTTTGGGACTTGGACTGATCCACCACTGGCTTCCTTGTTCCTCAACTTGCAGATGGTCTATCGTAGGACTTTACCTTGTGATCATATGTGTCAATTCTTAATAAACTCCTTTTCATATATACATATATCCTATTAGTTCTGCCTCTCTAGGGAACTCTGACTAATACATCCCTCCATACCAACATCCACCTACACGCAAGTCTCACAGTCAGCCCTGTGAAATCTCACATACAAAAAGTTGGTCATCGATGTATGTGAGTTTCTCATCCCATGAATACTTTATTTTCTATCTGTGTTTGGTTGCAGATGTAGGAACTCTTGACTATGAAGAGCTGACTGTATTTATTTCTAAATATTTGCATGTAACTGGACCCATGCAATTTGAACCCATGTTGTTCAAGGGCAACTGTATAGTTGTCTCCTCTTGTCCCAGGTTTCAGCTTTTACAGTTTCAGTTATCAGTGGTTAACCACAGTCTGAAAATAGGTGAGTAAAATATAGTAAGACATGTTGAAAGAGAGAGACCACACAACTTTTATTATAGTATAGTGTTATATAATTACACGATCTTTATTATTGTTGTTAATCTTTTACTGTGCCTAATTTATAAATTAAACTTTATCATAGGTATGTACTCTTACACTACTGTATGCATTGCTCATGGTATTTTTATTTTCTCTTTCACTTTTTCTGTCTAGGAAAAAAACATTGCATGTATAGGATTTGGAACTGTCTTCAGTTTCGGCATCCACTGGAGATCTTGGAACACATCTCCTGCAGATAAGGGGAGCCTGCTGTATCTATTCTATCCTCATATGTCACAATCATTTGGCTTGGTCAGAATTCTAGGTTGCAAATCATTTCTCCGAATTTTTGAGGCATTCCTGCAAGTGTTGCTGTTGAAAAGCCTGATTCCCTTCTTATTTCTGGTCCTCAGTATGTGACTTCCTTCCTTGTCTCCCATAACCCCTGTAGCTTTTAGCATCTTTTCTATCCTTGTATCCTGAGACGTCAAAATGATGTGCCTTCAGGTGAGTGTTTTGTTCATTCTATTTCTCAACTCCGCCATAAACCCTTGCAATCTGGAAAATTATTTTGTATTATTTTCTTCAACTGTAGAAAATTACCCTGTATTATTTTTCTGACAATTTCCTCTCCTCTCTTTTCTCTGTTCTCTTTCTCTAGAACTCATATTAACCCCGTTTTCAATTCTGATTTTCTTTTCTCTCCTATTTTCCATCTCATTGTTTTCTTTTTTTCTCACCCTTATCTTCCAACCCCTTTATTGCATTTTTAAAATGTTCTTACCATATTTTTAATTTCCAAAATCTTTTCCTGCTTTTGTGACTCCCTTGTTCATAGCATCCTGTTCTTGTTTCAGATGCACTAATTTCTCTTTTTCTACTCAAGAATGTTGACACAGACCAGCCTGACCCCAAAGATCACGTTTTGATCATGACATTCTGCCTAAAAAAAATCTTTTCTTGGTTCAAAGCTTATTCCTTTGAGAACTTGGAAATCAACAGAAATTGCTTTCTGATGTGGATCATAAACTAAAGCGTATGCTACACTATGACAGGGATCATGTCTGTATTATTTACCAATATATACTTTGCCTTAACACAATTGCTCCCATGAACAGATCTGTTCTGCAAGTAGTTGGCGAATGAATGAATGGTGCAAGAACTATAGCACCCTGATTTTAATAAAACAGCCAGAGAGGAAGAAAAGAGAGGGTTTCTAGGTCTTGTGTTGTCACAGCCATTCAGCAGCTCCTGATGTGATAAAACAATTTCAGAGTGAGAGTGTGGCTCTGTCCTACACTTCAGAGTGAGAGTCTGCCTAATGGAAATGGAATCCTTTAAGAAACTGCAGAAGCAAGAGGTGTGAGGTGTTTAACAGGACTATCCAATGAGTTCATTCATAATGTTAACAAACCAAATTCCTGAACAAGCTCAGAGGCCCGATTGGACCTGTCAGCCAGGAGAGACAGCTGTCGGTCAGGATTCATGGCAGGCATGTGCCTGCCCTGAGGGCAAGCTTGGCAAGGGGGGCTGGGTGGGGGTGGGAAGATAACAGAGATAAATCTAAATTCATTCGGGAAGCAGTCACACTCAATGACATATTCACTGACTTCTTCAACAGCTCATTTGATAATGTTCTCTCTGCACTATTCATTTTTCTGAAAGATGAAAGCTGGCTGAGGATCTCATCTGCTCGCTGATGCAGGGAAAGAATTTGAAATTAACACACACACACACACACACACACACACACACGATAGGGAGACTGGGTGAGAGAACGAGGAAATATTCTGATGACCAGTTTGTGGTTGGTCCTGACACAGGAGACCTAGACCCCCGGTGTGAGGTCACCTTTAATTAGTTATACATTATAATTCAACAACATGCCAATTGGCAGGTGTAAGGCTCCACAGGAGTGGGGGTTGGAGTGGGCTTTTTTCATGATAATTAATTGCTTGAAGAGCGTTATCTCCCTGGTGAGAGGCAAGTCATGATTTGCAATGGGAGAAGAGAGAGGTCGACACCTCAGGGCCAGGTACTACTTTATTTCTCAGTGGGTTTCAAGTTCCATTGTTCCTATGACATAAATCAATGAGTATTTGTTGACTGCCAGTCACTGTGCAGAGTCCAGAATGCAAGAGAAAATGAGAGACAAGTTGAGCTTCCTGGTACCACCTTCCAGTGAGGAAGACAAACTTAAAAACCTTGAAGTCTAATGCAGATGGTAGGGTAGTTGTCGTGACTTCTATTTTATAGCAGTGTAACCATGAACTTTGACTTTGTATGTTTAGGTAATGTATTCTCCTTGGTGAAATGGGGATAATAAAACCTAACTTTCAGGATTCAATGTTATGAGGATGGAAATCTACAGTGCTTAACTCAGCATGTGGCACACGCCTCTGGTTCAGTGTAGAACCTTGGCCTCAGGTCTTGCTTTCTCTGGTTAACCTCCAGAGTGAGTACTAGACAATTGCTCAGGATCGAACTCTGCCCTAGCCCTGCCCTTCTTATCTCCCACCAGCTTATAGCACTGGGCATGGATGGCCTTGGGGGCTAGGTTGGGGGAAAGGAGTATGCTGCCCACTTGGTTTATCTTTTATAGATCCAAACACAATACCTGTTAGATCAGTACAACACACATGCATTGAGGGCCTAAAGTGAGCCAGAAGTTTGTGTGGTTGACATAATAAGGCACAGCGTGTTGAGAGCAAAAGGCATAAAAGCAAACACCTGAACTGTAATGTGAGTCATGTGAAGTAAATACAAGGAACAGAGAGAGTGCAGAGAAGAGAGGGTTCGACTTAATTGGGTAATAATGAAAGTCATGGAAGCTGTCATAGAGGAAGTGGCAGTACTGTGTGACAAGAAGTATGCTCCAGGCCAGCAGTGCACTGGAGCAGACCTGCGCTGGCTCATGGTGCTCATCACCACGTTCTCAGAAACTCTGTGAGCTGATTGTTAAACATAATCATTATTAAAAATTAAATTACTATATCTGCAATCACAGTGGAAAAGAGTCTGGTGGCTTTTTAAAAATTAAACACAAGATTACATATGATCCAGCAATTTCACGTTTGGGTATGTACCCAAAAGAATTAAAAGCAGGGACTTGAATGGGTATTTGTATACCCATGTCCATAGCGTTATTCACAATAGCCAGAAGGCAGAAAGCACCCAAAATCCCAAATGTCCATCAGTGGATGAATGGATAAAGAAAACAAATTTTATATATATATCTATATATATATACACACACACACACATATAATTGTGTGTGTGTATAATGGAATATATGTATATATAATGGAATATACATGTATAATGGAATATATAATAGAATATATACAATGGAATATATTTCTATATAATTGAATATATACCTGTATGATAGAATATATACAATGGATATACACATGTAATGGAATATATATAACAGAATATCTATAAATGTATATATAATTAAATATATATAATGGAATGTGTGTATAGAATAGAATATATATAAAATGGAATGTGTATATAGAATAGAATATATATAATGGAATATGTATAATAGAATATATATAATGAAATATTATTCAGCCTTAAAAATGAAGAAAATCCTGCAATATGCAACAACATGGATGATCTTGAGAACATTATGCTAAGTGACATAAGCCAGACACAGAAGGATAAATGCTGTATGGTTCTACTCACACAAAATACATGCAGTTGTCAAATCCATAGAGAAAGAAAATAGAGTAGTGGTCACTCAGAGCTGAGGAATGGGAAATGGGAAGTTATTGTTTACTAGGTACAGAATTTCAGTTTGGGCAGATGAAAAAGTTCTGGAGATGAATGGTGGTTAAGGTTGAACAATGTGAATGTGCTTAATGCTATGGAACATTTAAACATGGTGAAAATGTTAAATTTTATGCTATGTATGTTTTACCACAATTAAAAATTTAATTCTATTAACATATTAAAATAAATTACATTAAGTTTAAACCTTAAAAATACTCAAAACTCATGCCTCCCTAATTATTTCATGATATTTTTCTGTAATCTGTGTTGTGGAGATTATTTATCTCTAGTATATCTAGTGGTGAAGATACCATATAATGATGTGCTACCACCCATGTCTTCCCCACTCTGCATTCAACGGCCTCATGTTGTATTAGTCATGGTAGGGACATTTATACCAGAGAAATTCATAAATGTTACAAATCAGGGGTTTTTGCTTTTGGTTTGGTTTTCTCCTGAGAGCTGGTTGTTGAATGTTTACCAGCAAACTACTGGGGGACAGGATTTGCAAAGCTCAGGGAGTATGAAATTGTTCTCTAGAAGCTGCAAGCATTTGGCACTATTAAACTGTAGAGAGCAATTTCAGATACGGAAGAAGTAAGCAAGATCAGTCATGAAGGGCTGAAAATGTCAAACTCAGAAGTTTCAAACTTCAATACTTTACTGTCAACTTCAATGCTTTATTAATAATAAAAATTTAGCTGGGAGACACCATACCATATTTCTAAACACAGTGGTGTTGACACCCTGAAGTTGAGAATCTCTGTTGTGGAAGTCCCTGAGAGATTATAAGCAGGGGTGATTAGGTCACATTTATTTATTTATTTTTATTGTGTTATAAACACTTAAGGAGATCTACCCTCTTCACAGATTTTTAAGTGCACAATATTGGTATTGATAAACACAATGCTGTACATCTGATCTCTAGAACTTATTCACCACACGTAACTGAAATTTTATGCATGGTGAATAAGTTCCCTCCATTTCCCCCTCCCTGGCAACCATCATTCTACTCTCTCCAGCCCCTGGCAACCATCATTCTACTCTCTGCTTCTTTGAGTTTGGCTATTTTAGATAACTAAAATAAGTGGAATCATGCATTATTTTTCCTTCTGTGACTGGCTTATTCTATTTAGCAAAAAGGTTTATCCATGTTCTCACATATTGCAGGATTTTCTTCTTTTTTAAGACCGAATAATATTCCACTGTATGTTGCTACAGTCTGAATGTGTTATATCACCAATGTTATATTGGTTTGACAAGAATGGTATATAAGCAAAAGAAATCTCCTCATTTCCTTGGATGTTAAGTAGTTTTCTTTGACAGACAGATATGGAAAATGACACCAATGGCTGTGTGGGCACTCATCTCTTCTGTGGGTCTGCTTCATTCTTTTGCTTTTCTTGACAAACCACCTTTTCTATTTACACACAGCCTCTCTGAACTGTTCATTCCAGGTCACTTGAGGCTTTGGCTCCTACTCCTGCAGGAGTGCTGACCCAAATCTTTGTGTCTTATAATTCAAATTCTCAAGCAGAAGAATGTAGATGGTTCAGATTAGCCTCTGTACAGTGTCCCTTGGGTTCAGTACTCATCTCAGTGTGTGGGTCACGTGCTACATCCCCACTGTTGGGGCTTTGGCCAAGGGACTGATTCGCACGGAGGGAATGTGTACAGAGAAGCTATGATTGTGTTTCTAGTAATGTCTTTTTTTGAATCTTTTTTTCTTACTGATTTGAAAGGATAATATTATGTTCTAGTCTATTAGAAATTATCATCGTGTTACAATTTATCTAAAACTTTTCATCAGTGTTGAGAATGAAAGTGCCATTCCTTCCTCTATTAGATAAGAACTGAATAGACATTAAATTTTTCTACTTATTCCCTTTGCTATTATGATTTTCAATTTTAGATCCTGATTATTGTTACTATAAATTATTTTAAAGCAATGTCTCATTAATATATATGTATACATTTTGTCTAATATACAAATCTATATTTAGTTGGGGTTCTTTTGTTTACCACTAGTTACTTTATACTGCTAACATTTCAATTCTTCAATTCTTTATGTTATGATTCATATCTTAGCTGAAATAGGTCTTCAAGTTATAAACACCACCCACTTACCTACCACATGCATTTTTCCCCTAGAGAGGGTTCAAGAGTTGTTTAATCTGCTGAGCCCTTTGAGAACCAAAAGTATCTTTTTCTTTCATTCATATACAGTAAGCTTCTTAATTTATTATATATTCTTAATATATATATTCTTCTTAATTTATTGTATATTCTTTAGTTACAAGCTTCTATTTTTTCTCATCTTCTACTAAAAATAGAAGAACTATTTTTGTCCTCCATAGATGTAATTTTTTTAACTATTGGAATTTAGTGGGTTTTTGTGTTGTTTTGTTTTGTTAGAATAGTCAGGCTGGCATGTTTTGTTTTCTTCCTTTTCAGATAACTATTTTTCTTTGTATGTACCTGCTGTGCTTTGTTTACTTCTAAATGTTTTTTAAAAGTCAGTAGAATAAGTCCAGATGTTTGTTTTTATTATGTTTGCTGAGTGCACAATGGGCTCCTTTAATACATAGATCAATTTCTTTACATCGTGAATGTTTTTTCTCTTTTTCTTCTGTGTATCCAATTCTCTCCTCTTGCATTACCCTAGATATTTTGGACCTCTGGAATCTGATTTCCATGCCCTTCCCCACCCCCAACCCTCACTTATTTCCCTTTCTCAAATAATGTTCTTAAATTGATCTTCTTTCTCTTTTCTTTAGAATATATGATCTCTTCCACTTTGTGCATCTGTGACCTTTCCCTGACTTCTGGCACTGATGCTTGTTTTTCCCCATTGTTAGCTCCCTTACTGATCATACGAATAGGAAAATGGAAGGTAGGGGAGAGTTGGACTCGTAATCCAGCCATCATCTTGAGATCCCCTTTAATTTCTAGATGCTGTTTCTGGGTACTTGCTGCCAAAACTTATGGCAGAAAGGGGACTTGGGTGTGAGGGCTAGGATTGCATGTGGATGTGAAGGCTGCTAAGGAATTATTATAACAAACCCCAGAGCTGACTTGAGTTAAAGCCCTATTCCAAAGAGGCAAAAGATAGGATGAATTTATAGCAGAGCCAGAGGGACAGGCCCAATTTGAGTGAGTTTCCAAACAAGAATAGACCCACCCAAGAAAGGAGCTGAGGTCAGGGCCAGGGTCAGGGGCAGTTGGAGCAGAACAGTCAGAAGAGAGGCAAGCAAAGAAGAACACAGGGTGCCCAGACCTGCATGGTTCATTCAGCCACACTGCTTGCATCCAGACCACTTGCAAAACTGACACATGGGGTTTCCCTTGACTCATCCTGCTTCCTCTCCTATCCCTCATTTTAAACTAGTCCAGGTTATCTCAACTATAACAGGTTCCCATCTGGTCTTCCTACTTTTCTCTGTGGCTCCTTCCTGTACCTAAAATGAAAATTCTATCCCTTCTCAGATGAAAATGTTTCTGCAACTTCCCCTTATTCTCAGAATATATCCAAACTCTGTGTGGTCTGTTCAGCCCTGCTGTATGTGACTCTACAATTCCCAAAATGCAGGCCTTGTTCTATGCGCCCCCTTTCACTTTCTCCTCCTATATGACCACCAACTCTTATCCTTGCATCTATGCCTAGTCCTAACCTGTTCCCTCTACCAGAAACACTCCCTCGCCTATCCTTCTGAATGCAACCTTAGGTCTTTCATGACTGTAATTTGGGTCCTCTCCTCCCCTATATATCTTCATAAAATATACCTTAGGGTTCATCTTCATCCCACAGGCAGTGCTCCTAAAGGGTTTGTACAAGGTGAACTAAAAGAATAACACATTGTAGTAAGTTGAATGGTGGCCCCTAAAAAGACAGATCCTCATCCCATTCCCTAGAAACTAAGAATGTTACCTAATGTGGGAAAAGGTCTTTGCAGGTGTGATTAATGATCTTGGATTCTCCAGGTGGGTTCTAAATCCAATAACAAGTACTTTTATGAGATAGACAGATGAGGAGAAATACAGATACACACAGGAGAAGGCAGAGGCAAAACTGGAGTGATGTGGCCACGAGCCCAGGAAGCCAGCAACCACCAGAAGCCAGAAGGGGAGGGGATCCTTCCTTACAGCCTTTAGAGGAAGCATGGCCCCAGCAACACCTTTAATTTAGATTCTGGTCTTCAGAACTTGGAGAGATAAATTTCTGTTGTTTTAAGCCACGATCTTTGGGGTAAATTGTTATGGTAGCCCTAGGAAACTAATACACGGGAGTCTGGGTCACAGGTATGCATGGACTTGCCCTGTCTGTAATGGACATCATTTCCGAATTCCATCTCATGCTGGCCTTTAAAGGGAAGTGGCTGGAGCCCAGTGTCTGACATTTTCTCCTCTCCACATTCCTTTCTAAAGGCACTCTGGACCTTCTGTCTTGGCACTTATCTTGGGTACTTAACATAATTTTATTGGGTTAACCAAATCTACCTTCAACTATTTCTTTCTGTCTAAACCAATGGTCCATTCTAGTCCAGTGATTGGTATCTTGTGTTTCTTAAGGTCATCTCCCTCTGTGTTTTTCTCTTTCTCTCTCTCCTCCATTCTCTCTTATCTCTAACTACTTCACACTTCAGCAGTTTCTTTAAAATTAAAGCACACAGCCAGTGTGCCCTGTCTCAAGTAGAGAGCCAAATTTCATTACCAATTGGAGCACTTTAAATCAATATTTGGACATTTAATGATTTTGCTCATTTTATTTGAATACATTAGAGAAGTCTGATAGGCCTATTAGGGTCCCTGTGATTAACATTTCGAATCAGTAAAAGGTGCCAATTAAAAAAAAATTGTCTTGTTTCTGGCCCACCATAAAAATCTGCATAATTTAGCAATTATTTTATCATTTTGAATATATATTAAAAAGTAGTTTTCAGTGTTTAATTAGAAGATACAGTCAACATATTTTAAAGTGAGCTACCTCCTCCATATATTAGAGCTGTAAGTAAGAAATATTTGGCGCCAGCTCCAATTTGTGAACTAGCTTCACATCACATTTCTGCTCAAGGCATACATGACCCTCAATCATCCTGTGTGCCCCTCTCATTAGGAACAGATTTACTACTAATCAGATGAACTAGAATCTCCCCTCGAGACTACAGATGGTGACACCACAATTAACGAAGAGGCCATGTCCTTAAAACTCAGTAACTTCTTTAAAACCTTAACCCCAGAGACAGAAATCCTAGAGGCTTTCTTGGATGTATTCTAGGAGGCCTAGGCCTAGTCAGGGCTCTGCTGCCCTCCTGCAAGGGTTAGAATTTGGGAAGATGAATATTACCTATTCATTTCACCTTCTTAGCCTTCTTCATTTAGGAAGAATGATGTAGTCATATCTGTCAAGTACAAGCTCATAACTAAGTACATTTTAAAAAACCAGATGATTATCATTAGTAGCTGTTTAAACTTTTGTTGAAAGGGCTTGGATAGGTCTGGATAGGTCATCAGCCAAACATGTCAGTGTGTGTGAGGGTGTTAGATCCTGCCTTAGGTAGAGCAGGACACCGACCTAGTATAATATGAATCTTGGCAGCCAGAAAGTATTGCACAAAAATACTAAGGGGATACCTGATCACTGAGTGCTGGGCAGAAAGATACAGGGATAGAAACAGGGAACAAATCCTGGGCAGAACTGATGCCAAACAACAATACGGCTGGAAGGAGTGGTTGCAGGATCTGAGCCATGGTGCCTCAGGGACAATGAGCACATAATATGTGGGTTGGTTACGCTTATTTAACAACTGAGGCAGACAGCAGAAGCAGGAGAATCTCATCTAGCTGATTTCATCTCAGAATCTGGTGCACTCTCATTATCTCCATCCTTCCCCTGACTCTGCCTGGTCACCCCTAATTCACCTAGCTCCTCTTTCTGTACCTGCCCTTTGGGCACAATTCATCAGCAGCCTCCCTTTCCCAGTTTAGAACCCATTTCTTCTCACTTATTTGACTTCTGCTCCTGAGCCTTCTGGGACCTCAGTCCCTTCCACTGGTCATCAGTACTCATTATTCCTGACATATAGGAGTCAGGTATAGAAGAGTGGTGCTCTCAAATAACCATTCAAAGCCAGGGAGAACTGGGAGCTGCCATGAGATCATCCTGAGAGGAGCGGCAATAACCAAAAGGCAACCAGGCAGGCAGAGGGGCTTTAGGCTAGCAGCCAAGGCAGTGTCTAAAAGGCTTTGTTTCTGGCTCAGTTCCTGGTGTCAGTGTGGAAGTAACAGAGTGAGCTACACAGGTAGATACTTTGCAAGTATCACCTTAGGAAGCTCTAAACATTAATAGGTAGCATGGTAGTTAGGATGACAGACCAGTAGCCCTGGAGTCCTCAGGCAGAGAGACTTGAGACATGGCCTCCTTCAGTAAAAAGAAAACCTTCTGGGTTTGTGATTCCTCCAGACTCCCCAATCCTCACTTCTCTCACTAGCTGACTGTCCTTGTCCATCTCTGTGCATGGGACACATCAGCCAGTGCTTATTCACTTATATCAGGAAGACCGCTTCAAACAAAGGAAGAGGACAGATAATTCTAGGCTTGGATAGAATCACCAACTGGCTGCTGTGAAGACCTACTCATAACTTCCAAAAGCTGTTATAACCCCTGCCAACCTACATCTTTCTCCCGTGTTAGATGCTTCCTGCCCTCGAACATTGGACTCTAAGTTCTTCAGTTTTGGAACTTGGACTGGCTCTCCTTACTCCTCAGCTTGCAGATGACCTATTATGGGATCTTGTGATCATGTGAGTTAATACCTAATAAACTCTCCTATATATTAGTTCTGTCCCTCTAGAGAACCCTAACTAATACATCACCAAACACTGTTTGCTAACTTGAACTACCTTCGCCAAATGTCTCATTTGAATCACTGACACCAACTTATGAAAGTGTAAGGTTGAATTCTATTACCACTGATCCCATTTGAACCTCTGGATACTGAGTCCTAGTTTCATACTGCAATTGCATCTCTACCTCCACCACCTGCCTCAAGCACAGGCTGAGGAGACAACACTCTCCTCTATGTTTGCATTACATTTTTGGAAGCAACAAATATTAACTTGAGTGTCTATGGAGTACCAGGCCACAATCTGGGCACTGGTACCCAGAGATAAAGAAGACATAACCCCTTCTCTTTCAAAGTGCACAGTCCTTATCATGGCACATTATATTACCATATAAGTGTTTCTACTTTTATCACTAGAATATTGCTACCTTATAGTCAGGGATAGCTGTGATATAAGACAGAATTGAGTTCAAATCACCATGTTGTTAACTGTGTGCTCTTGGAGAGTTTGCTTATATTCACTAGTTTGTCCCATCCTTCCCCCACTCTTTGCCAAACCTTTTTCAAATAACTTTCAATATGCAGACCAGGGAGACTTGTAGTTCCTTCAGTGAAGAATTGACTGTTATGGAAGTACATTCCCATTATAAACAATTAGAAATCTAGGCAAAATATATGTCATCATGGTTTTCAGACATTAGACAATAGGTAATGTGAGGCTGTGATCCCTAGAAGAAGAGAACCAAAAAAGATTAGCTCTCTGATTGCGCCCTCTTAGTGCCAGGAGGTGTTTCTAGGTGATAATGTAAGGGGGAATCCAAAGCAAAGCCCAGTAGTCTCTCTGAATCGAGGAGACAGAGATTAGAGTTTGAGGAAGACCAAAGTGTTTAGAATTTGCAGAGTACTGGAAAGAGTGAGTTGCTCAGAGAGAGAGAGGGAGGGAGAGAGAGAGAGAGAGTGGGTGTTCTGGAGATCTTCAGAGGGTTCTTCACAAGTATTTTACTTAGTGCTGGCTGATCTATGAAAGCACGAGAGCAAACTGCACAAGGTGGAGACAAAAATAATCACTAGAAGACAGTGGGTCAAAAAATTCTGAGCTTGCACAGGAATGGGAAGTTTGGGTTCCTCATGGCCAGGTGGAGAAACATTGTATAGAATCTTCAGAGTAATTCACCTCATAGAAGTTGGGCTAAAACTCTTTCCTGGACTAAAAGACTGCTGTGGACCTGTAATAACAAAGCTTCAGTGTAAGCTTTAAAATGACCAAACTGATCTACAACTTACTATGATGTATGACGAAACAAATTCTAACATCTTTTAAATAAATACAACAAAATCTATTGCCCAAAAATACAAAATCACAATATCTGATATCAATCAAAGACTACCAGGCATGTCAAGAAATGTAAAAATATGACTCATAGACCAAGAAAAAAAGAGCTGATATTAGTAAACAATAACCTTAAGGCAGTTATTATCAATCTAACTCATATGCTTAAATATGTAAATTAAAACATGAACATGATGAGAAGAGAAATGGGAAACACATAAAAGTGCCAAATGGTACTAATGATGAAAAAAATAATTTTGGGATGAAAAATATATTGGCTGGGAGTAACAGAGATTAAATACTGCAGAAGACAAAGTCAGTGAGTACAAAGATATAGCAACAGACACTCTCCAACACAAAACACAGAAAGAAAATAGAATAAGGAAGTCCTAGCCAGAGCAATTAGGCAAGAGAACAAAAAAAAAGTATACAAATTGGAAAGAAAGAAGTAAAATTATCTCTGCAGATGACACAATCTTGTATATAGAAAACCCTAAGGGCTCCATCAAAAAACTGTTGGAAATAATAAACAAATTTAGTAAATTTGCAAGATACAAAACAAAATGAACACACAAAAATCAGAATCTTTTTTTTTTTTTGAGACGTCTCATTCTGTCTCTCATGCTAGAGTGCAGTGGCACCATCTCAGCTCACTGCAACCTCCGCCTCCCGTGTTCAAGTGATTCTCCTGCCTCAGCCTCCCAAGTAGCTGGAATTACAGGTGCCCACCACCATGCCCGGCTAATTTTTGTATTTTTCTTTAGTAGAGATGGTGTTTCATCATGTTGGCCAGGCTTGTCTTGAACTCCTGACTTCAAGTGATCCACCCACCTCGGCCTTCCAAAGTGCTGGGATTACAGGTGTGAGCCACGGTGCCTGGCCAACAATCAGTAGCATTTCTATACACTCATAATGAACTATCCGAAAAAGAAATGAAGGACACAATTTCATTTATACTAGCTACAAAAAAAATAGAAATAAATTTAGCCAAAGAGGTGAAAGATCTGTACACTGAGAACTATAACCCATTGATGGAAAAAAAAATGAAAAAGACCAAAAAAAGGGAAACATAACGCATGTTTATGGATTAGAAAAGCTTATGTTTTTAAAATGTCCGTACTGCCTAAAGTGACCTACAGATTCAATGCAATCCCTATCAAAATCCCAATGATATTTTTCATAAAAAATAAAAAAATCCTAAAGTTTGTATGGAACCACAAAGATCTCAAAGCATTCTTGAGCAAAAAGAACAAAGCTGGAGACCCCACACTACCTGATTTCAAAATCGACTACAAAGCCGTAGTAATCAAAACAGCATGGTACTGGCATAAAAACAGACACTTAGACCAATGGAACAGAACAGAGAACCCAGAAATAAACCCATGCATTTTTGGTCAATTGATTTTCAACAAGAATGCCAAGAACACACAATGGAGAAAGGATGGTCTCTTTAATAAATGGTGCTGGGAAAACTGGATATCCACATGCAAAAGAATAAAATAAGACTCTCATTTCACATCATATACAAAAATCAACTCAAAATAAGTTAAAGACTTAAATGTAAGACCTGAAACTGTAAAACTACTAGAAGAAAGCATAAGGGAAAAGTGCCATGACATTGGTCTGGACAATGATTTTATGGATACGACCCCAAAAGCATAGCAACAAAATATGATTGCATCAAACCAAAGAGCTGCAGTACAGCAAAGGAAACAATCAACATAATGAAGAAACAACCTAGGAATGGAAGAAAATGTTTACAAATCACACATCTGATATGGGGTTAATATCCAAAATACGTAAGGAGCTCAAACAAGCCCATAATAAAAAAAACAAATAGCCCAATTAAAAATGAACAAAGTTCAAGCTCATTCTTGTTGGTATAAAAAATAAATAAAAATTTAAAATGGGCAAAGGGCCTGAATAGATATTTCCCCAAAGAAGACATTTCAATGGCCAATTTTTTCTTATAAGGAAGTGCTCAACATTACTAATCATCAGGGAAATACAAATTAATCCCACAATGTGATGTTACCTCATATCTGTTAGAATGGCTATTATAGAAAATACCAAAGATAACAACAAATGTTTTCCAAGATGTGGAGACAAAGAATCCTGGCGCACTGTTGCTGGGAATGTAAATTAGTATAGCCATTATGGAAAACAGTATGAAAGTTCCTCAGAAAATTTAAAATTTAAAACTACCATATGATCTAGCAATCCCACTACTGAGTAAATATCCAAAGGACAGGAAATCAGTATGTTGAAGAGATACCTGCCCTCTCATGTTCATTGCAGCATTATTCACAATAGCCAAGATATGGAATCAATCTAAGTGTCCATCAGTGGATGAATGAATTAAAAAAATGTAGTATGTACACACAATGAAATACTATTTAGATTTTTAAAAATTTTGTTTTTCATTTGTGACAACATGGATGAACCTGAAGTACATTATGTGAAGTAAAATAAGCCAGGCACAGAAAGATGTAGACCACATAATCTCACTTATATATGGCATCTAAAAAACGTAAATTCTTAGAAAAAGAGAGTAAAACGGTGGTTACCAGAGGCTAGAGGTTGAAGGGACTGGGGAAATGTTGGTCAAAGGAAAAAAAAAATTCAGTTAGATGAGAGCAATACATTCAAGATCTATTGTACATAATGGTGACTATAGTTAATAATATTTTATATACTTGAAAGTAACTAGCAGAGTAGATTTTCTCTCTCTCAAAAAAAATAGATTTAAAAAAGGGAAACAGAATAAAAAAAAACCAGCTTCGATGAACTAGGGAAAAATATCAAGTGTCCTAACATACATGTAATTGGACTTCCAGAAAGAAAGACAGCAAAGAGAAGTAAGGAAAAATATTTGAAGAAATAATGGCTGAAGTTTCCCAATTTGTTAGAAATTTATCAAATTTTATCAAATGTCTCAATTTGATAAAAAATTATATACCCATACATGCAGGATGCTCAATGGATCAAAGCTGAAGCAACAAAAAGATAAACAAAGCATATTATATTCAAATTACTATAAACTACTGATGAAGAGAAACTCTTAAAAGTAATCAGAGAAAAACAAGGAACAAAGATAAGAATGACAACTGATTTCTCTTGCAAGTTATGTACAAACCAGAAGACATCTTTAAGGTGCTGGAGAAAAAAAAATTAACAACAAAAGACCTGTCAGCTCAGGGAGACTATTCTTAAAAAATGAAAGCAAAATAAAAACATTTTTAAATCCAAAAAACTGAGACAATATATTGCCAGCATTTCTACAAGAAATGTTAGAGATACTTCTTCAGACAGAAAAAAAAATACCTGATGGAAATTCAGATCTTCATAGTGAAATTAAGAAACGGTGAATATGTGGGTAAATATAAACTTGTTTCCTTTTTTAATGTCCTTAAAAGATAATGGACTTGTAAAGGCAAAAATAATAAAAATATATTTTGAGTTTTATACATATGTAGAATTAAAATGTATGATAATAGCACAAAGTATAGTAGCAGGGAATTATGAAAGTGATATAATTTGAAGCTAGATTGCAATAGGTTAAAGGTATTAATAAAGCCATTCCAGCTTTCTGTTGATTAGTTCTTGCCTGGTATACCTTTCCTATACTTTTGCTTTTACTCTATCTGTAGTTCAATATTTAAGGTAGACATCATAGAGTTGTTTCCTGATTTTTTTTTATTATACTTTAAGTTCTGGGATATGTGTGCAGAACACGCAGGTTTGTTACATAGGTATACATATGCCATGGTGGTTTGCTGCACCCATCAACCCGTCATCTACATTAGTTATTTCTCCTAATGCTATCCCTCCCCTAATCCCCAACCTCCTGACAGGCCCCAGTGTGTGATGTTCCCCTCCTCGCGTCCATGTGTTCTCATTTTTCAACTCCCACTTATGAGTGAGAACACGCAGTGTTTAGTTTTCTGTTCCTGTGTTAGTTTGCTGAGAATGATGGTTTCCAGCTTCATCCATGTCTCTGCAAAGGACATAAACTCATCGTTTTTTATGGCTACATAGTATTTTATGGTGTATATGTGCCACATTTTCTTTATCCAGTCTATCATCGCTGGGCATTTGGGTTGGTTCCAAGTCGTTGCTATTGTGAATAGTGCTGCAATAAACATACATGTGCATGAGTCTTTAGTTGTTTCCTGATTTTTTAAAAAATCGAATATCACAATTTCAGCTTTTTAAAAAAATTTTACTTTAAGTTCCGGGATACATGTGCAGAACCTACAGGTTTGTTACATAGGTATACGTTTGCCATGGTGGCTTGCTGCATCTATCAACACGTCATCCAGGTTTTAAGCCCTGCATGCATTAGCTATTTGTCCTGATACTCTCCCTCCCCTTGCCTCCCATCCCACTGACAGACCCCGGTGTGTGTTGTTTCCCTCTCTGTGTCCATGTGTTCTCATTATTCAGCTCCTGCTTATGAGTGAGAACATGCAATGTTTGGTTCTCTATTCCTGTGTTAGTTTGCTGAGGATGATGGCTTTCAGCTTCATCCATGTCCCCGCAAAAGACATGATCTCATTCCTTTTTATGGCTGCAAGAAAAAGTAGACTTTAAATAAGAAATATTACCAGAGATAGAGAGGGATATTAAATAATGACAAAAGGATCAATTCATCAAGAAGACATAACAGTCTTAAATCAGCATCCATTGAACGAGTTTTAAAATATATGAAGGAAAGACTGATAGGACTGAAGGATAAAAAAGCAAGTCCAAAGCCAAAATTATAGCTGGGAACTTCAACACCTCTCATTCAGCAATAAATAGAACCAGTAGGCATAAAATCTATAAGAATCAAGAAAACCTGAACAATTCTATGAACCAATCTGATATAACTGACATTTATATATAGAACGTGACATTCAAAAAGAGCAGAATATACATTCTTTTCAAGTGTAAATGAACATTCACTAAAACAGACCATATTCCAGTCCATCAAACAAACCTTAACAAAGTTAAAAGTATTAAAATCATACTAAGTATGCTCTCTTACAGAAACAAAATTAAATTAGAGATAAACAACAGGAAGATATTTTCGTAATTCCCAAATATTTAGAAATTAAATGACCTATTTCTAAATAATATGTGGGTCAAAGAGGATAACTCAGGAGTAATTAGAAAACGCTTTGCATTGAATGAAAATGAAAACAATGTATCAAAGTTTGTGTCTGTGGTTAAAGAATCACTTAGAGCTGAGGTCAGTAAACTATAGCCTTCAAGCCAATAATAGTTTTTCCATTTTTAAATAATTGTAAAAATAAAAAAACAAGAAGTAGAAGTTAAAGAGGATGACAATGATCATTATTTGACAGGAACAATTTATAGCTTGCAAAGTCTAAAAGTATTTACTATCTAGCTCTTTACAGAAAATATTTGTTACCCTCTTGTTCAGAAAATAAATAGCATTAAATATTTATATTAGAAATAAATAATCTAGGCTGGGCGCAGTGGCTCACACCTGTAACCCCAGCACTTTGGGAGGCTGAGGCAGGTGGTTAACCTGAAGTCGGGAGTTCAAGACCAGCGTGACCAACATTGAGAAACCCTGTCTGTACTAAAAATACAAAATTAGCCAGCATGGTGGCACATGCCTGTAATCCCAGCTACTCAAGAGGCTGAGGCAGCAGAATCGCTTGAACCAGGGAGGCAGAGGTTTCAGTGAGCCAAGGTAGTGCTATTGCACTCCAGCATGGGCAGCAAGAGCAAAACTCCATCTCAAAAAAAAAAAAAAAAAAGAATATCAATAATCTAAGTTTCAATCTCAAGAAGCTAGTAAAAGAAGAGCAAAACCCAAAGCATGCAAAAGAAAGAATGTAATAAAGGTAAGAGTAGAAATCATCCATCTCTAAAGCAGAAAATTTATACAGAAAGTCAATAAAACCAGACTAGTTCTATGAAAAAATCATTAAATTGATAGAACTCTTGGCTGATTAATCAAGGAAAAAAGAGCATGAGAGAGGAAGGAGATACCAATGTTAGGGGAAAAAAAGACACAACTACAGATTCTACAGATCTCAAAAAGATAATAATGATATGTTATACAAAACTTTATGTCAATAAATTCAAATCAAATGGACACACTACTTGAAAGGTGCAAATTACCAAAACTCAGTCAAGAAAAAATAGATAACCCTGACTATAAAAATTTTAAAAAACAAATATGTGTTATTAAATCCTTCCCACCACCCTCCATCCTGCCTCACCAGAAACACTTTTTGCTTATGTATGCTCAGATAGCTTGTCTGCCAAATTCCAGCAAATCTTTGAGGAAGAAATTATACCAGTTATATCAATTCTACACAAACTCCCCAAAAGTAGAATTGGAGATAAAACTTTCCAACTTATTTTATGAGGCCAGCATTACTCTGATACCAAAACATGACAGAGATATAAGAAAACTGCAGAAAAATAACCCTCATAAATGGAAAAGCAATAATTCTTTGACAAAACATTAGCAAATCAAAATCCCATGAAGTGGGGTTAATCTCAGGAATGCAAGGTTGGTTCAGCATTCAAAAGCCAATCAATATAACTTACTATATCAACAGATTCAAAAGAAAATTTGTAAGATCATTTCAGTAGATACATAATAGCATTTGACAAAATTTTTTATTTGTGATAAAACTTCTGACTAAACAAGAAACAGAATAGAACTTTCTCAAACTGAAAAAATAGAAATCATTATAAGACCTACAACTAATATCATATTTAATGGTAAAACTTGAATACTTTCCTCCTAAGATAAGGTGTCAACATTCATCACTTTTATTCACCATTTACTGGAGATTCTGGCCACTGAAATATGAAAGAAAAAGGTATGAAAGTCATACAGATTGGAACAGAAGAAGTAAAACTGTCCTTATTTGTAATGATATGATTATGTAGAAACTCCCAACGAATCTTCAAAAAATTATTTGAACTAATAAGTGACTTTAGTGAAGTTAGAGGATATTTGTTCAAATATAAAAATCAATGGTATTTCTATAGTTTAGCAACAAGTAACTAAAACTGAAATTTTAAAAAACCAATAATGTTATTTATAATAGAATCAAAAACCACAATTCAGGGTTAAATTTCACAAAATATGTGCAGTCTATACACAGAAATTCATAAAACATTGCTGAGAGAAATTAAAGAAGACCTAAGTAAAAAAATAAACATAACATTCAATAAAACATACTATTCAATATTGTAAAATGTCAGTTCTCCCCAAATTGATCTATAGATTCAACGCAACACCAGTTAAAGGCCTTGCATAATTTTTAGAGAACTTGATATCTTAAATCTAAAATGTATAGAAATGCTGATTCTGCAGTCAGATTGCTTGATTTTTAAATTTGGCTTGCACACTTTAGCAAACATCAAGAGCTATTTACCCAAAACTTCGTCCTTCCTACTTCAACCCTCACTTTTTGCTACAGGCCATTATTTTGTTTGCCTTCTCCTTGGTGGCTCTATCCTTGGTTCCCCGATAAATCTAGACGTAATCTCATTCTTCCTTCACGCATTGGTTAAGAGGTGACCATGTGATACAGTATGGCCAATGAGATAGAAGTGGAACTCCACTGGGTGGCTGCTGTTAAAGGTGTCTTGTTGATGAAGAGTCATCTCTCTTCTCCTCTTCCTTTACTGGATGTGGTTCTGCATGAATGTGAAGCCTGGAACTTTGATTTTTATTAGATGAGTTTGTCTGAGGATGGGTCTGACAAACAGGAAGGCAGAACAAAAAGATGGAAAGAGCCTGGATTCTAGATAAAATTTTTAACCTGCTGAGTTACCCAGCTCTGTGGAGCCACCATTAGAGGGAACTTACTGTTATATGAGAAAATAAATCATCCATATTTAAAAAATTATTTTACTTTGGGTTTTTGATGCTTGCATCCAGAAGCATCCTAACTGATAAAAATATGTTTCTTTAGCTAAGTTAATTGCTCTGTGCTTCAGTGTCCTCATCTCTAAATTAGGGGTAATAATAATAATGTTAATAATAATACTTACCTCATTGAATTTTTGGCAGATTAAATGGGATAATGCAAATAAAATAGATGTACAATAGTTAGTAAGTACTCAATACATATTAGTTGTTATTATTAAATAATATGTTGGCTCACCCTTCTGAAAATAAGGGAAATATAAGTGAAGCAAAGATATTTAATTCAATCAGCAAATGTCTATAGACAATATGCTGTAAGTCAAGCCCTGTTACAATAGCTGTGATGAGTCCCTGTCTCCCAAAGCTCACAGACTAGAGGGGAATAGAGTCTAGAAAAGAGGCAATTATAGTACAGTACTTTGGCAATTTACAATTGCTTTGACTGGTTAAGTATAGGATGTCAAGGTTACACAGAGAAAGGGCCTTTAACTGTGGCTTAGTAGAGTGTTAAGTTAGTAAGACTTATGGGAGGAGGTAGGGCCTCAAGAACATGAATAAAATATCCAGATGAAAAGGACCCAGTGAAGCATTTGGAAGGTGTCCCAGGCAGAGGAAAAAGTATAAATAAAGGCATAGAGACAAGGAGAAGCATAGAGCATTCAGGAACTCCAAACAGTTCAGTGTGGCTAAGCCATAGATTGCCAGGCTAAGAGATGAATGGACACATTGAAGACTCATATACAGTCTTCATCTGTCATGAAAAGGAGGAACCCCCAGGCTTCTTGGGAGGGTTGCTAATTTAGAAACCAGCACAAAGTATTCTTAGCAATAAAAACTGTACCGCTCCTGGTTCATGTCTCTAAATATGAATCTGACCTGTTATTTATTTAAGATGCGAAGCTCTTGCCTATACATCAAAGACCTCAGTTTAAAAAAAACATAAAATCTGGCTCAAGTTAAGATTGAAACTTTTAAAGTGGGGCAAGTTATAAATTAACATGTTTCCTACTGTATGCATGAATTGGAGGCTCACACTGAATTAGGTCACAGACCTGGACCAGACTAATTGGCTTTCATTTATTGGATCCTCAAGCTGTGACAGATATTCCAAGAAAGGCAGAGGGGAAGGTTGGGAATACTGGACAAGTAGTAAGGTACAAAATTACAAGAGCAATCAAATTTAGAGACAGTCAATCAGGAAAATTCTTAGAGACCCTCTGGTCGGAGTTCTCTAACTTTTAAAAATATAACACCCTTTCTTCAAATGTTCAAGTTTATCTTGGTAGATTGCAAAAAAATGGCCCCAAATTCTTCCAGTCCTTTATGCATGTCTTTGTACTGTGTTGTTACAGCTTTTTCTATCAAGAGACAAAGTCTTTCTCTTCATCTTTTAAATCTCAGTTTAGCCCTGTTACTTGTTTTGGTCAATGAAATATTGCCAAATTTGATGCAAGCAGAGGCTTGGAAAGCACTTGCCCATTGCAGCTTATCCTATTTTCCTGCAGGAACTTTGGAATCCTAAGATGGCCATGTGAATGAGCCCAGGCTGACCTGCTAGACAATAATAGATCACATAAAGGGAGGTCTAATCATCTCAGGCAGCCCGGTCAAGGCTATCATAAACCGACCAGCCAGCTACCCTTGGTCTCATGAGTGATTCCAGCTGAGACAAGGTGAAGCTGAGCCCAGCCCAAATTGCTGACCCACAGAAACATACACTCAATAAACAATGATTGTTTTAAACCACTATGCTTTGGCACATTTTGTTATGCAGCAGAAGCTAACTGATCTATTCACTAGAAAGCTCCACGTTAAAAACAGAAGAAATAAAATCTGATCTGATTGAAGCAGTGGTAAAGGAGAGGCAGCCTTGACCCATCTCTTCCTAAAAGCCAGGACCGTGTCCCTCTCTCCCTGATAGTCCCTAAAGGGGTTCTGCACAATCAGTAGATTCCTGAATAAGAGTTGGACAAATTTGTTCTAGTCTGATGCCTATTTTATAGATAAGAGCACTGAGGCCCAGATGTAATCCTGATTGGCTTAAGCTAAACAATACATTGTGAATGCCTAGCCATGGTTCATAGGTGGGTACATGAGAACCAGTTAGACCCAATGAGACACTTACGGTGAGAGGAAATAAGGTGAAGAGGGGTTTCAACCATCTATGAAAGACAAGCCTATCTAAGAATGGAATCATTACAGCAGATAGCAGAGAGGAGAAGAGAAGTAGAAGCCCAGTGACACCATATCGACCCACCTGAAGCTCAGAAATATCTACCTTTGGACTTTTCAGTATAATATAAACAAATGCCTCTGTGCTTAAGCTGAGACTACCCTCTTATTTCCAAATCTTTTTTATTTTCTCCCCAATAGGACAGGCTGTTCAGATGGATAAATATAGCCTTCTCATCCCTTGTTGTGTTTTCCCTGAATTTGGAAACTTTTGTATGAAAAAGATGGAAGTGAAAATCAAGCAGGTAGAATTTTTTATGATGGTGCACCTGGAATTGGAAATATGTGGAAGTCCAGGAGAAGGGACTGACAGCATAAAGAGACATGTCAGTAAGCAGAAAGCGTAACCTGAAGCTGAATCTAAGTTGTTAGGCTTAGATTACAGCTCTTTATGTATCTTTCATTTGGGATAAGAATTAGTAACAGGATGTAGATGGGAAGGGGAACTTGGTTGCAGGTGGGGTTCAGGGGATCTTAGGTAAAGGGAGATAGTGACTGCATGGGACAAGAAGCCAGATTGCCCATTTTCCCATACTGGGCATGAAACACGGCATGCAGAACAATGTCACCAACCTAAGATATCAAGACTTAGAACAGAGCCCTATCTCTCTGATGTGAACCCACACACACTGAGATTGGACAAATGTGTGCTCTATCTAATCATCGGAAAGTAAAAATAGGCCTTTCCATCTACTTGTTTGCAAATTGAAAGTCTAACAACTTTACCACTCAACTGCTTGATGATTAGTAGGCGGTAATTTAAACTATACACATTATGCTAAGTATCCTTATATTAATTCAGTCTGAGTGAGTTTTTATAAAATGCTTTGTTCTGCTCAATAAAGTTAATTATATGTTCTATGTTTTATAACTGAGTGTCTTGATTTTTTAAAACATAATGGCAGCTCAAATTGCATTTCCTTATAAACTCGGGTGTGTAACAAAAAGCAATCCATATAAGTAAGCAAAGCTGTCCACTCCCCACTTCCCTGCCCCTTGCACTCCCAAAAGCCTTTCAAAGGTGGGATATATCCTGTATGTTTATAAGAGGCTGGCTGTCCCCAGAGATCCTGGATCGAAAGCCCTAAGCAAAAAGGTCCCTAGGAAACCTCTTCGATGTGGAAGGGGAAGGTGATACCTGGTCTAGGAGCTATGAGCATCAGCACCCAGAGTTAATTTGGTGGGCTTTGAAAACAAGAGGTTAAGAGGCAAACTTAACCAATATGTGAGCAATTCCACAACACATGGGTTCATTCAGAAAGTGTACCTGCTTATAGTCCTCATAGATCCTGTGCAGATCACCTCTTAGATAGCTAGGGGTATGTGCCACACCCAGCCTGGCTCTAGCAACTCAGGAAAATATGGAGGAGATATATCACTTATGTAAAGGCTATAATAGAAATACAAATGGCTAGCATTTACTGGGTATTTATTCTAGGAACTTTACATTTATTACCCCATTTAATCCTCTTTAGAACCCTACCAAGTAGGTACTATTATTATTCCCAGTGCAGAGACGAGGAAAACTGAAGTTTGGAGAGGTTAAGCATCTTGGCCATAGAGCCAGGCACCTAGTACATAGAGCCAAGAGGGGCAGTCAGGAGTCAATATCTGAACGAGATGGTAAAATCAAAGTCAAGAAATCATTATGAAGGGACCGAGCAGCTAAACAACTCCAGGAGAATCTCAGGGAAGTGGGAGGGTTAGAAGCAGAGGTGGAGGAAGCTGACCTGGATGGGTTTTCAGAGTGGATGAGTGTTAGCACCCTTAGGCACATATGGGAAGAAAACCATCAAGGAACCAACAGATGCAACTAAGAAAGAAACAAACACATAAGACCCAGGAATTGAAGGAAAGAATTAGTTGTTATTGATCTCATTTTTACAATAATAGCTAGTAGTGTATTTTTTAGTTAATTAGCACAATTTACATATTTAGTGTATTGGCTTATTTAACTAATAATTTAATCACACTTCACCCAGCACTGGGTTTGGCATGTGAAAATTTATTAAATACATAATCTCATTGATGATTATTACTAAAAATATCTTACCTGTACATTACTAGATGGAGTTTAACAGAAATATGAAAGAATTGATAGAACAGGCGTGAATGTAGCTTCCAACATTTTTTGTCCATGTGCTTTTGGGTTAAGTCATTGTACTACTCCAAGTCTCATTTTTTCCAACAGTAAATGGGCAAAATAGTAACAGTAAGCTTACCCTCAGGCCTGTTTCTAAGATCAAGTGAGATAGTGCATATGAAAGCATTTTAGAAACTGTAAAATGTCATCCCCACATTAAGTTCCATTAACCTAATTAACCAGCCTGTTTACAAATACGTTTCATTTTGACAATCAATCTTTCCCTTGACTTGTCCATTGGCAATTAGATGCAGAGTAGAGCTACAGATCATGGGCTAGTGATGGTTTTTACATAAGCTGCTGTTCCCTGATCCACTGATGGTAGAAATAACCCTGGAAAGGTACTCAAGAAACTCAAGCTTTAGTCTTTGGCTTTTCCATTCAATTACTCTGTGACATAGACAAGTTAATAAAATTTCTAAATCTCAAGTTTCATTCCTGAAAAATGTAGGTGAGAATGATATCTGCTCTACTCGCCTTACACAGTTTTGGGAAAGGAAACCTGGACTGTAGAAAATCCTAGTGTGGGCTGGGTGCTATGGCTCACACCTGTAATCCCAGCACTTAGGGAGGCCCAGGTCAGTGGATTGCTTGAGCCCAGGAGTTCCAGACCAGCCTGGGCAGCATGGTGAAACCCTGTCTCTACAAAAAATGCAAAAATTAGTCAGCCATGGTGGTACATGCCTATAGTCCCAGCTAGCAGGTAAGCTGAGGTGGGAGAATCTCTTGATCCCAGGAGGTTGAGGCTGCAGTGAGCCATGATTGTGCCGCTGTACTCCAGTGTGGGTGACAGAGCAAGACAGTCTGGGAGACAGTGCAGTTCTCTTCAAATTGCCAAAAAAAAAAAAAAAGGAAAGAAAGAAAGAAAGAAAGAAAGAAAGAAAGAAAGAAAGAAAGAAAGAAAGAAAGAAAGGAAGGAAGAAAGAAAGAAAGAAAGAAAGAAAAAGAAAGAAAAAGAAAAGAATAGAAAAAGAAAATCCTAGTGTCAAAAGGTATATTTTACCTCCTCTGATCCAGCCAGTACATGTTATACATGACCACTTAAAAGATATACAGGCCATAACACACATAAGGTCAGCTGTGGGCACTGAACAAAAAAGAGTCAATAACCCAGTGGACTCAAAACAATCTACAAGTGTTCTAAGCACCTGTGAGTGCTTCAAATCCAATTAGGAAAATGGCCGGGTACAGTGGCTCACACCTGTAATCCCTGGCATTTTGGGAGGCCAAGGTGGGCAGGTCATGAGGTCAGGAATTGGAGACCATCCTGGCCAACATGGTGAAACCCCGTGTCTACTAAAAATACAAAAATCAGCCAGGCATGGTGGTACGTGCCGGTAATCCCAGCTAATCAGGAGGCTGAGGCAGGAGAATCACTTGAACCCAGGAGGCGGAGGCTGCAGTGAGCCAAGATCATGCCACTGCACTCCAGCCTGGGAGACAGAGCAAGACTCTGTCTCAAAAAAAAAAAAAAAGGAAATGAAGATAAATTTAATAGAGAGGAGAGATAGTCACTCCCCTTATCCAAGGGAGGTACGTTCCAAGACCCCCGGGGGATGGCTGAAACCTTGAATACTACCAAAGAAACATATACTATGTTTCTTTTCCCTATACATACATGGCTATGATAAAGTTTAATTTATAAATTAGGCACAGTAGGAGATTAACAGCAATAACTAATAATAAAATAGAACAATTCTAACCATATACTGTAATAAAGTTACATGAATGTGGTCTCTCTTAAAATACCTTACTGTACTGTACCACGGATAACTAAAACCTGTGATAGAGCAAACCCATAGATAAGCAGGGTTGGGCGGGCTTGGGGTGGGGGGTACTGTAATTCAAAATGTCAGATAATCCCCTCCACTGCCAAAAATAGAAAAGTATACTTTATCTAGATTCAACACACATCTGCTGTCAATCTATGAAGTGCTGGTGCCACTTTCTCACAGGCACATTTCCATTTATGTTTTCAGTGTTTTCAATAATTTTTCAAATAATGCAGGGAGATCAATGCTCGATTTACAGAGAGGGAAACAGCTTGAGAAAATAAAAGTGGTACATGTAAGGCTGATAGTCTCCAGGGTGGTAGAGCCAGTACAGCGGATACAAGCCAAGATTCCAACCTGGGAGTCAGGAGACCTACGCACCCAGCCGGGCCTTCCTCTCCAAGTCCAGAGAGGAGCTCTCGTCTATGGCTGTGGCGGTCTGTGATTCTGAGAATGTGGCAGTCTTGTTTCTATTCTGCTCATGTGAGGAATCCTATGAATGATTTATGGTCAAAGCCTTTTCTTCTCTCTATTTCTCTTTGAACTTATTTTTAGATATTTGTCCGTTCAGTTACAGGTTTTATTGAAAGCTGACTTCATCAATCACAACTGGCAAACCCAGGGGAAAAAGACGCAGAGTGAATGTTCCACTCAGTTCTCTTCTCCAAAGAGAAACTCCTATTTCCTCCACCTTCGAAGGAAGAAAAAAAAAGTAGCTTTAACCACTAATCACAACTAATGGAAGATGCACTCTGCTATTCTTGACTACAATGACTTGAGGCAAACCCCAGGGAAGTCAATATTAGATCAATTTGCAGCTGGCGGCTGGGGAAGGTGTAAAAAGCTCCTACCGTGGGTCCATTGTAGAGCCCTGTGAGGGCTGCATTTGACTGGGAAACATTTAAATCTATTTTCTTTTGACCTCTGAGGACTCTTAAGTGAGGGGAAGAAAAAGCCCTTTGCAACAGGTCTGGTGTTTTGACATTCATTTTCCAGGGCACAGAGTGTTTCTGAAGGAGGAGAGGACAAATGCTTACAGTTAATGGAAGCCATGCTGGGCAACTGGTGTCATCAGAATCCCAGACTGAGCTCAGACGCAAGGCCAGCAAATTCAAGGAGACACTGGGGGGTGGTACAAGGCTGTACCTCATGGTGAACCTAAGGAGGAAAATGAGAAGCGTGGATGACCTCAACCAACGACAGTGCCCATGAAGTGGAAAGAGCCATCCATGGCAGGGGAGGACACTTGGGCTCTAATTGTAGCTGGCATTTAATAAGCACTTATTACCTGTCTGGCATTTATGTGAAAGACTATGTGCTTTACCTGACTAGGTCTTCCCAATAACCCCATATGGTAGGTATTACTACAATCACCACTTTAAAGATATGGAAAGTGAGACCTAGAGAATTGAGGTACCTTGACAGTTTCCATAGCCAGAGAGTGGCAAAACTGGAATTCACGTATGCATCTGACCTCAACACCCAAGCTTTTAATCATCACGTGATCCTGCTTTCCTGTTCTATCACTAGCACACAGCACATGAAGCAAGATTTATCTTCTCTGAGCTTCACTTTCCTAGGTTTCATGTAAACCGCTGGTTTAAGGGTAAGGAGAAGCCGTGGCTGAATTGCCTCAGCCACCTGCCTGTGTGCTGAATGCTGGACTCCTACAAAGGACCCACTGGAATGAGAACCTCTCTCCTGCTAGAAGATGGGAATATTGGATGTGAGCAAGGAAAGACACTGGGGACCTGTTGTTCAATTGCCCTAAGTCTGCCTCTGGTCAACTGTTTCTCCCTCATTTGGTTGCATATAAATTAAGGTCTCCAAGGGCATATTCTAGTTCTAGCTTAAAAAAAAAGAAGAAGAAGAAGAAGAAGAAGAAGATTAACCTACTCACCTGAAAACTCTTGAACCTTGTTGAGAAGACAATATCAGAACCAACCCGGAGAGGATGGGATGGTTGTGAATCTAGTTTACAAGGTTCCTTGAAGAACTGAAAAAACGGGAAAAAGAACTAGACAGGATTCAGATAAATGTTTTAGAGACAGTTGCTTTTGTGATAGAAACAAGAAGAGGCATATGGTTTAGAAGTTAAGTACTTGGCACTCTGGATTCAGTCAGACCTGGGTTCAAATCTGTTCCATCTCTTACTAAATGATGACTACAGAAAAAAGTATTGAACCTAGCTAGGCCTTGATTTCTTTATCTCTAAAATGGGTGTCTATAAATAAAACTTACCTCTTAGAGTTTTGTGAAGATTAAGAGATATCGCATATATATCCTTAGCCTAGTATACTACCAATGTTAGTCATTATCCTAAGTTACCTCCCAAAGAGAGCAAACACATTGATTTTGGAGAAGAAAATAGTATTCGAATGTGATGAAAGCATTGGCAAGAAAATGGATGTAAACTTGGCAGAGAAAACTCAACTGGAATATTTAGGGTAATTGGGTGTCCATGGAGCCACCCTGCACAAAGGGAAGACTGGGTAACCCCAGCTGTGTTTGCCTTATTTTCAGCAAGGATTTCTTGGCACTTGAGCAGAGCAACCCAGTATAGCAGAAGACCCAGAGAAAAGGATAACACTGGGCTAAGGGATGGGATGGAGGTAAAGTAGGGTAGGGACTTGCTGGCAGCAAATTAATGCCAACTAGGATTACAGAGTGAGAGAGGTCTTTGGAACACAGCCCTCTCTATGGTAGTGAGAAAAGGTAGTACCAGGTGAACTTGAAGGATTTGTCTGAATTGGACTGTCAGAAAAGGAATTTTTCTAATGGATTGTAGAGTTTTCCCTACTACATCCATTCTTCCTGTTCTGCAGCAACTTTAAGCTTTGGGCAGGATTGACTACTAGGGGAGAAACATGGACCAAGGATCAGCAAACTTTTCCAAAAAGGACCAGGGAGTAAATATTTTAGGCTTTGTGAGCCAGATGGTTGCAACTACTCAACTCTGTTGTACCATGAAAGCAGCCATAGGCAATAAGTAAATCAAAAGACTCTGGGTGTGTTCTAATAAAACTTTATTTACAAAAACAGGCAGCAGGGTGAATTTGGCCTGTGGCAGTAGACTGGTCTACTAAGCCAATCAAGGTACCCTCACCCGCCCTTTGACACAGTGATGACTAAGCTGAATAGCGCATAATATTTCAGTAACTACAGTGATTGGCTCTGGAATATTCTAATCAGAGCAAATATGAGGAATTCAATTTGATGGTTTTGTGGGGAATGGGGAGGGGGAACATGAATTGTTGCTCCCTGTATATAACTAAAAAAATAATCATAAGGAAAGCCAGGCAGAGGAAGAAGACAATAAATGGAGAAGAAAAGAGCTTAGAATATATTAGAGAAACCAAACTGATAATCTGATTGAACCATCCCTGAAGCTTGCCCCCTATTTGACTTCATAACTATAAAAGCAAATAAATTCCTACTTTATAAGCCATTTTAAGTTAGATTTACCAATACTTCCAACAAAAGAATCCTGACTGATACCAGTTGGGGATCATATTAACTAAGGGAAGGAAAAGAACACTATGTCCACAATGAAAACAAAACAAAATAATAAAACATGGCAAGCAGAACTGCTTTCAATGCAGCTCAGTTTAGGCAATCAAAGTGGACAGTGTTTCACCTACCCCTGTGCCCACCGTCACAGTTCCTGAAGTATCTCTTCTGACAGCTACATTCTAAAAGCATACTTAGAAAGCAACAAGCCAAAATTCTCTGTTAGTCCTTTTGTTATTTCAGGAGACAGCTTTGAGAGAAGGAAACTCCAGTTAAATCACAGGGGTTCTGGAATTTACTTCTTCCATCCATTCTGACTTGCTGTAGGAATCCCTTTGTGGGATTCCTCATCTGTGAAATAAGCATCTTAGATAAAATAATCATCACAAAGGCTCTCTTTCCACCATTCTTATATAAGAGTAAGAACAGTTTGATCATCTCTCCAGGAGAATGAGACTTTGGGTAGTTGCAATTTTTCCCTGGAAAGATTACAAATTAACATAAAAAAAGAAAAGGAGAAAATACAAATTACTCATAATATCTTCCTTGAGAATAACCACTGTGAACATTTTGGTGTGAATATGTTCAAGCTTATTTATGTCTCATCCACATGTACAGACACACAAACAAATATAAGAAATCATACTGTGCATATTATATTATAACCTGTTGAATTACCTTAAAAGTATAATGATCATCTTTCCCTACCAATAAATATTCTTCCATAACATAATGTTTTAATAGCTGTAAAGAATTTCCATTGCATAGATATACCAAAATTTATTCAACTAATCTCTTTCTGTTGGAAATTTAGGTTTATCTAATTTTCTGCTATTTTAATATTATGATGAACATTATTGTAGCTAAATCTCTACACATTTGCATTATTATATCCTTAGGATTTATTTTTAGAAATGGAATTACTAATTCAAAGGGTATAAACATTTTTAAGTTGTCTGATGCATTTTACCAAATTATCAAGAAAGTTTATGCAAATTTAAACACCCCTTCCCTGTATATGAAAAAGCCTGTTCACTCACACTCTCACCACCACCAGGCGTTGTTATATTTTAAAATCTTAATAAGTCAGGGGAAGTGAGAAAAATGGGAGACAGATTCATTATGAGAAGATATCTTGCACTTTAATTTCTTTGTAGGGTAAATCTTCTTTATGAGGTTTGATTTGTAATTGGACCCTGGAACTATATGAAGAGCTAACTCTAGTTATGTTTCTACAACCGAAGATGTAGTCCAAGAGGACAACTTGATTCCTCTTTCAAGATCTGAAAGTAGAGATAAAATAGTCTCATCAGACAAGGATAAAAGGATGCCTAGTGGGCTAGGGGGAGACAGAGACAAATGGATATCAAGGGAAATTCCAAGTTTTCTGAATCCTCCCACATATCCCCCCCTCCAACTTTTAGAGTCTCAATTCTTCCTGATTAGCACCTTAACTGTGACACAAGAACTGATCCATATTCAATTGGTAGAACTCCACAACCTATAAGAATAATCTTGAATTTGGTTATCTTCCCTGTGACTCTTCAAAATACATATATATATATACACACACACATATATATACATACACACACACATATATATAATATATAATTATTATGTTATATATATATATGTAAAATCCTGGCTAACACCTGCATTGCAGCCTAATGAGACCGTGAAGCAAAGAACCCAGCTAACCTATGCTCACAGACTTTTGATCTACAGAAACTGAGAGGTAATAAATATGTGTTGCTTGAATCTGCTAAGTTTGTAGGAATTTGTTGTGCCGCAACAGAAAACAAATATACCCACATATGCCTCTTTCTGTTACCAATTTCTGTAATGAGTTTCTCAATTGCAAACCAATTATATTTGATTTAAGCAGCAAAGCAACTCATTGAAAGCATACCAGATAGGGCACAGAATCCAAAGAAAGGCTTTAGAATTGGTCTTGCTCAATAGGCAGGTAGTTGAGGAGACCAGCAGCAGGAGTCACATCCCAGATGCTTCAGTATCACTCTTGTTAAGATAACACTACTGGCACATCTGCCACTGTTACCACCACTGCTAGACAACACTGCCACTAGACTCTGTTTCTGCTACTGGCCACTGGGTACTAGTGCTGCCACCACTGGGTACAGCCACCACGCAATGCCTTTTTCATCACTGCCTTGCATCTTTGCATTCGTTTGTTGAGATTTAAACTATTAAGTGAGAGCATGTGATTGGCCAAGTGGAAGTCACACACCCATATCCTAACTTCCAGGAAACAGTGAGATGAAGTATCTGCCCAGAGCCACAGAACTGCTCTAATTTAGAGTGCACATAAATAGCATGTCCAGGAGCTTCACAGAGGTCACCTAATCAGAGACCACAGTAAAACTTGTGCTTCCTAGAATTATGCAGTGTACAGCTATTCATACAAATTGTGATGAGAATGTATCCCCTGGAGTTGCACAATGCAGCACCCTGTACTGTTCCCATCCATCTTCTCCTGCAGAAATAGAAAGTTGTATCTTATCAAGATGAAGAATTACACTATGGAATGGCCCTCCAGTGGAAAGGTGTTAGGATACAGGAAAATTATGAAAAAAAAAGATAAATGAGCCTTATATCAGTAAATAGCTGGTAATTGAAGCCACATGTCAACATTGTATAGTCATCCCTTGGTATCCATGGGAGATTGGTTCCAGGGCACCTTTCCAGCAGCCCCAAGCAGATACAAGACATTCATGGTGACTGCACCCAGGGGTGGCAGCTCTAGTACCCAGTGGCCAGTATTTGCTCAAGTCCCTTATATCAAATAGTGTCCTATTTGTACAGCACCTATGTGTATCCTCCTGTATACTTTAAATCATCTCTAGATTACTTATGATAACGAATACAGTGTAAATGCTATGTAAATAGGTGTTATACTGTGGTGTTTTTTATTTGTATTATTTTTTATTGTTGTATTGTTATTTGTTGTTATTTTTTGTCTGACTCGTTTTTTATTCTTAGTTTGTTGAATCTGTAAATGTGGAACCTGCAGCTACAAAGGGTAAAACCCTATTATAGTTTAAGAGTGGCATGAAGATAGAAGGAGACCAGGGAAAAAGCTTCAAAGGATTCTAACAGGGCATAGTCAGAGAAAGAATAACAAGTGTTCAGGAGTATAGGCAAAGTCCAGTAACCTTGAGGAAGAATTTCCCAGGAGGTCTTCAATTTCATATAGGAATTAATATATTTTGGTAAAGAAATATCATAAAGTATTTAATTAAATACAATTTGATTTTTAAGAACAATAACTAAAAAACAGTTAAAACAAGGTCTTTTCTTTTAGAATTCATATCCTGATTTGGCATTCGGAAGTTATGGTCACTTCAGAAGCAAATTCAAACTTATTTTTGTCTAGAGTTAGATTGAAGGATGAGGATCCAGGACTTGTGGTTCAAAAATCTTTAGTGGGGCCAACATAATTTTATCAAAATTGCAGCCCATCTAATTCTCTAGTTTCTGATGTTGAAAAATGCAATATATTTGTAAAGTTGAATGAAATCTTTCCTAAAATAATCAAAACAAATTTTCCTTACTCACTGAGAACATGATGTAGTCATAATATAAACCTGAGAATTCAATCAAGAAAAGTTGCATTTCTGTACAGAAAGCAAAGATAATATCGAATTTTCATCAACTGTGTCTGACTTCTCTGATTCACAGAAAGAGAAGAAAAGCCTACCTATAAAAGTTTATCTTACAATAGGAAAAAACAAAACCAAAGTGTTTTCCCTACTCTGTATTCTCACACAACTCAACATTTCTGACACCAGATGTGCGGGAGTGTTTCCCCACATACCAAGCAAGCAGTTCTCCAGCAGACACCAGCTGGATGTCCTCTGATTCAATTTGATTCTGATACTATCTACCTGAGGATAGCTTCAGAACACACAGTCTCACAAGACTGTCCCTCACTTCAGATGCCAGTCACAACTAGTAGGTTTTCACCATGCTTCTGACCAATAGCCTATAAATCAGGGGTTTCCACAACCCCTTCCTCAGTCTCAGTTAATTTGTTTTGGTGGCTCATAGGACTCATTTATGATAAAGAACAGCCAGATGGAAGAGATACATACAGCAAGGTATGTTGGAAGGGGCCTGAAGCTCCCATGCTCTCTCCGAGCATCCCACCTTTCAGGAACCTCCAAGTGTTCAGCTGTCTGGAAGCTCCCTAAGCCCAGCCTTTTTGGGTTTTTAGGGATGCTTCATTATATAGGCATGATTGATTGACTCATTGACCGTTGGTGATCAACTCAACCTTCAGAACCTCTCCCCTCTCTCGTGGGTGGGACTAAAACTTCCAACTCTCTAATTATATAGTTGATTCCTCTGGCAACCAGCCCTTATCCTGAGGCTATCCAGGAGCCCACCAAGAGTGGTCTCTTTAGAACAAAAGACACTCATACCACTCAGGACATTACAAAAGTCTTAGGAAGTCTGTGTCAGGAACTGGGGGTCAAAGACCAAATGTTAAAATAAAAGATTCTCTTATCATCCCTATCTACAAGGGTTTTAGAAGCTGCATGTCAGGAAATGATGACAAAGACCAAATATATATATATTTCATAATATCATGGTTCATGATGGAGAAGAGGACAGAAATGAAATAGATGTCTATGCATGTATAGAGATTATTCTTGTAAAGGATGGATTTTATAGGGGAAAAAAGTGAAGAAATTCAAGAGAAGTCGAGCAAAAATAGCAGAGAGGAAGAGTGCTGACCAGGTATGATGGGGACCAAAGGAAATAAACAGCGTACAGGACAGGAAAGATGAGGCAAGTGCTCTAGCCAACTAATTGGCTCAGAGTAAGCTACAGGAATAGTCTATTCTTATAAGATAAATTATTTAAGAGCATCTCTGTGTTGGGAAATTCCATGGATTTCCAAAGTTAACATCCTTCCTTTGTCAAGGAGTAAATCCAAACATTTCTGTTTGATCTTCAAGACCTTTTAGCTAGACTATGTCTCTATATTCTGACCACAGTATGGCCAAATATGTGGCTGTCTTTCCACGCCATTGCTCACATCAGGACCCTGCCTTGAATTACTATTCCAAACCTCCATTCAGCCACCCCTAGTCCTTGGGAATTCTGCTTCTCTCCAGCTTTATTCCAAAAGTAGCCATAAACCAACCTTCTATGCCACTGCCCTGGCAGTTGACATGATTTCCTGAAATTGTTTGTCCTAACCTATATAGACTTTGTCATGAAGAAGAGAAGGGTCTTGGCAGCAGGGACAGGTAAGTGAGGGCAGAATCCAGAACCAGGTGGGACTATTCTAGAAAAACCATATCAACTGGGAGGCCAGTCCTTTGTTGGGTTATCCAGGCGAGCCTTGAACAAAATGTCCATGGAGACACAGTAAATTCAGGATTGATTAGGGCCAGTATTGATGCTCAAGTAGGAGCACCGTTAATGTTTTGATTGGTCTCTTTGTAAGAAGATATCAAGTCATGGCCAGGGAAGACATACTTGACTGTAACGAGAAGAATCCAGGAAAACCATGGGCCTGGGAACAGACCTTATTCACTAGGGCAGGAATTCATTCCTTGTGGGAAAAACAACTACAATGATTTTGGCATCTACTACTAATACTATTACTACTACTGCCAGTAATAACAACAGTGCTAATAGCTACCATCAGTTTAATCTCTTCTCTGTATTAGGTTGTACAGCCAAGTACTTCATTAATTCCTCACAATATCTTTAAACTGGATATCATCATCTCTTTTTTTGCAGTAAAGGGTTATGTGACTGAATCAACACAAAAAAAGTGGCAGGGGCAGGATTCAAACCAGGACCACTAGACTCCAAAGACTATACATTGTCCTTTAAATCACATTGCCTCTACAGGTACTGTCAAGCTGGAATGGAAGCTGAGGTTGAGCTGTCCTATGAGCAGGGGTTGGGAGTCACCTTCAATTAAAAGGAAAATAAAGGTCTGGAGTAAGCCCCAAGAACAACAGATCTCATGCTGTTGGATGTACAATTAACTTCTTTGCACAATTAATGCACAATTAATTTTTTTCCCTGCCTGTTGGAGGAGCTGGGCCTTTTTTTATACTGCCTGACCAGTAGACTTCGGGTCAGGGATTGCACATGATTGAGTCTGTAGTTAATAACGGTGGAGGAAGACAAGGGCTGGCATAGCCTATTCATATTCCCAACTGAAGAATGAGCTCATTGATGAGAGCAACTGTGACTTGGATATCTTCTCTACTTGTCCTAGTGGCTGGCCCATAGTAGGTCCTCAGTGTGTGCTTAGTGATGGATTGATTGGTCGATTGATTGATAGGCCAATTGACTGACTAAAAGGACATTAGGGAAAGCAACAATGGGCTTGGTTCTTCCATTATCCATTATCCCTTCATGCTTCCTCAGACCTGCCTTGCAAAGATGTGACTTATTGCTTCCCCTCTCCCCACTTCTTCTCAGAAAACATGACATGACCTTTCTGGTTCCACAGAATATATTTACTTCCCCCCTGGGTACTTTCGATTTGCATTAAGTGAAACAATGCTTACTGTGCTATCTCCTCTGTCCCTAATAAATGGGAGCCCTGACTGTCCTCAGCGTCCCAGACAAATAAATGATCCAAATCACTTGAGATTTGAACAGATCTGCTGGCCCAGTTTAGCCCAGTAATAGTAATGGCTATAAACATATCCCTTCTCCCACCTCTTATTACTACCACCACCCCTAAGCCCATACTGCAATATTCTGGCTAACTTGTTTGAGACATGAAGAATAAGGCATTAATCTGAGTATCTGCAGAGCAACATATGCCAGTCTCCTACACCATCAATGGAATTAATGGGGCTCCAACACACAGGAAGCCAGAGTTCTTATGGGTCAGATCCTTCATCATAAGGGTCTAGCACCAGCAGTACTGGGCATCAACTGCATGAGCTTGTATCAGACAAGGTCAAGTCCTTTTTGGTTAAATGCCACACAAGCCCTGACCACTGGGCTATCTCATTCCCTAAGATGCTGCCAAGTCCTCTCCCAGGAATCCTGACGTTCCCTACATAAAAGCATGACTTTTTTATCCAAAATGCTTACAGCATTTCAAAATACATGTTCAAAATACTTTGAAATACATATTCCTTCAAAATAGGTATCTGTCAATGCCATCTTAATGATATCAGCTGGGTAACCATTAACTTATTTGTTGAATCAAGAAAGTTTTTAAAGTAGAACTCACCATTAATAAGTACACAGGGATAAGAAGCATAAATTGGGACTGCCTGGACAAATCAGGATATGTGGTAACCCTAATATTGGCTTCTTAAATTGCAATGTGAGCTCCCCGTGGGCAGAGTTTCATAGCCCTTCCTTCCCCACTTTCCCTCCCCAATTAAGCTGCAGTCCTCATTCAAGATGAAGTTACAAAGCTCTCTACACACTCTTTCAAGTAGCCCTTTCTAATCTGCAGGTTTAGGTTTAGGTAGATAGGAGTATTATCTTCAGTTTCAGGACTTCTTATTCTTATTCTTATGCTTATTCCAAATAAGTGTAAGTGTTCCAAATAATCTCAATCCTGGTTACTTCCTCTTTTCTTAAGCTCCTGGATAACTTGGATGAGTTTAATTTATTTACCCTATAAGCAATCTCACTGTGGCCAGAGAAGTATGACACCTCCAAGAGCACCACAGCAGGAACAAGAACTGGGGCAATGATGAGCTGGGATCCCAAAGCACCAAATTGGATCTTTCTGAAGCATCAACATTATCCAGCACATTCCAAAGCTGGACAAATCCAAGGGCCTGCTGGATAAATACCCAAGACTCTCTCCCCCTACCAGAGCTGGGTCTGGGGACTTCTTGGAGCGATATGGTTATTTTCTGGCCCTTCTTGCAGTTTCTTAAGACCAGCTGCTTTGTCACATCATAACCCTTCTCTACTGTACACCCATAGCCAAATTCCACGTACCCAGCAGCAGGAAGTTCAAAGACCATCTGTTTGTCTCACCCCAGCTTCCTAGCCTCAGCAGAACCAGTCCTGGGTGTCCTACTCCAAATCCTCAAGAACTACTCTCAGTGCTGCATTTGAAGCACCTATCTTCTGAGACTCTACTATATCTCTCTTTCCTCCCACCTTCAAAATAAAAACAGCCGTTTTGTGGGACAAGATGCCTATTATCTCTTCATCCCCTGACTTTTTTTCTTTTTTTTTTTCTTTTTTTTTTGAGACAGAATTTCACTGTTGTCGCATATGCTGGAGTGCAGTGGCGCGATCTTGGCTCACTGTAACCTCGAACTCCTGGGTTCAAGCAATTCTCCTTCCTCAGCCTCCGAAGTAGCTGGGACCACAGGCACCCACCACTATGCCCAGCTAATTTTTGTATTTTTAGTAGAGATGGGGTTTCACCATGTTGGCCAGGCTGCTCTCGAACCCCGATCTCAGGTGATCTGTCTGCCTTGGCCTCCCAAAGGGCTGAGATTACAGGCGTGAGCCACCGCACCTGACCCATCCCCTGCCTTCTATGGGGATCTTTGTATCCTAGGGCTCCCTGAGTTGTTAGGAAACCAAAAGTGAGCATTTAATCTTCTCTTCGCAGCACATTTGAGCATTGCTGTAGGCACAATGCCCACATTACCTTATTGAGTTCTCCTGAGTGTTCTCTAAGATAGGTGCTATTAGCCCTTTAGTCTAGAACAGGGAAACTGAGGCTAAGTAACTTTTAAGTTGTTTGCCCACAATCACAGGGCTTTCTGGTATAGCGTAGATAAAGAGGAAAACTCTTCAAAAACAGACTGGACATTCTTGCTGAGACATAAACATACAAAGGAAAATAGCACTCAACAGGTTACTCAAGAAATCCAGAGAAGAGATTCAAAAAGGAGTTACCATTTGGGAATCCTTGACAGAAAGACACATGACAGGATAACTACACTGTGAGGGGATTCTCTGTATCCTGTAGTCATCATTAAGCAAACCCTCTTCTTCCCCAGATCTACTAAGACCCAAGAGGCAGGTCTCCATCTAGACCCTCCAGGGGTTCTTTACTATTTTCTTGGGTTCAATAAATGGAGATGAAATTTTCATTTCTGAGAACTCCAGTAAAGCTATTTCTAAGAAAATATTTATTTAAGGACATGCTATGTCATACTATGAATTGTATGATTTCAACCGTACCAAAAACAAACATGCAAATGGAACAAGACAGCAAGAAGATACATGCTATGAGGGGTGATGGTAGAATTATGGACACTTTTCTTTAAAAAATAAGTCTACTTTCTTATGAACCTATTCTAGTTTAACTTTTTTAAAGTATAATGGAGATGAAAGAACAAGGAACTTGAACAAAAGCTCTATTCTTTACTGAGTCTGTGATTTTTATTTCTCTGAGCCTCAGTTTTCTCATGTTACAAAAAGAACCCATAATGATTACATAATTGTGCATATAATTTATCTAGCCCACTGTCTAGTGCTCATTGTTACTCTCCTTCCTTTCCTAACACTAGGTGAAAATGTTGCATCAAAATATACCACGGCTGTCATTTCTGGGTCTTTTCCTATAGAAAAGTTTCCCCAAAGTCAGAAAGCTAGCATTAGGACCCAGCTCACTGCCCGTGCATCTATCTCCCTCCACCACATGCAAAGCATCAAAAGAATGACTCTGTCCACGAAAATCATAGCACCAGGAGGAGGAAAATCAAACCCAAAATTAATCAAACAGGATGTTTTTCCAAGAGCAAACATGCATCAATTAGGGGAAATGTTACCATCCAGGTACCGGATTTGGAATTTCACAAGGGACTCATAAGGTGAATAAACTAAGCTCTGGCATTGATTATGGAAAGCAGTGGCTGTATGATGTCAGGGTTGCTGTGATCAGTCCAGCCAGAAATTCACTTTTCAGTGCCTTGATTCCTGGGATTACCTTTGTGCTGACTGACAGCCAAAGAAAGAAAAACTGCACTGGTTAATGGAAAACTTTCTCTGATCTGTTCATCTAACAGTTGGTGATACAACCAATGCTGATTTTATTTGCTTGTTTTTGAATTATACATGTTCTTTAAATCAGAGCAAGTCAAAACAAGAAATTCTTCATTGCCCCTTCTGCATACAAGGTATGATATTAGGTACAGTGAGGGATACAGAAGTGAGAAAAGACAGTCTCTCTCCTCACAGAGGAAAGCAGGGAAAAACAATTGCTATTGGGACCTTGCTCTATGCCAGACACCATGTCCCAAGCTTTATGTCTACTATTATCTACTATTTTCCCTACAATCATATGAAGTAAGCTTATTGTTCCCATTCTTTGGATGAGAAAACTGAGGCCCAGGGAGATCACTGATTTGAGCCCTGGCTTGTAGAACTCGAAAGTACTTATACATCATGGTTTCATAAGCTATCCCCAGATCAAGGTCCAGAATCATCCATTCTCTGCCCAGACCACAAAATGGGGTAGTAGCTGGGGAGCATTAGGCCATTACCTCAGGATCATTTGTGCAACCTGATCACGAAGTCATCTTCCTCCTCAGAAGATGAACTGAAAATCACAGAGTTTTCTCTACTCACCTGTCCAAGTCTGGGTGACATGATACGTTCCCCGGAAAAGAGCCCTCACCTCTCCAGTGAGAATCTCCTTCCTTTGAACTCCTACTGCATTTTGTTTGCACCTCTCTTAGGAGACTTGTTCCTTTGCTTTACCAAAAATAAAGCCCTGGTTTATTGCATGTCCATTCCTTTCCCAGCCCTTCTGCCTTTTGGAATCCTATTCATCCTCTAAGATTTGATCCAAATGCCATTTCATGGATTCGGCTATTAAATTGCTCTGCACTCCGAGTGCACCCATGCTCTTATTCCTACTTTTTAAAATCTAATGTGAATTTCAGTCCACCAAATCAGGTGTAGAAAATGTAACTTCGTTTTCTATAGTCTAACACTTATTCAAACGTCTCCTCATCTTATTTGGGCCTCTGCTGTCTTTCCTTGCTGGTCACTGCCAAACCATTCCCCATCCCCACCTGCATGGTCTCTTCATTGGCGAATCCCTCCTTTACTTTGGTGCCATGCTATTCAGGACTGTCTGAGGCTCTCCTCATCCTTCTCCCTCTAGGTGCACCAAGCAGGCGCTCCATCTCTGTGACCTTGTTGCTTCCCTGTAGTTCTGTCAGAGAAGCAGGGACCCTCTGCTCTCAGATTCCATAAACCCACCCGGAATTCTTAGCTTGCCAGGGGTTCGGTCTGAGAATCAGAGTCTAGAATCTCCTTCTCCATGACCCATCCTCATCTTTACACATGTAGCTTTTCCCTCCATTTTTTTTTAACACTCCCAAGACCAGGAGAAGCATTCCTAGTTGTGTGTGGGCGAGAAGGAGAATGTTTTCCCTCAGATTATCTAACATTTTGCGATACCCATAGTCTTCTGCTTTCGCCTAAGAGCACTGTCGTTTAAATAATAAGGACAGTCACATCCCTTTCTTACAGAAATGAACACCTAAAAAACAGCTTCCTTGATTAAATAGGACAGGAGAAAAGGGGAAAGAAAGAGTAAACTTGCAGCAGAAAACAAATAGCATTGTTTAACATCTCCAAATGTCTTGTCATCCTCCTTAAGTCGGCATTTAGCTCAGGGCACAATGGCCTTTTACTTTAGGCTCGGCCTCTGCCATGAGCGGCAGGCAATCTGTTTCATTTTGTTGTTAAGTTTAGGGACACAGCCTGGGATGGTGGACAGAACCGTGGATTGGGTGTTGGGAGACTTGGCCTGTGTTTCCTGTTATGATACTAATGGGACATGTGACCTTGAGAAGGTAATTTCCTCTCCATTTCTCCTGTGCCTGAGCCATACAATCAGAAGATTGTATCAGATCAGTGTTTCCTAATGCTTGATCATACTTGTATCACCTTTGTGTTTGTGCCACATCTGTCATCTTTATTGTTATTATTATTATTATTATTATTATTATTATTATTATTTTCAGACAGAGTCTCACTCTGTCACCCAGGCTGGAGTGCAGTGGCATGATCTTCACTCACTGCAACTTCTGCCTCTCAGGTTCAAACAATTCTTGTGCCTCAGCCTCCTGAGTAGCTGGGATTACAGGTGTGCACCACCATGCCCAGCTAATTTTTGTATTTTTAGTAGATATGGGGTTTCACTGGCCACTATGTTGGTCAGGCTGGTCTGGAACTCCTGAACCTCAGGTAATCCAGCCACCTCAAAATGCTGGGATTTTAAGTGTGGCCACCACATCTGGCCCATAGCATTTTTTAATATTTTTTCTTAAATTGACTCACTTTTTTTGCTAAATTAAATTTACTGTAAAAGGAAACTTTCTATCACTTGATGAACCTAAAAAGTAACCCAAAAAAATTAATTCAATGAAAACAAAACACTGTCATCAAGTTCTAACTGGGCATTTTTGCCTTCCAAATGCTTTATATCTTTGTTAAAAAGTAAAAATGGCATTCTTGGTAAACAGGGGAATTGAAATAGATCTGAAAATGAAGTAACTTTCTCTTTAGGGGTTAAGTGGTATATAAAGGCATGCCCTTGGACTAGACAAAAGCTTCTCATCCCAGCAGAGGTAGGAGTCCTGGGCTGGAAGCACTAAATTGGATGATACTTAAACTTCTATAGCTCCAACATTCTGTGTGGTCCTACTCTTTTTGGCATTCTTAAGTCATTTGCGCAAAACCTGCTTCTTGTCCAGAACTTCATATTTCACTTCTATTCTCAGCCAAGCTGTCATGCCTCAATTTCCCCCAGTTTTAGTGCTCTGTTGAGAGTTTGGAGTGTTACAGAGGTCCCACTTCTATCTCCTGGGTCTAATAGCTTCCCCATTTTATCTCCACAGGGTTTCTGCTCTCCTTCTGTGTCCTGTGCCCACTCTACTCCATTTCCAGCAGGAGGAGGCCAGCCCCCTGGGGTTCAGTGGCCAGATGTCTCCTAACACACCTGGTCATGCTGCTAAAGCCTGTATTTTTCATGTCTCACACTTGTCTGTCTGTGTCACTCACACCTGTGGTCAGCACTGTCTTGAAAAAACACCTGCTCCAGAGCCAAGCCTGTAAAAAAGGGGTATCAAGCATGGCTAATGCCCCAGCAGGCACTAGGCCACAGCTTCTAGGAACATTAGATGAATTGGTTTGATCTTTTCCTTTCCAAGGACAGCCTGAACTTAGCCTTTCCAAGGAAGCAGGAGAAATGGTTCAGTAGGTTGAAAGTAGAAGAAATGGTCCAGCATGTTCCTACTGGAAGACATGAGAACACATCCACAGCCTTTAAATATGTATCTAGAATGAGATCAATGCTATGTTGCATCTCCTGAAGTTTTCTTTAGGCTGTAATCCTCATCTTGTTCCTTTTCGAAAAAGAATAGAAAGAGTGGCCTTTTCTTCCGGGAGTTTGGCAATTAGATACTTAGAAGTGCTCTCCCACTGCATACCAACTATATGCTTATGAAACATAATTTTGAATGCATTGCTGGGCTCCCAGAAACTCTACAAACACCCACCCTCTCTGTCAAAAGCAAAGAAAGATAAAAAAGATGAGTGTGACCTGTAAGCAAATATGGAAGGCAAACTTTGAAGTAAATGCCAATATTAGCACTGTATTCTGGTGATTATGACTTGGGCCAGCTGAAGGGTGTAGTTGTTTACCCTTAAACACTAATGTTAAGTAAGAAATCCAGAAGAAAATCTGAAACAGTCCCAGGTAGGTAGCACTCTTTGGCTCCTGGTGGATACCAATATTATTATTATCTGGAAGAAAGCATCCTTGATTTAGGTCACACAGAATTCCAGAAATTTAAAATCAGTCAACTAAGAGTTTACAATAAAAGATCATTAAGCATACAAGGAAATAAACCATCATGAGTAAGAATCAGCAAAAACAACAAATGCCACATTCGGACACAGTATTGGACATATCTTACATACCAGTTATGATACGCTTGGCCTAATTTGGCTCACACTCTGGTCACTACTCTCATGACCAACTGTGTGTGGACTCTGATCAACTTTATGCAGATGCAGCCCGGAAGTGTCTCACCTCATTCTTGTATTGCATGCTTCTCTGAATGCTTCTTGCCTCCTGTTCCAGGGCTTCCTTGATGATGCTAAGGTGTGAGACATGGAGAGACCCTGCTCAGTGTCCATACATGTGGAAGCCAGAAGTGTAGGGAAGTCAATGCCCTATGGGCAAAACTAACCAATGGGAGAGAGGGAATCAATAGACACATTCTTTCTCACACTTTCCCCTAGATGGATGATCCTGGGAAGTATTTCATATGGCTTCTTGAGGGGTCATTGCCTAGCATAGACCTATGCTACGAATAATCCATTGAATTTAGTAGCAGCCAGCTAACAGCACATCTTCATTGAGACTTTCTCTCCTTCTTAACCTTACCTACCTTTGCTCTCACTTCTGCTCCCTAGGATGGTACTTACTAAAAAACAGTCACATATAACTTCTGGTTTCTGGACAACCTAGGCTAAGTCAGTCAAGGATGTTAGATATTGCACTTAACAGATAAAATATATAACAACTATATGTGAAACTTTTTAAATATAAAAAAGCAAACAACTAAACACTACAAAACAGGCAGATTAGAAAAGGTACAAAATAAAATGAAAAGTATAGTGGTTGAAAATAAATTTTAAAAAATTCATTGGATATGATAAATAATAGCTATGGTTGAAGGGAGAATTAACAGACTGGAAGATATATTTGAAATAGTTATCCAGATTGTAGCCCAAAGAATAAGACTAAAAATATTAGAAGATAAAAACATGGCCTGATTTTGTGCTATGGTCTGATTATGTCTCCCCAAATGTATATGTTAAAAACTAGTTATTAATATGATAGTATTAGGAGGTGAGACCATTGGAAGGTAATGAGATCATGAGGATAGAGGTCCCAGGAATGGGATTAGTGCCCTTATAAAAAAGGCCCTAGAGAACTGCCTTGCCCTTTCCACCACGAGAGAACATAGCAAAAAGGCATCATTTTATGAACCAAGAGACAGGCCCTCACCAGACATTGAATCTGTTGGCGCTTTAATCTTGGAACTCTGAGAAATAAATTTCTATTGTTTATAATTCATCCCATATATGGTATTTTGTTACAGTAGCCCTAATGAACTAAGACAGGTGGATAGAATGAGAAGATCTAATATATATTTAATCAGAGTCTCAGAGAGAACAGAGAAAATAGTGGAAAATAAACATTTTAAAAGTGGTTAAGAAGAAAGACATAAATCTATAAATGCAAAAAGCACATTTACTAACCAAGACACATAAAATCTACACTAGGTAAAATGGAGCACCAAAGACAAAAAAACAAAAGTTGTCAAAATCAGCCAGAAAGGGTAAGACAGTTCATTTACAAAAAAATGACAAACTGACCACATTATTCTGGGTTCTCCTGAGAAACAGAACCAGTAAGATGTGTATACAGAGAGAAAGACACTTATTATAAGGAATTGACTCACATGATTACAGAGGTTGACAAGTCTCAAGATCTGCAGAACAAGTCAGCAAACTGGAGACCCAGGAGAGTCAATGGTGTAAGTTCCAGTTCATAGTCAGCAGGCTTGAGACCCAGCAAGAGTCCAAGTTTCAGTTTGAGTCCAAAGGCAGAAAAAAGCTAATGTTCTAGTTTGGAAACAGTCAAGCATGAAGAATTGTCTTTTACTTGGGGGAGGGCCACCCTTTCTGTTCAGCCTTCACTCGATTGGATAAAGCCCACCCACATTAGGAAGGCCAAAGCTTTATTCAGTCTTCCAATTTAAATGGTAATCTTATCCCAAAACACCCTCACAGACACACTCCGAATAATGTTCTACCTACTGTCTGGGCATCCTGTGGCCTAGTCAATTTGTGAAATAAAATTAACCATCACGCTGACTATAAAACCTCTTGACTATAATAATGGATGCTTGAAAAGAAATCTTCAAAGGAGTATCTTCAAAGTGCTAAATAATAATATCTGTGAGCTGAAGTTTTGTAATCTACAAAAATGTCCTTTAAAATGTAGATAAAATAAAGTTCCTTATGTTAAAACTTATCACAAACTTGTCACCAATAGATATTCACTTTTTAAAAATTCTTTTAAAAATGCATACATCCTAAACAGGAGAACATGTCATTTTTCTGACCCAGAAATTCCCATATTTAATGATAAACTATGTGTCCAATATATTTCAAATTTCCTCTTCAAAGTTTTTTTTTAAGTCTATGAGCAGTTATCAAGTAAAGTAACTTTTAAATGTTATTACAAGTGTATGCATCTCTTTTATTTAAATAACACTGATGAGAAAGTTCTTTAGGGTTCCTGGACCAGTCCAAGCACCATTCCATCTTGCTAGGTATAGTATACCAAGGAGCAGGCCAATTATGAGTGCAGGAATCCAAGAGGGTTTAGCTCAAAAAGAATCATACATCCTCTTGGGACATGTCCCATTCCTCCACTCCAAGTATCACACAACATTTTGTGCAGTTTGCTCCTCCCCCTTTTAAAAATCAATAGGTTAAGTCATCTTGACTGAAGAACCCAAGCCACTTGAGCAGCAAGAAAAAAGCCAAACTTGAGGGAGAGCAACATACCCTAGAGAATTTGCTTTCAAGGGTGAATCCTTTGCAGAAATTTAAAGACCACAGAAATATGAGCACATTGAGGCTGATAGTACCTGTCCCTCCCAATAGGTAAGGACATTAAATAATGCAAAAGTCAGTCTGCCAGGTATTGATTTGGCATAAAAAGTCTCACTGGTGAAATGATATATTTATGTCTAAAATATAAAGTTGCAATACAAAAAAGAAATATACATTCAGAAAGAAACCCATATGTGTGTGTGTGTGTGTCTGTGTGTGTGTGTGTATACATTGCTTTTTCCTTCCACTTTGTAAATGTAAGCCCTGATTCTTTGTCTTCAGGCAGAAATTTAGCTATATTCTCCTGCAGGTAAGTCGTCTACAAATTCTAGCCTGAGGGTAGACTTTTTTACTTTGTATTTAATGCTGTTTGAAGATGCCTGAGTGGATCTTATGAAATTCCCAGCATCACAGAAGAGGTTTGTATTTTCCATTTAACCCCTGAGTTCTGTCTTCTCTTCACAAATTGTCTCTACGCTGCAGGTGGCCACCTCCAGCCTGGAGCTGCCTAAGCCAAGAGAGGCCTGTGTGAACCTTTCAGGACACCATTGAGTTTGGCATAAATATTTTCACCAAGCCCCATCCCAGCCACACTTGGAATCTGGAAATCTTTGTGTGAAATCAGAGCATATTTCCAGCTTAGAAACAGAAACTGATCCTTACTTCCAGAAGAAGAAAACAGACTGCATTAAGTGGATTTATTTTCAAATCCTGGCTCAGCCACTTATTATTCAATTTCCAGTAAATTTCTTCATCTTTTATACTCTCAGTTGCCTCATCTGTAATATGGGAATAATGATAGCTCCTGCTTCAGAGGTTTTCTCTGAAAAAATAAATATTAAAATAAATGTAAAGTGCTTAACACAGAACCTGACATACAAAATTTTAAATAACATTTCTAGTTATTAATAATATAATTATCACCACAATCATGAATATGATAGCTTATAACTGACTTAGATGCCATATGCCACTTACACAAAAGAAAAACACATGAGAGTTTTACCGTGTCAGAACTTCCCAACCAGTCACAAACCAGCTAATTCAGTGCTGCAGGGATCATAAAGATAAACTCCCCACTCTGTTATGTTATAGACCAGAAACCTGATTCTCAGAGCGGTCAAGTAAATTGCTTAAGTTCACACAGCAAGGTCATTCATAGTCTTATAGACAAATATCAGGATTCACATTAATCAAAGCAGAGTCAGCAGGAATCCTGTAAAGTTAATTCAAATAGCTCACCCCTAAAGTTAATATATTTTTAGGACCCATAAAGCTCATGTAATGGGGAGTGCTCGGGAATCCAAATCTACTTGGCATTCTCAGAAGCGTCCTTGGGCTGCTTGAAGATTCGCAGCCTATAGCTTTTGGCAGTCCCCAAAGAGAGAGCTCTTTCCACTAACAAAATACAAAATGCAAAATTAATAAAAAGACCCTTTGAAACTGACAAATGTGCCTCAGGCAAACTATCTGCCCAGCAGCTGGTTAAAATTTAATCAGTTTTTTTTTAAAAAAATTTTCAGGCCTGTACGTCTTTTGTATGGAGCTTCGCAGCCTGAGTGTGGTCAATGTTTGTTAAACAAGAAATAATAACCAAGGCCTTTTAATTCTGCAAATAAGCAGTGGACGCTTTAAATGGTTCTGCAACATTCAAGAAACTAATTGTCCAGGTCTCAACAAAGCTGGGTAATTCTTAAATAATTTCTGTTCTTTCTCTTAGAAAACCTAAATTGGCAACTATACACTGAGAAGTGAATCTTAACATTAATTTGGTCTTATGAATTACATGGTAGCTTTTTTAGGGATGTTGACTGAGCCCTAGATAGTGAAGGGAGATAAAAGAAGAGAGGGAGGGAAAGAATAAGAATGACTATGGGAACGAATCGACTGGTATAATGGCAGGGGTTTGTATAAGAAAACTCTTTAAGAACTTAGAGAAGGGTCATCTGCTGTCAGTGTTGCTAGGACACTGGAGACCAGAGGGCTTTAAACTCTTGGCCAATCAGGAGTCTCCAATCAGGAGAACCAGACTAAAGGGCCTGGCCCTAATTTGATTTGTTTTGCCTACTCTCCTCCTATAAACCTGTGTGAAATTAAAGGCCACAGTGAAACCTAGATAAACAACAATCTAAGATGAAGACTACCCATCAAGAAATTAGACAATGCCAGAGTTGTTCACAAACTATAGCAATAATCACAACTTTTCCTGTTCCAAATGTAGTTATTCATGAAGGGAGTGGATAATGATTGGGACAAAAGGGGAATTAGTCGATGGTGAACAAGAGGAGTCATTTTTGCATTGTGGTCTTGCAAAAGATGAAGAAACTTAGGTCTAAAACACCAAGGCTTTTGAACTGAACTCTTAGGGTAAGCCAGGTTGAGGGAGCGGAAAAGACGAGAGATAGATTCAGGTTAGAATTTCCTCTAGGAGCTGCTATGGCCTGCACCTTGGAGGTGGGCACAGAGAGAAAAGTCTCTTCTGAAGGCAAGAGACTTTTCCCTCTCAATTAAACACAGTGGGTAATTGCTAAGAAATGCCTTATCTTATCAGAAGAATCCAAGTCATTCATATGTCTGTGTCCATAGCTAGATTCTGTGCTGCTTCATTTCAAGTTAAACCCTGGCCACTCTCCTAATAAGGGAAGGGATAATATACATAATGCTTAGCTCTCAATACTGAGGGAAGCAGGCTAGTGGGAAGGATGGTTATTGGCTTGAGAATTGGTTCTATACCTCAATCTCAGTCCTCCACATACAAACTAGTTGGCCTCAGTAATTGACTTTTTACCCCTTTAAAGCTCATTTTCTCATTATAAATTGAAATAATAATACCCAGCTGTCAGGGTTATTGGGAAGACTGAATTATATAATGGCTAGAAAATGCACAGTCTATGACCTATTATAGATAGGTTCTTACACACATTATTATATAGGCACTAACTGCACACCAGGATCTTATGTAATTACTGTTCTCCTGTCCAGTTTTGAGCCCTGTTAACTCACCTCCTCTCCTTCCAAATCCTCGGCTCTCACTTCCTTCTAATTCTGGCCTCACTTGGCACTTGTGCTCACTGGAAAGCCCAATAATTAATTCCTGGCTTCACACTGCAATTCTACCTTTCGCTTCTGAGGCCCTTCGTAAGAGAACTCTGGAAAGTAGTAAAATAACAGCAACAAGAACAATTGCTGACCCTGATTCGGAGCTTCACATGCCTGAAACTATTTTAAGAAGTTTAGATGTTAAGCCTCAAGTCAAACACATAAGGCAGATACTATTTTATCTCCATTTTACCAGTGGCAAAACTGAATAACAGAAAGATAAAGTGACTTCTCTAAGGTCACACAGCAAAGCCAGGATTTGAATGTAGGTGGTTGAGCATCAAAAGTTTTTTGTTTTTTTTTTTTCAAGCTCAAGCTAAAGTTAAAACTAAAGCTAGCCTCCAGTGGTTGGATAAGTGGCACTGGTTGAGAACTTAGTATATGCTACTCACTGAATTAATGCTCTATACGTTTTATTAATTCTTCACAATGATCCTGTGAAGTAGATGACTTTAATTTCACTTCCAGATAAGAAAATGACAGCTGAGACATGTTCAGTGATTTATTCCAAGTCCATTTGATTATAGACTTGTCTGCTTAACTGAAATTGTGGCACTACCTACAAATGCATACATCATCTAAGTTGCCTTTAAGAGAAGTGCTAATATGTTAACACCCAGAAATTGAGTAAATATTTCATATTCAAAGGCTTTTATCCCAACCTCTGATTATTTCCCAGTGTCTAGAAATTTCCTACAAATCAGCTTTTGGGATTCCAAGATTCTTTTGCTTGCCCCTATTCTCCTGAGTGCAGTCATGCATAACCCCAAAGATGTCTGCTTTTGTACATTTTTAGCTATCTATGTCTGGGCATCTACTCAGTCATTAACAAAAATCATATGAAATATTTAAAGTTAAGTTTAAATTAAATTAAATATTTAACAGAGGTTTGTTAAAATGTTTTACTTGTATTTTGTTTCTATATACTTATTGTATTTTCTGACTCCTTATTTGCTTTATATATGTTCATGATTCTGTTATTAAGTATATGAAAATTCATAGTAGTGTACATTTTTGTTGTAGACTATACTTTTTTTTTTTTTTTCTTGAGACAGGGTCTCACTCTGTCACCCAGGCTGGAGTGGAATGGCATGATCTCAGCTCACTGCAACATCCGCCTCCTGGGCTCAAGTGAGTCTCATGCCTCAGCCTCCCAAGTAGCTGTGATTACAGGTGTGAGCCACCAGGCTGGGACAATTTTTGTATTTTTAATAGAGACAGGGTTTCACCATGTTGGCCAGGCTGGTCTCGAACTCCTGGCCTCAAATGAGCTACCTGCCTTGGCGTCCCAAAGTGCTGGGATTAAAGGCGTGAGCCACCATACCCGCCCCCCTTCATTTTTAAAAAATAATATTCTGCAGGGAATATCCATTATTTTTTCTGCTCAATATCTGTTCATCTTCTACCAATAATACCTTCAAATTCCTTAGAAGAAACAACTCCATACTCAAGCTCCATCCATAGAGTTTGGATGGAATTGAGCAGGCAAGGACCTATGACATGACATAAAAGAATCAGATGGTGTATTCCAACCTTTCAGCCACTGTAATTGATTTAGAAGTGGACACATGATTTAATTCATGATTATGAGAGTCAGGTGCAGAATTAAAAAGAACAATTTCCAGTTGCTTACTTGACATCTTTACTTGGGTATCCAATAGAAACCTTAAACTTCATTTTACTAATATAAAATAGCAAAGTCAACAGTTTTGATTTTGTTATTTTTCTCTTCCTTTTTATTTTGCTCTCCCTATACTCTTTCCCCCGACCCATTCCTTTCCCAGTCTACGCTTCAGGCAATCCATTAAAAAATCCTGTTAGCTTTACTTCCAGAATATCTCTCAATCTGTCCACTTTTCTTTATCTCCATCAGTACCATCGTAGTCCAAGCCAACATCATGCTTTCCTCAAACTATTGAAGCAGCCTTTTAACTGGCTCCTCATCCACTTCAATCCCCTTTCTACACAGCAGTCCACATGATCTTCTTATTAGATTGTTTGTTTTTGCATGATCTTTTGAAATATAACTATTTGATATTATTTTCCTTCTTAAAGCCCCCCCGTGGCTTCCCCATCATGCTAGAATCCAATGAAAAGGTTTCTAAATTTTCTGAACCATTGTTTTATGAATTATTTTGAGGAACTTACATACTTGAATTTAATTACTCCATCTGAGAGCTTTACATTTAAATAGATTATTTTTTCATTTTTATATTTATCACAATGAACATATTTCATCTTACTTTTCGAGTCATTTTAATTTTTGTGTTTAATGCTTTCTGGTTGATTCCTCCTTTCTTTTCTGCTGCTTCTACTTTTCCTTCTTCTAATCTTTTTCATATGGTTTTGTTTTTTGGTTATGCTTCTTTCTGTTCTTTCCTCCTCCATGACCTTCAATTTGATGATTCTATGAAGTCTTCCTTATTCGCTAGTGGTTATCTATATAACTTTATATTGCATTTTAAAATCATAGCGCACCAGCATGGCACATGTATACATATGTAACTAACCTGCACAATGTGCACATGTACCCTAAAACTTAAAGTATAATAAAAAAAAAATCATATTGCTTGATCTGGCAAACTTAAAAATGAAACCTTATGTATTGGCCCACCATATGGAAAATAAAGAAATTACTATAGTCATATTCCCTTCTCTGATTCACACGCATCCATCTCCTGATTTGAAGTGACCCATTTTAAGAGTTTGGGCTCTAACATTCCATTTCCACAATTAAACCAGTCATGGAAAACTTAAAGCCAACTAGGAACTATACTTAAGCCATGAAGACAACACAATTGACCTTTCAGCTCTGACTTTTTTTTTTTTTTTGGTTTAACTAGAGCAGGGTCAATCCAGTTTCTCTTAGCCCCTGATTTATTTTGACCAATCAAGATAATCTCACCAAATTAAGCATGGATGTTGTATCAGTCAGGATGGGCTAGGTATGCTATATAATCAACCCCAAATCACAGTGCTGCATGTTCATTTCAAGAAAGCCATTGGGGTGGGTGATAGGGGGAGGATGCTCTGCCCATTACATTCTCTTAGGGAGCTGGGCTTATGGAATAGCCATTTCAAGCATTTCCAGTTGTGGGGCCAGATGGGAAAAGAAGGAGAGTCTGTATGATCTGATCTGGCCTAGAGTTTTCTTTGTAGGAAGGTTTTGTTGTTATTGCTGTTTAATTACAAATTCTACTTTTTAAATAAATAAAATGCTTTTCAAATTTTCATTTCTTCTTGTGTCAGTTTACGTAAGTAGTGTTTTTCAGTAATTTGAGTTCCTTGAGAACTCCATGTTATTGAATTTATCAGCATAAAATTGTTTATGATATGGACTTTGTTTTCCTCCTAAGGTCTGTAACATGATAGCAACATGCCCTCTTTTATTATCAATATTTGTAATTTGTATTATTTGTTGATCAGTCTTTCTAGGGTTTATCACTTTTATTAATATTTTTATAAGACTAACTTTTGGCTTTCATGTTTTACGATTATTTGTTTGCATTTTTGTCACTGATTTATGCTTTTATTTGTATAATATTCATCCATTAAGTTTATTTCATTCTTTATCATTGATTTTAAACCTCTCTATATTCCTAATGTAAGCATTTAAAGCTATAAATTTCACCTAAGCACTGCTTTATCTGCACTCCACAAATTTTAACACGTGGTTTTATAATCATTTGTTTTAAAGTATTTTTCAATTTCCCTTGTGATGTCTTGCTTGACTCAGGAGTTTATTTAGAAGTGGCTTAATTTCCAAATATTTGTGGATTTTCTAGATATCTTATTGAATTCTAAATTGTTATTGTATGGTTATAAAACATATCCCATAAGATTACATTCTTTTGAAATTATAAAGTTTTGTTTTATGGACTAGCAGGTCTATCTAGGTAAAGGTTCCACAGACATTTAAAAAAAAAAAAGTATATTCTGCATTTGTTGAGTATGGTCCCTTTACAAATCAATTAGATTAGGTTGGATAAGACCTTCCATATCTTTACTTACATTTTTTCCACTTGTTACATCAATTACTGAAAGAAGGGTATGAAAAAAAATCTCCAAAGATGTGTGTTTGTCTACTTTTCCCTTTAGTTCTATTAGTCTTCATGTATTTCAAAGCAATGTCATCCAGTACATACTCATGTAAGAATGCTACTCTTTCTTGATGAATTATTTTATCATAATGAAATATCCCTTTATCTCTGATATTACACCTATCTTAAAGTCTACCTTATTTGATACTAATATAGCTGACATTAAAATTGGCCTTGCCATGCTTATTCTTTGCAAAGTATATATTTTCCCATTCTTTAACTTTCAGTTGATTTGTGTCTCTTTATCTAAAGTGCATTACTGGCCGGGTGCAGTGGCTTATGCCTCTAATCCCAGCACTTCGGGAGGCTGAGGAGGGTGGATCACCTGCAGTCAGGAGTTTGAGACCAACCTGGCCAACATGGTGAAACTCTGTCTCTACTAAAAATACAAAAATTAGCCAGGCATGGTAGCGTGTGCCTGTAGTCCCAGCTACTTGGGGGGCTGAGGCAGGAGGATCACTTGAACCCAGGATGTGAAGTTTGCAGTGAGCCGAGATTGTGCCATTGCACTCCAGCCTGGGTGACAGAGTGAGACTCCATCTCAAAATAAATAAATAAATAAATAAAATAAAGTGCATTATTGCACAATGGCACACAAAAGTAACAAGCACCCAGATGAAGAAATAGAACATTAGTAGCATTCTAGAAGGCTTCTCTCTGGTCCTTTGCAGCTATGCTGCTAACCTTGTAAGACCATAAAATAGCTTTGCTTGTTTTTGAACTTTATGTAAGGGAAACCATATAGTATGTACACTTCAGTCTCTGTTGCCCAACATTATGTTTATGAAATTCACTCATGTTGTTATTGTTTATTCATTTACGTAGCTGCACCTATCCCATTGTATAAATAATGTTACACATTTATTTATAATTTCTACTGTTGATATACTTTTGGGTTGTTTCCAGCTTTTGGCTATTATGAAGAGTAGCATAATGAACATATTTCCATATACCTGTTGGTATGGAAACTATATGCATTTCTGTTGGGTATCATTTAAGTTTTTTTCAAGACCTTGTAAACATCTTTCTTTTAGAATGCTAATATGCATTTTGGAACAATATTACCACTGATTTGGAAAGGTGTTTTTATTTCTTCATGCACGTCAAGAAAGCTCAGGGATTCCGTATCACACAAGCTGTGGCTGAGGTTCAAAGAGCAAGAGGTCCCCATTACCCACTAATCTTCATATTTACCAGAAACATTCATTGCAGTGTGAAAACTTCCAGAGGGCAAGCTCAATTTTCTTAGTGCTGATGCCGTAAGTATCACAGATACCTATGAGGTGCTAATGATTGCTGGCCTTTAATCGTGTGAGTTTAGTGATAACTGGGCTGCCAGTTTGGGGTTGTTCTGCCTATGTTTAGCATTCTCCAGACCTCCCTGGCTATCTTCCAGGGTTCTAATGGCTTTACTCCTGCTTCTGTATAGGCTGGGTTTTTTAATTCACATGAAACACTCTCTTATAAGCTCCATTTTTTCAGTTGCTAGGCTCTCTCCCTTGCCCATCCAACTCCATTCACGTATTTCAGTGCCAAAAAGAGGGAAGTGTGAAATTCTACCCAGCTGGAGTTGCTCTAACTACACATATCAGATGTCATTAGATGGGGAAATAAGTCCTTGGAGGCCTACAAGTCTGTAGAAAATTCCTAGTCTGGCATTCAAGCCTCTCTACGATTTGACTCCCACATAATTTTAACATCATTTCCCATTGGTTTCAATATGCCTTTTTCTGACATAGTCATGTTGCTTCTCACCGCTTCCAACCCACCAAAAATGCATTTCCACCTCCTTGATTTCTTCATGCTGTTTCTCTTTCCCAGAAAGTATGGCCACATCCCTTCTCCTGTTCTATTTAAATAGTTCACCTTGATTTTATATATATATATATATGCACACACACACACACACACACACACACACCACTATGCCTGAGGCACTGTGCTAGGTGTGTTTGAGAAATAAAAATGAATAAAACATGGACTTGCTTTTAAGAAACCTTATATTGATGGGGGGACAGGAGAAGCAACATAGCAGAGGAGTAAAGATAATCTCTACGACTGGTGAAGGGAGATACCTAAATAATACCAAGATGACTCTTACGCATCTGTCTAGATTAGAGCTAATCAGAAAGCTCTGGTAGACCGAAGCAACCGCATAATTTGCAGGGCACAATGCCAAATGAAAATGAGGGGTTCCTTGTTTAAAAAAAATGAAGAATTTAAAGATGGCAACAATTGAGCATTAAACCAAGAACAGGGTCCTGTGAGATTGCACAAGTTGCCCTTGAAGCCAGCCTCATTATTGGAGACTACTTCAGGAAGATGCAATCGAGAGAACACTTCATGCATCTGCCAGTCTCGAGAGGAGATTTAGACAATCAGTCGAGATTGGGATTGAATTAGTGATGAGTAAATAGAAAACTGAGCAAATATCAACAACAAAATAAGACAACTATTACTTCTAAGAAAAAGAAGAATGGGCAGAAAAAGAAAAAGTAATTGTTCATTTTCATGGCTCAGCTGTGAATACTGTTTGCATAGTATATGAGTCAGGTTTCTCCAGAGAAAGAGAGCCAATAAGATGCATAGAGAGGAAGATGTATTCTAAGGAATGGGCTCACACAAGTGTGGGAGGTAGCAAGTCCAAAATCTGCAGGACAGGCCAGCAGACTGAAGACCCAGGGAAAAGTAAGGTTGCAACTCAAGTCTGAAGGCAATCTGGAGGCAGAATTTCCTCTTCTTAAGGGGAGGTCAGTCTTTTTCTGTTAAGACCTTTAACTGATTGGATGGGGCCTACCCACATTGTGGGGGGTTATCTGAATTACTCAAAGTCTGCTGATTTGAATGTTAATCTCATCTAAAAAAATACCTTTATGGTGACATCTAGCCTGATGTTGACCAAATATCTGGATACCATTGCCTAGATAAGTTGGCATATAAAATTAACCATCACACACAGTCATAATAATTTAAACATCAAATATTGATATAACCAAAGTTATGACAAATTATATTGGAAAGATGGGGAGGACAGGAAGCATGCATGTGTGTTCAGTGGGGGTGCTGGAGGTAAAAGAAATCTAAGTCTCATCTTTCACATAGCACAGGAAGAAATCAAAGGATAATGACAAAGCCAGCAAATCAAGAGGAAGCAATACAGCTATGTTTTTAGAGAAAGGGAAGTCAATGCCAACATGATCAGCTAAAAGAGGTAAAAGGTTTGCCTCTGAAGAGGGGAAAAGGATATGAGGGTATATTGCTCTTTTATATAACATTCCATGCAGATATATTTGGCTATCTAAAATACGTGCATGAATGACTTTGATTTCAAAACATTAACTCTTTAAGAAAGGAAAAGACAAAAACAAAACATCCACAGGAAAAAGAAAGAACAAATCAATTGCAAAACAATAGAAACCAATGAGTGCTGAAATGGAGTAAGGGTCACGTTCTGAGAATAAAGAGACTCCCTGAGGACTGATTGAGAGATACAAGGAAGACTCCTTAAAGGAGGACTCACTTATGAGAGTGAGAATTTGCATGGAGAACACATTTGGTAAAGGCATTCCAGGCAGATGTCTTACATGGAGGGCCACTTCCCATGAGTTTTAATTTTTCCTACACAGAAACATACTGGGGGGCCTGTTCAAGTCCCCCCTCATTCATAACATCTTTCTACATCCTACCAGAAAGTTGATCTTTCTTCCTCTGAACTCCAACAGCCTAATGAAGCTCATGTGAAATCTACCTGGATTGTTTATTAAGTGAATCTTCCTTCCTTGAAAAGATCCCAAGTGTGTTGAAATCAGGATCCTGTGTGATATTAATAATAAAAATTACCATCATTTATTGAGCATCTATTCCAGTCTGGTCCAGGACTAGTGCTCTGAATACACATCACTTTAAACCGACAGTGACCTGTAATGAATTGTTGTTATTAACTCTGCTCTATGGGTAAGGAATTTGAGGCTTAGAACGTTTATATGACTTGCTGGCTAGGAACTAGCAGAGACAGGATTGGAATCAGATTTCTTTCTTCTTCTTTTTTTTTTTTTTTTTTTTTTTTTGAGATGGAGTCTTGCTCTGTCACCAGGCTGGAGTGCAGTGGCGTGATCTCGGCTCACTGCAACCTCTGCCTCCCAGGTTGAAGTGATTCTCCTGCCTCAGCCTCCCGAGTAGCTGGGACTAAAGGTGCACACCACCACACCCAGCTAGTTTTTGTATTTTTAGTAGAGACGGGGTTTCACCATGTTGGCCAGGATAGTCTCAATCTCTTGACCTCGTGATCCTCTTGCCTCAGCCTCCCAAAGTCCTGGGATTACAGGCGTGAGCCACCGTGCCTGGCCCAGAATCAGATTTCTTATTACAAAGCCCATGCTTTTAACCTCCCTGCCACACTCTATCCCACAATCTCAAACTGTTTTATTGCATGTGCTTAAGATAGTATGGACAATGGTGGTTGGTTAAGAGACAGAGCACATGAGCTGCCACCCATTTGGAAGGTGTCTTGCTGCCCACTTGCAGAAGCACATGGAGCCAAATTTCCATAACCAAGCTAAGCTTGTCATGGCGACAGAACATTGATCTGCTGACCTTACATATGCATCTGATGACACTCACTGTGTGTAAACAGATGTCAGGTTTAAATCAATCTTGCTTCCTGACACCTTACTTTAAAACAGTAATTATGTGCTCATTTTTGAATATGGAGCACTAGGTAAATTATCTATCTCCACTCTCCTCTCCAAGTTTTAATTTTTAAATATCAATTAAGCATTTTTTTCTTTTTTCTAAAGAAATTCACAGTGGGAGACACATATAGTAAGGGCAAAACAAAGAGCCTCTGTAGAAGGTGGGCAAAAGTAGATGGTAGTGAGGTGGTACCAATTGTGGCAAGAGGGCAGGGGGACGTAGAAAACAAAGGCCACAAAAACACACTGGCAAGCAGATGGGTCGTGGGGAGAGAATGAGGACTAGCAGGACTCAATGCAGAACATGCAGGCTTGGTCAGATGCAGTAGCATGGGCTATTCCAGCAGGAACAGGCATGATAGTGTAGGGAAGAACCTAAGAAGTGGTTGCTCAGAGCAGTTATGCTCTGATCCCTGAGGACTCACAGACTCAGGACTTGCCAATGTGAGACTCCTCAGTAGCCCATTCCTGAGACAGGGATGAGGTCCCTAATGATAATGACTCCTCTTCACCCTCCTCCCTTCTCCTCCCACTAGAAGATGCCAATATGGGAGAAGGGGCATCCTCTTGTCTCTTGGAAGAGAGTAAGGCCCTTGGGTTCAGATCTAGGTTTGAATCTCAGTTATTAGCTATGTAATCACAGGATAATATGTAAACTCTCTGAACTATGGAAGATTAACATGGAGTCTGAAAGCCTGTGCTTTAATTTAATGCTGTGTAACTTTAAGCAAGTTGCTTAACATTTCTATGCTTAAGTTTCTTCAACTGTAGAATTGATGTAATAATTGTGCCTATCTCATAGGGATGTTACAGCAAATAAATGTAAGGCATGTAAATCCCTTACCATAGAGTCTACCACTAATCATGAAATAATAATTTTCATTATTTAGGACTTTGATGAGTATTCAACTAGACAAAGATATGTTTGAAGGACCTAGATCAATAAATGTCAGTTTCATTCTCCTTTCTGTAGATGCATTAGTGTTTAATCACGGATTTGAGGTGTCCACTTGGAGCTCTCTTAGATGGGTAGTTCTTTTGGAGAGGAGGGGCATCTGACCTTGGTCATTGGTGTTTTATCTTTGGCAAAGAGGGCAAAATGGAAGGAAGGGAATCTGACAGACAGAAATGCAGACAGACAGGCCAACAGTGGGGTGAGATAGATCCAAGTGAGACAAAAGGCACATACCCAACCTGAGGACTGAGCATCACAGGAAATGGAGAGATTGTTTCCCAGTTGTACCATAGTCACACTGGGATTCTCCATCTCTTCTGCTTGCTCCAGTGGTTTCCATACAGCAAATGTGATTCCATCTCTGCCTTTCCAAATTCTACCAATCCAGAGTGGATGGGAAGAAGGGGTCCTGCTATGCTAGACATACTAAGCTCCCCAAAAGACTGAACTAGTAGATGTACAGGTTCCTCAAGAAGCAACCTCTTCTCTTACCTCTGCCTGGTCCTATGCATTACTTTGAACCACCACCTACATTCCAGCACTGGCACTATCCACCTTAGTTCTGAACTACTTGCCAGGGTCTGGACTGCTTCTTTCTTTTTTATTTTGTGTTGTCCACCATGTTCCCACCTGCTGACCTGGATACTTGCTCCCATTTTCAGCCCTACCCCCACCCCATTCTACTCCCAGATTCCTGATACCACTTTACTGCTTTATTTTTGTCCGTAAAATAGTATATGTTCCAAGCTCCTCTTCTCTAAGAAGACTCACTTTTCTGGAAAAAAGGAAGAACCACTCACTATTACTTGCTAATTGAGTAGTACCTTCTTATCTTTTAAAATGACTCCATGTCAAATCCTGGAACTTAGAAATTCCCCTCTCTGCTCACAGCCTGCCATCTGCCCACTAAACATGCCTTTTACTAGTTCCCCATGGCAATGCCTCCTATCCCCATGTCCCATCTTCCCTCCCGCCTGGACTTAGCTGCTTGGCTGACTTGCCCATTAATGCTGCTCTTACATGCACCCTGTCCCCACCATTGGTTTCCCCAGTTCCATGCAGGTAAACATTGCTGTGGAGAGGCACAGCAGGAACTGTGCTGCTAGCTCTACCACTGCAAAGTAGTGCTTGCCCTTAGTTGGGTGTAAATCATTGCTCAGTGCTAGTTAATTCATTTCCCTAACTCATTGTAGTATCCTTTTCTCACGATTGGTCTGTGGCCTGTAATTTGGGAACTCCTATTATAAGACATCAAATTACATGACCTCACTGCCTGCCTTTCTCACACAACTAAAACTCATCTGGACTTTTGACAAGTAACTTGTTTTAACAGTGTAAAAATACTATGTTGCTTATAGGTTTTGATAAAAATCAACAAAAATATTCAGAGTATATTTTATTATTTATAAATTTTGTGCCCCCATGCATTTTTATATGAATACAATTCATAATAAATTTTTTAAAGAATCTTCAATAAATTCAGAGTTATTTTGCAAAGGTATCCAGGACTCTCCCAGACAAGTATGGGATGCCTTCTAAGTACCGAAGGGACAGCCGTATGAACAATATCACCTCCAAGACCCTGACGGAGACACAGGCCCAGAGCCAGGCTTTGCCATCCTGCGATGAAACAGCCATTATCACTTCATAGGCCTTCTCTCTGTGCCTCCCTTGGAACTATTTCTGTATGTATTACTTTGACCATGCAAACCCAGCACCCTTCCTCCCATGTTCCTGGATAGAAATGAGAAAGAAGCCGCTAAAAACTTTCTGAGAGTCCGGTAACTGATATCTGCTCTGGAAACCATTTTCTTTCTTCCCACTCCCACAGTGCTGCAACCTCATGACCCACGGCTTTCCTCTGAAGGCTACCCTGGGGCCTGGGAGTGGGAGGAACAGTGGCCCTTATTATTCTTTTCTGAGAAAGATGGCTCCTGATGAAGTGTATGGAGGCAGGCCGCAGGAACAAGGCATCTCCTAGGTTTGTGCTTCAGCTCAATTTTGCCTTCAGAAAAGGCTACCTTAAAGAGTTGGCAGGTATCAAGGTTTCCTGAGACCAGTGCAAACTCAGACATGCAGCCAATAGCCTCCTCTTCCCATTGTCTATCCATCTCTGGTATATCTGGGAGAGCAGCCACGACAACAGGCTCTCAGTGGAGCCTGGACAAGCCAGAAGAGAGTGGAGGCCTAGCTTCTGTCTGCTGTGTCCCCACAGGACTTCAGACACAGGAGACACAAGGCCTATCCCTGATCCACAGTTGACCCTCCAAGGGACCCTTAAATGCCAATAAGTCAGGGCCTGCCCCGATGCCTTCCTTGGTTCACTTATTTGGCATCTGTTTCTTGAGTCCCCAGGCACTGGACATGCAATGGTGAGCAAAGCATCATTTTTCTCATGGATATTGTAGTCAATAATAATCAAATAATCCCACAAGTAAATTTTAAAATTTCATCACTGTGCTAAGTGTCATGAGGTTGTGCTATGAGAGTATAAAAATATCTAGCATTGAGGCCATAGGGGGCCCCACGAATTTGTGAAAGAACCTGCAGTTGGTTTATTACAATAATTTTACTAACTTGTCTGATCCAAAATATAAGACCCCTTCCCCAGATCCTTTCTCCACTCAGGGATGGCAATCACCAGTTCTGTGGGCCATCAATCCTCCTGCCTAGATGCACAGGGGAAATTGCCAGGTGATCACCACAGCCTCGCCTACTGAGCACAATAGATGACTCAAAAGAGGGCATAAATGGCTGGCACCAGTGAAGTGGAACGGACATAACAGATGTGATGACTGGCCATCCAGTGATCTGTGACATCAGCTTCAATCTTTGGCTGCACATTCTATTCACCTGAGAAGTCTGGGAAAACAAAACAAAACAAAACAAAAAGTCATGAGTCCCAGCCTGGTCAATTAAAGCAAGAGTGGGCTGGGACCCTGCCAACATGGTGTTTTCAAATTTCCCAGGTGATTCTAATAGGCAGCCGGGGGTGAGAACTTCAGAAGGTTATTTGTATCATCAACACAGTTTAAATGAGGTGGCTCAACTTCCCAAAGGCTCTGGTCCTCCAATTCCATTGCTAACTGCTGGATCTAGGTCACAAGAGCGCAGCACTTGGAGTAACAAAGAGTGATAGAGATGCAAGACAAAATCTGCTTACAAAGACTGTTTAGATACAGACATGCTAAGAAAAAGCACAGTACTCATAGCATTTAGGGATTACCTCATATTTAGAAATGAAACATCACAGCTTTTCAGAGCTGTCATCTAATGCCATTTAGGCCCTCCTTTGGCGGGAGCTGAAATCCAAAGAGAATGGAAGATACACAGCTAACCAGGGGCTGAGGCAAGAAAAAAACGGAGTCATCTGGTCTTTCGGGCCAGTAACAAAACTTGGAGGTCCCAGCACTGCTGACCAACAACCCTCAGCCTAAACTAGTTGTTCCCTGGTCCTTCCCATCTTTGTGGTGCATTCCACAGCATAGGTGCTCCCTTTGGGTGGATCGGTATGGCCTTGCCAGCTTCTGGAAGAGCATGGGTTTCTTACCTATAAACACGTTTCCTGGCAACTGCTTCTCATATGCTGCAACGAGGTTTCTACTGGCCTACCAACCACCTGGCTGCTGGGAACACCTGTCTCCCCAAATGCAGACTCTGCCTGTGACCATCTGTGCCCAATGACTGTCACCCACAGCCCCCAGTTCCTCTTCAGGGAAGAAAAGATAGGTCTTACTTCACATCTTGATTTTGCATGCTACACATTTCTGAAGGGGTTGATCATCCTTCTGAATATTTTATGATTAACAATTAAAATAGTATGTGGATTGGACACTATGGCTAAGCTTTTTGAAAAACTGTTTTCCCCCAAAACCTTAAAACCTCACAGAAATGAGGTATATGTCCAGGGAGTTATTCTGCTGGTGCAGTGTGCAATGGGATGTATAAGTTGAGATCACACAGGCAGTCTGGGTGAGAGAATCTTGCCTGGTAGGAAGTCTGTGGTTGTACCTTAAGATGGCATTCCCTTTACACTTTAGCACCTCAGACGCTCTGGCCTCACCAGCAGCCTCCTGAAAGTGCTACCGCCATCCCACTCAGCTCACTACCTTGAGTCTTGCCGCCTCTAACTAATCCTGCATACAGCTGCCAGACTACTGCTCCAAAAGTAGAACTATGCACAACAATGTTATTGGCAAAGGCATTCTTCCTCAAGTTAGAAAATCAAAATAGTAGTTCATGTGCACCTTTAACTCTCCAGGCAGCCCTACATGGCAGAGTCGGGGGAACAGATCAGGCTTCCAACATGAGTAAGATTGAGAAACAACCTCAAGGGATGTCTAGAAAATGGCTAGGATGCGTGCAGCCTTGGACACAGGTGAGTGCTAAGTAAATGTGCTCATGGCTTTGAGAGCCAGTGTGGGTTTACATAGGAAGGGGCTCCTCATTGCTGCTCCAGGATCCAGCAGAGAGGTCTGGTATTTCTGTTTCCTCCCCAGGCACTCATCAAAATTATGGGTATGATGCGAATGAAGGCCTCATAGACACAGTACCCATGTGCAAGACACAACCTGAAAATGATGCATGGTGGTCCTGCTCTGTGGCTTCCTGCTTCCTTCTGAACTCCTAGAGTCTGAACCCCCGGTAAGACCTCCTCAATTGGCACTACCTACTTGGTGCTCCCTTTACATCCCTCCTGCTCCAGTCAATCTGAACTCCCCAGTCTTTCTACCTCCCCAATATTTCGCTCCATCACACCTTGCTCAGATTGGTCCCTGTCCCTGATACATCCATGCCCCAGATTTCACATGCCCCAACAACTCCTGCCTTATCAGGCTCTGATCCTTTAAACTGCAGCTTGGAAGCCCCCACTTGGCCCTCTGTACCCCCTTAGCATTTACACCTCCAGTACTGATCAGCTCTTTCTGGTGTTCAAGGTGTATTCTTCTTAACTCCTGAACTGTCTCAGGCTCCTTAAAAACAGATCTTGTCTCATCTAAACTTATAACACCCAAAGTCTAATGCTAAAACCATAAACTGTCAAGAGGACTAATTTCGCTTCCACTCTCTGACTATTCTACAAGCTCTCACCTGACCTCCACCCCCTGACTTTGCTGATGCATTCTCATTACCTCCACCCTCTGACATGCTCTGTGCTCTAATTTGACACGTAACTCCCGTAAGCTCTTATCTAAACTCTATCCTCTGATTTTGTTTTTGTTTTTCTCTGTAACTTCTAAGCAGCCTCTATTTCCAGCATGCTCTATCCTCACATTTACAGACTTTGACATAAGTGATCTGGGTGCTAGGATGGCGCTGTCATGCTCCAGCCACGTGGCCCTGTGCAAGTCACTTAACCTCCATGGACAACATTTTTCTTCATCTATAAAAAGAGCTAGTTAGCCCAGAAGGTCTCTAAGGTCCTTCTCAAAACTCGACATTTTCTGATTCTAAAATCCAAATGGTATATGTGTTAATCTCCTATGTACACACATTTACACTATCATATTTATATTAAAAGGGGCATGCAAAAAAATGCAAGCAGCAGTTCTAGTAGATCCCAGTGATTTTTCTGACCTCCCTGTTTCACTGGGCCTTTTCCTCAGGGAGCACTTGTTTTTCTGACAGTCTTTGAACCTCTCACAGGCCTGCTCATTATTTTGTTGTCTGAAGTTAGGCAGGAGCATTTCTGTGATTAATTAAGCAAAAGGCCCTGGTGCCAGTTGCGCAAGAACCATCGGATAATCACGCCTTTGGGGTGCTCACCAGGCTTGGGGAGCAGCCGGGCTGGGGTCCTCAGAGGGTTGATTAACTCTGGGATTGTCAGGCCCGCCCTAGACATGTGGCTGCCCAGATACCATCCCTCTCTATAGAAATAAAGACTCAACTTGCAGAATGTTGTAGGGATTGGAAGATCAGGGCTATAAGGTTCTGCCACCATGATGTGCCCTTGGGGACTGTTGAACAAGAAAACTCTGACAAGGATTTTTCCAGTTTTTCCTGAGAAGCCCCGGAGTTCCCAGCAGCATCTCAGTAGCTGCCTGGGTTTGGGGAGGAGATGAGAGTGAGCTGGTGGGGCTCTACCCCAATTCAGCTCAGCTTTGACCTATGTTTTAATTTCCTAGGTCTGCTCTAACAAAAAGTACCACAGTCTGGATGGTTTGAAAGTACAGAAATTTACTCTCACAGTTCTGGAGGCTGGATGTTTGAAATAAGGTGTCAAGTGGGTTGGTTCTGGAGGCTCTGATGGAGAATCTGTTCCAGGCCTCTCTTGCAGCTTCTGGTGGTTGCTGGCAAACTTTGGCTTTCCTTGGCTTACAGATCCGTCCCTCCAGTGTCTGCCTCTCTCTTCACCTGGCTCTTATCCTGTATGTCTCTGTCTCTGTGTCCAAATCTCCTTCGTTTTTCTCTTATGCAGGTATCAGTTGTTGGATTTAGGGCCCACCCTAATCCAAAATGATCTTACCTTCAGTTGATTACATCTGCAAGGACCCTATTTCCAAATAAGGCCACATTTACAGGTACTAAAGGTTAGAACATAAACATATTTTTTTGGAAGACATAATTCAACCCCCTACAACTAGCCTTTTATATTGAGCACCTACAGAAAATTTTATTTAAAGAAAGCATTCCACTACTAAATAAAGTTAGAAATCAAGGTGATAAAATATTAGAGGGATCCTATTGAAATCTTCTTACTTCAAAATCTTCATTGAGATAGGGATACAGAATTTTCTGTAGCAGAAATTTTCTATGGGCAGAAAATTGGCCAGGATGTTCCTGTTTGTCCTCTGTGCCCCTCTGACAACTCTTCCCCCAACTGTTTACCCAAGTCAGCGTTCACTCAGAGAAGCAGAACCTCATGGAGGTCACTAAACATTCTCTGTAAGGCTGTTGTCTTTACTCTGATCCTGGAGTGTGAAAACTGTAGGGCAGACAGAGTTAGGGAGGGAAGACGATGCAAAGTCGGGGAGAGCAAGAATAAACCAGAACCCACAGCATGAGCTGGAGCTGAGGACAGACTAAAACCTGTAGCAGTTTTTGCAATCTCTCACCTTGTTGGGGTGGGTGTCCTGCAGAAGCCAGGGTCCCTCATCAAGGAGCTAAATATACACACTGGCCCAGGAGTCAGAGAAGCTGAAGAAGGATCCAGGGGACAGTGGAGCAATGGCAGGCAAGTCTGTCGCTCACACTAAGGAGGGAAGCCAGAAGATGAGTGGCAATGTGTGGGAGCTACAAGATGGCTGCTGCCCACAAGAATCTCTCCACAGCCCACCCTAACTGGAAATATAAAGGAAAAGAAATTCTAGGGAGTGTAACTCAGCCTAGCTAAGTTGGCACTTTACAAAGCCACTACATCTAATTAAGCCTTTCTTATGTCCGTTCCTTCAAATTCCCCATCCTTCTCTCACAGGACTATAAATTTGGGACCAGAGACCAGGTCTTACTCATCTTTATACATTCATGTTGTGTGCAGTACTTAGACTTCAATATTAGGTGCTTGTCAAAGGATAATTGAATTACACAGAGCCGAACAAAGAGACAAACCTCCAAGATAGATCACAAGATAATTCTGGTACTTCAACTAGACTGGACCCAATAAACATTTATCGAGCACTAACTGTGTGTTAAGAACTATGTTATCATAGACATTGCCTCTTTAATTCTATGGCATTGCTGCGAGGAAGGTATACATTTCTCTCTTTTCAGAAAAAAAAAAATCAAGCTTCTAGGAAGTTAGGTCACTTGCTTAAGGCCGCATATTTAGGGAAAGGCAAGCTTAGATTTCAGTCTAGATCTCCTGAAGCTATGCCCACTTCTGGCTCAGAACTGGCTGAGGAGCCTATCTCTTCAGCCCTGCTTTCAGGCAACACTAAACATACCAGTAGCATAACTCATAGAGGACAAAATCCAATTTGACTTTGAAAGGCTGGACTGAGCTCTTAGTGGTGCTCTGGTGACAGTAGAAAGTGTGGGGCCAGTGGTAATTAACCCTGAGTAATAGAACTTTTAGCAAGACAGACAAGCCCCACGTTATAACAGCAGTGGCTGTTTCCAAAGGAAAATGATGAACTTGCAAATGAGTTCCTGCTAATTTCCAAGCTCTTGAGACCAGGCTATGACTCTCCATGCGACAATCTGTTTATTAAATTAGCTAATAAGGAGAGTTGATCTACAGCAACTTCACCAGAAAGTGGCAACAAGCAGCCAATGGAGGAGAGAAAAGTGGAATTAAAAAGTTGGGATGAAAAGAGCAAGACAATGTGTTCTGTCTCTGGAAGGCTTCCAGGTAGACTAAACTGGATTTTGGAAAGAGAATGAAGGTTGGTCATTCTGAGCCGAATAAGCTGGATAAATTAAGGGGATCAAAAATATCAGTTCCAAAAATCTTACTTTCTATTTCCCATAGCAGCAGGAGGTGGGGATTTACCAGGATATTCCAGCTTGGGGAGATCTAAAGAGTATCTGTGGGCATAACAGCTCTGAATCTTAAAATCAGTTCCATTAGGGGGAAATGATAAAGCAGAAGGAAAGGCATGGAAGACCTGTCAGAATTATAAAAATATCTATGAGTCCTTTCTCTGAGTCTCTCTGTTTCAAATGCCAACATGGCTCTCCATCTGGAATAGGATGCTGAGGTAGAAAACACCAATATTATTTGAGGGGATGAAGGAATTGCTTCATTTACAGATACATAAAGGTATTATTGACTTAGAAGGATGGAGACAGGGCAAGAAAAAGTTGTGACCATTTTTTATCTTGTACTATAAGAAATCTAACCAGTTTGAAGACTGAATGTTGGTAGAAAGAAAATCATAAATGACAAGGTAAGTCAAGAGGAACAAAAGCCATTCACATTCCAAGTCATACCAAGCTTTTGCTTTTAAGATGTAGCGACAAAAGCCAAGGCTTTCAGATCCTAGGTTTGTACTTATTTGCTGTGACCTTGGGCAAGTTACCTAATGTCAATGAAACATATTTTTCTCATCTATAGCAACAGATGATAATAATATCTACCTCATAAGGGAGATGATGTAGAAAAGGTCCAGACAGTGCTTTCCTCCCACCAATTAGTCAAATCAACCAGAAGCTCCATGCTACAAAGAGCCACGGAGCACCTCTGGAAAGGAATTGAAAAGCTGATTCTCTGGTAGATCAAGGTGAAGGGGCAATGATCTAATCCATAAAACATGACCTGCACTATGGCCTCTATGAAATACTAATCATATTTTTCATCTAAATATGTGAAATAATTTTTGTAATTAAGGCAGAATCTAATTTCAGTTTTAACTCAGGTAGATAAGCTTTATGATGACAGGAATCCTGCTTTCTTTATTCATTTCTATATTCCAGTACTTTAAATATAAATAATATATAAATACATTATATATAATTAATACACAAATAAAATATATAAATACTTCCAATGTTCAGTTACAGAAATAGTGGCTTAAAGAGATTAATTGAAGCTTCCTTCAATTAATGAGGAGCTACTAGCTCCTTGTCTTAAAGCCCAATCTTGGTGATAATGTCAATATGGCAGGTATGAAAACAAAGATAGACACGATTGAGGTGAGAGCATACTACTCTGTGTGTGTGTAGAGAGAGAGAGAGACAGGATAAATAAAATATAATTTTTAGGCAGGAGAAGAAAATTAAATGCAGTGAATGGAGAAAAAAGGAAAGGAGAAAAAATACATTGTGGTAAATAGAAAATACACAATGGCAGAAATAGTCAGTGGTTACAATAAACATATATAATTAAAATCACTAATCATAAATCAGATACATGGTTTCTATTTCCTGGAAGGATACATTAGTTTTTAACAAGCCATCCCTCATGCTGCAACAGCTGGAAAAAATACATATTTTTTAAACCATATTTATAGCTGTAGAATTAGATGATTAGATGAAACAAAATTTCAAAGGGGAAAGAACCCTTCCTAGGATGAGCTGAGGTTACTACCTGTTCTTTCCCCAAGGGCATTTTCTGAGCTTAGGCACAGGCTGAGGGTTGATTGGTGCTTCATAGAGAGGTGGTACCAGGGAACAGAGGAACCAGAGAGCTTTCTGATAGCTTTATAGCTGACACAACAGATTGGTAATTAGAGAAGCCTAAAACTTGCCACCAGTTTATCTACCAGAAACCAAAGATAGAATGACTCACAGTAAGCCAAAACTCAGATCAATGCAGCACAATAACTAATTACATTGATGTGAGCTTCCTCTTATCTCATCTGCTTAAGAGAGAAAAGTATAAATCCCCACTAGTGCAAAATGACATCCATACTAATCACTAGGATATTTTATACAGAAGTCCAGCATACAAAAAATATGAAACAGGCAAAGACTATGAGATAAATAAAAATTGTGAAAATAAGTTTAATAGCTTAATAAATAAAAGAACAGAGTCTATCTAGATGTTGAAGTTAGCAAGCAATAACTTGAAATACCTATTATAAGTATTTTAAAGATAATAGAACAAAGATCAACAAGATAGATAAAGAAATAAAGGATTTTAACAGAAATAGAATCTATTTTTTAAATAAGAATAGGGCCTTAGATTGAACTGAGAAAAGAAGACAAGTATTTAAAATAAAAAGATACAGAAAGATTGGGAAAAGATATATCACACAAAAATAAACCAAAAGATGAGGACAGACCAGTAGCACAACTGATAATACACCTGACTATGGGTCAGAATATTCAAAAATAAACCAAAATAAATACAGGATAGCAAGATTAATATTAATGTCTATTAGGAAAAATTAGAAATTAATTTTAAAAACATCTAAATGGATAAAGAAGAATCTTATAGACAGTAAAGGAAATAATAGATCAAGAAACCATAATATTAAATATCACAACTACCAGATGGCAGAATAGAGGCTTTGCCAGCATGCCTCACCCACCTGGAATTAGCAAAAGTGTATAGAGAGTCATACTGTGAACTTTTATCCAAGAAGGAACATGAGAGTTCAACATAAAGGCAAAAGAAAACTTCACATACCAGGAAAAAGAAAGCAGACAGCAGCCCATGTGGCGGGGTTTGGCAGAAAATGGTGAATCAATCTCCAGTGCATGGGAGGGGGAGTGAGTGTCTCTACAATTCACATTCCCACTGGGGAGCCAGGCAATCCTGGCCACAGGGGAGCTCCTTGACCCCACCAAGCTGTGGATCTGACTTGAGAAGTAGTCAGAAGACCGTGAAGAAATACCACTGGAAGTGTCCTATGCATGCTTCCAGACCTGGACACCAATAGAAGGAGGCCATTCCTGATTCTAGCTCATAGAGGGCTATGCAAGAACTTTCCAGCGAGCAGGGGCAGCAGTCACTGGTTTGGACAGACTTGGGCCAGGAATTGGCGAGCTGATCTAGAGTGGAGAGAGGGACCCCATCAGTCAGAACTGAGAGACAAGTGTGACATGCGCCACAGCCACAGGCACTGGAATTGGGTACCCCCACTCCGTGGGACCAGAACAGGGAGAGATCTGCCTGAGAGGCATGGTTTTGTCCTGGATAGCAAGTTTTATGGAGTGAGATAGTTTCAGAGACTCAAAGCAAACTGCTTGTGACATAACTAACTGTCCTGACTTGCTACTGAGGTCAGGCCATGGGAGAGAGCTCTGCCAGGTCCAGAACATGAGGGTGAAGTGGATCTCATTATGGCACGCTGGTCTGTGGAACTGAAGCCACCCTTCTTTCCCCATCCTGCATCTTTGGCACAGCAGCAGTTGCTCCACTCCTTGCTGGAGCATTTCTCTGGGGTCCTGAGGAATACCACTGACCACTGCTGGGGCCAGCACTTACAGCCACCATTGGGGAGCCTGAGTACAGTCTTGCCCAGCCCAGCCCCACCTGGCTTTGCCCCACCAAACTTAGAGGCAGAGTGTGGGACCTAGACCACAGAGAATTCCATGGCCCAACCCATCACCTGGGACACCAAGTACTTCTCCTGGTTAACAAAGATTATGCATAAATTCTACCACCACCCACTGCACCTGACTGTCACCTGCAAGTGCCACCCACTGGCCCTGAAGTCAATCCATACAGCCCATTACAATATTTGCTGACACAAGTGCACAGCACTGGAGAAGGAGACGAGCTTCTCGTAACCTCTGCTACCAATGTTGCTCATGCCACCCTGGATACCTAGCTGGCCCACTCATTCACCCAGTACACTGCTACTACAACTGACATTTGAGAAAGCCACCATACTAAGGCTATTTATGACTAAGAAAATCATAAACTCTTCACTACTGAACACACTCAAAAGCAAAGCCAAATGGCCCTACTCTATATACATCATAGTCATATCCTCAAGAGGAAAGAAAAAGTTTCACCCCAATGAAAGTACACGGAAAAACAAGAAGTGACTGTTTCTACAGATGCTAAGAAATCAGTGTAATAATACTGAAAGTATGAGAAAGCAGGGTGTTATGACATTTCCGAAGGAACATATTAATTCTGTAGCAATAGATTCTAACCAAAAAGAAGTTTTTGAAATGACGGATAAGGAATTCAAAATACTGAATTTAAAGATGTTCATTGAGATCCAAAAGAAATCTGAAAACCAATAAAATAAAACAGAATACCAATTCAAGATATGAAGGAGAAAATTACAACAGAGATGGGTATCTTTTAAATATAGAACTTCTGGAAATAAAAAAATGCATTGAAAATAATTACAAAACACAGTTGAAAGTTTTGGCTGGGCATGGTGGCTCACATCTGTAATGCCAGCACTTTGGGAGGCCAAGGTTGGGGAATTGTTTGTGGCCAGGAGTTCAAGACCAGTCTGGGCAATATAGTGAGATGCCATCTCTACAAAAAAAGAATCAGAAATTAGCTGAGCATAGTGGTACCTGCCTGTAGTCTCAGCTATTCAGGAGTCTGAGGCAGGGGGATGGTTTACGCCTGGGAGATTGAGGCTGCAGTGGGCTGTGATCATGCCACTGCACTCAGCCTGGGTGACAGAGTGAGACCTTGTCTATGGAAAAAAAAAAAAGGAAGGAAGGAAGTTTCAACAATAGATTAAGCATAAGAGAGAATCTCAGAAGTTGAAACAGGTTTTTTGAATTAATCCAGTCTCAGAAAAAAATTTTTTAAAGAATTTAAGAAATGAACAAAGCCTTCTAGAAGTATGGGACTACATAAAGTGACTGAACTTGTACACTATTAGTATTCCCAAAGGAGAATAAAAAGTAAAATGTTTAGAAAACCTTTTTAAGGAAATAATTGACAAAACAATTTCACTAGTCTAGCAAGATATTTAGATATCCGGATACAAGAGGCCCAACAAAGACCAGAAACATATTGCCAGACCAATTTCACCATGACCTGTAGTTGTCAGACTGTCTAAAGTCAAAATGAAAGAAAAAATGCTAAAATCAGCAAAAGTGTCTAGTCACCCATCAGACTAACAGTGAACTTCTCAGCAGGAAACTTCAAGCCAGAAACATTGAAATCAATTTTAAGAGTGCTTAAAGACAAAAACTGTCAACCATAAATTTTATACCTGCTAAAATAAGATTCATAAATGAAGGAGAAATTAAATTACTTCCCAGACAAGCAAATGCTCAGGGAATTCATCACCAGTAGACCAGTTCTAAAAGAAATGCTCAAAGGAATTCTAAACATGGAAACAAAAGGTCAATATTCTCCATTATAAATATACATGAAAGTATAAAACTCATAAGCCTATGAAACAATTATACAAAAAAGGAAGAGAAAGAAATCAACTGGCAACATGAGAGAACTCCACCAAACTACAAAGACAGGCACACACAGACACACACACACACCAAATAATTTACAACCAATTAGAAATCAATTAACATTATGACAAGAACAAAACTTCACATATCGATATTAACTTTGAACATAAATGTATTAAATGCTCCACTTAAAAGATATAGGTTGGCAGATTGGATCCAACTATATCCTACTTACAAGAAACCCACCTTGCTGGTGAAGACACACAGACTGGAGGTAAAGGGGAGAAAAAGATATTCCATGCAAATGGAAACCAGAAGTGAACAGCAGTAACTATACTTATATAAAACAGGTTTTAAATCAAAAGCAGTTAAAAAAAGAAAAAGAATGACCTTATATAATGATAAAGGATCAATTCAACAAGAGGATACAACAATTCTAAACATAAATACACCCAGCACAGGAGTACCCAGATTCATAAAATAAATATTTCTAGACCTAAAGAAACAGATAGCAATAAAATAATAGTGGAGGACTTCAACACCCCACTCACATCAGTAGACAGAGTATCAACAAAGAAGCACTACATTTAAATTGGACTTTAGACCAAATGGACCTAACAGACATTTGCAGAACATTCTATGCAACAACCACAGAATATACAATCTTCTCCTCATGCTCCAATATATATGATATGTTAGGTCATAAAACAAGTTTCAATGAAGTTTAAAAAGTCAAAATCATATCAAATATCTTCTCAAGCCACAGTGGAATAAAACTAGAAGTCAATACCAAAAGGAACTCATAAAACTATACAAATATGTAAAAATGAAACAATATGATTCTAAGTTATCTTACAAATGAAATCGAGATGGAAATTTTTTAAATGAATGAAAATGGAAACACAACATACTGAAACCTCTGGAATACTGCAAGAGCAGTGCTAAGAGGAAAGTTTACAGCACTAAATATCTACATCAAATAATCTTAAAAAAATCACAAATTAACAACTTAACATTGCACCTCAAGGAACTAGCAAAAAAGAACAAATCAAATCCAAAGCTCACAGACAAAAATAAACAAAGATCAGGTTAGAACTAAATGAAATTGAGACCAAAAATTCAAAGGATCAAGAATCTAAAAGCTTGTTCTTTGAAAAGATAAACAAAATTGATAATCCACTAGCTAGACTAAGAAGAGAGAAGACACTTCTCAAAAGAAGACATTTATGCAGCCAAAAAACACATGAAAAAATGCTCACCGTCACTGGCCATCAGAGAAATGCAAATCAAAACCACAATGAGATATCATCTCACACCAGTTAGAATGGCAATCATTAAAAAGTCAGGAAACAACAAGTGCTGGAGAGGATGTGGAGAAATAGGAACACTTTTACACTGTTGGTGGGACGGTAAACTAGTTCAACCATTGTGGAAGTCAGTGTGGTGATTCTTCAGGGATCTAGAACTAGAAATACCATTTGACCCAGCCATCCCATTACTGGGTATACACCCAAAGGACTATAAATCATGCTGCTATAAAGACACATGCACACGTACGTTTATTGCGGCACTATGCACAATAGCAAAGACTTGGAACCAACCCAAATGTCCAACAGTGATAGACTGGATTAAGAAAATGTGGCACATATACACCATGGAATACTATGCAGCCATAAAAAATGATGAGTTCATGTCCTTTGTAGGGACATGGATGAAATTGGAAATCATCATTCTCAGTAAACTATTGCAAGAACAAAAAAACAAACACCGCATATTCTCACTCATAAGTGGGAATTGAACAATGAGAACACATGGACACAGGAAGGGGAACATCACACTCTGGGGACTGTTGTGGGGTGAGGGGAGGGGGGAGGGATAGCATTGGGAGATATACCTAATGCTAGATGACGAGTTAGTGGGTGCAGCACACCAGCATGTCACATGTATACATCACATGTAACTAACCTGAACATTGTGCACATGTACCCTAAAACTTAAAGTATAATAAAAAATAAAAAAAAAGAAATCTCTTTCTCATCACCCACTTCTATTCCTTCAATTTACGGTAAAAACATTGCTTTCTCAATTGTTACATGCCCTCATGTACCCTACATTTTGTAACAATTACCAAGGCTTGTACTTAATTGTATGATTATTTGATTTAAACCTGTCTTTTTACAAGATTGTAAACCCCATGAGGGCAAAGCACCATGTCAGTTTGTCTCACTTATGTTAACCTAATTACTCAGCATAGTGCCTGGCAGGTAAAAAGTTCTTGAAACATTTGTTGGCCTGAGTGAGTATGTAAAAATTTTGAATAAAATGACTTCCTCCAAAAAAAAAAAAAAAAAAGAAGAGAGAAGACTCAAATAAATACAATCAAAAATTAAAGAAGGCAGATGACTCAAATAAACATAATCAAAATTTAAAAGGAGACATTATAACAAATACCACAGAAGCACAAAAAATCATCAGAGACTGCTATGAACAACTATACACTCACAAACTAGAAAACCTAGAGAAATGGTTAAATTCCTGAAAACATACAAACTCCCAATATTGAACCAGGAAGAAGTAGAAATTCTGAACAGACCAATAATAAATAGTTGCATTGAGTCAGTAATTTAAAATCTCCCATCCAAAAAAGCTGAAGACCAGATGGATCCACAGCCAAATTCTACCAGACATACAAAGAAGAACTGGTACCAATCCTCCTCAAACAGTTCGAAAAATTTGAGGAGGAGGAAATCTTCCTTAGCTCAGTTTGTGAAGCCACTATCACCCTGATATCAAAGCCAGACAGGACACAACAAAAGAAAACTACAGACCAATAATGCTGATGAAGATAAATGTAAAAATTCACAACAAAATACTAGCAAACCTAATACAATAGCATGTCAAAAATGTAATACACCATTATCAAGTGAGTTTTATTTCGGAAATGCAAGGATGATTCAACATGCACAAATCAATAAATGTGTGTTAAGTGATTCATCACAGAAACAGAATTAAGGACAAAAACCATATGGTCATCTCAATAGATGCAGAAAAACTCATTTCACAAAATGTATCATCCCTTCATGATAAAAACCCTCAACAAACTAGGGATAGAAGAAACATATCTGAAAATAATAAAGGCCACATATGACAAATCCACAGCCAACATCATACTGAACAAAGAAAAGTTGAAAGCATTACCCCTAAAAGCTGGAACAAGACAAAGATGCCCATTTTTACCACTCATATTCAACTTCTGGCTGGAAGTTCTAGCCAGAGCAATCAGGCAAGATAAAGAAATAAAAGACATGGCTGGGCACAGTGGCTCACGCCTGTAATCCCAGCACTTTGGGAGGCTGAGGCGGACAGATCATTAGGTCAGGAGATCGGGACCATCCTGGCTAACACGGTGAAACCCCATCTCTACTAAAAAATACAAAAAAAGTTGGCCGGGCATGATGGCGGGCGCCTATAGTCCCAGCTACTTGGGAGGCTGAGGCAAGAGAATGGCGTGAACTTGGGAGTCGGAGCTTGCAGCAAACCAAGATGGTGCCACTGCACTCCAGCCTGGGCAACAGAGTGAGACTCAGCCTCAAAAAAAAAAAAAAGAAAAGAAAAAGAAAAAAAAAGAAATAAATAAAAGACATCCAAATGGGAAAAGAAGTCAAATTATCTCTGTTTGCTGATGATATTATCTTATACCTAGAAAACCCTAAAGACTCCTAAAAAAACTGTTAGATTTAATAAATGAATTCAGTAAGTTTCAGGATACAAAATTAACATACAACAATCAGTAGCATTTCTATACACCAGTAACAATTAAGCTGAGAACCAAATCAAGAAGTCAATCCCATTTACAATAGCTACACAAAATGTCTAGGAATATACTTAACCAATAAAGTAAAAGATCTCCACAAAGAAAGCTACAAAACACTGATGAAATAAATTGTAAATGACACAAAGAAATGGAAAAAATCCCATGCTAATGGATCAAAATTATTAATGTTATTAAAATGGCCATATAGCCCAAAGCAATCTACAAATTCAATGGCAATCCCTATCAAAATACCAATGTCATTATTTATAGAATTTGAAAAATATCCTAAAATTCATATGGAATCAAAAAAGAGCCAGAATAGGCAAAGCAATCCTAAGCAAAAAGAACAAAGGCAGAAATATCACATTACCTGACTTCAAACTATACTACAAGGCTATAGTAACCCAAACAGCATGGTACTGGTTTAAAAACAGACACATGAATCAATGGAGCCGAATAGAGAGCCCAGAAATAAAGCCACATATATACAGTCAATTGATGTTTAACAAAGTCAACAAAAACATACACTGAGAAAAGGACGCCCATTTCAATTAATGACTCTGGGAAAATTGAATTATCATATGCAGAAGGATGAAAATAGACCCCTGTCTCTCACCATATATAAAAGTTAACTCAAGATGGATTAAAACTTAATTGTTAGCCCTGAAACTACAAAAATAGTGGAAGAAAACCTAGGAAAAACTCATCAACATTGGTCTAGGTGAAGAATTCATGACTAAGACCTCAAAAGCAAAACTAACAAAACCAAAAATAGACAAAAAGGACTTAATTAAACTAAAAAGCTTTTGCACAGTAAAAAGATAATCAAAAGAGTGAAAAAATAACCTGCAAAATGTGAGAAAATATTTGCAAACTATTCATCTGAAAAGGGACTAATATTCATAATTTATAAGCAATTCTATCAACTCAACAACACGATAACCCCACTAAAAAGTGAGCAAAGGACATAAATCAATATTTTTCAAAAGAAGACATATAAATGGCCAATTTCAACATAACTAATCATCAGAGAAATGCAGATTAAAACCATGAGGTATTGTTTTATACTTAACAATGTAAAAAACATGAGATACTGTTTAATGCTCAACATAACTCATCATCAGAGAAATAATGAGATGATTAGTTAAAATCAAGATGATTGGTTATAAAACAATTATGAAAACCATGAGATAGTGTTTTATGCTCAACATAACTAATCTTTAGAGAAATGCAAATTAAAACCATGAAGTACTGTTTTATACCAGTCAGAATAGCTAATATTAAAAAGTAAAAATATAACAGATGTTGGTGAGGATGCAGAGAAAAGGGAATTCCTATACACTGTGGGAATGTAAATTAGTACAACCTCTATGGAAAACCATATGGAGATTTCTCAAAGAACTAAGAATTATAATTCTATCCAGCAATCCCACTACTAGTATCTACTCAAAGGAAAATAAAACATTATATCAAAAAGATACTTGGACACATATGTTAATCACAGCACTATACACAATAGCAAAGATGTAGAATCAACCTACATGTCTATCAGTGGATGACTGGATAAAGAATCTGTGGTATATTTATACAATGAAATACTATTCAGCCATAAAAAATAATGAAATTGGCTGGGCACAATGGCTCATGCCTGTAATCCCAGACTTTAGGAGGCTGAGACGGGTGGATAACCTGAGGTCAGGAGTTCAAGAGCAACCTGACCAACATAGCAAAACCTGGTGTCTACTAAAAATACAAAAATTAGCTGGGCATGGTAGGGCATGCCTGTAGTCCCAGCTACTCAGGAGGCTGCAACAGGAGGTTCGCTTGATCCTGGGAGGCAGAGGTTGCAGTGAGCTGAGATTGCACCACTGCACTCCAGCCTGGGTGACAGAGCAAGACTCCATCTCAAAAAAAAAAAAAAAAATTATGTCACTTGCAGCAATATGAATGGAACTGGAGGACAAAATCTTAAGTGAAACAACTCAGAAATAGAAAGTCAAAAGCCACATATTCTCACTTGAAATTGAGAGCTAAATAATGTGTACATATGGACATAGTATGTGAATAATAGATATTGTAGACTTGGAAGGGTTGCAAAGTGGGAGAGGAGTGAGGGATGAGACATTATTTAATGGGTACAATGTACACTATTCGGGTGATGGATACACTGAAAGCCCAGACTTCACAGTTACTCGATTTATCTATGCAATAAAGCTTCCCTTATATCCCTCAAATATATGCAAAGAAAAAATATATATCATAAATACCCCTAACAATATAGCCCCAAGTTAACAAAGCAACAATTTTATTTGGAGATTTAATATACCCACTCAGAAACTAATAGACCAAGCAGATACAAAATAAGCAAAGAGAGAGATTTGGATAAAAAACTCAATAATTTCAATATTGTTAAATGATAAATGAACAAATAGATATAGAATATTACACCCAACTAATGGGAAATTCACGTTAGTTCATTTACATATGAGACATTAACAATAATTGACCATATAATAGGCAACCAAAGTAAACTCAGTGATATCCAAAGAATAAAAATTATATAGACTATAGTCTTAATCTATAATGCAAAAATATTTTAAAATCGCTAAAAAAGAACATGTTTAATATATCAATCTAGAAAATATATATTATAAAATAACCAAGAAAGTATAATTTATATTTATGTAATGCACACACACATATATAATCTCACATCCCTGCCAAAATTAAGGAAATTTAACAGTGTGGTTAGAACAGAATGGCATTTGTGAAACACAGATAAAGCAGTCCTTAGAGGCAACTTTATAGTTTTAAATCCACTTATTAAAGAGCAAAAGTGAATGAAAACAAATGAGATAAGCATTAAAATAAAAAATTGGGGAAAATAATAGCAGTACAAATTCAAAGAAATAAGAAGGTTGGCAATAATAATGATCGAAACAAAAATAAAAAATACTGAGAAGACAAAGAAAATCAAATAATAATTTTGTTTCTAAAAGATAACTTTTTCTGACAAAACTAGTCAAGAAATAAAAGTAGAACATTAGACAAGTAAGTCCCAAATGAAATGGGAAAGTTAGCTAGCTACAGGGGGAAAGAAGAAGTCAAAATTATCCAGCCTTTTTCTTGAAATTCCTATTTGCAGAGGCATCTTTAGATATGCATAGTCTTCTGCCAATCCATGGTTATTCGCATCCCCTCTGGACCCCCTCACCAGGGCGTGTGAGAATTTCCAAGCCCCCTGCATTCCACAAGCAGGACATAGGGAGCAGCAGCACTGCCTGTAATTATCTACCGCCTACCTCCATTGATGCTGCTGCACTATCATCCTACACTACGTTCCAAGTTGTCTCATGAAGATCTTTTCCAAAAGCATCTTAGAAGGTGCACCTTCTAAGGATGCCTAGAGAAAAGTACTGCATGTGATGATGCTCTCAGGAACAAATCTGGATGTTTCTGCTTCTGTATCCCCTTTTTCCACTCTGAGGTAGAGCATTGCAGGAGGTGCATAGGGAAATAAGAAATGTGCATTATTTTCCTCTTTCTTCTTTATTCCTATAAAGTATCCAGAATGGAAGAGGAAGTCTTTCTTTCTTTCTTCCTGTCAGTTCTAGATCTTTTCTGGATAAACTTCTGTGATCTAGAACGTCTATGATACCCAAATCCACAGAGGCTCAAGTCCCTTATAGAAAATAGCATAGTATTTGCATATAACCTATGCACATTCTTCCATATATTTTAAATCATCTCTAGACTACTGTGTACTAATAAAATACACAGATCACTTCATTTGCATGGATTCAATTTAGTACTCAGCATGTGGCAAATTCAAATTTTGCTTTTTAAAATTTTTGTGGAATTGAATATTTTCAATTTATGGTTGATTGAATCCATGGATGCAGAACCCATGGTTATGGAGTGCCAACTGTATAGACTAATGGAAGAGATCAAGGAAGTTATAGATCTTTTTCTGTCTTTATAAGTTCTGTACTCTATTTTCTTGTTCCATGTCTAAAGCCAAATATTCACTCTTCGAATGCTTAATGTAAGAATACTGATGACACCATTTCATCATTTTCCTGAAAACCACATGAATGCCATAGGTATACTAGGGGAAAACAATCATATACATGAAAATGTAAAAGACATAGACACTCACATTTTTTAATACAGCTAAATTTTGAAAAATTGGAATGTAGTTAAACATTGATTTGAGGAAACTGACACGTTTACAGTGATTCTTCTCATTTAACAACTTGATGGAATTCTCTATTTATTCAGATTTTTTTCACCTCCACTTGGTAAATTTTCATTTCTTTTAAGTAAGAGAAATTATTTCTTTATGCAGCCTACTCCTTTCTTCTACATTTAATTTCCTTCTTCCAGAAGTTTATTCTTCATCTTTTCACCAGGAGTGTCTATGAATGTCAGATTATATTTTGCATGTCTTTTAGTTACAATGGATACTTTTTTAAAAGAAAGCCTAGTTTTTCTTCTTAATATCTTATTATTATTTGGGGGGATCTAGCACTTATATCTCTATCCATTTTAAGCATATTTCTTTTTCAGACCATTTTATTTGAATGTCTCGGGGCTTTAATCTTTCTGTTGTTTCTGCTGACCACAACTCACAATGAACCGTGTGTGTGTGTGTGTGTGTGGTGTGTGTTTTGAATTGTGAATTCATCTTCAATGATCTTGGTAATAATGCCATGTAGTCTGATTGTGGTAGTGTTTTTTTCAGAGAGGTTTTGAATTTACTTTTCCCAAACATCACAGAGATATCTTGGATGGGGAATAATTTCTCATTGTTATGATTACAGGCCTCATGGGTAGTATAAATTTCAATCCCAAGCCTGCTTGCAGAGCAAAGTCAGTATTTAGGTATCTCAAGAGAGCTTTTTTCTTCTTCTAGAGATCTTTCAGGAACAGGTTTTCTTGGCCTCTCAATGGGCTCCTTTGTTTTATTTTTTTCCTAATCTGCCTCTTATATTGAGGGAGATATCCCTTCAACAGTCTCTGCTTCATGCAGGATTCTCACTCTCTCAGCATCCCCTCACCTAGGTATAAATTCTTCATCGTCTGGGATTGGAAGGACATTAGAAGCCAAATCCATGGCTTAGAGGATCCATAACATGAATTAATGCAGTTACCACAGTGCAGCAACAGCATCATCTCACTCACTTACAACTCTGATTTTCAGTTTCTTTGCCTTGTTTGGCTCCTGGGGATTTTCTTTTTTGCAAAGTTAACTAAAAATTTACATTTTCCCCATATATTTTATCCAGCTTCTGTGAATGTAACAGAGAGGATTTTAAGAATCTTGGCTTGCTAATTTGCTGGAAGTAGAAATCCATATTATCTTCTTAATAAAACTTTTATGCATTTCTTGCTCAATGTATATCTATTTGTTTGCTTGTATTATTGGTATATTCTTGCTTTAGAGAATGGAATATTTTATTTTTTGTTACTATTTATTGTTGATATGGAGGAAAAGTATTGATTTTTATGTTTTAAACTTTCAACAATACTGAATATAATAACTAGCTCAAATAGATTAGCAAGTTATTACCAAGAAGATGAATATATTTAATATAAAACAGTTTTTAAAGTATATCTTTTTTTCTCAATCACTACACAATGATTTTTTTCCCAATTGTGCACTGTATGGCTGGAACCCAAAAAAATATATTTAAAAATAGTAAAAATAATGGGGATTCTTGTCTTCATTTTGAGCATAATTGCTTCTGCATTTTCAAAGTTTTCTATGTACCTGTTTGAGAAAATATCTTTGTCATTTTAAGGATAAATTCTTCTATCTCTAGTATAGGGAATTTAAAAGTTGAGAATGGCTATTGAACCGAATGACTATTGAACCATCCTTGCATTTTTATAATAGATTTTTCTTAGTTTTAATGCAATGTGCCTTAAAATATGTTGCTGGATTTGATTGGTAGATATTTTATTTGATCAGATCATGTATTTATTATGATATCGGTATGCCTATCTGTCTACAAATTTTTTTTTTTTTTTTTTTTTTGAGATGGAGTTTCACTCTGTCACCCAGTGGTACGATCTGGGCTCACTGCAACCTTCGCCTCCCAGGTTCAAGTGATTCTCCTGATTCAGGTTCCTGAGTAGCTGGGATTACAGGCATGCACCACCATGCCTGGCTAATTTTTGTGTGTGTTTTTTTTAGTAGAGACAAAGTTTCATCATGTTGTCAGGCTGGTCTCGAACTCCCAACCTTGTGATCCTCCCACCTCAGCCTCCCAAAGTGCTGGAATTACAGGCATGAGCCACCACGCCCAGCCTACAGACTTTTTTTCTTCCTATCTTTCTTATATTTAAAGGGCTTCAAACAGTGCCTGATTAGGGTAAGTTCAACAACATTCATTTTACTTCCTTTCTGCCATATTTCTTTTTTCTTTTCCTTTCTTTCTTTTCTTTTTCTTTCTCTCTCTCCCTCCATCCCTCCCTCTTTCTTTCCCTTTCCTTTCCTTTCCCTTCCCTTCCCTCCCCTCCCCCACTCTCCTCCTCTTTCCTTCTTTCTTTCTCTCTTTCTTTCTTTCTTTCCTTCTTTCTTTTCTTTCTTTCTTTCTTTATTTCTTTCTCTCTTTCTTTCTTTCCTGAGACACAGTCTCATTCTGTCACCCAGGCTGGCATGCAGTAGCACAACCTCAGCTCACTGCAACCTCCACCTCCTGGGTTCAAGCAATTCTCCTGCTTCAGCCTCCTGAGTAGCTGAGACTTCAGGTGCCTGCCACCACGCCTGGGTAATTTTTGTATTTTTAGTAGAAGCAGAGTTTTGCCATGTTGGCCAGGCTGGTTTTGAACTCCTGACCTCAAATGATCCACCCACTTTGGCCTCCCAAGGTGCTGGGATACAGGCGTGAGCCACCGCACCCACCCCTGCTGTATTTCTTTATATTTAAAGTTTTTGACTTTGAAACTGATAATAAAATCAGTTTGAAACTTGTCACTATTTTCTGCCTTCTACAATTATGTGTTGCAATAATTTATTTGCCAATTAGAAAGACAACTATAAGAGTCATATTGATCCAGTGGTTTTTTTGAAGCTAAAACTTTGACAACATTTAAAATTTTTGTCCTCAGTTATTTTTTGTTTGTATCTTTGAGTTATTGAATAAATTATATATTGATTTATATTTTTCCAAAAATAGCAGAAGTTTTATTGTAACTATCAAAATGTTAGTTTAAATCTTAATGTATTATCCAGTTTGCATCAATTTTGGTAAACTTTTTTTCATTCATTTTCCTTATATCTTCAATTTTTTTCTTTGTATAACTTTAAACTTGGTTGATGGTTATAACTTTGTCGTATCTTAAAATCTATATAAATAAAAATATACCTCTCATTCCCATTTTTTCTTGAGTTATTTTCATTCTTAAAAATAATGTAATCTCTGATTTTCTTTTACTTGCTTTTGTTTAACTTGTATTTTATTTGACCAATGTTTTGATTTACTCTGAGTCAATTTTTTCAAATTATTTTAATAGATGTCAAAAAAAGCATTCAATAAAATTAAACATCCCTTTATCACAAAAATCCTTATCAAACTGTATATAAAAGGAGCATACTTCAAAACAATAAAGGCTATATATGACAAACCCATAGCTAACTTTGCACTGAACAGGAAAAAGTTGAAGACCTTTTTTCTAAGGTCTGGAACAAGACAAGAATACCCACTTCCCACTTTTACCACTTCCATTCAACACAATACTGGAAGTCTTGGCCAGAACAATTAGGCAAGAGAAAGAAATAAAGGGCATCAAAACCAGAAAAGAAGAAGTCAAATTAGCCTTATTCTCAGATGGCATAGTCTTATGCATGGAAACACCTAAAGACTACACCTAAAAACTATTTGAACTGACAAATGAATTCAGTAAAGTTTTAGGATACAAAACCAACAAACAAAAATCAGTAACACTTGTACATGCCAATAGTGAATAATCTGAAACAGAAATCGAGAAAGCAGGCCAGGCGTGGTGGCTCACGCCTGTAATCCCAGCACTTTGGGAGGCTGAGGCGGGCGGATCACAAGGTCAAGAGATCAAGGCCATCCTGGCCAACATGGTGAAACCCCTTCTCTACTAAAAATACAACCGGGCATGGTGGTGCACGCCTGTAATTCCAGCTACTTGGGAGGCTGAGGCAGGAGAATCACTTGAACCCTGGAGGCGGAGGTTGTAGTGAGCCAAGATCGTGCCACTGCACTCCAGCCTGGCAACAGAGCAAAACTCTGTCTCAAAAAAAAAGGAAAAGAAAAGAAATCAAGAAAGCAATCCCATTTACAATATCTACAAATAATGTAAAATATCAGTGAACCTAAAAAAATCTGTGAACCCATATTTTCACAATTTGAGATTGCCACTCAGTATAACATTTAAGCAATTTGCATTTCTAAAAATAACTGATGTGCTTCTATCATTTAAAAATATGTCCTTGCAGGGACATGGATGAAGCTGGAAACCATCATTCTTAGCAAAATATCACAAGGACATCACACGTTCTCACTCATAAGTGGGAGTTGAACAATGAGAACACATGGACACAGGGAAGGGAACATTACACACCGGGGCCTGTTAGGGGGTGGGAGGCTGGGGCAGGGATAGCTTTAGGAGAAATACCTAATGTAAATGACCGGTTGATGGGTGCAACAAACCAACATGGCACGTGTATACCTGTGTAACAAACCTGCACGTTGTGCACAGGTACCCTAGAACTTAAAGTATAACAATAAAAAAAAGTTCATAATGAACTAAATTTACAACTTTCAAGTAAAAACAAGTTTCTGATAATGCCATGCCGAGCCATATTAGAGACTGAGACAAAAAGAAATATATGTCCCCAGTAGTATATGTTTGTATGTATTTTGAAGGGTTAATTTTTCTAGAATATTAAAATGTCTGAAAAATATTGAAAAACAGGAAAATAGTATATTAAAGTCACAACATTGTTTTACGTTTAAATATTTTATTTATAGTGAAACCAGAATTTATTGTAATGTTCCTTTCCTGGCCTAAAATGGAACCAAATTAATCAATAATATTTTCAAAATTTACTCCTTGCTTATCTCATTTTCAGTTGAGAGTTCTGAATTCTAATAAATGAACAACGTTAACTCTGAAAGTGTGATGCACGTAAAACTTTATCAAGAGATATGAATATACCTCCTGAATTTGAAAGAAAATGAAAAAGAAATTGGACATGTATGAATTATTGCATGAGAGTATCAATTATTATAGGGAAAGTACATGGACACAGGAAGGGGAACATCATACTCTGGGGACTGTTGTGGGGTGGGGGGAGGGGGGAGGGATAGCATTAGGAGATATAACTAATGCTGAATGACGAGTTAATGGGTGCAGCACACCAGCATGGCACATGTATACATATGTAACTAACCTGCACATTGTGCACATGTACCCTAAAACTTAAAGTATAATAATAAAAAAAAATTAAGGAGATTATAGATGTCCTAATTTTACATGTGAAATGGAAATATGAGAAATAAAAGGCCTTTATATATTTTGAATTTTTATTTTTAATAAATATTATAAATTTAAAAAAATATATATATATTTCCTGAATGTTTTCTTATGCTTGCTTTTATGTTGTAGTATTTGGGCTAAGAGTTATTTTATTGATTTAAAACATATAAATAATGGTTATCTTAATGTTAAGAAAAAACTATGTTTCCCCAATTATCAACATTAATAATAAACCCATGTTTGTTAATTTCCTCTATAAAGACAATAACATTTCACATTTTTAATTCTTCTTGTCCTTCCCTCTTCCTATTACAGTGTTTGGTTAAGAACTGTGTTTTAAACTTAGTTCATTATTACCTCATTTCCATATTATGTGTCTAAATTTATCAGGGCTAATGACATATAAATTTGGTTTTATAGCAAAATCATAGGCTTGATTCTAGGTTTAAATTTGTTTCTGTAAAATAAATTTACAGAAAATAGTTTTCATTTTTAATGCTTTGTTTTGAGTAACCTTTTACACATTTTACACAGTTGTCTGGAGCAGAGATCTTCAGAGTAGGTTATGTGTACTTCAAGAAACATCAACTTTTCCAGGGGCCTATGGGGATAGGTAGTTTGCACATACTTATTTTCCACGTCTTCAAATTCCATATGCACTTTTTAAGTATAACTTATTTGCTTGAGGATTCACCTCTTTGTGGGGCTTCCTTGCCATTGCCCCTTTCACAATTATCTTTAGCCATACTTCTCACACATTCAATGTCTTCTTAGGATACATTGCTTCATAATATAAAAGATTCCTGGGCATGAAACATATGGATAATTTTAACTATTTGGTATCAGAGAAGCTTATTTAAATAAGACTCACCACCTTCTGCCCATCTTGTTAAGATATTTTTCCAATACAAGTACTTTTTATGTTCAATAATTTTTCAAATATTTAAATATATGTATGTTGTTTGGATCACATGCACACTAACAATAATTGTAATAATAAGTCAATCAGAATAAATCATTTAGCCCTTAAGGTAATATGTTTTCAGGAAATAAAAATAAATAAATTTATACTTATGCACATATTTTTGGTTACAGAGAAGAACGAAAGGAGAATCAAAGATTCCCAAATATACAAATATATTTCACTAGAATATCATTCTGGGAGGACATTGACTATATATAAGGTAAACAATAAAGTGCTAATAGTTAAAGAAAACTTGTTTATGATTTCATTTTAGACTACAGTAAGTAGCAAATCTCTATGTGTTTTACATTTCATTAAGTGCATTTTAAAGAGTTAGAAAAAAGTTCATTTAAAAAATATTCATATGGCCTGCCATTCCTCTCCTTAATATTTACCCAAGAGAAATGAAAACATATGTTCATCCAAAGACCTTTATATGAAAGTTCATAACAACTTTATCTATAATCATCAAAGACTAGAAACAACTCCAGTGTCCTCAACTGGTGAATAGATAAACAAATGGTGATATATTCATACAATGAATATTATTTAGCAATAAAAAAGAACAAACTCCTGATACACGTAACAACCATAAATGAATCTCAAATGTATTATGCTGAGTGGAAGAAACCAGCCACTAAAGAAAACATATATTATGTCATTCTATCCATATGCCAATGTGGAAAAGGCAAACTATAACAACAGAAATTAGATCATTGGTTGTCAGGGACTGAAGTGGAAAGCAAAGTTGATTACAAAGTACATGATACAACTTTTTAGGATAATTCAAGTATTCTATATTTTGATTGAGGTGTTGATTACATGTCTGCATACGTTTCTCAAAACCCATCAGACTACATCTTAAAAAGGGAATTTTACTCTATGTAAGTTATAATTTAATAAAGCTGACTTTAAAAAGTCAATATTTATTTTCTTCATTCTTTGCAACTACTATAATTTATGATCAAAAATTTTAATGACAAGTTAAAATGTGTAAAGACATTTTTCACAGTATTCATTTTAGACAGTAGGCAAACAGAAAATGGAAGACCATTAGGTTTAATAAAAAATGAATGTCTAAGAATATATTCCTGTTTCACCTGTAGTGAATGACAATTTAGCTGGATATAGAATTCCTGGCTCATGACATGTTGTCCTTCATAATATCACAGCCATCTGATGTTTAGTTTTGTGGTGGAGAACAATGTGGCCAGGCCATTTTATTAATAGAAAGTCTAATCTTATTTGTCTTTTAGATGAATACATGCAGGATATTTTCTTTGGGCTTAAAATTCAAATTTTCAATAGAACAAATCCACTTTTGTTGAGTTATTTTCTATTTGAAAATTGAGAATTATTTTTTAAGTTTTGTGTCTTATATAATTGCATCAGATCCATTTTTTTCTGGTCCCTTTTTTTAGAAGTTCAGACATCTATACATTAGACTTTAATTCTCTGCCCTCCACATCTATCAACTTATAGTTTATTGTTTTAATCTCTTTTAACATACTGCTTCACATTTCAGGGGAGATTCTCAAATTTGTCCTCTGTATTGCTGATTAAATGTTCTACAGTGCCTATTTTGTTCTTGAAGGCTTCTAATACAATTTAAATTTTGCCGTGGAATTTTTGGCCTTGTTTATCTAATTCAGTTTCCTCTCGCAGTTTTGCCATTGTCTCAATCAGCTTCATTAGCTTCTCAGTCTTGTGTTTTATCATATTGAATTTTATTAAGAACCTGAAGCAGAAAGAGTAAAACATTTACTTCTGTTTCTGCTTTTCCTCTGCCCACCCAGAACGATGCTGTTCTTCTTTATGTTGTACATCATTTTGAATAGGGATTTTATGTTATTGTTGTTTTCTGTATTCTCAGTTTTGAATGATAAAAGCTCTTTTAAGACCAGATGTTTATCAAAAGAGAGAGTGGTTGGAGATATTCCCTTTGGATTGTGTAACTGTCCACCTGATGTGCATAGAATTTGCCATTCAGATTGTAAGATGTAGGTCTGGTAGATGCAGTTTTGCAGGGTTTGTACAGGGATATGGCAGCCCAAAAGGCTTAGGGTGACGGCCCAGCACTCCCAGCAAGAGGAAGTGGCTTTGCACATTCTGATGTTGGAAGATGCTGAAAGACCACCAGTCCATATCATGTTTTCTGTTTGGACTGATCAATATCTCATATGCCCACTGGCCCCTGACCCCTGGAATCAGAAGAGGCCCTGGTACCTAGGACCTTTCTGTTTGTGGGAGATTCATGTGGCTTATTCATTTGGGCGTGATCTATAGCAGCAAACATGATTGCAGATGAGGGCTCCCCAGCTGTCATGAGCATCATCCTCACAGTCAATCACTGCCATTCCAAATTAGAGGGCGCTAGAAGTTTTTACAGTACTTTGTTGCCAGGCCACCATGCCACTTCCTCAGCAGGAGAAATAGGAGTCAGACTCTCTGGTGCCCTCCTTCAGGCCCCAGCTACAGAAGATGGAGCAGAAATTTTTCAGAACTTCTGTGGATGACACTTTCTCTAATCTCTACATACAGGTTCTTACATTACTATTTTTTTAGCCATTAAAAATATGTCTTAAACATTTAATTCAGGATTTGAAAATTAGACATTTGGTGCCTAATTTCAAAATTCCCTCTAACTCAGAAATGTGCCTCTGCTTTTAAGTACAGGTAAATAAAATGTTAGGTAAAAAATCAGAAGAGGAAGTGGTGACCGATGAGAGCCTGGAAGCACCACTGTGAAAACTGTGACAAAAATGTGATGTGCCATGTTGAAAAGAGCTACCCAGACCCCCAACCAGGGCTCCAGTCCCAGCCATGCCCCAAGTGTAAAGTGCTTTCAGCCGACCTCCACTGAACTGACTTACTCGGTTAAGACATTCTCCAGTCCCTCTGAAAAACTTTGATTCTCACCACCCCAAATTCCTGCAGTCAATCGCCTGCTCCATGGGATGCTGCATGCTACAGCTCTCACTATTCGGGTGCTTGTACCAAAGCCTATTTGCACCAATTCCACTTCTTTTTCATCATAAACGTAATTAAATATCCCATAATCAATTAAATATAAACAAAAGAAAATAAAAGAATTTTGTTTCTATGAAAACTAAGTTAAATACTTCGGAAAACTTCTAAAGGAGAGTTGCTAAAAATACATATTGCTATGAATTAATAGTAAGAAAACAGCTGTCACAGATCTTGAAAGTTATTAATAAGTGGTGAAAGTCTAGAAGTATTCTTTTTTCAGACTGTTCTGGAGGTATCATTAAGTTATAGATCTATCTTAACAGGATGAAAACTGAAAATCAAAACTTCTGCATTGTGGGAATGGTTTATGTAAGAAAGGTGATTGAGGAATCCAGTTCAAGGAGCATACACACAAGAAAGGCCTGTTGTCATAAATTATGAAATTAATGTGCATTTATTTTGCTGGCTATCATTACTGCAATATAAGAGAATACAGAGACAGTTCTTCCTGTGCAGTCTCTCTTTTTGTTTGTTTGTTTTTAAGACACAGTCTCTGTCATCCAGACTGGAGTGCAGTGGTGAAATCTTGGCTCACTGAAACCTCCGCCTCTCAGGTTCAAGCAATTCTCATGCCTCAGCCTCCCGAGTAGCTGGGATTACAGGCACACACCACCACACCCAGCCAATTTTTTTGTATTTGATGGGGTTTTACCATGTTGGCCTAGCTGGTCTTGAACTCCTGACCTCAAGTGATCTGCCCAAAGTGCTGGTATTGCAGGCATGAGCCATCACGCTCAGCCCATCTCTCTTTTATTTCCATTCATTCATTCCATATCTCTCTTTTTCTCTATCTCTTCTCGCCCACTTTCATCTCCATCTCTGTCTTTTGGTGTCTGTCACCGATTCTGTTCCCTTTGCTCTGTATTTCTCTTTATGTGACCTTGTCTGTATCCTCTTCTCAAGCTTTCTCGCTTAGACCCATGAGATTATTTTCCTTGATCTGGACACTATAGATTGACTAATGAAGCATTGGAAGAATACTGACAATGGAGTTTCTAAGGAACCATGAGCTGAGTCAAAGGGCACAGGCATTTGCTTGTGAACCACTGTCAAGCCAGGGTGTGCCAGTTCTGTAAAGGATATTGCAGCTCTCTTATGTGGAATTAAACCTTCATCTTACAGCCAATACCTAGAATTCAAGCCTGGAAGTCTTGGAGGACAGACAAAGAATGAATACCTACTAGACACTCTGCTATCAGTATTGGCATTGGTTAAGAAAAAAAAGTCTGTTAATGTGTTAAGGTATGGAATCGTAAAAAACACATATTTACTTCAGATAGTCTTATTTGATGGTGTAATTAAACCTGGTGAATAATGTCCTTGAGGAAACACTGTCTTTTTCCCAGCAGCCCTAGTTGGCTCCAGTCCTCCGCAGGACAGACCAGGTTCTGATCTAGACCTGTATTTCTAATGTGGTTCTATTCTAATTCTAGAATCCAAACACAGTTTCCAAAATGAAGTGTCTGGTGTTATAGAAAGAGCATAGGATATGGCATAAGACAGGATCTCAATTATAAGACCGCAGAGAATTATTTTACTTCTCTCACACTCTATCATCTATGGAATAGACATACGTGATCTCACAGGGTTGTTGTGAGAGTGAGTGAAATTCATACATGCATAATGCTCAATTAATTGGTTTGGGTGCCCAAGCACGTTTGCAACAAATACTGGGAGAATTTTCCTCTCCCCAAGATCAGAGCTACAGTAGTTATCCTAAACCAAATGACCACAGAACTCCAAATGCTGAGGTTCATTGCATACCGACATCAGTAACATTGAAAGGTACTTGTGTATAGGTAGAGGAAGGCCCAGCAATGAGTTCAGGTTATGGTTTAAGCCTGTGTAATGTGATGGCATCTGAGCTGACCATGCTATAAAATAGTCCCTCTCAACTGTGGTTTTGTTTTCCACAGTTTTAGTTACCCAGAGTTAATCACAATGCAAAAATATTACATACAATAAGATATTTTGAGAGAGACCACACTTACATAAATTTTATTACAATATATTGTTACAATTGTTCTATTTTATTAGTTATCATTACTTTCTTACTGTGCCCAATTTATAAATAAAACTTTATCATAGGTATGTATGTATGTATAGAAAAAATCATAGTATATGTAGGGTTTGGCACTATCCCTGGTTTCAGGCATCCACTGGTGGCCTTGAGACATATCATTCATGGATAAGTAAGAGTAACAGTTCGTAGGAGTCTGCCCTTCAGATTCCTTCGGGGACAGAGATAGTTCAATGGAAACTACAACTGTCATACAATGGTAGGGCTTTTGAATGGGACCTTCCTTTTCCTCCCTATACAACTTCATACAAAGACGCTGGCCCAGAAGGAAAAGAATCTTTCTTAAGTCAAAAGCGTTTGAGTAATTGTGCCGCCTTGCCAGAAAATTTCAGACTTATTCCCTCTCTTCCCTTTCTCAACACACATGTGCACATGCAAGTACGCACACAAACCAACACACCAACACACATGCACACAAACACATACAGCATCTTTCTGATTGTGGGGAAAAAAACACCTCTTGAAAAAGAATTGCCGTGATCATAGAGCATAATTAAGAGTATGGGCTTTGGAATCGGACACGCCTGGGTGTGAGTGTGGATTCTGCCACCTAACTAGCTAGATGATATTGAAAAATCATTCATCAATCCTCTCTGCCAACTGTCAAATAAGACTAACAATACCACCTTTGCAAGGTACTGTTTAAACGAAGACATGTCTTACAGCACTTGGTTTCTAGAACCTGGCACACAGAGTAGATGCTCAATAAGCAGTAGTAGTAGTAGGTGTGGTTATTGCTGTTGTGGCTGCTGCTGCTGTTGCTGACTGACTCAAAATCCAGGTACTATTTCCCAAGGTAGTGAGGGATGAGGTGGAAACAGGTGGCTCTATATATAGCGACACCCCAAAATGAGGACTCCCTTAGGCTTTCTCTTTTTCCTCCTCCTTCAAAGGAGAGTAGTGAATGTTGCCATGGTCTCCACAGGATGGGCATGAAATCTGCACATGACCCCTGTGTCTGCCACTCATCCGAAGGATACCTGTAAATCTCAGATGCTTTGTGAGCCTCACACCAGCATTTGGGATTCTGAAATGGAAATGATGGCTGACTTTGTTCTGCACCCTGGCAGTCTCAGCCCTTCCACCAGTTCCAACAGCTTCTAGTCATAACCCTGTGATTTGAGAACAATGAATCTTAATATAATTGAGTTAACTGTATCATTTTTAATGTAAGACAATCTTGATTACAGCCAAAGGGCACCATTAACACGCTGAAGGAATGGCCGAGATTTTAGCATGTGAATGTTGTACAGAAAATAGAACTAATTAGCATTAATTTAATTCGAAGATTAAAGAAAATTCTGCTTTTAATTTTTAATTTAAGACAAACCATTTTACTCTGAACAAAGAAAGAATAATAAGTACATTTTTTTCCATCTGAAAGGCAATTTTTACTTTTGCATTATTACACTAATATGGGACTGTGGGAATCCTGACCCCATTAGAGATCAAATAATCAGCATTTAATTATTGACAGCAAATTAATATTTAATAAATATGCAAGGGTTCCGGCATATGAAAGAAAGGCACCAAGGTTCTGCTGACCCAGAAACGTCCAGAAGGTCCCTTAGCCAGAACGTGATCTCCTGTGCTGAGGGTAACACTTCGGGATCCCCAAAGGGTCATGGCAGTTTATTTCCATCCCAGCTACCAAGACAGGAGGAAGAAGACCAGCATCTGCGCAACTGCCCCCCTTGCTGTTCCTACACCACCCCCCACCAGTTCTTCCTTAATCAAGCACTTAAACTAAATAATACATCGAATGTCATAACCAAAAGGAGGACAGTCATAATAAAAAAATAATAAAAGAAGAGGTCAATCCCCCTCTTTATTCTGCAAAATAATACTGACTTTTCTTTGCTGTGGGACTGCTTGTCAGGGATAATTTCTAACCAAAGAAGACATAATGATTTACAATGAAACTCTGATGCTTTCCTCAGCCTCACAAAGATTCTGAAAATAAGCGCTATTGCATTAGGAGTCCAAGGAAAGCCAAGGAAAAGCTGTTAGCTGATTTCCCGAGAAAGCCAGAGCTGTGTGCGGAGAATGGCCTGGGGGTGACCTGGTGTGGGCTCTAAAATCTTCTGCATTCCCTTTGGCTCTCAGAAAGAAAAATCAGCCCAGGTCTTCTGAAGACCTGTTGAACTGGTGGCAGCTGCCCTGGAATGGAACATCCTTAAACCAGGACTGGGGGCTGAATATTCACCATACGCTGCCTGGCTCCAGGCCTCAGGCCCTCCAGTGACTGTTTTAGGCAATTGCCTCCAGGCCTCACCATTTGGGTACATGTGTTGTGTCTTGTTGATTCTGAGGGAAGGATACTTTCTCTGGGCCATTTCATCCATGCGTTGGCTCCGCTCCACAGTGCAGCCCTCCTGAGTGTCAGGCTGTGGACCCTGCACCTACTGAATATTTCCCTCTGGGTGAGCCTCAGGCTCCTCACACTCATCACTCCAAAACTAAGCTTCTCCATGTTGATTTACTCCTCCATAACACTCTGTCTCAAATAAAAAATAAAAATAAATAAATAAATAAATAAATAAATAAGCTGGAGTCAAATGGGGCTGCCCATGCCTAGTTTCCTCAAAAGGCCAAATCCTGATCTCATGGGGTCCTTGTGATGTCACTTCCCCAGCCAGAAACCTCTGTGGCCAGTGGCACTTTATACCTGAGTATTGACCAGGCCCACTTGGCTCAATTCGCCCACTCAGCCCAGCAGCCTGTGCTAGGCTTTTGCTACCAGCCCAGATTCCATAACTGCCAAGGGCAAGTCAGGCACAGAGTGACAAGGGGTACATGAGTGAGCAAGCATGGGGTGAGGCCACTGTGCAAAGCCAGGCACGCTGGTTGCTGTGGCAGAACAGGCAGCTCCAGGCACTGGCACAGGTGCCAGCTACATGAGAGGCTGTGGCTGGGTGAGATGTACCATACACAGCTTCCACTGTGGGCACCCACATCTGGACAAGGGGGACATGGTGGTGCCCAGAAGCTTGGAGATGCCAGGAAATACAGAGCCCCAAAGAGGGTGTCACAGCCCTGGCTCAGGAAGCCCCTAGGTCTAAGATCCCCAAAGGGCCAAAGCTCTTCTTTCCTTCTTGTCACCCACAACATGGAGAGTGAGGAGGCATGTATTAGCCCTGTTTGTGTTACAGGTTTTTCAGTCCTACCATTAGGCAGGTCCTGATTTTCTTGTCCCATGTCCAAGAATAATGAGGTACGCAGTCAACTGGAGGGTGAGCAAGGCAGAGAGGAGCTTCATTGAGCAACAGAACAGCTCTTAGGAGAACCAAAATGGGTAGCTACTTTCTGCAGGCAGGTTGTCCCAACAAGTGTCCAGCTCACAGTAGAGAGGAAACCTGGAGTGGGTAGCTCCTTTCCACAGGCGGGTCATCCCAACAAGTCTAGCTCTCAGCAGAGAGGAGACCTGGAGTGGATAGCTACTTTCCACAGCCAGCTCATCCCGACAAGTGTCTAGCTCTCGACAGAGAGGAGATTTGAAGTGGGTAGCTCCTTCTCACAGCTGGTAGTCTGGATGTCTCTGTGAGTCTGGCAGAGTCCAGACTTTTTATGGGTTTCAGAAGAAGGTAGTATGTGCTGATTGGTCCATGCAAGGCCATGGGCAGGCCTGGAAAAAGTACCATAAGTTCTCCCTCCAGGCTGCAGACTCCACCCAGAACTTACAGCCCAGCCCCCATCCTTCAGGCCATTTCTGGCTTGAAGGTGGGGCTTCACCAGGCACCCTCCCATTTCTTCCCAGGGGCCTGTCCGGCTCCTGCCACCATCAATCATGTCATCCATGGCACCCAAGCTATTCATGCAGAGGAGAGCCTGCAGGCCCATGCCAAGCCTCCCTCCCTCAGCACCTGCTTGGCCTCCCTCCCATGCTCTTCGGTGTCCAAAGTCTGGAGGGGGCCAAGGCAGCAGGGGGTTGGCATGTCAGCATCGCCTTGAGTGCATGCACACCCAGTAATGTTAGCAGATTTGATAACTCAGATAACTCAGGAGTTAGAATCCCTGAGTTATCATTTTCTTTCATCACTTTGTCCAGTGAACTTAGGAGCAGCCAATCAACTTCATTATGTTCCTTGGTTCTCCACATATAGTCAAAAGTATTATGTATAGAGTCACAAAATTCCTTGCCTCTCATGAGCAGTGAATCAGGAATGTCAAATGCATTAATTTAGTATAGCTCTCTAAGCAGTTCAGGCCAAGGACTATCAGTGTTCTCCATACTATTAGAAATAGAGTCCTTAGCATTTTGGAGTCTAATTATACTAAACAGCCAACTCCAGAAACCCCAAAACCAATGAAAGAACTCCATCCTTAATATTATGTCCTCTAGAACCATTCCTGGTACCAAAATCTGTATTAGTCAGAGTTCTCTAGAGGGACAAAACTAATGGGATAGACACATAAATAAAGGGGAGTTTATTAAGTAGTATTAACTCACATGATCACAAGGTCCCACAACAGGCCATCTGCAAGCTGAGAAGCAAGGAAGCCAGTCTGAGTCCCAAAGCTGAATAACTTGGAGTTCAATGTTCAAGGGCAGGAAGCATCCAGCATGGGAGAAAGATGTAGGCTGGGAGGCTAGGCCAGTCTAGCCTTTTTACATTTTTCTGCCTGCTTTCTAGCCTTTTTATGTTTTTCTGCCTAGCTGCATTGGCAGCTGGTTAGATGGTACCCACTCAGATTAAGAGTGGGTCTGCCTTTCCCAGCCCACTGACTCAATGTTAATCTCCTTTGGCAATGCCTTCACAGACACACCCAGGATCAATACTTTTCATCTTTCAATCCAATAAAGTTGACAGTCAGTATTAACCATCACACCTGCCAAACTCAGAACAAATTCCTTTTCCTGGCGTTGATGCTCCAGAACAGGCCTTAGCATGCAGTTCCAGCTTATCATGGTCTATACTCGGGTACTCCACCCGAAGAAGGACCACTCCTGCATTCCAAACATTCTCATATTTTCTGCCTTTACACTTTGTCACATGATGTTTTCTCCTTCTGGAATTCTTCTCTGGACCTGCCCACTGACATCTGTCAAACTACTATCTATCACTCAAGGATCATCTACAATCCACCTTCTTCAGGAAGCTCCCCAACCTGGGGTAGTTTCCTCTTCAATTCAGTTCCCAGATCACTTTTTGGTGTCTATTGCTATATTCTCACGATATTCTGACTGTTATTAGAGTTATTCATGAGCATGCCATATCCTTGCTTGAAGACAGAACCATCCCTGTGTTCCCTGTTGTATCTAGCATCATGTCTTGCATATTTTAGGTAAGCGTTTGTTAAATTGAACAGAATTGACAGTATTTAATTCAATTTAGTGGCAGGCCAGGAAAGCACTCTGCCCCAAATTGCAAACCAGGCAAACTGTGACTCCCTCCATCTCCTCAGTCTCCTTTCCCTCCCAGATGCCTCTCTTTCTTACTTAGAAACTGTTTGTCCCCTCCAGTTGGTGATTCGCAGATTCCTTAAAATGAAATGAGCTTATAGGTAACTAAAAGATGAAAACTGGCAAGTCTTTCTCCTGTCTCCTCAAGAAAGGTGCCACGTGAGTCTTCTTTCCTCTAATAAAAGGAAGTTGCCTCTCCATCCCACCCCTCAGACTCCAGAGGGAATGCGCTAATAAGCCCCATCATGCCACCTCCCAAAAGTCACCACTCCTGCTCCAATCCTGGCCTCTAACATCCCAAGTCTGGGGCCTCTCCTGCCACTTCCACTTTCTTATCCACTGGACCACCCTTAAAAGTGTGACTATACATACTGTCATCTTAAAATCTTCCTGTTCTTTAAGAAAATCCCCTTTTCCCATGACCATTCCCTGCCCCATTACCAGAGAGATCAGTTTGCTCAGTCAGGTACTTTTTACTTTTGGTTACTTTAATAAATGGACGTTTAAAGGAAGTACAATTAGGCTTAATGGGGGCCAGGAATTCATTTGGCAAATTTTCTCTGTCTCACTTTCTCTCTCCAGTGGTTACTCATCTCTGCTTGGATCTGCTTCTTGTTGCTTCATGGCTTCCTCTGGTTTCACACTTCCCATTCTCCCTTCACAAGGACAGATGACCTTGCCATGGCACCTGCTCTCACCTTGACCCTGTGTGACCTGTTAGCTTTACTGTTAGACCCCACCACTAATTTGTTTCCTTCTCTTAGCACAGAGTCTTACAATAGAGAATCTGATTGGCTTGACCCACTTCCTGAATTGATTAGTGCTGAACCAATCATCTATTGCTAGGGTCCTATGATACATTTACAAATGTCTAGACCCATCCCTTTGGCAGAGACCATAATGAAGCTGTAATTTCAAAGATGAAGGTATAGGAGCACAGTTTGAGACACCTATAGGAATCTCTGATGAGACTACAAGGCTTAAGGAAAACAGATTAGAAGGTGAAAGAAGGGCCAGGCAGGGTGGCTCAAGCCTGTAATCCCAGCACTTTGGGAGGCTTAGGCGGGCGGATCACGAGGTCAGGAGATTGAGACCATCCTGGCTAACACGGTGAAACCCCGTCTCTACTAAAAATACAAAAAATTAGCCGGGTGCGGTGGCGTGCGCCTGTAGTCCCAGCTACTCGGGAGGCTGAGGCAGGAGAATGGCGTGAACCCGGGAGGCGGAGCTTGCAGTGAGCCGAGATGGCGCCACTGCACTCCAGCCTGGGGACAGAGCGAGACTCCGTCTCAAAAAAAAAAAAGAAGGTGAAAGAAGGAAGAGAGAGAGGGAGGAACTAAGAAAGGGAGGAACAGAGGGAGGAAACCTAAAATGTTTTGAACCTCTGCTATGTGCTAAATACAAGTTAGGCTCCAAAACTTATTGCTGTTGAAAGTAATGGCAAAAAACACAATTACATTTGCACCAACCTAATACATCATCCTACTTTAACTACACAATAATTCTTCCAAATAACTATCATTAGCTCCTCTTTCCATATCAAGAAATTCCACTCAGAAAAGTGAAGTCATGTGCCCAGAGTCATCCTGTAGTTAGTGGAAAGACAATGATTTGCACTGGGGAATTTCTGATTTCAGAACTCAAGCCTTAGCATAGTTTCTCCAGAGGTGGAAGTTCTGTGTGATATATTTGAAGAAATAACAGCAAAAACACTTTCCTTTAAAACAATCAAAACAAAGAGAGTTTATTGAAGAATGTTAATTGATATCTCACTGCACTGGTTACTTCTGCTTGATGGTTTAATTATTAGTAGCTCAGTGAGTTTCATTAGAGACCTATTGTGCCGCTGTTGGCAAAACAACACTAGTATCTCATGTTCAATAATTAAAAGCAGGAAAAAACAAACATTCTTTTTGGAGCCCTGAGTTTATAAATAGCAGTGGTATGTGATTCCTTTAATCAATAACTAGGCTATCCAGCCTGGCTTGGACAATGGAGACGATGGGCCTTCTTGCCTCTTAGTTTTCTTTGTCCAGCTCTGGATTTATACAATCCAACTAAGCAGGGACTGGCCTTATTGCACAGCCATCTTATCCTGAACCCTGCCTTTTACCACATGGCTGTTAAAAGATAATTTTCTAAAAAAGGAAAAATCATGACTCTCATATGTTAGTAAATATACAATATAAAATAAAAGTATGTAAAAGAAAAATGGGAAAAGATGCTACAACCTGTTCAAAGGAGAAATCAAAGAACCACATGTTTATATAAAAAAATTAAAATGAATTTACAAATAGATATGAAACTGGGTAGGGGGAGAATCAATTAAACCTACACTGGACAAAATTTATTTACATCTCTATAGACAAGCATTATTTTGCATTGCTATCATTTATCTACAATTTACACTGTAAGTAGTTCAAGGACAATGAAAGGCTAAAATCAGACAAACTTCAAGTGTACGTTCTAAACAATGTATAGTTTTCCATTGAATCCATTCAGTCATCTTTCTTGCTTGTTGCAAATTTCCTTACGTGTTATGTGCTTTATGGTCAAATCTAGGCTCAAATGAACTCTACTGCTCATTTGCTGTGAGTGACCTTGCGTGGGTAACTAAATCCCTCTGAACCTGTTTCTTCCTCATAAAATAAGGGCAAAACTCTCACTCCTTAGGTTTAAGATGAGGATCAAGTTAATAACTAAGAGCTTAACATAGTATTTGACATAAAGTAGTGCTCAGTAAATGTTCATTCCCATAGGACTTTTCTACCAACTCAGTAGCCCACAGACTCCAGAAATCAGCCTCCAGTTGGTGGCTGACAGGAAAGCTGAGTTAATTAAGTGGACGCTGCTCACCCCAGTGTCCCCATGTGTCTCTGGCCCTTGGCAAAATTATACAGAACCATCACGATGAAGGGTCTTCTTCAGCCTAGGAGCTGAGCTGAAATTTATTAAATTTTAATTTAATAATCAAATGCCACTGGAGACTGCAATCCGTAAGTAACAAGAAGGAAGAGAAGCAGAAAGATCACCAACCTCTCTCCTACAGGCCTTCCAAGGCCCTCTAGGTCCTCAAAGCTAATACACAAAGGAGTCATATCTGGGGAGGAGGAACATGGAAGAGAATGGAAGCCCACCTGATGTGTTAACCTAGTGACTCTGAGAGAACTAAATGGCAGTGCTGACAGTAAATTTGTCACCAGCACCATTCCATTCAACAAATATGTATTGACCAACTACTATAAGACTAAAGTCATAGGTGTTGTGGAGGGACTGCAGCAAGTGGTCCTGACCACAGACTTTGGAAACACACAGACCTAGACCGAATCCTAATTCTGCCACTGATTGGCCTGTGATCTTAGGTGAGTTCATTCACCTCTAGCCTCAAGTTCATCATTGGTTAAAAAAAAAAAGAATGACAGTCTGGGTGCAGTGGCTCATGCCTATAATCCCAGCACTTTGGGAGGCAGAGGGAGGCAGATCACAAGGTCAGGAGTTCGAGACCAGCCTGACCAACATGGTGAAACCCAGTCTCTACTAAAAATACAAAAATTAGCCGGGCATGGTGGCACATGCCTGTAATCCCAGCTACTCAGGAGGCTGAGACGGGAGAACCGCTTGAACCTCGGAGGCAGAGATTGCAGCTGAGCTGAGATCCCTCCACTGCACTCTAGCCTGGGCGACAGAGCGAGACTCCATTGAAAGAAAGGAAGGAAGAAAGAAAGAAAAGAAAAGAAAAGAAAGAAAGAAAGGAAAGAAAGAAAGAAAGGAAAGAAAGAAAGAAAGAAAGAGAAAGAAAGAAAGAAAGAAAGAAAGAAAGAAAGAAAGAAAGAAGAGAGAGAAAGACAGAAAGAAAGAAAGAAAGAAAGAAAGAAAGAAAGAAAGAAAGAAAGAAAGAAAGAAAAGAATGACAATAGGAACTTGATTAAGGTATTATTTTCAGGATTAATGGGATAGTATTTATGATGGGCTTAGCAATTAGGGGAACAATAAACAGTAGCTAAAATAAATAAACTGGAGAGGGAAGCTTTGCTCCACACTGGTCTGTATTTACTCTCATTAAGGAGTGTTTATCCACTAAGCTGATGGCAGGACCTTAAAATCTGAGGTAGGGAGAACTAAAACAAGGAGAACCTCTGCCACCTATGCATTTACTCACCTATTCACATCCAATGAGTTGGTCTAGTGGCTAAGATACAAGCTCTCAGTTATTCAGAGGGGATGTGACCATAGATATATAGCCTATGTCAGCCCTGGGCCAACCTGGGTATTCCAAAGGTGCACACAGGAGCTGTGGGCTGCATCTTCCTTCTACAACCACTGAACAGGTATTAGTTCTTGGTCCCCACCAGAAAAGAGGTAGAGGTAGTGCAAATGCTTGTACCCATGTGTGAACCTCAAGCCATCAGTCCCCTGTGGGGAATCCTAATTTAATTTTCACTCTCCTAAGCCACCAATATTGAGAAGCATCCTGCCAAGGTATCAGCTAGCTTGGATTTTCTGTGCTCTGCTGTCAGCATTAGGGGCTTTGAGGACCTCTTCCTGTGCCTGCCTCCCCACTGCCATGTGAATCACTTGTCCTTCCTTCTGGAACTTCATATGTAGACTTCCCCCTTTTACCTAAAAGCTGTACTGCTCTCTGGCTACCCCATGATTGCTGAGGAGCTAGTCTAGGTAACAAACCCTCTGAGTGCTAATTGACTATGACCTTCTTGGCAGCTTTGCCTCTCCCTCCCCTGGACCAACCAGAGCCTATGTTCTCTTAGGGAGATTACCAGGGGCTGACTCCCCATGTATGCTGAGGGAAGATATGTGAGCCATTCCTTCCAATCCCTGCTGCTTTAACAAGCTGCAAGCGTTCTGCCTCCTCATTCTCCTTGATTATGGTCCAAGACCCTTGAATGCCAGAGTGAGGTATGTACCCCCTAATTCTGCAATTCCTGGGGAGATAGTGAAGTTTCCTCACCTGAAGATTGGTACAATTTGAATAGGGTTTTGCATGTTAGTGTAACAGACCTGTTTCAACAAAAAGAAAGGAAGAAAATTATTATAGGTATTAAAAGAGGAATTAGAAGGCTGTAAATGGGGCTTATTCTGTTATTCTGAAAAGAGACCACAGAAATTTAAATGAAGGATGTTTCGCACAATATAAAACAGGAAGTATTTTTGGAAATAGGTGGGTAAGTATGACTTATTTCTTTTTCTTATGTATTTGACAAAACGTGCCGGGAGACCCATGATAGAACAATGAACCATTTTCCTAAACCAAAACGCCAGGGAGAAAAATAGGCAACAGATTTCAGAATGGACATCTCCTCCAGGGGCTGAGCCCCAGAAACTGGTCCAAAAGGCCAGACAACTCACCTCCTTTTCCCTGAGCCCTGGTCTCCCTTTGCTGCCCAGCCCAGTGGGTGTCTGTGGATGAGTGATAAGTTAAGCAAAGCTAATGTCAGATCAGGCATGATGGAGAGTGTATATCCCTTCTTGAGACTCTTTATCACTCAGAGTGAATGTTTTATAGCCCTGCATAGAGGTTGCCATAAAACACCATTTTAAGGAGCTGGAGGCCATATTTCATCCATTAACGTCTTCTTGCCCCAAGAGGCAAAACAAACTAGCAGGTGGCTTAGGATTAACATCTTTATTACAGATGACCTCACTATTGTGTTCTCTATAAAGAAAAAATATTACAAAGCATTAACGCACTTTAACTATTAAATTAATACAGATTTACGGCTCATATCCGGATCTAAATTTCTTGGCTTTGCGGGGTCATTATTTTTCTGTGATTTTTTTTTGACAACATTGCTAATGGGGACCAGAGCAAAATTGATATGAACTGTGATGGTGAATGCATGAATTCAGGGAGGCAGCAGGTTATGTCTCCACATAAATCACTCCAATGGCAGTTTTGCACTAGAACTTACACAAGTATTTTCAATATTTGAGCAACAGCCACAGAAGGATATTTAGCCAAGAAGATGCAAGTAGTAAGATTCCAGTATTTACTTTGTTCTGACAAATGGCAAAACATGAAGACTGTGCTTTAATTACGTGGGGAAGCTTTGGTGCATAAATCCCCCTTCTCTGCCCACCCCTGCTCTTTCCAACGCGTAAAGTTGCCATTACTTATTTCATTTCAATGTGTCTCTAGTGAATGTTGCTTGTGTTTATACATGCTATGGATTAAAACTGCCTTCATTTCTACTCCCTTCTGGGGTTCCAAGTGATGGTCTGCCATGGTCACTAGTCAAACCAAACAGAAAGCAAAGTATTGGTCATATTATTAATGGACACAAGTATCTAAAGCCCTAACATTTGGTAAAAATGGATTGTAAAACAGAGCTTAAGACTAAGGCTAAACAAAAGCTTTCTCCTGCTTTCCTAATCTAAAACCTGGGGACTCCAGTCATTCATGTCTTAAGAGAGTGAAAGAGAGAAATGGTTGCCTAATACCACAATCATCACATGGTGAGGAAGAGGCAGAAAGCTTAAGAGAAGGCAAGAACTTAAGAAGGCATTTACACGAGCCCTGATCCTGAACACAGAGGTGATTTCCATGGGAAGATATGGACCCCAAATGTAAGGTTTCTACACTTGGGTTAGTGACTTCTCCTGTGTAGGGGAGATGTGAGCATGCAATGTGTGGAGGAGCAAAGGTGCCCCCTCCTGCACCCCGGGAAAGGACAGGAGAGTCCCCTTAAAAGAAAAGTCTGTACTCCCTATGGACTCAGTAAAAAACCCTAGGACAAGGTAAAAAGTTGAGTCTCTGATTATTTCAGAGGATTTGCCACGTTATTTATATCTAGTCCAAGTTTCATGTATCATTTGAGTTGAGATAATATCTTGACACATGGGCTCTGAAAATACGTAAACCATGCCTTGGCTCAGTGAATCCCACCCTGGAAAATCTTTGAAAGAAATATATGCCCAGGAAACAACAGCAAAGCATTTTAATGTGAGAGCAAATCTGTTTTTTGATACTAGCAATGGCTAGGGCCCAATGTTGAACTCTAATAGGCTAGCCTTACACGTGTATACATGTGCATGTGTACCCTAGAACTTAAAGTATAATAAAAATAATGATAATAATTGGAAGAAGTTCACCAGTAGAAATTATTTTGGCATAAGTAATTGATTTTGAAATGCCAAATTGTGAATTTAAAAAAAGGTACTAAATTTTTAAAGAATGTCTGAAAATATGGAGAAATAAAATGATCTACTTTGATTTAAAAAGAAAAAATAAGCTAGCCTTGGAGGAAGAACATTTCAGTTAACCTCAGACCAACCCCCAAACTGGCTGCCCAGAGATCAAGGTATATCCACACATCACAATGAGAGCAGAGAATATGTATCTTAGGGATGAAGTTGAGGAGGCAGCTTCCCCAGGGTCCCTCTATAAGTCATGAAACCCCTTCAAAATTGCCATACCTGAAAAACAAAAAAGGATACTTTAAAAATAAGATGTGAGAAGAAGACAGGGTTTGTTTAGCCAAAATCTAATTTATGGAAAGGAAACAAAATGTGAGGGATAGGAACAAGTGTCTAGGAAGCAGTAGGGCTTTCATCAACGCCAAAACCACCCTGGGCAGTAGCTGCCATCTAAAAAGCCTAAATCTCAACTGCAGTAGTTTCAGATCATGGAGTTCTTCTCCCTGCACTATCAAGATCTATAATCCCTCTTTTCTTTTTTTCTATCCCCATAATGAGGAGCAAAGAGACCAATCAGAAGAGAGAGCCCCAGAAAATATTTCAGCCCATCCAAAGAAAACTCAAGTCCCAGCAGGAGGACAGGTGCATATCCCTGATATGTCCCAATAGCTTTGGATCATGGTATTAGGAGGCCAAATGAAAAAGTAATAATAATAAGAGAGAAAGTAGTGATGTGAAAAACCACTGGCCTTGATATTCCTTAATCTCTTCCATGACATAATTCTAAGAAACATGAGCTAGTTCTCTTCCCTTCGTCCTCTATTACGTGGATGTTCATTGGCTTATGGTCAGCAGCCATGCTCACAGGTTTAAGTGTGCATGTATGGATGTGCATGTGTGAGCATATGCTACAGTGTATATTCTGTGCATGTATGTATAATCAGATGTATGTATGCTGTGCTTGCACATACACACTGTGAATTGTGAGACACACGTATGTATACCTGTGCATCAGTAATTAATGTATGCATGTGCATGCAGATATTTTGTGTGTATCTTGCACATGAATCTGCATGTGTACACACCCAGGTGCATTATACATGATCTGGAAAGCATGTCGTATGTATGTACAAGTGCACGTGTGAGTCCTGTGTCAGTGTGTTTGTATGAGTCTGGGCTCTTAAGCCCTACCATGCACCAGGCTGTTTGCAGCCAATGTTGAGCCGCTAATGATTTTAATGAGAGTGCCTTCTGGATTCATATTTTTTTAATAAAATACATCACACTAAAACCAAATCAATGAGAAACATTAATTAGGGCCTTTGTAGATGCCTTCTGTGGTGGTGTTTTTCTTTTGAGAAGCACCAGACGAAGAATGCTGGGCTTTATTTAAGCTAAGTTGTTTGACATTTAGATGAGAGAAAAAAGGGGAAGAAACTAGCCAGCCCAGGAACCGTTTTTGACAGCTCTTTGTCATGCAAGGGAGAAAAGAGGCGCCGGCTGTGAGATTCTACTTTGAAGCCCTGGAAATTTGTAATGAAAAATTTAAGATACAAGAGAGGCAGAAAGATGAGCTATTCACGGGGCTCTGCATATATTAACACTTGTAATGCAAACTAAAGGTTTGCTATGTGTTTTTATAATTTGGCCGCTAATAAATATCTTCCAGAAGTGCTTTGATTTTTCTAAGCTCGGGTATGGAGTTCGATTCCATTAAAAAGTAAAAGAAACAATTGGCATTGGACTCCAGTCCCTGATTAGGCACATCAATTATTACAGGCAGACCGCTGACTGATTTCAAAGAATGCTGGAAGCCCTTGCGTGCTTGGAGGAAGCCATGCATCTGCGGACAACTCCTCCACTGCCACCGTCTGCCATGCCAACCTCCAGGTCTATGCATTCCAAGTACTTGACCCCGCCTCTTCTTTGATCTCCTGGGCATAGTTACTTGACAGTTCTCCAGGGACAGGCAGATGCCAGGGATACACTGAGGAAATTCCCCAAAAGCATCATCTTCACTATTGAAAAGGTTGAGTTTCTATGATGTCAAAACGACTCTAGCAAATTTGAGATCCTAAGGCAAAATCAGTCCCATCCACCCATTGCCTCCTTGTGACCCTTGGTTACTCTTCTCCTCCCCAGCATCTTTAATGACTGATTCTTCTGCCAAGGCCAGCCCAAGGCATCTTTGGTTGTTCTCTATTTTCTAGATTTCCCAATGTCTTCCTCCTCTTTTACCCCTTTCTTCTGTGTATTTGAAACTTCTATTACCTGGTTAACAAAACCAAACATCTTCACACTCTTCTCAAAATTCTCTTCTCTTTGCCCAATGAGCAAATAAGCTACTTGAGTGGAAAAAGTGTGGGTGGGCTTGTCAGTTGGATGGTCTCATGTTCCAATCCCTAGTCTTTTATTTAATTGTGTGATTTAGGATGAGGCTTCTAACTTTTCTGATTCTTGTTCTTCACGTTTGTATAAAATGAAAATATAAGCACCCACCTCTTGACTGTAGTGCAGTTTCTATAAACTTTCTAGTATGCAGTAGGCATGCACACATGCACACACAAACACAAAGTGGTAGCAAGTATTAATATTAACTGAAACTTGGTCTTCCCTTGAAAAATACCACTTCCCTATAAACTTTGGCAATTAAGTTCTGTCTTTCTTCCACCCCACATACCTGTGGGGCCAGGAGGTAGTTTAAGCATTCCTCCAGCTTCTCATCAACACTACTAAACTATATGAAGGGTTTTGCACAGAGGCCAAGGCGTATGGTAAAAACAGAATAGCAGATTATAGTTCTGTAACCTCCATGCAAAACCCTTCATGCACTGGAGCTTATGCCATCAGACTAGATTTCTGTCCCTCCTTGTCATTACCATCAATTGCTTTGTTTCCTGGATCACATAAGTGGCCCCAATATCCATGTGGATTTCCCAGGCAAAGCCATAACTTCACAGCCTCTTGTCCTTCTTAGCTGCCTTTAGTCTTCACTGAGCCTTATCTCCACTCCCTTCATGTTAACCACTCATATTGCTGCAATATATGGTCTGTTACTGGTCCCACTCCTCAAAACCCTCAAATTAGCAAAACCCAATTTTTTTTTATCCCAATCCTCTGGCTCTCTCATGTTCTTCTTACTCTCATTTCATGGGATATTTGGACTCATAGTTACTTCAGGCCCTTGGCTGCCCAGCTTCCTCCCTGCCCATCAGTAATAATTGTTACAGCCACCATTACACTAAACACACTCTGGGCAGACAGTATGGTATTCCTTACAACATTAAGAAATAGGCATTACTACCATCCTTATTCTTTAGATTTAAAAAATGAGGCTCCAAAAGGTTACAAAACTTGCCAAAGGTCACTAAAGTAATGAGTTACAGAAATCTGAATCCAAATGTTTCTGACTTCAATACTCACTCTTTCAACTCTTGTATTTGCTGGTTCCTACAGTGTTTTTTAAAATGTACCTTGAACTTTGTGGATGAGCATCTGAACTGCTCTCTCTACATTCCTTGGTTCTGCCATACCTGCCTTACAAATCGCCCTTTGATAGATTCCCCAAATCACCTAACCTCCCACAAACAATCTTCATTTACAAGATGGTTTAAGTTATTTTAATCATGACCTATATAACTCCTTACAGCACCATCTGAGCCATCAATGGAAGAATAAACCATTTTCAATTGAGAAAACAGGCCCTTTCCACAGGCAGAGGTAAGAATGGGAGATATACCAAGCCAGAAGCTAGCCAGCATCTTCTAGAAGCGCAAATAGCTTCCATGTGTTAAAGGGAGAAAACCTGGCTTCAAGATTCCCAAGGGAGCTGTCAGACCCACCTACGTGGTAAGTGTCAGGCCTCTGAGCCCAAGCTAAGCCATCATAATCCCTGTGACCTGCACGTACACATCCAGATCGCCGGTTCCTGCCTTAACTGATGACATTCCACCACAAAAGAAGTGAAAATGGCCTGTTCCTGCCTTAACTGATAACACTGTCTGGTGAAATTCCTTCTCCTGGCTCATCCTGGCTCAAAAGCTCCCCCACTGAGTACCTTGTGACCCACACTCTGCCCGCCAGAGAATAACCCCCCCTTTGACTGTAATTTTCCTTTACCTACCCACATTCTATAAAACGGCCCTACCCCTATCTCCCTTAGCTGACTCTCTTTTCAGACTCAGCCCACCTGCACCCAGGTGAAATAAACAACCATGTTGCTCACACAAAGCCTGTTTGGTGGTCTCTTCACACGGACTCGCATGAAAGTAAGAAACTGTCTTCCATGGCAACCCTCTCCCCCATAAGAACCATTATTGATAGTATGGCCATAAAGAAACACTTGTCAATCCCCAACTTGTTCCAGAAAATGGCCATCTACAGAAAATCTCCCACTGCTAACACTGAATAATACTTCCTGTTTTGAAAGGTCCCCAGATTGTTTTTTCAACCTATTAAATCTACCGGAAGACCAGTTAAAAGGTCTTCTCTGCTTCCAAAAATCCTATTTTAATAGAATGCTTGACAATCAGAGTCCACCTCAGTCTTTTTTTTTTTTAAACTCTGTAAGTCTTGCTTTTCTTTCTAACACTAATTCTATGCTGAAATGAAAGTGACCATAAATGAATTTCCTCGCTGCAAGTTTAAGAATAAACAGCCTTGGTTAAATTGTCTCAGATTTAGTTTTGTCTTTCACAATGGACAAGTAATGTGATGAAGATGCAGAGAATCATTGTCATCTGGGGACTATGTGCACAGTATCTACATTTCCAGAAACACCACAACAGGAGACTAATCCTGCTTCAGAATCCCCATGAGAAAGGATATATGAAATGTTCAGCAAGACACTCCCATTCCATGTGTCCAGAGTGTAAATGGCAGTTGGCCTCAAGAAGCAGACCTAAAGCCTACATGTCAGGAAGCCTCCTTTCTCCTTCTCAAATCCAAATACTCTCATCTTAAATACATACATACATACATAAATACAAAATTGAGGGTGATAGGGCACAGAGGCCAAGGAGTGTGGTAAAAACAGGATATCAGGTTTTTGCATGAGCTCTAAGTTTCGGCCCCCACACCGATGTGGCTCTGGTAGCATTGACATTTGGTGCTCAGGGGCCTCATCTCTGAGGTCCGATGCTCAGGGCCACTTCCTTGGCCTCCTGCTCTGGCTACACTAATTTTGGTCTCCCTTAGAGGAATTTTCACCCAGAATACTCTGAATCACTGAATCTAACAGATCAATTCCAAAAGATACTCTCACAGGTTTCTTCTGATCCCTCAAGCAGAAACAAAACACTGTTTGGGATTTCTCAACCTTTGCTTTATTTATATTTGGAGCCAGATAATTTGTTATTGTAGGGAATTTCTCGATGCGTTGTAGGATGTTTGGCATCATCCTTGGCCTCTACCCTCTGGATGCCAGCAGCATACCCCTCAGATTGGGGCAATAAAAAATGTCTATGGACATGGCCATTTGTTCCCTTGGGGAAAAAGTCACTGCAGTTGAGAATAATTGCACTAGATAATTCACTGAGCAATTGTGAGAAAACAATGCTAATGAAAGTACTTTGTAGAGTCACTGAGATGTGAGTTATTACCACTTGTCCTACTTGAATTAGCCCACCAGCTGATTAGGTCCCCAAACTCAGGCACCTGTGTTCCAGCCTCACAACTCCAAAGACTCAGAGTGTGCCTGTCTCCACTGAAGACAAGACGTGGAAGCTTCTGTCTCTCCATGCTATTAGTTAACATGTTTTTATTGTTCCAAAATGGACAAGCCCAAGTGACTTGTGGGCCCATTCGACTGTTCCCATGAGACCCAATGTGCCTTCCCAGGAGACCTGTGCATTCAGGATTCAGGCACTGTCCTTATTAAGCATAGTCATGGTTTGTAAAGCTGGAGAAAAATGACCAAAGGGCATGACCTGGAAAGAGTGGCATCAGTCAGGGACCTAGAAGCAAAGGGACAGCACATTGCAACTGGTAACTAAAGGAGGATTTAACAAAAGAACTCTTTTTAAGGGTGTGGGCAGAGTTTAAGGAAAAGGGCTAGTGCAGTACTCTAGACCTGATAACAGCTAAGAGCCACTATCATCTCTAGGCCATAAGAGAAAAGGGAAGGGAGTGATTAATCAAAAAGCATGGCTCCATGGAGACAGTCTTTTGAGAAGAGGAATGGAAAGCAGCCCACCTACCTCCATCCAGAAGGGAGGATCAGGGAATAAATCTCTGACCCCACTCTCCTCTTGCTTCATTCCTGCCTCCAGAAGCAAGGGAGCTGTTGCAGTTTCGATGGGCCAGACCCCCAGAGAACAGAGTGGAGTGGAGGGAGAGGTGAGTAGATCAAGAAGCAATAGAAGATATTTAGGCCAGTGAAAAAAAAGAAGAGGTGAAAGGCATCCAACAGAGCTGACTGCCTTTTTTTTCTAGGCAGTCAGCTAGAGCCCTAGCACAAACTGCCTCCACCAAGTCTTTGGGGATGCCTGGAATCCCAGATTAAAAACATTCATTGTGCTTTTACCCTGATCTTAGTATGATGATGGTCACTGAGAGACCTTAGAGATAATTTATTACTTTGAAAGGATTATCATCCAGCAGAAAAGATTTAAAAATTATGTTTAAATTGGCCCAAAGCAGACAGGGACTGGTGAGGGGAGTTCAAAAGAGAGACCTCCCTTGCAGATAGGCATGAGTGACAATGAGGTGGAGGTTGGAGTGGGCAGATCCAGGAAGGAGGAGAAGGGGACCCTTAAGCCACCCTTCCCTTATGAACAGACTCTTATCAGTGGGGATGGCCTCATCTTCTGAGTCCTATTCAATGTGCAAGACTTTCTTCACTCCCCTCCTGCTATCTTTCTTCCTGTTTATGATCACCAGAACAATTTTAGGAAGAAATTGTTCTGGCAATGTTGGTTAAATAGCTCCATCTCTGGTTCTCTATTTGAAGCCGACTTCTTAATTATGCACCATTGCTTGGACATAAATGCATTTATATTAATTTTTGCTCCACTTAGCAGAGTGGTCACTTAATTAAATGTCTTCAGTTGTTTTATTGGGAAAAAAATAACCCATCCCTCCCCCCATGGCATCCCTCCTTCCCACTTAGCTCCTCTGTTGTGCCGTGAATTTAAACACACTATTTGTTGCTTTTCATTCAGCTCATTTGCAACCCTGATGCCAATGCATTTGTAGGAACTGATATTAAAAAGTAATATCCGAGACTAAAGTCGCTAGACTGTTTAGTAGATTTTCAAATTGAAACAAAAATTATACAGATTTTTCATTCTGATAATTCCACCAATTCACTAATTCTTTAATCTTTACAGGTCATTGAACAGTTCTACATTAATGAGATCTAGTTAAGAACAAATTTTTTCCTTTTTCCTTTTTTTTTCTTGAAAAATGTTTCCTATCATTTGTAAATTAGAAAGAACTTGTTCCATTTATGGTCCATTTATTTAAAATAATCGAATGCATGGGATCTGACTGAACACTGTGTGTAATGATGTTTTAAACAAATTACCACTTATTTATAAGCAAGAAATAGACTTTTAAAAAGCACCCAGACTTGGCTGCATTATTAATGGTATTCTCCAGGCCCAACAGCTCTGGGGTGTATATGTGTATGTACAGCACAAGCCCGCAGATATGGATTCTACTCCAGTGGGAAAGTTAAGGATTTGGGAGTAAAACCAAAAAACAAAAAACATTCTAGAAAAGCAGCATGCTTTTCCTTTTCAGAAAATTGCAAACATTGGTGAAATCCAGACACAACGACCCATTCATTCCAAAATCTTCACTGTAAGCATGTGACTGTCATCATGAAGCAACCAGAGCTAAACGTAGAGTCAGCCCTAACACAGTCTGTTCAGTGTGCCAGGCTGAGGATATGGAACAAACAAAAATTCATCTCAGCTAAGGCATGTGAGGATGAAACACCCACCTCTTGCACCAGTGCCCTGAGAGTTCCCACTTAAATAATAATTGCCATTTCATGCTGGAAATCCTGGAGAGTTAATGGCTTGGATGCAAGTATTATAAATTACTATTATCCTTTACTGCACACCACTACAGGGAGGGAAATGTTTATCCTATTAATTGTTATTTAAAGAGTGTGAGTTGCAGAGAACCAAGGGAAATGGCTAACTATGCTAAGAATTAATGGAGAGAGATTATTCTGGCTTCATCAGCTTTGGTCCTATCCATTTACAAGACAGTTTTCATTCCATTTTCCTATCCCTTTTTGACCAATTGAACAATAAATAAATAATAGATGGTGCCTGAGACTTCCAATATTTAATCCTAGTCCCACTTCATCCCCATTTCCAGCAAGTGTGCAATCCTCAGAGATCCCTTGCCAACTCTAGCAACGCCAACTGATTAGCCCTGTTCCCAGATATTGGGAAGGGAGTCTCCAAGCCTGAAAGGGGTTAAGGAAGAAAAGAAAGTATGGGGAAAAGAAAATGAGAGAGAAAGAAGAAAGGATGAAAAGAGATAGAAGGTGGAGGAAAGAAACCATAAGGCTATGATGCCAGAAGAATCAAAGCTGCCAACCAGAGCCAGTGATACAAAGCCTCCAAGCCTTGGAGAATATGTGGATGGAACTACTTCCTGTCAGTGTTTTTCAAGAAATCATAAAAAAAAAATAAAAATGAAAGGTGCTTAACGATAAGATGAATGAAGACAATGATAACACTTGTATTGTATTGCCAAGAACAGTACGTGACATATAACAGGCACACAATAAATATTTGTTGAGTAAATACATGCATGCACAAATGATGTTGTGCTGGTTTTATAAAAAGGCAGAAGGCAGATTTAGAAACTAGAAGCTAGTTAATCAACCACTAGTAAAGCAATAATTGATTATTAAATCAATGGTTTTGAAAGCTGAGAAAATAAGCAACAATGGCCAGGTCCCACAAAGACAACTCTTATCAAATAAATTTCATGTTTTTTTTTTTAATTGAGTTATCAATAGAACAAGTCTAGCTTATTTTCAGTCAGGTGTGTGACAAAGTATATTGTGGTATGTCTGCAATCTAGAAACAGTGGGAATTTGCTCAGTAGCTGGTTAAACATCTTTATTGATAGTGATAATGACTATCAGATAAAAATCTCTAGCTGAATGCTATGGCCGTTGACTTTTGTTCTGTACCAGTAAATGAAGATAACAGAACAGAGTATTTGTGCTTGGGACCACCATTTAAACGGACATTGAATTTTGTGGTCATTCTTAGCAATAGGGCTCTGTCCTCGGCCCTAATCTATTTAATATTTTTTTCAGTATCTTAAACACACAGACAACATGTTCATCAAGATATGTGGATGACAAAAAGTTGGGAGGGTAGCCAGATGACTGAATGAAATATAGGTCAGTATCAACTGACAGGGATAAATGTGAAGTTTTCAAAAGATTCAAAAAGTCAACTACTCATAGGTAGACGTGGGGAATGCCTAGGTAAATAGTCGCTGTGAGGAAAAAAATAAGCTTAAGCTGTTTTAGTTAACTATAAGCTTGATAGGCAACACTATATGATGTGATTGCCAAATGATCCAAGGTTGTTGGTGTTTGATCCACAGGCACTGGCACCGGCAGATGGTAACTGGTAGAAGGAAATGAGAGAGGATGTGATATTACATAGAGAAGATGAGACTTGGCAGGATATGGCTGTTGCTTTTAAATAGTGAAGGGCTGTCTTTTGGGAAAGAAAGAAGTCACGTTTTTTGCTGTCCCACAGGAAAATTTCCGAAGTAGAAATGTCTACAAATGGCAGAGGATGTGTTGTGAGAAGTAATGAGCCTCCTATTCAATAAGTAATGGGATGTCCTTTGTAGGAGCTGCTGAAGAGATGACATAGCAGAGAGATTGTGCTTAGTGGCTAAAATCTAAAAAATTCTAAGATGACTTCATTCTCTGATCCATACAAACTCAGTATAACTAGTACTGCATTGTGTTACATAGACTTGGGAGCTGTAAGTATATGTGTGCCACTAAAATAAAAAACAATTAGGTTGGAGGAACTGATGCCAGGTTTTCAACTTTTTAATTTTTTATCTTAGTACATACATTCATATTTAATAATAAAGAAAAGCCACCAAATACTAATCTATCATTTCACAGAAGAATATTTTTATCACCAATCTCTAAGATGAATACAATTTCAAAAAAAGAATAATTTTTTAATTTTTGTAATTGACAAGTAAAATTTGTATGTATTTATAGTGTACAACATGATATTTTGATATATACATACATTGTGGAATGGCTAAATCAAGCTATTTAACATATGCACCTCACATCCTTATCTTTTTGTGGTGAGAACATGTAAAATCTACTCTTACAGTGATTTTAAAGTATACAATATATTATTATTAACTATAGTCACCGTGATGTATATTCACACATATTGTACATAGATCTCTTGAGTGTATTGATCCTGTCTAACTGAAATTTTGTGTTCTTTGACCAACATCTCTCCAATCTTCCCACTCCTCAGTCTCTGATAATCACCATCTACTTTTTCTATGAGTTCATCTTTTTTAGATTCCACATAAGAGATCAATGTGGTATTTATTTTCTGTGCCTAGCTTATTTCACATCACATAATGTCCTTAAGGTTCGTTCATGTTGTCAGAAAGGATAGTATTTACTTCTTCTAAAAGCTGAATAGCATTCCATTGTGTACATATACGACATTTTAAAAATTCATTCATCCATTGATGGACACTTAGGTTGATTCTATCTCTTGGCTATAGTGAATAATGCTGCAATGGACATGGAAGTGAAGATATCTCTTCAAAATACTGATTTCATATCCTTTGGATATATACCCAGTAGTGGGATTGCTGGATCATCTGATGATTCTGTTTTTAATTTTCTGAGGAACCTCTGTACTGTTTTCCATAATAGCTGTACTAATTTACATCCCCATCAACAGCCCACCAGGGTTCACTTTTCTCCATAGCCTCACCAACACTTGTTACATTTCCTCTTTTTGGTAACAGCCATTCTAACAGATGTGAGGTGATATCTCACTGTGGTTTTAATTTGAATTTCCTTGATGATTCATGATGTTGAGCATTTTTCAAATACCTATTGGCCATTTGTATATCTTGGAGAAACATCTACTCACATCTTGAAAAATGATAATTTTTTATATTGGATAAGATTTGCATTATGACAAACACTATTTGTCCTAACTTTTCCATTTTGCCACAGAGTAAACATTCTCTCATAGCCAACACCAGCATTTGGAAACCACGAATACAGGCAACATCAGTCAGGGTACCAGTGCCATTCAGCAGCATCATTCATAAAACTAGGATAAAAATGACAGGTCATCCAGAAAGAATAAGTTTGGTTTTCTCAGTGGGTCCCCTCTGCTGCTACCAACAGACCCTTTCCATAGACTTAGTTCTTTGCCTCAGTCCTCATCAAAGCAAATCAGCAGTTTCATGCTGTGTAGGGAAAACTCTCCTCAAACCATGTTTTTCCTCTGTTTTCACACCTCATCACACATCATCGACACAGAAGAAAACATCTGTGATTAAATGTGATTAAATATGTGGTCATCTCTCCCCATCACCAAGCAGCGGACACCAGCCAGGTATCATCCAATTCAGTTCTGACACTGTCTACCCGGAGATAGTTCCAGATCCCACAGATTGAGGGTTCAGTCCCCACAGTTGCCCCTCCACCCACACACACATAACAGTTGCCAGTCTGGGCCTCTGGAACTTCTGACCAACCAGCTTCAAGTTGGTGCTCCCACAACTTTCTCTTTGGGTTGGATTAATTTGCTGGAGCAGCTCACAGAACTCAGGAAACACTTTTGTTTACCAGTTTATTACAAAGGATATTGCAAAGGATACAGATGAAGAGATGTCTAGGGCTAGGTATAGGGGAAGGGGCATAGAGCTTCCATGCCCTACCTGGGCATGCCACCCTCCAAGAACCTCCATGTGTTTAGCTATTCAGAAGCTCACCAAACCCTTCCTCTTGGATTTTAATAGAGGTTTCATCACATCAACATTCCTTCCCCCAGGGTATAGGGTGGGACCCTCTCATGGACAATCAGAAAGGCAGGGGAACTTGAGAGTGAAAGGAGGGCAGGAGAGAGTCAGGGGCCTAACACACCCAACATCATAACAAAAGACTATAACAAGGGCTATGGGAGTTATGAGCCAGGCACCATGAATGAAAAACAACATATATCATAACACCACACATGCCTTGTCAGATATTTAGATCAAGAAATGGTGTGAGTCAGAAAAAAACACAATATCCAATGGAACCCTGACATTTTTTTCTCAAAAAAATTGGCAGATATCCCAACATTTAACCCTGTACTATTTATTGAAAAATCCATCTAATTACTCAGTGATTAGAAAAATCATGTTTATCATATACTAAGTTTTACTACTTACTTGGGTACATTTCTGAGATTCTATGTGGCCATTCTTATCATGGAATAAGAACCAAACCATTGAAACTATTATGATATTATACTTATTAATGTTTGGAAATGAAAGTTTACCTTTGTCATTCAAATTTTTCAAAATTTTCCTGGTATCCATCTATATACATTCTTCCAGGTGAACTGTGAAATAATTTGGTCAAGTTTCAGAAACAGAGCCCTCTCTTTCGTATTTGAATTTGAGCTAGTTAAACTTATAGATTAATTTTTAAAAAGTTGGCTCTTTTCCTATTGAATCTTCCTATCTAAGAACATAATGCTGTTCCATTTATTCAGAGCTTCTTTTATTCTCTTTAGTAAAGTTTTGTGGTTTCATTCACATATAAGGCCTGCAAAATTATTCTTAATATCACTTCTGGTCTTTTAAAGTTTTTCTTACTCTTGTGAATGGTAGCTCTTTTCACTACACTTTGTTCTGGTACCTAAGAAATCTATTTTCTCATATTATAACTGACCTTCTGTTGAAGATCTTTGTATTAATTTGAGTGGTATTTTTCATTTTTAGTTCATGAGTTTTCCAAGAATCTTTATTCTTTACTAATATTTATACTTATTTTTCTTTTATTGCTGCATGTTAGAACTTTTCAAACAAATGGAATAAGAGTGATGATAGTGAGCATTATTTTAGTATTCCTTATTTATTGGGGTAATTGAAGTGTTTCTCAACCAAGGGCTCATAACCTTTGGGAGGCTGCATAAAAAACTTTGGGGTTAGGGACATGAAAACAGAGTTATCATACTCCTCTCTCCATGAGATCTTGATAAGCTGTTCTCCAAGCTGTGTCACTCACAGTTTAGAATCATTGCATAATGATCCTCTATCAATAAAGCTTATTGTATCTTTCAGGCATATCTAAGCAGAAAAATATTGAGAAAATGAGAAACCTGTGTTGTCGTACTTCTCTGTCCATTTGATGTTTGTTTAGGGTAGATGTTTTACATGAATGTATCACTGTATACTTCATTACTAATAGGTCTTTATTCTTTTTCTTTTTTTTTAGTCTAAAATGGTTGTGAACTTTCATTAAATGTGTTTTGGAAATCTGATACAATTATATATTAAATGTTCAAATGATTAAAGTGTAGGCTCCTGTAGTAAGCTGGTGGTAGTATCTCCACTACACTATTGATCATAATTTGCCAACATTTTGTTGAGGAGTTTTGCAGCTTCAGTCATTTCTATAACCTTAATTACCACTAATCCCTTTGTGTACCCTCAGCTTCAGTCAAACTGACTGGATTCTGTGCTTTCAAATTTCTGCACCTTTACTCATCTTTTCCCTTACTTCTTCTTTCTTCATTTCCACCTGCCTAACCCCAAATCAAATGTCACTTCTTTCATGAAAATCTCCCCAGAATCTTCAATTAGATATGATCTCTATTCACCTTCCACAATTTCTATCCATGTTATAAATGTCAATTCACGTTATCTCTTCTGCTAGATAGTGAGATTTTTGTCTCTGCCTCTTTTTTTTTTTTTTTTTTGCTTTTTTTTTTTTTTTGAGACGGAATCTCGCTCTGTCGCCCAGGCTGGAGTGCAAAGGTGTGATCTCGGCTCACTGCAAGCTCTGCCTCCCGGGTTCACGCCATTCTCCTGCCTCAGCCTCCGGAGTAGCTGGGACTACCGGCGCCTGCCACCACGCCCGGCTAATTGTGTGTGTGTGTGTGTGTGTGTGTGTGTGTGTGTGTGTGTGTTTTAGTAGAGACGGGGTTTCAGCATGTTGGCCAGGATGGTCTGGATCTCTTGACCTCATGATCCACCTGCCTCGGCCTCCCAAAGTGCTGGGATTACAGGCGTGAGCCACCGCGCCTGGCCTGTCTCTGCCTCTTTCTAGCTTGCTGATCTTGAGTATGTTACTTCACTTTTCTTGCCCTCGGTTTTCTTTGTAAAATGGAGACATCAGTAGTACTGACCTTAGGGGGTTTCCATGAGAATAGTGAGGTAATATGCCTAAAGTACTTGAATAATGCCTAGCTTAAATTTAGCCCCCCAATATCTTTTATTTATTGTAAACTACTAGAATAAAAGCTTCATGCAGACAGGTGTTTCTTCTGTTTTGTCACCTGCTGATTCCTATCACTTAGCACAGTTCTTTGTACATAGTAGTCATTCAGTAAATATTTATTTAATAAAGGCTAAATGAATCAATAGATATATGGGTGGTAAAATTGTCTTCTGAGAGTTTGCACTCTCATGTTGGTTTCACTGCCCTGTTACTTCACCCAGAGAAAGTAAATCCCATATGTCACGGAACCCCCAAAGTTCCACCTCGTAATTCCCTTTTCTTAGAAGCTGGGTGCTATCCCTGAGATAAATATGCAACTGGGACAGAAGGAGAAGCAATTGAGGAGCCTCTGATAGCCTCCCAGGCAAAGCTAGTACCTGACTTCCAACTGTCAAATGAGGCATTTCTCTGGCAATCCATATATTTGTGGTTGCAATGAAAAAAAAAAAAAACCTCTCTTTTAAAAGTGTTAGATGGTTCACGTTATTCTGCTTTCTCTAAGTGCATACAGGATAAAAATAATGGCACAAAGGGAAAGAATAAGTCACGTACTAGGAGCAGAATATAATCCGTTTGTAACAAAGCAATGGTTAGGGTAAGAGCCTTTTAACAAAGACCTTTCTACTAACCTGTGAAGAGCTATACTGTGTGCTACTTCAGGATATTGGCATATAAAGTTACTCAAGAAATGCTTAACTTTCAAATGATAAAACTGGAATTCATAGGGTTCTACTAACATGTCCAATATCGCATAGCCAATAATTAGAATGGGTATAATACTTGGTTTATTTAAATATTAAAATTTTCAATGTTATCTTTTCTTACTCCTTTCCCTAAAAAAAATTGGTCCTCCTCTATCTTGGAAGATCACTATTTTATATTATTTGAGTACTTTTCAGAAGAATTTACCTAGAATGGGAAAAAAGAATAGAATTCCTGCCTCTATGTAAGATAAGTTAATCTTAGAAGAAAAAATTTGAGATAAAATATTTTGCCTAAATAACCAGTGCTTCTGACATATCAAGTACTTTTATATATACAAAATGTCTATATAAGTTTATAATTTATAATAATGAATTTTTTTACTTATGATACGTGTTATTGCTCTATTTTCTTCTCTTGACTCTGTATTTCCACGTAAGTATTAAAAAGAGTAGTATCTGAAATTAGACCACCCTGAGATTGAATCATATATAATCTTAGAAAAGTAGTTTCTATCCTCTAAGCTTCAATTTCCTCATGTCTAAATACCTACCTAGAATTACTAAAGTGACTAAATGAGATCAGTATAATCCTGGCCCAGACCTGGCACATAGTAGGTGTTTGCTAAATGTTAAGCCTTTCTTGTGTCTACCAATGTCACATTTTACCACCTTTATGTGTGACATATGCTCATGTTTCAGAAATTTCCTATCTATTGCTGGCATTATTATGTTTAAAAGATTATTCTAATTCAAAGTACTAGCTTTCAGTTGTAGCCATGGAGTATAAACTATATAATTTACCAGAAAGTTTTGCCTACAACTTTTGGGCTTACAAAAGCAATGGGTGATTTGTATGATCATTAATTACATTGCTTCTAGATGACACACAGGATAATTTTTCAAATACCCCTGATTTTTTTAATTGGCCATATTGAAAAAGACATCAATCTTCCTTTTGAGTCAATACAGCGTATTTTGAAACAAACAAATTTTTACATCCAATATACAAAAAATGTGTGGGATACAGCTAAAGTAGCCCTTAGAGCAAAATGTATAGCATTACAACGCAAAAGTTAGAAAATAAGGATAATCTAAATCAATAATCTAAGCTTCTAGCTTAAGAAACTAGAAAAAGAAGAACAAATCAAACCTAAAGTAAGTAGAATAAAGGAAATAACAAAGATCACAGTAAAAACCAATGACCTCATACCGAAAAAAAATAGAGAAAAAGATAATCAAATGCTCACTCTTTGAAAAGGCCAATTAAACTTTAGCCAAATAATCAAAAAATAAGAGAGAAGACAAAATAAATCTAAAACAGGAATAGATAAGAAAATAATATACACATTCTATAAACATTACAAGGAATCATAAGAGAATTTTAGAAACAACTTTATACCAATAAATTCTACAGCTTAGGTGAAATTTTAAAATTCCTTGGAAGGAAAACAAACAAAAAAAGCTCATTCAAGAAGAAATAGATAATCTAAATAGCTCTATACCTATTAGATGTACTGATAATTCTATCAAATATTTAAGGTAGAAAATAACCCAATTCTTCACAAACTCTATCAGAAAATAGAAGAAAGGGGTAATGCTTTTCAGATTATTTTATGAAGTCAATGTTACCTGAAAACAAAACCTGTCAAAGAAATTACTCAAAAAAGCCCCACAGATCAATATTTCTCATAAACAAATATATAAATCCTTTACTAAATCTTATCAAATCAAATACACCAACATATAAAGAGAACAATTCATCATGTCCAAGTGAGATTTATCATGAAAATGTAAGATTAGTTTAAAATTTTTAAATTAATCAGCATAATAATAAGAAAGCAAACAACCTATATAAAATAATGGGCAAAATATTTGAACAGATACTTTGCCAGAAATGATATACAAGTGGTAAGATAAGTGCATGAAAACATGCTCAACATAGTCACAAGGGAAATGTAAAGTAAATGCAAAATAAGATACCAATACATACCCTGTTGACGAAAATTAGAAAGACTCCTAACTAAGCGTTAGGAGTTCTAACACTTAGACGTAGTAAATGTTAGCTGTTAACAACTAGAATTCTCACATACAGCTGGTAGGAATGCAGAAAAATACAGACACTTTGGAAAAGAGTTTAGCAGTTTTTTAAAACTTATATACTTACTATATGACCCACCACTACTATTCCGCATATACCCCTAAGAGAAAGTAAAATATATATATATATATATATATATACACACACAAAGCCTCTTACATTAATGTTCATAGCAGCTTGATTCATAATAGCCAACAACCTGAAATCACCATCAACTGATAGATGAATAAACAAATTGTGGTATATCCATACAATGAAATGTTACTCAGCAATGAAAAACAAAAACTAACAGCTGATAGAGGAAAGGACATAGATGAATCTCAAGATTATTATGCTAAGTGACAGAAGTCAGACACAAAAGACCTTTGTGTATGACTTAATTTATATGAAATTCTAAAAAGATAAACGTATAGTTAGTTAAAACAGATATATGATTCCCTAAGACTGGGGGTCGAAATGAGGATCTACTATAAAGGGCACAAGGAAACTTTCTGAGGTGTTGCAAATGTTCTTGATATTGATTATGTTGGTGTTTACACAACAGTATTTGTCCAAATTAATCACATTGCACACTTAAAATGGGTGAGCTTTATACATTAATAAACTGATTATCAACATAAGTTAGATCACATCCGTCACATGCTCAAAATCCTCCATCTTCCTATCACGCTTATAATAAAATCCAAAATCCTTGCCATGCCCTATAATGCTGCACATAACCTGCAAATGACCTTGCTCCTGCACACTTCTCCAGATCCCACCTACCACTTCCCTCTAAGTCTTTTCTGCCCCAGTCACACTGTACTCTCTGGGGATCTTAGAATACACCAAGCATGTTCCTGCACCAGATCATTTATATGTGCTGTCTCTGCTGTCTCCTTTATCTGAGATATCCCTCTCCTTCATATATATTTCTCACTTCTTCCAGATCTCTGTTTAAATGTCAAGTTATCACTTCATCACTCTCCTTCTTCTCTCTATCATTGCCTGACATTATTTATTGACTTGATCATTTTCTTTTCCTCACCTGAATTAGCCCCATGAAGGCAGGAATTTCTAGCGACCATATCTCCAGCCACTAGTGTAATGTCTGGTACATCGTAAGACTCAATAAACACAGATTATTCAATGAATAAGGGAGAGTGGAATCTGTACATATTGGACCCATTGTAATACAGTCAGAAGTGTGCAGGCAAAAAGACTCATAATCGTACAACCTTATATTATTAAATGAGAATAAAATGAATGAATTAAGCACTAAATTAAACAAATTAAAAATAAAGTGAAATGAATCTGAATCACAGAAAAAAGAATTAGTAAAATAAAATAATGAATTAGTAACATAAAAATAGAAAGCAATAAATTAATTTATTAATTAATTAGTAAAATTAAACTAGAAAAAAGAATTAGTAAAATAAAAAGAATTAATTAGTAAAATAAAAATAGAACACAATAAATTAGAAAATAGAGTAGGAATTGAAGTAACAAAGACAAGAGCTATTTCTTTAGGGAAAAAAATTGGTAAGTCACTGGCTTACTTACTCCTGAATAAAATAAATAAAACACAATATAATACACAAAATTAGAAATAAAAATCAGGGGAATTAAAAGAGAAGGGAAAAATTTTTAACTTAAAAGATTTGCTAACTATGTCCATGTGATCTCATTGTTCAATTCCCACCTATGAGTGAGGATATGCGGTGTTTGGTTTTTTGTTCTTGCGATAGTTTACTGAGAATGATGATTTCCAATTTCATCCATGTCCCTACAAAGGACATGAACTCATCATTTTTTATGGCTGCATAGTATTCCATGGTGTATATGTGCCACATTTTCTTAATCCAGTCTATCATTGTTGGACATTTGGGTTGGTTCCAAGTCTTTGGACACAGGAAGGGGAATATCACACTCTGGGGACTGTGGTGGGGTGGGGGGAGGGGGGAGGGATAGCATTGGGAGATATACCTAATGCTAGATGACGAGTTAGTGGGTGCAGTGCACCAGCATGGCACATGTATACATATGTAACTAACCTGCACAATGTGCACATGTACCCTAAAACTTAAAGTATAATAAAAAAAAATGGTTTAATGTTCCCAGTATTAAAAAAAAAAAAAGATTTGCTAACTATTAGGCAAACATATTTGAAAACACAGAATTTCCTTTACCTCCAAACTTTACACTTGGTTTGACATTCTTTTGACCCCTTCCTAATCACTGGCTCCACATGACTTTATTCCTCATTGTGGTCTGTGGGCCCTGTCTCTGCAATAAGAGCCCATGAGGGAGAGCAGAGGACTAGGTGCCTTTCTCTGGGTGATGCATGACTGAGGGTGTCAATACAGCTAAGTTGGTAAGAGCTCAGGCTATTGGGTCTCAGACCATCCAAGCTCTGCCACTTACATAGCTACATCTATAAATCTTGGTGTCCTTATCTGTAAGTGGAAAAATGACAGGAGTGGCTAAGTGAGGTAATATAAGGTAAAGTGTTGTGCTCGTTAAATGTTAGCTGGTATTGGGTTGCAAGTGTAATAGCTGCAACTGGGCTCCTAGTCAGGGTGGCAAGGGCAACCTCTGAACTCTGGGGAGGTCTGACCACTGAACCACCAAAGGGAGATGTTATGAAGCCTGATTCACCAAACTTTCCTGGTCCTCTGACTCTTCAGTCAGTGTTGGCCAGACTGCCACTGCAAAAACATCCTGGAACTGTTTAACAGACATGGTCCTTGGTTTTGGCTAATGGTGGCCTCATCAGCTATGGCTTCTGCTCCCTGGGGAAATCGGCCTCCACAATTTGCAGACTACATTTACAAAGATGCTTTCTGGTGTAAACAATACTACAAGCTTTCTCTCTTGAATAGAGAGGAAAAACTCTCCTGAGAAATGCCTCATGAGAAAAGCCTGCCAAGAAGGAAAGCTTCCTTCATATTTACCCCCTGGACACTTCAGCTCACCAGTCCATGTACATTGGTTTTGGGCAGACTTGGGCACTCACAGATCTGGAAGAGGCACTTAGCATCCCACAGAGCTGCACAATATTCATTTGTGGGATGCTGTGCAAAAACTAAAGAGGAAGCTGGCCAAAGCTTTTAGAGATTGTTTCCAATCATGTCCAAGGAGAAACCAGTAGTGTAAATAGGCATGTCCTAAGGCAGGCTCACAGACCCCCTGAGTCTTCCAGAGCCTGAACCAGATGAAACATGCAAGGAAAATGCTTTCTCCAAACCAGGGAATTTGCGGCTGTGATGTTCCAAGTGGAACTGAGTTGACTGCTCTCTGAGAAAAAGCAGAGCAACAGCTCCAAAAGTGACACCCATTAAATGCAGTCACTCTCTCTTGAACTTGACATGCAGATTCTCAGGGAAGTTGATCATATGTTAAAACTCAGAATTTAAATGAATGAGAAAAGAGAAAACCAGACAGCTTCCTGTAATCCTCATCAAGGAGCCAGGGATCAGTCAATTAAGAACTTCAGCCTGTCTGAGGTGGAAGAAGCCTTGGAAACCACATCCTCCATGTTCCTCATTTTGTAACAGGGTGGGTGGGGCCAGAGAAGGGCCCTATCCAAGGTGCATGACAGTCAGGGGCAGGACTAGGATGAGAAACCAGCTCCTCCAGCCCTAGCACAGTGCTTCTCAAGTGTACCACACCACAGGCCTGCACCAACACAGCCCAAAAGCTGGAAATTGTGGATTCAAATGATCAAAACTGCTTGGGTAGTTGTGGGTACCAGATGTTTTACTCTCGTCCAGACATTGTTCAGCTTGTTAGAGGAAGATCTCAGGAGATCTTGTGATTAAGGACCTTTGAGGTGAAATAGAAACAGAAACGTGAATGGGGTGAATCTGATGGCTTGTGAATTTCAGGTGGCTGTGTACCTCAAGCAATCATGCAGTTTCTGGGTTGCCTCCAACTGTTTCTCATTCCCCTGCTGCTACCACCCTGGTGTGAGCCAGTCATCTCTAGTGAGTCTGGTAGGAAACTGGCAAATCTCAGTTTCTCACCATAATACCCTGCAACTGGTCTCCCTGCTTCCAATTCCTAACACAGTAATCAGAGTGGTCCTTTTCCAACATAAGTCAGCTTATATCATCAAAATCTTCCTGGAGAAAAGGGCACTCTTCTTTGGTCATGTTTATCCCACTGCTGGATGGGTTGCCTTGGTAGGATATTCAGTGTCCAACTCCATCCCCTTTTATGTTGATGATCTGTCTAGAAACATCAGCTGGCAGAGTCATCTCTTTCCCCTTCCATCTTGTTCATTACCTGATATCTAAGAGGCCAAGCAGAGACTGCCCTCAAAGAGTTGAGCAGAGGGCAAAAAGCCTGGGTTCCTGCTTTTGTGACCACATTTAATAACACAATGCATGGAACTCATGGCATCTACAGAATGGGGAAGAATTTTTCAACAATCTCAAAACCTACATGTGATCCTTTTCTGCCTAAAAATCCAAGATAGCTTATAAAAGCTCTCACTACCTGAGAATCAAAAAGAGAAAGGCAGGCCCACACTTGGGCACAGTTCCCCCTGATCAAGAGTGAAAGGGACAGAGGGAAGGGCAGAGACATCGCTATGGTCATAATCAGCAGACATTTTTCAGAATGAGGTCCCTAAGGAAGAAGAGCTTTAAATTCTATGCAGCAGAACCATCAAGAACAGGGGTAGCCACAGCTACAGCTAGAAACATGAAGCTAGACATCAATCAAGCAGCTGAAGGGAGAAAGACTAAGACTATCTGCAGTTAATAGCCATGTCTGTTACAATGAAGAAACAAGTTCAACTAGTTCGATAGAAGACACGGAACGGGAAGGGGCTTTTGAGATAACTGGATAAGATGGAAGCTTGCTGATAAAGTCAGCTGCTGCACACAGCAGAGATGTGTTGCTTCATCTAAGAGCTGGTTAACAGTTGGCTAAGAGTTCCACCAATTCCACAACAAGTGGGGTCTGGTGCCAAAACATGAATCATCTTGAGCTTCATTAGATCCTTAATGAGCCACATCCTTCAACTTTACAGTTATAGAATATACGTATTTGAGATGCTTCATGAAATGCAGATTCCTGGGCATGCCCAGACCAACCAAATCAGAATGTCTATTTCAGTCTGTACTGTTAACAGACAAACCAGGTGTTTCAGAGGCAGCTGGGCTTCATGTGGGTTGTCAGACTTTACCTTGAGAACCTCTGCTTTTGTGTTTGTTGTCCATTATATTAATAATGTGGCCTTGTGTATTCATCTATACCCTTACACAAATAATTGCTTTGAGGGAAACACCATCGAATAAATTGTTTTCAATGATTACCTTTAAAGACGGGATAAGGGGCAGAAAGGGAAATGGAAGGCTTTGCTTCAATAATTTCTGTTTAGTTCAACTTTTCCAATCTTATTTATGTATTACTCATATGGGGCAGTAGGGGTTATCTGGGTGTGGAACTTAGGGCTCATTTTTGTTTGGTTTCTTCTTTATACCCTAAAAATGGTACTAAATTTTAGATTTAATATTTAGTCATTCAAAAAAGATATTGAGTGCCTACTCTATGCCAGGCATTGCTCTAGGTACTTGAGATACAGCATTTGTGGACTAAATACACAATTGGACCTAAACTGTTTTTTGGGTGGTTTTTGTTTTGTTTTGCTTTGTTGCCCAGGCTTGAGTGAAATGGCATGATCTCAGCTCACTGCAACCTCTGCCTCCCGCGTTCAAGTGATTCTCTTGCCTCAGCTTCCCGAGTAGCTGGGATTACAGGCACCTGCTACCAAGCCTGGCTAATTTTTGTATTTTTAGTAGAGATGGGGGTTTCACCATGCTGGCCAGGCTGGTCTCAAACTGCTGACCTCAGGTGATCTGCCCACCTCGGCCTCCCAATGTGCTGGGATTACAGCCGTGAGCCACCGTGCCCGGCCTTTTTAAATTAAATATAATTCAACCCTTGTACATAGTCATTCATCACCATTTTTATTTTCCTTCTAGAGTCCTAAGTTAAAAGAACCCCTCCAGGTAGGTGGGCTGAGCCATCAAAATGGAGCGAGGCCAGCTGACGGGTGTAATTATGACCTAGGAGCCAAAGGTGTGCATAACAGGTGAGAGACGCCTTCTCCCACCCTGCTTTAGAAAATGAGGTATAGAAAGGGCTCATTTTTTCCTGCTGTGCTACATTTTATTCATACAGTAGAACAGAGCCTGGAGAATTGGAGTTAGAGACTTTTGGCTTTGGAACATATTGCACAAGGTAAAAGGGGGCAAAAAGTAAAATTGAGATGGGATATTAAGCAACTCACTTGAGATGCAAGTCTAAATTTTTCTTCCAGGATAGGCATTATTTTCTTTTCTTTAGAGAGAGGAACGAATAATGTAAGGTCAGGGGGAATATTTCTATTTGCAAGAGGTGCTGTTTCCTCAAAGGATACCCACCTTCAAAACCATGTAGCAAATTCTTCTAAGCAAGTAGAATTTGTAATAAGTGTTTTGTATTAAAAGAAATAACTTACAAAATCTACTTACATAATGCTATACATGAGGTTCATAGAAATAAATTAAAATATAAGTTATGAGTTAACAGAATACCCAGATATTATATTTAATTACTATTACTAATGATACCAATAATTATCATTTGAGCACTTCCCATGTGCAAGGCACTGTAATAAATGCATATGTATCACCTTATTTGACACTCAGGACCTTATAAGGTGAATATTATTATTATCTCCATTTTTTGGAGGAGGAAACTGAAATACAGAGAGGTTAATAGGTCCAAGACCACACAGGATACTCACCATCAACCCAATGGCTTGTCTCCAAAATCTGCAGTATTACCTATTCTTCATCTGTGCCTAATTTCTTCTGTAGTAACGAATCCAGACCATTCACTAATGTGTGTCCCAGGGTAGAAAGGATGGGTGGATGAACCCATATTGAAAAAAGAGAACAGATCTAACCATCAGTGTCCTCTTTCCTGGTCACAGCCAATTGAGCAGATAAGGCTTCAAGCAAGTCTTTACAAGATAAATCCAGCCTGTGGGCAATTATCATCACTAGGTTCCACGAGAAGCTTCCAGCTGCCAATCATCTGCCAGTAAAGCCCAGCACAATCTGAATTTTTTCCTGCAATTCAGAGTACCACTTCTTCCATCTCAAATGGTCATTTCTCTCTGTCTCTCTCTTTGTCTTTCCTTTCTGTTTTTCCTCTCTCTCCTCCCACCCATGCTCTCTCCTCCATCCTCTTCTTCATTTTTCCTGTATTCAAAGATCAAAGAATGTAAGTCAGCAAAAAGTTGTAACAGAACCTAAATTGTGGATTAACTACCTGTACTCCCTTTTGCCTTAGATATTTTTACCTGTCCTTTTAATTTAACTCAGCATTTCCCAAACTTCTATGGAACACAGTGCCACTAGGTGTGAATAGATATGTCCTGGGGTGACCCATGTTCAAATAGGTTTGAGAAATAAGTTATGCCAGCACCTCCTCTTGGAGCTTCACTACATATATTAGCATGATAAGCCTCTGGAAAGTCCTGCAGTAAAGAAACCTGGTTAAACTAGTTTAAGGCAACATTTCATTTAATAATAAATATTTTGAGTGCCTACTATGTGTCAGGACCTGTTTTAGATGCTGGAGCTGCAGTGGTAAAAAAAGACAAAGTCCCTCTTCTCATGGAGCTTCTATTACAGTAAATGTGACTTAATGGTGCACCAAACATTTTCTGTGACATTAATATCCTGGAAAGTGTGTCCTTTGGGTCTCTAGTTCAGGAAATGCCTTTCTACAGACATGTGGTATTTATGTACATTGAGTCTTATTCTCATCTGCTGATGCTCATATGGAAAAAGACATTAATCTAAGAAATATCCTTGGTCTTGGATTATCTGGATGAATTTTTTCTGTGCTCATAGACAAATAATATATTTTACAAAATGCAAAGTTTATAAAGAGAAAATCTTATCTATAAGACCTCAGTGAAGAAAAATCTTCAAATAAAGGGCAAAAATCATGTGTAGCCTTGCTTCATTTGTCTCTCCTTATAACTGTTCTACCATATGTTATAGAGGCAACTTATAGAAGCCTTTTCTCTCTCTTTTTTTTGTTTTGTTTTTGTTTTTGTTTGTTTGAGAAGGAGTTTTGTTCTTGTTGCCCAGGCTGGAGTGTAATGGCATGATCTCAGCTCACCGCAACCTCCGCCTCCTGACTTCAAGCGATTCTCCTGCCTCAGTGCCCCAAGTAGCTGGGATTACAGACATGCACCACCATACCTGGCTAATTTTGTATTTTTAGTAGAGATGGGGTTTCTCCATGTTGGTAAGGCTGGTCTCGAACTCCCGACCTCAGGTGATCTGCCCGCCTTGGCCTCCCAAAGTGCTGAGACTACAGGCATAAGCCACCGTGCCCGGCCCAGAAGCCTTTATTCTAATGGTATTTCTTGGAGCAAAACATGACATTGAGTTCTTGCACTGTGATTCCTACAGGCTCCATGAGGTCGATGACATTTCCTAAGAGCCTTTGAATTAGATTGGCCTAAGTCTCTCTCTCCGTTTTCTTTTATCTGGAAAAGTTTTTAGTTTCTAGGTTGAATAATGGTGAAATGCTTTACTATCTGCCACTTTGTTTAGATTGGTGCAAAGCAGTAAATCTGGGACTCCAGGCAGGGGGAGATGAGTATACAGCAAATTGTCTTTGGCAGCTAGCAATAAAAGAGGGTCACTGTCTACAAGAAGAATTGCTATAAAGGGTCATCAATTGATTAAAAGGGCAGCAAACACCCTTTTTATCTCTATCTGATAGTTAACATCTGTGCAAACCTCCGCAGCCCTAGGCTGGGACTCCCATATTCTCCAATGAGGAGTAAGTAGGGGATTTTCACCATTGGCACTTGCTTTTAAGACAGATCCTTCAGTATCTCCTCGGGAGAGGGATAAAGTGAACCTTAGCTAAGGCAGTGCAGTGGAAACAGAAGTGTCAGAATAGAGGCAGATGATATTTTAGAAATACAATTAAAGGGCTTCCCTGCTAAAGGAGGCTCTCAGGAGTTTCCTGTGTTCATGGCAATCATTCATTCAGTTGGCAGAGCACAAATGTATAACTGTTGAGTGTCCACTGAGTATCTCTTTCAGAAGCTTCCTGACACCCACATCTCAAACTTGAGGATAAGAGGATACCTTTTACGGTGCAGCCCCCTGAGTTCCAAATGCCTACATGTACCTGATGCATCCTGCCTTAGCTGGCTTCTGAGCCAGATTTCCCTGACCCACATAGCACTCACTCCAACTTGATCTACCAATTGGTAGCTTCCTCCAAAGTTGTATTAGAATCCTGAAAGAAAAACTAGACCGAGGAAAGCATAGCAGATGGAGGTGGCAGCCAAATTTTATATTCACTAATTCACTCAGTCATTCAAAAATATATGGAGCACCTGTTAGTGTCCAGCTACTCTTCCAGGTGCTGGCAATGTGGTGGTGAATAAAACAAGAAGATTCCCCCTTAGGAAGCTTACACTGAGTCAGGGCAGACATTAAGCAAATGAACAAACAAGACTATTTCAGAGAGTGACAAATGCTTTGAAAACAATCCAACAAGGAAAAGTGAAACAGAGTAACTGGATGGGTGGTTTCTACTTCAGAAAGGAGGGCATGTGCAGGCAGTGGGACCAGCAGGTGGGACTAACAGGGCTCTGAGATGAGAACAGGCCCTGCATGTTTAGAGACCAGAAAGAAACAAATGAACCAGAGCATGGATGAGGCTGGCCAAAGGGAAGGCGGGAAGTGGGCAGGGCCAGGTCGTTCAGGGCCCTGTTAAGGCCAAGGTGAGCCTCAGCTTGGCATTTATTGTAAGTACAGTGGGATGTCATTGGGAGATTTTTAATGGAGGATATGATATAATCTGTTTTATGTTTTTAAAAGACCACTCTGATTGCTCTGAAGAGAAGGGATAGTAGTACTGCAAGGGGTGTAACATACGAAAAGTTAGAAAGCCAATTTTTTTCTAATCTTCTCTGATTCTCTGACAAGATAAAGGTTGCCCTGAAAATAAAGTGAATTTCTTAATAAAAGAATACTGATAAGACTTTTAAAACATATAGATTCACACACACACATATGCACATTCAAATACTATAACACAACATTCATTGTATACCCATAAAGATAATACAATCTCTATTTTCTCCAAAGCATGTTTGCTCAAATATTGGTGGGTCTGATAAAAGGCATCATTAGCTATCATTTCCCTTGGATCTTTCCTGAATACTTCACTGGTAATTGCTCAGGTCCTTTCACAACAGGAAGAGGATTACCCAGCATGACATCCATTGCTGTTAGGAACACAGAAATTGCTGATATTGAAGAGATAAACGGGGTGAAAATCACTCCCACCACTGCCCCCCTGAAGGGGTGGATGGGCTTCCTCAGCTGTGAGGGCAAAAACAGACTTGGGAAAATATTATGAGACCTTTATGAGACCTTCAAGAAGGCAAAGGCCACTGTAGGAAGTCCAGAGCCTTGCACCTTCCAGATTTCATTAATTGCCCCTTAATATCAGGGATTGCCACAGTTCTTCACTTCAGGCACAATTGGAATTACAGAAGCTGTGAGTATAAATACACAATTATTTATTCCAAAACTTAGAGGAACCCCAGACTAGGGTAACTAAGGCTTGCCTAGTTTAAGTCCTTTCAAAACCTGTTTTAATGAATAAATAGCATGTCTGATAAATTTACTGATTTCATTCCATTTTTCCTCCTTCTCTTTCAAACAATAATTTAAAGTGGCTTCCAGTATTATATTTAAGTGGAAAAAAATAGCATTTCAAAAATCATGGGATTGGATCATCTTAAGGTGGTTCTTATGCTTATTCTTGATTCCTTTCACTTTTTTCATGTGGTTGGTCAGTCTTCAGAAACAATCAAAATGTAAATTCAGCTGTATTATAGTGCAAGTTCACTCCAATTCTGAATCTTTTCGAGTTCAAATTAATGAGGCATTGTAGTACTTATATTATTATGGTTACATATAGCTCCCATAGATTAGAGGTTCAGGATCTCTTGCATGTTTAGTAAGCATTAACTAAATGTAATGAAGCTGGCACATAATCCAGGAAGAAAGACCTGCCCAATAAAAGGGACTAATCCCCAGTGAGAAGCTGGCTGAAATGACAGAAATAGAATTCAGAATATGGATAGGAATGAAGATCATTGAGATTCAGGAGGATGAAATAACCCAATCCAAGGAAATTAAGAATTACAATAAAAAAATACAGGAGCTGAAGAACAAAATAGCTGGTATAAAGAAGAATCTAATGAATCTGACAGAGCTGAATAACACAATACAAGAATTTCACGATGCAATCACAAGTATTAACAGCAGAATAAACCAAGCAGAGAAAAGAATCTCAGAACTTGTAGACTGGCTCTCTGAAATAATATAGTCAGATAAAAATAAAGAAAAAAAAAACAAAGAGAAATGAACAAAACCTCCAAAATGTATGGAATTATGTAGAGGCTGAATCTATGTATCACTGGCATCCCTGTAAGGAGGGGGAGAAAGCAAACAACTTGGGAAACATTTCAGAATACTGTGTATGAAAACTTCTCCAACCTTGCCAGAGAGGCCAACAGTCAAACTCAAGAAATACAGAAACTCCTGCAAGATTCTACAAAAGAAGATCATCCCCAAGACACATAATCATCAGATTTTCCAAGGTCAAATGAAAGAAAGAATGTTAAAGGCAGCTAGAGAGAAAGGGCAGATCACCTACAAAGGGAACTTCATCAGGTTAACAGTGGACCTCTCAGCTGAAACCCTACAAGCAAGAAGAGATTGGGGGCCTATATTCAACATTCTTAAAAAAATCTTCAACCTGTAATTTCATATCCAGCCAAATTAAGCTTCCTAAGCAAAGGAGAAATAAGATCTTTTTCAAATAGGCAAATGTTGAGGGAGTTTGTTACCACCATACCTGCCTTACAAGAGATTTTGAAAGAAGTGCTAAATATAGAAAGAAAAGACCACTACCAGTTAATAAAAAACCCACTTAAACAGACAGACCGTGACATGATACAGCAACCAAACAAAAAGCCAACATAATAACCAGCTAACAGGCCGGGCGCGGTGGCTCACGCCTGTAATCCCAGCACTTTGGGAGGCCGAGGCGGGCGGATCACGAGGTCAGGAGATCGAGACCATCCTGGCTAAAACGGTGAAACCCCGTCTCTACTAAAAATACAAAAAAAAAATTAGCCGGGCGTAGTGGCGGGCGCCTGTAGTCCCAGCTACTTGGGAGGCTGAGGCAGGAGAATGGCGTGAATCCGGGAGGCGGAGCTTGCAGTGAGCCGAGATCCCGCCACTGCACTCCAGCCTGGGCGACAGAGCGAGACTCCGTCTCAAAAAAAAAAAAAAAATAAAAAAATAAAAAATAACCAGCTAACAACACAATGACAGGACCAAATGCACACATATCAGTACTAACCTTGAATGTAAACAGGCTAAATGCCCCACTTAAAAGGAACAGCATGGCAAGTTGGATAAAAAAGCAAGACCCAATGGTATGCTGTCTGCAAGAGACCCATCTCACATGTAATGACACCCATAGGCTCAAAATAAAGAGAGGGAGGGAAATCTAGCAAGCAAATGGAAAACAGAAAAAAGCAGGGGCTGTGATCCTAACTTCAGACAAAACATAGTTCAAACCAACAAAGATCAAAAAAGACAAAGAAGGGCATTACATAGTGGTAAAGGGTCCGATTCAACAAGAAGACCTAACTATACTAAATATATACACACCCAACAAAGAAGCACCCAGATTCAAGTTCTTAGGGACCTACAAAGAGGCATAAGCTCCCACACAAATATTTACTTATTGTTGGGGTGATATTAACATTTGTTCACAAGTTGTTTGATACTCCTCCCACTAGGAGGTGAGGTTTAATTCCGCTCCTTCTAAGAGTGAGCTGGACTTAGTGACTCTATTCTAACAAATGGAGCATGGAAGGAACTGTAGTAACTTCCTAATGAAGAAACCTGGCACACACAACCCTTGCCAAGTTATCAAGATTACACACACCAGTGATAAATCATGTTGAGATTATGTACCTCTGCTGAGTTGAGAGCACTCTGCCTTTGTGATATCCTTTTAAAAAAATTCATAACCTCAGTCTAATAAAGAGAAAACATCAGATCAACTCAAGTTGAGGAACAAAACAACTGGCCAGGACATTTAAAAGTTTCGGGGTCCTAGAAGGCAAAGAAAGACCAAGAAAATGTCCCAGAGTAGAAACTAGGGAGACATGACAACTAAATGTAACGTGATATTCTGGATTGGATTCTGGAAAAGAAAAAAGGACATTAGTAGGAAAACTGGTTCAGTCCAAATAAAGTCTGTAGTCTAGTTAATAGTACTGTTCTAATGTTAGTTTCTTAGTTTTGATAAATGCACCATGGTTATGTAGGATATTAACATTAGGTACATAATCTGGTGGGCTCAGTATAAAATGGAAATGTGTAGCTACTTGTTCAAAAAGTATTAAGATTTCAAGATGGCAACAGCAGAGAGTAAAACCAGTGGGCTCCATGCTCAAAAGGACACCTGTGCATTTGTGAAGTCTCACTGGGCCCCGTGCTCAGAAGGGCACATGATCTTTATATATAAGATCATGTCATCAGCAACTGGATATCCACATGCAAAAGAATAAAATTGAAACTGTACCTCACGCTACATACAGAAATCAACTAAAAATGAATTAAAGGCTTAAATATAAGAGCAGAAACTGTAAAACTACTACACTAAAACATAGGAGAGAAACTACCTGACATTGATCTATGCAATGATTTTTAGATTTGACCCCAAAAGCACAAGCAATGAGAGCAAAATTAGACAAATGAGATTACATCAAGATAAAAAGCTTCAGCACAGCAAAGGAAACAACAGAGTAAAGAGACAACCTACACATTGGGAGAAAATATTTGTAACTCATACATCTGATAACGAATTAATATCTAAAATACACAAGGAATTCAAACAACTCTATAGAAAGAAAACAAATAATCTGAATAAGAAATGGGCAAAGGACCTGAAGAGATATTTCTCAAAAGAAGACATATAAATGGCTAACAGACAAATGAAAAACTGCTAACATAATTAATCATTAAGATGCAAATTAAAACCACAATAAAATGTCACTTCACAACCAATAAAATGGTTATTATCCAAAAGACAAAAGATAACAAGTGTTGGGGAGTAGGTGGACAAAAGAGAAAACTTGTACATTAATACAGCCATTATGAAAAACAGTATAGAGTTTTCTCAAAAAAGCTGAGGGTGGGGAGAATGGGAAGATGATAATAAAACGATTCAAAGCCTCGGTTGGATGGAAGGACTAAGTTTGATTTTTTTTTTAGATCAATTGCATAGTGTTGTTAGTAATTGAGTACTGTACATTTTAATATCACCAAGAGAATGAATTTCAAATGCTCTAACCACAAAAAGTGTTAAATATTTGAGGTGATTGATATGTTAATTAGTTTGAGTCAGTCAGTCCACACTGTATTCAAAAGTCATAACATTACACCTTAAATACATACAACTATAATCTGTCAATATATAATTTTTAAGATATTCTCTAAATAGGTATAGAGGTTTCTAAAAAAACTAAAAATAGAATCACTATATGACCCAGCAATCCCACTTCTGGGTATTTACCCAAAAATATTGAAATTGGTATGTCAAAAAATGTCTGCATGCACATGTTAATTGCAGCATTATTCACAATAGCCAAGATCAACCTAAGTATTCATCAGAGGTTGAATGAATAAAGAAAATATAGTACATATACACAAAGACTTAAAAAAGGAAGAAATTCTGTCATTTGGGACAATGTGGATGGCATTGGAGAACATTATGTTAAGTGAAATAAGCCAAACACAGAAAGGCAAATACGACAATTTCTCACTTATATGTGGAATCTAAAACAATTGGAAGTCATAGAAGCAGAGAGTAGAATGGTAGCTACCAGAAGCTGAGGGTGGGGAGAATGGGAAGATAATAATAAAATGATTCAAAGCCTCAGTTGGATGGGAGGAATAGGTTTGATTGTTTTTAGATCAATTGCATAGTGTTGTTAATAATTGAGTACTGTACATTTTAATACCACCAAGAGAATAAATTTCAAATGCTCTAACCACATAAAGTGTTAAATATTTGAGGTGATTGATACGTTAATTAGTTTGAGCCAGTCGTTCCACATTGTATTCAAAAGTCAGAACATTACCCCTTAAATACACACAACTATAACCTGTCAATATATTCTCTCTATATATATATTCTCTATATAGGTTGTGGTGGTAGTTACATGGGTGTATATATTTGCCAAAAGTCACCATGCTATACTCTTAAAGTGAGTAAATTTTATTTGATGTATATTATATACCCATAAAGTTTATTTATATTTCATTAGGTAAAATTAAAAACTCAAATAGTCTAATTTCAGAGTGCTTGTTTTTAACAACTGTGCCATCTAACAAATGTGACATATGTGTTTTTAGATATCATATCAAATATTAAAAATATATAAAATCTTGGTTTATGTCAAGATAGTTGACTAGTTTTCTCTCCTTCCTCCAAAAAATATGAACACTGAAAAAATGGTGAAAGCAAGGGGAAAATATGGGTTCCAGGAAGTAACAACAACAAAAAAAGTGAGCCCTCTGGAACAGTTCCTGGAACTGGCATGTGCCAGGGAGTAGGGCAGCTTCAAGGGGTCCAGGACAGCGAGAGATGGTGCCAGCCAATGTGCAGGAGGGAATCTTTGAAATCCTGATCTCACCTTCCTTGGGACTGCCTCAGGCAAGCCGTTGCCTGCCCTTTCACAGCTCAGCCAGGCCAACACTAGAGCAGCAGGAAATCCCTGCTGGGATTAAGAGTTGATTAAAACAAAGTGGGTCTGTTCTGCTGCCCTTAGGCTTTCACACCTTCACCCTACCCCCTCCTAAACCCAGGGCTGGGGGACACAACCTAAAGGGACCACCCTCTCCCCTTGCCACTTCACCCTACAGTTTGAAAGCGAAACTCCAACCACTGGGCTTGTGTGGTCTTGGGCTTTCCGTACTAGGATTCATCTGTTCCCCTTTCTCCTTAAACCCATGGGGCCAGACAGACCCTTGACCTTGGTTCTTTCCCCAATACAGATTACCTAAGTAATTGGTTGAAAGCCCCAGGAAAACATCATTTTATAAACCAAAATAACTAGACATGCCACATAATGTTGGCACACATTTCCTCAAAATGGAATCCCAAGTTAAGAGGAGGTACCCTGAATTCCAGGTACCCAGAGAAGAGTCCTTTTATCCAGGAGGTAGATATTATTACTTCTACCTTGTAGGTAAAGAAATAAAATCTTAGAATGCTCAAGTGACTTGCTCAAGACCCCACAGCTATTCAAAGGCAGAGCTGAGATTCAGAGGAAGAGTAGGTTGGCTTCAGAGTCTAGGAGATAGAAACGGAACAAGACTAAGTGCTGAGTGTACCCAGCATTCATTCTCACTCTTGCCATCTCAAAGCCCAGTACTCAAAGCGGGTCAGGAGATAAAGCTCTATGTGCTCAGTCCTAAGAAGCATGAGAGTTGAAGTCAGCATTTGATGGGAAAGAGCAAGCCTAGGGCTGCAAGTCAGAACTGGGTCCCAGCCTGAGCTTTGCCACAACCTACATATAACCAAGTCACCTCTTCCTCTTTATGTCCTCATTCTCTCTGCATACGGAAGTTCTCTGGAATCCCATGTCTCTGTGCCTGTCAGAAGTCTTCCCTTAGACCCCAAGCCCCAACCACAAGGGCTGGAAGCATTCATTTATTTCCTCCCAATATCTTTCCTCTTCTCCACTTATACCAACCATTCCAGCTTGGGCATCCCAGCTGAGGGCCGGGTGTGGATTGTTTGAAAAGACATATGGCATCCCAGTGTAGCTGAGAGTCCAATCTCAAGGGGAAACCATTGTTCATTCATCTGGACCGAGTGACATTCTTTATGCAAGAATAACTCTTGATTAAAGGGTGAGTTTTAATGGAAACTAATTAGGCAAACTCTTTAGCCTGGGCATAATGATCAAATGAGCTGTCACATCATACCTGATACAATGATCTCACTCACTACAAGATTTTATTCCTTAGCAATTACACTCCCACATGGCACTGTGTGCCGTTATTGCCTGGAGCACACATGTCAAATTAAAGAGCAACTTATGCACCTGATATTTAATTATTGCCTAGTACTACAGACACCCAGGGAATGTCAAAGTGAGCAGTCCTGCTTGGGAGAAACGAAAACTGAAATCTTCTTCTGCAAAGGAGAAAAAAAAATAGGGATAAAACATGTATAGGCTACTATAGTTTCTTATTCAGCCATCTTACAATTCACAGTTACAAAACCTGCTCTCCCCAATCTTGAATAATTTACCATTTTTTTTCTTCATCCAGAAAAGTCAGCAGAAGGAAAGTTGCAGGTAAAGGCACTGGGGTCCTATTGGTATTTGCTTACTTATGTGATTAATGTGGTCAAGATCTGGTCAAAGTTGAGCTCTTCCTAGAAGTTATTCTTCCCCTAACAGGATTTGACAGGAAAGAGGGTGCCTCACGTGCCTCACCAGCCCAAAGGGAAACGTTTGCCCTCAAGGCTGAGCACTGAGGAAGCCCCATCTTGCACTTCAGTCACACTTGGTAACAAATTTGAAAAGTTGACCAAAGTTTCTCCCCAATGCATTTGTCTAAAAGTTGAGAAGGTGAAAAGTCACTGAGATGTAAGGATCAGTTCAAACTTTGGCTGTATATTAGACTAATCCAGAGAGCTTTCCAAACATACTGACACTCAGAATCTTATCTAATTGAATTAAATCAGGGGAGAGAGGCTGGGTAATTTTTTTAAATCTCCTCAGATGATTCTAGTGTTCATATAGGGTAGAGAGCCACTAGTCTGGATAGAAACCAGCCAGACATAAAGGTGTGCTTGGTGTTATAGGAGGTGCTTTCTATCTTCGAACTACCAGACTCCTGTGCCTTTGCACTTGCTGTTTTCTCCTCTGGAATGCCCTTCCCCATCCTCTCTTTCTACCTGGAAAAATCTCATTTATGCTTCAACACCAAGAGTAAATGTCACTTTCCCTATGAAGTCTCCCCTGGTTTCCTCAGGAAGTGTTGCTTCAGCATCCACCAGGAGCCAGATACAAAGCTCAAAGGACCATTAAATCAAACTATTCTCCTCAATGGAGGCTCTAGAAGGGAAGCTTCATGTCTTCAGCAACCATCTGTGTTCCCCAGCTGAGCAAATTCTGAGAGTGTCTATGTCCATTTTGCTCCAGATAAAGAAATTCAATTACCCCTTATCAACATTGCAACATTGTACTGCCTAATACTAAAATGCCTTAATATGAGTGCTTTAGTATTTAGTAAACTGCACAGCTTGCGAAAACCCCTCCAAACATCTGGCAGGAGGCCCAGGAGAGGTGAGGCTGGAACCTCTAATGATGGAAACATGTAAACAAGTGTTTTGTATCAACTGATAGTCATTAACTTCCAGTGTCAGCCTTATCCCCAGAGATCTGGTTCCTTAGCTTTGCAAAGGCTTCTGGGAAACAGCAGCTGGGGTGGGGCCTGGGCACACCCTGGGGTTGAGGGAGGACAGGCCTGTCACTGCCAACCTGGAGGTGATGCCTCTGATGAAAGAGAGTGGATCTAGGGACTCTTATCTTCCTTCCAGGGCCTTGGATGCTGTGTAAGGATTGATTCTCAACTGTGCCACTGGCTGGCTGTGTGACCTTGAACAGGAAACCTCAGTTTCTCTGTCTTTCAGGTGGAGTTAGCAAAGATCTCTACTTCACAGAGCAGTTGAGCTGTATGTATGAAAATCTGTGCCAGCAAGGCTTCTAGCATAGTACTGGCTTACAGAAGGCAGTCAATAAGGGAAATTTCTTTCTCCATTCTTCCCTTTAGACCTTCCTAACTAGAACCTAGACCTGTCAGATGACCCCCTTTCCTATGTGGCAAATAAAGGCTGCTTGATCTTATGATCCCTGGGCTACAGTTTGTGGTGTTTGTGTACATGAATACTGAAATAAAAACCCATAATGGAATAGCTGGATTTTTATTTTCTCTGACCATTATTAATAAATATTTGTCCAAATATCATTTTATTCAATAAAGATGAATTGAGTAACTACTATGTTCCAGGCACAATGTACACTGAGATTATTTAGAAGTGTGTCTGCACCTTGGATTCCCCAGAAGACACTCAACTGACAGACAGTGGGAGGCATTACTAAGGAGTACATTTAAGATCCACTCCTGTTAAAGGGAGTTATTATGGAGTGAACTATGTTCCCCCAAAATTCATATGCTGAAATCTTAGCCCCCAGTGATACTGTATTTGGAGTTAGGGCCTTCAAGGAGATAATTAAGGTTAAATAGGGTCATAAGAGTGAAGCCATAATCTGATAAGACTGGAGTCCCTATAAGAAGAGGAAGAGACACCAGAAATCTCTTTTCCCCGTGAACATAGAGGAAAAGCAACATGAGGATACAGCAAGAAGGCAGCCATCTGCAAGCCAGGAAAAGAGCCCTCATCAGAAACCAACCCTGCTGGTTGGTTTCAACCAAACTTGATGTTGGACTTCTAGCCTCCAGAACTGTAAGTAAATAAATTTCTGTTGTTTAAGCCACCTAGTTGGTGATATTTTGTTATGGTAGCCTGAGCTTACTAAGACAAGAAATGAAGGAAACATGAAGGGCAGAGGGAGACACTGAGCTGTAATGCAGTCCCAATTAAGACCTCACTTGGCCCCATAGAGAGCTCTGGAGCCTGGATGGTCACTCAGAGTCATCTCTAATGGTAGTGAGAGTCTGGGTCTTTATGCTCCCAGGTCATCAGACATTGGAATCAGGTTGCCCTTAAAAAGAGGCATAACCCTGGAAGAGATAGTTTTCTTCAGTTGGGCAAAACCCAAGAAGGCTGATGGGATCCATGCAACACAGCATCCACTCACAATGTAATTCTTCATGGGGCTAGTGAGCAGGGCCCTTTATCCAGTACCTACCGTGTGCCAGAAACTTCACTCATGACATTTTATTTGATGTTCACAATGCTCTCATGAGACAATACCTGTGTCACAGAGAATGTTAAATAACCTGCCCAAAGTCACAACGGTGATAAACAACATAGCTAGAATTGAAAAAAAGGCCTATCTTCCAAAGACCCTACTCTTGCCTTGACATGATGCTGCCACTCCATAGGTAACTTTCGTCTCCTGCAAGATGTACTTCCTGTCCTTGTCTAGCAGTTTCTTGTCCCCATGGCACCTTGTACATCTCCCTTGAAAGCCTACTTCACTTTACCTTATAACAACCTTATTAGTTGGCACTTATTTGTCATTTACAATGTCCCAGACACTGTGCTAGCTCTATTCTTATATTAATTCATTTAATCTTTCCAATGGCCCTCTGAAGCATTATTTTTGTCAGTCCCATTTTACTAATGAGAAGGCTAATAAGACACATAGCTGTTAAATAAATTTTCCAAAGACACCCAGCCAGGATTTGAACTCAGGAGGTCTGTTTCCAGATATAATGGCCATGCCTGCCTCCCTTCTGATCTGCATATACTTGGAGAAAGTGGCCAAGTCTTGTTCATCTTTTCTACCCCAGTGCCTTAGCTGGAACTAATGTATAGTAAGTTCTCTGTAAGATTTTCCCAAATAACTGAATGATGCCTTGCACATGAACATTTGGAAAATGATTTCACTTGATTTATATGGAAAAAGCCTAGAAGAAAAGACACAAAATCCATTTGCTCTGTTGAAATAATATCTTTTTAAGAGCTCAAAATTTGTGGTGGCAAACTATCTCTTCACTTCCTATCCCTGTTGTAAGAGCAGACATCTATTCCATTTCTGATTGCATTGCTGGTGGGATGAAGTTTTCCCTAGGTCCATGAGGATCTAATCCAGAAATATCCCAGGCATCACAGTATGGTGCTGGCTTTCCAAGGATCCTACAACCGATTCTACGATGAAAAAATCAAAATTCCCATCCCCACTGCAACTCTGAGGTGATATTGGAATTGAGACCCAAATAACAAGAAGTAGCCAACCTTGTGACAATTTGGGAGAGCAGCATTTCAGGCAAGGGGAGAAAGTGGGTGTGAAGACCCTGAAGCAGGGGAGAAAGTGGTGTGAAGACCCTGAGGAAGGACTAAGCTTGCCAATGTTTCCAGGGATAGAAAGAAGGTCAGTGTGCTTGAAGCAGTCGAGCAGTGGTCGAAGTAGTGGAGTAGAGAAGGATGGAAGAATGGTAAGTCTTAAGACCTAAGGCCTGAGAAGCAGGAGGGAGGACACAAACTGTCCAGACCCTTACAGGCCATAGAATAATGGGGAACCATTGAAAAGCTTTAAGACAGAGAGAAATGTAGTATGATTTCACAGATCACTGTGGCTGCTGAGTGAAGAATGAACTGTAGATAACAAAACTGGAAGCAGGGAGACTTCATTCACTTTCTTTTTTTCTTTCTTTCTTTTTTTTTTTTTTTTTTTGAGACTGAGTCTTACTCTGTTTACTGGTTTACCAATTTTGGCTCCTGATTCCAACCCCAGTGTTCCTACTGAGCAATTCAGTTTCCCCAGTTCCTTCCTCCCTCATCCGAGGCTCCCCAAGAATTGACCTGCCATGTTGTTAGCTACTTGGTCACCTGCCTAGCTGGCTCTGCGCAATTCGGGATCAGATGGGTAGTCTAGATCCCAAAATGGCAGTGATTTGATTCATAATTGTCACTTATAACCCCTAAAGGTGTTGACTGCAAGATCCATGAAGGCATAGCAAGAGTTGACACTGTTCATCGAGGCTTCTGTAATGCCACACAGAATGGGTGCCCCAAAGATGATGGTTGGGTGAACGGATGGCTATAGATGTCCTGGATGCTCACTGCCAGTCTGGGATGGAGGGAGCCTCCACTGATGGAGGAATCATGGGGAGGAGTTTCAAGAAAGCTGCGGTCCAGCAAACAGTGCTTATCTTGAAGGCTTTATGCTGGCTGGGTTGAAGCAGCGCAGAGGCCCTTCCTTGGACCAGGTAGGACCCACTAGGTTGCCAGACTGGTTCATTAGTGGCCTGACATTGCACATCTGCAACTGGGTAACTTTTATTTTAACTATGGCCTCCCAGCCGTAATGAGGGCTCATAACTATGTTTTATATAACACAGATTATGCGTTGGCATAGAGCTCATAAAGGGGCACTGATTATGAACTATGCTGGGGAGTCTGGGGTACACCATCCTGCTACCCAGTACAGAACACCCATCCATGTGGGATGGATTTGAATCAAAAAAGGATGGGTAATTTGGGAGGGAAGGGTGCTGTGAGTGCAGGACTCCTGGCAGACCAGGAAGGGTTTCTGGGATATGTCTGTCTCCTAAACCATCCTGGTACCAACCTGTTAGAATTCAAGACAAACCTGGGGCCTGATGAGAACACTAGGTGCAGGAGAAAGTCATTTTTTATTTTCTTAAATGCTTTCTTACTCCTTCATATTTATATATACATGTGCAAACATATACAATATTTGATTTTGCTTTCATTGAACTTATTTTATAAAGGTGGCCACCCTTCATTCCTGGACTTGGTAATGGGACAATAAAGGATTTCAGAGGACTGGCATAAGGTCTGAATCGAGACTTGGATTTTAGCATCATACCCGCTATTTGCTAGCTGTTACTTTGAATCATATATAATACACCAACTCCTTGGATCTCAGTTTTCTCATTCATAATATGGGAGCATCCTCTCTCCCATTTGGGGCAGGGTTGTTGTAAGATTTAAAGTGTAACAGTAACAACATGTATTGAGACATTAGTGTTAGGCACTTTATGTGTGTTAATTCATTTAAGCCTATCAACAACTCTCCCTGGTAGGCACACATGACATCTCTGACTTTAAAATGTGGAATCAGAGAGGTTAGGAATTTGGCTGTAGGTCACAGAGCTAGACAGTGAGGGAGGCAGACTTCAAGCCCAGGTAGTCTGACTCCAGAACTAAAGAACCCAGCCCAGTCCTTAGAGCAGAGTAAACGCAAACAAATGGTGGGGCTCACCATCATTTTTACCAGCTGCATACCAGTTGCATGCCTAAATCTCTGTGACCATCATCAGGCCTTGGGTATAGCTCAAGGTCCTTATTAAAGGGATGGAGACATCATTGAGTTCCTTGAAAAGGCAGAGTTGAGGCCTGGTGCCCCTGAGGCCTGATCCCCTGGTTACTGAGGAGGCAGGTAGAGCCCCTCCCCAAAGGTAAGATGGAAGCAATGACAGCAGGAAAAGAACACAGGGTAGAAGACAGGAGATCTGGACTCTACTCCCAGGCTGTCACCTGCCTGCTATCCTCGAGGTTCTGCCTAGGGGATGACAGGGCCTGTCTGGGCTGGCTTTGGGATCAAGATGTGAGGAGTGAAGTGCAAGAGGGAGAAGCCAAGAAGCGCCCACTGAATGCAGGTGAGACTAAGTAATGGGTCCTCAGCCCCATCTTGCGGGGCTTGCTTCCTGGAGGTCACCCATCATATTCAGGTGGTCCAGCTCCTTGTCCTGAGGAAGCCACAAGGCTCAAACACTCAAACCTTGGTAGGCAGCGTCAGGGAGCCAGAGCTCTGGCCCAGCCCAGCAAGGGTCTATGGCATACCTGGTTAGAGCCCCCATCCAGCCTCGGTTTATCCCATGAGTAAAATGAGGGGGGTTGACTAAACAAATTTTAGTGCCTCTAACATCTTGAAAATTCCACGTCCCCAAGCCTAACTTCATCCACAGCCATATACAATATCCTTAGGGCAGAGCAATTTCATTTACGTCAAATGATTTCCCTGCACATAAATAGGAGTGAAACAAAGGCCTCCTTTCTCTGAATCGTTAGTGCTCATGCAGACACACACACACTCACACACATGCTCGTACACCCTCATAATGCTTCTACAGCCCACCCCCACCCAGTCATGCACAAAGGCACACACACACTGGCACACAGAGGCACAAACACCTGGACTCTCTAGGCTGCTCCTTCCCCCACCCCCACTCCTGCTCATTCCCCACCCCAACCCTCTTCCAACACCCTTGCTGGGAAGCAAAGAGGCCTTGCCTGCCACTGTGAGTTACCTAACCTGATGGGCTGGTGCCACCCCATGGTCAGGATCAGAAGTGCATCCTTGTTTCCAAGACCCAAAACGGATTGGGAAGGGTCCCAGGCCATTTGGTCCATCCCCCTTCTCCCTCTAAGAAGGCTGTATCCCAAGATGCCCTACACAGATTAGGTTGTCTAGGGTCTTTAAAGCCTTTCAAACAAGGGTTCCTCACATGATGCCCCTAGTTCTTTCCAAAGGTCAGAGAATTGCCACTGATACTCTGGACACCCTTGAGCTAGAGCTGAAAAATATTGGGTGCAAACTGTGTGCTCACATCATTCTAGACGCTTTAGCTGCAATATCTTTTTAATCTTCGTAACTGCTCTTTTCAGGGCACATATTGTCTTCATTTTAAAAAGCTACAGTCAAGAAGAAATGGCACTAAGATATGACCCCAGCTCTGTCTGACTCCAAAGTCAGTGTTCTTTTCAGTAGCCACTTGGCCATCCTGGACTTCAGCTTCGTCATTTGTACATGATTAGTTCCAATCATTCAATTTTTCATTCATTCCTTCAATGAGCATGTATTGATGCCAATCATTCAATCATTTATTCCTTCAGTGAGGTTTGATTGAGCACCTATTATGAACCAGTATCTTGTTAGGGGCTGAGAATTCAGCAAGCACCAAGGTGTGGCCCTTGCCTTAAGGAGCACCCCGTCTTCTAGAATCAGTGACCACTCATGTCCTCCTAGGTCCCTGATTCTATGACTTTTCTTTGCCAAGTAGGACAAAGGCCCTGAGGAGAGGCCAGGGCAAGAAAAGTGAACAAGTTCTAGTCCAGAGTGATAAGGCTCTCAGCCCACAGAGGAGAAGAGCAGTCATGTCCTTACCCAAGTGTCCCCTGGTCCACACCCTGCTAGTCTGGGATTGCCTCAAGCCTGCCCAGGGCTTAGACCCACTTGAGATGGAAGGGGAAGAAACTGTGGTTATCTGGCTTCTGAGCAGTTGTTTCTGGGGGTACTCCAGCCAGGTTAGAGCCAGAAGCAGGGAAGCATGTCAGAAGCTGGAAGATGAAGTGATGGAACGAAGCTGTAAAAATTGTGTTTCTTACTACTGCTCATGATTCTGACATTCACAGCCCCTGTTTCCTGATTCCAACCTGTGTTCCTAGTCATCTGTCTCTCCAACTGTTTCCTCACTGATTCACACTGCCCTGTGCTCACTTTCTATGTCCAAACACCCCAATGTTTGCCAGCTCCTAACCATCACTCTTTCTCTTAATAATTAATGGACAAAGAGATAGAAGAATGGAATCCTGGAATGGCAAGCACTGAAAGAAATCACCTAGTCCAAACCTTGTGGATGAGGAAAATAGGCCCAGAGAGGGATAGGGACTTGTCCATGGTCACACAGCCAGTGCGTAGTATAGTATAGTATAGTATAGTATAGTATAGTATAGTATAGTATAGTATAGTATAGCCAATAGTACAACTGGGCTTGGATTTCAGGTATCCCTCTCTAGTGTGAGGGATTTTTTTCCATTTTTCTTCTTTCCCATCCATTTGCAATTTGACACTGATGAGTCTACTTCAATCCCGAAACATCTTTCTATCCTTCTCCTCTCCACTTCCCCAATTCAACCCCTACTATAGCATAACCCCCTTGAAGATAGAAAATATCTTTCCTTTCTTCAAAATCTTAATTTCTACCACAAAAATTTGCATGTAAATGCTTAAGATTGGAGGGATGGATGGACAGATGAATGAAAGAATGGATGAAAAAATGGGCAAAAGCATAGATGGGTAAATTATCTTAATGTCTGCACTCCCACCTTACCTAATTTTCCTATCTCCAATTTCACTACAATTTGGCCTATCCTGCACAAGGATATTAGAGTGACTGTTTTTAAAAATAAAACTGAATCATTCTCTTGCATGTGCAAAAGCATTTGAAGACATTTCTATCATCTAATGGACAAGTCAAGACCAGGTGTCATACAATATTATCTAAGTGGGCCTGTTACATGCCATCCCAACCTCATATGCTACTAACCACACAAACACATAAACATACACACTCTAAACTCTTAGGAACACCTGATAAGTTGCCATGCCCTGAATAAAGCATACATGCCCTCATCTCTAGGACATTTTTGTGCCATTCCCCTATCTTCAGATTCTTTTCTTCCTAGTACTAGAGTCTGTTAAAGTCCTAACCTTTCATCAAAGTCCAATTCAAATGTCACCTCCATGAAGTCTTCCCCAGTTTTCATGATGAAATTGCAATGCTCAGAGCAGGTAGTCCTTCAGGCTTTGGTAAGCATGGCACACCTCATTCTGCTCCTTCTAGAAATGGCCTTTCAAGACCTTTATCCTGGACATTGTAGTTTATCATTGTGTGTCCATATCTTCTAACAGACTCTTGGCCACAGATCTGACACACAAAGTTAGTGCTTATTTGGCATTTGTTGAGTAGATGTTCTTCTTTCTGTTCCATATGCTTAAATTGCCCCTAACAGTTCAGCTATATTTCATTCTAAAACCACTTAAGTTACTTCCTAGACCATTATAAACAGGAGCCCCATGGGAGCTGGATACAGTGTTTCCAAAGAGCCACAGCTTTTAGGGCAGGGACAGGAAGGGATTGCAAAGCTAAAAGCAATGTGTAAGCCAAAGTAGATCTCTTAAGGAAGAATGAGGGCTCAAGGAAAAGAACTAGCTCTCCTGGGTGGAAGACCCAACAAGTCAAATTTTGAATCAACATAAAGATCTTTTTCATGATTAGAGGTGTACAGCAATAAAACAGTCAGCCTCAGCAGGCAGTGTATCTAAGCAGTGGCTGTAGACCAACCCTGAGGACAAATCTGAGGACATGGGTTATTGTAAAGGGAATCTCCTCAATGGGAGTGAGGTCAAATCCCATGACTGGTAATGCCCACTCCAGCACTGAGAATCTGCGATTCCATCAGACATCCCAAGGGTGGCCCAAGCAAAATTACCAAAAGCTAAGTTTGACTTTTGTTGCCCATTTTCATCCCTCACTTCAGTGCTTCCTCTTACCTTGATCCCCCAAGATTTCTGCCACTGTAGAGTTTATGAGGGTAGGATAAGCTCTTATTGCCCCTCTGGTATCCCCTCAGCCCATCCTGGAGGTTACCTGTGTTCTCATATACATCAACCTCCCAGACGGTCCTGGTGGGGTTTAGGCCCAAGTGCCCACAGCAGTAACGCACACACAATAATGCAACTTCCACTGGCTTTTCTGCTTACCTTGTTCACTTTCCCAGTGTCTCACTGTTTCCTAAGATCATTTGCCAAATAATCGACTTGTACCCAAATTTTTGTCTTAGGGTCTGCATTGGAAGATCCAACCCACTCTTCACAATGAGGGACAAAAACAGAGAGTCCGCAGTTACTCAGCACTGTATAGGAAATCCATTTTGACCTTGAACAAGGTAATAAACCTCTCTGAACCTATTTTAACATGTTAACAGAGGTGAATAAGATCTAGTTCCCAGACTTTATAATATTGTGACATAGCTCTCTATAGACAATAAGTTGGAGATCTCAGGATAAGAACATTCTGCATTACCCAGGTAGGTCCTAAATCCAATGACAAATGTCCTTATGAGATACAGGATAGAAAAAGACACAGAGGAGAAGGCTACGTGAAGGAGGAGGCAGAGATGGGAGTGATGCAGTCACAAGCCAAGGAATGCCTGGCGCCATCCAAAGTTGGAAGAGGCAAGGGCAGATTCTCCTCTAGAGCCTTTAGAGGAAGCTCCCTTCTGCTGACACCTTGATTTTGAGTTTCTGGCCTCCAGAACTGTAAAGGAATACATTTCTGTTGTTTTAAAGCACTAAATTTGTGGTAATTTGTTATGGCATCCCTAGGAAACTAATACAAAGGTATTATTGTCCTTGTCTTACAGATAAGACGACCAAGGCTTACAAAAAAGTAGCCTATCCAGAGTCATTCAGTCAGAATATAACAGAGCTGGGATTTGAACCCAGGTCTACCTGATACCTTAGTAGCCACTCTTAATCAGCACATCAAATGAAATAAGTGAGGCAATATGCTTAGCACTGTGTCAGGCATGTGAGAGATGCTCAGAGAGTGTTAATTTGCTCACTCCATCTAAACTTTCCCTTTCTGTTGCTCATTATACCCACTGACCATAACTAGGTGGTCAAGGTTAATCAGATAACCCCATTCCTGCTAATCCATGAGTTAACTCATCACCTCTCCTGGAGTGGGCTTCCACCTGGGATAGAGTTACACGTGCCTAGAAGATTCTTAAGAATCAACTTGTCTGGTAAGTATTTCAACTTCATGGCAGCTGGTGGAAAAGATAGATGGGGGCCTGTGTCTTGAGTTAATGTCAGTCTGAATTGAAGATGTGCCAGCATCATCAGGACAGATTCTTTAATTAACCTGCTAATCCTGTCAGAGATTGGGTTCACTCTCTTTTTCCAGAAATGTGTTATGTGTCTCTTCTTTCACCACTTTGTCATTTGCTCTATTTCAGATTTAAGGTGTCCTTTAAGCTGTGCTTAAAAAGATTCTCCATCCTCCAAGGCAACAGCTGTTGGAGAAGTGGCCCCTCAAGCAGTCTCTCATTGCTTCACCATCACAGCTTTTCTTGCAGTGCCTGCTCATAGCAGAGAGTCAGCAATTTCTATGTAATAAATATATATTGAGTAAATATTGTGTGCCTGGCTTTATGCTATGCATTGAAAAAGACAAATAAATGAATGAGACCTGAGTCCTGCCTTCAAGCACCTGCTTTCAGAGAGGCATAAAATAAAACAGGTGACTATATTGTTTTCCAATCTTTTCACTTTACGGTGGGCGCAGAAAATGATTATTTTAAGAGTCGATGGAGATTAATTTACAAGGCTGTTTGTGGTCACAGGCAATCACCCCAGGGGTTCTAGCTCCCTAGTCCCCACCAAATCATCCCACAGACTGGGGGAACCACTATCTCCACACACTAATAATCCATTAATCCTGTACCATTTGAGAAAACATGCTATAGAAAACCAAAGTTCTCATATTTCCTCTTTGCAGGCATTTCACAAATGAATTCTGAAGCTAAAATCCAACATCAGCATTCTTTTCCAATTTGTAGAACACATATTAATGAGGAAATTCCTTTAGCTACAACCTTTCCTTCCCACATTTTTTCTTTACAATTTCAGACCCAGCTACCGCTGCACTGCTAGACTGGCCTCACAGGACACAAAATGAATGGGCAAAGAACAAGTTGTTAACAGGAAAACTCAGAAACAATGGATAATGTTTAGTTCAACAGCTTGTTTTGTTTCTTGTTTTGTTGTGAGCACTTGGGAGAGGGGAAAGCTTACACTTTGTTTTCTGGTATAGGCATTTAGAGAGGGCCTTTCAAAAATCCATAAAAAGGGTCCTGATTTCCAGGCATTCTACAACCTGAACAGTTTTTGGAAACCATTGAAACAAAGCAAAAACTAATATATCTGTTCTCCAAAGAAGAACAAATTGGTGCTCTGGAGATCATAAAATTGCTGTGTGTAATGAATGAATGGATGAAGACATGCATTTTCCTCTCAAAAGTTATCTTTAGCTGTACTCATTATTAACCTGTTGTTTTCATCTACCAATAGAGTGTGTTGGGCGAGAGGAACCTGGTGAGACAACCCAGTATCAGGCATGATGCACAGGAAAGGATACAGCCAACCTTAGAGGTTTCGTGCCAGAAAGGTACAACATGGCTCCAGTCACAAGAAAGCATCTGACAAATCAAAAATGAGGACAATCCACAAAACATATGACTTGTACTGTACTCTTTAAAATATCTCAATATCTGCAGATGAAGGGATCTTTCCAGGTAAAAGCAGATTAGAGATTCATGAAAATTAAATGCAGGACATAATCTTACATTGAATCCTGAATTGGTGGGGGGAGTGCTATAAAAGACATTATTGGACTAATTGGTGAAATTTAAATAATATCTATCAGTTAATATCAATGTTAAATATCTTGATTTTGATCATTGCACTGCAGTTACATAAGGAAATAACCTCATTCTTTGGAAAGCCACACTGAAATGTTTAAGAAGAAAAGAACATACATAATGATAAAATAAATGTGGTAAAATGTGACAAATCTTGACAATTGATGAACCTGGGTGAAAGACATATGAGAGCTCTTTCACTGTTATTGCAACTTTTTTGTAGGATTAAAATTATTTCGAGTTAAAAAGCTAAAAAGTTGGAGGGTTTGTATGCAAATCATGAAGAATTATATCTTGCATTTTCCATTGCTCCCCACTTTCTATATCCTTTACTCCCTTCCCCTATTGTTTTCACAACTTCCATTAAAAAAATCACAAAAAATAGGAAAATAAATCTGACATCCTATATCACAACAAGTATTACTAAGTAGGAAAAGTTCACTGATGCACTGCAAATTTGTTGGTTGAGGGACAAGCAGGGAATCATAGAAGCAAGAGTTTGGCTTCTTGTTGCCACATGTCCTTAATCATTATATATGGTCCTTTCTTCCTAAACATTTTCTAAACATTTTAAACATTCCTAAACATCCAAGTTTAGAGTGTTCTTCAAGAGGGATCACACATGGAGGTGACTGCATGACCTCTCAAAAATAGCTGCTAGTGCTGAGAAAGATCACATTTAAGCCTGGCCAAAACCATCTACCCTCTTGCCTAACAAGCAGCCTGGGTATTTACCTAAATTTGGTCCCCAGATTGCCCATGGTATTAGGTTGCTAGAGCTGCCATAGCAAAGTACCACAGACTTGGTGGTTTAAGCAATAGTATCTTGTAGTCATAGATTTCTGGAGGTTGAAGACACAAAGTCAAGGTGTTATTAGGGCTGGTTCTTTCTTAGGGATATGAAGGAAGAATCCAGTCAACATCTCTCTCCTTGGTTTGTACATGGTCATCCTCTGTGTCTTTTTATAACGTCTACCCTCTATGCCTGTCTCTGTGTCCAAAATTTTCCTTTCTTATAAAGACATCAGGTGTATTAGATTAGGGCCTACCCTAATGACATCATTTTAAGATTTTAGCTTGATTGCCTCTGTAAAAATCTTATCTTCAAATAAGGTCACATTTTGAGGTATTAGAGGTTAGGACTTCAAAATATGAATTAGTGTAGGAGGGATACAATGTAACCCATAACATCTACCTGTGAATTTGGAGTCCTGGACTTCATTATCTCTAAGAGTCTGTCTAGCATTAACACCTCATAGTTCGAGGAATCCACAATTCCCAATGTCCAATTAATGCATGTTGGCTGGCCAAAAGCTAGCTCTAATCCAATCCAAAGAGGTGGAATTTTACATTCCCTAACCTGCAGTTAACAAATAAACCAAACTTTGGAGAAAACACATTACCATCTCAGCTCCACCATCTTTTGAATTTTCAAGGTGGTATGATGGAGATGATGAACAAGACTATTGGGGCCTGATAGCCATCAATCCTTCTAGTTGTATATCTCATGTGGCTGAAAGTTGAAGGATTAGCAAATCCTTTCAATTGTCCTTTTTCATAAATACTTACCGAGTGCCTACTATGTATCAGGCACTGTGCTAGTACTGAAACAAAGGTAAACAAGACCAACATTCCAGTGGAGCTTTCAGTCTAGTGGGAGTGGTTGAAGGTCATGCTTATTGTCAACTAAACACTTCTGTTTAAATGGGATGAAGAAGAAAGGGGAGAAGATAGGGATACAGAGAGATAATTACTTAAACATGAGGCCATTCCACCTGCAATTTAGGTGTGCCCTGGAGGGAGCCTGAAATGGAAAATTACTGTGAATCCACTACTCCTTTGGCTCAGGAGTTCCTTTGGAACTCCAATTGGCTCAGTTCCCATAGGCCTTTTGTAATGGAGCTTCTTAACTCCCTTAAATGTAATTTGATGGGATTTTCAAGAGATTTTTTGATGTAAAGATTTTTGCCTGACACATTGGAATGATACACACACATTCTCTAAGGTGAAATCAATTAATGAAATAAACTAATGTGACCAGTTTATGGATGTATAATCAATCTCAAATTTGGTGGTTAAGGGTAAGAGAGTGGACAGTTCACAAGAAAGAGATAACAAACTAATAAACTCTCTTTCTGTTCCTCAATTCCCTACTAGTAGCTTCTTGTTTACTAAAGGAAACAAAGACCTGTGCTTAGAATAGAAGCTCCAGCTATCCTAGTGCTGAAGCACTTGACATTCTCAAGTATAATTACGACGTGTATGAAATGTAACCCTAACTATAAAGCCATACAAAGTTTGGATTAAAATGAAGTCCAGCTTTTTATCTCTAAGGCATCAGGGTTCTGCCCCAGTCCTGAGTCAATAATAAGCCCCCAATCAAAATCTATTGGTTAAAATAAAAATAAATAAATAAATAAACTACCTTTCATTATGATGCATTTCCTCATTTTTCTTCCATATTGAAAGTGACAATTTCCATTTGTGATAATCAGCCACAACATAGATGCAAATGTGCTAAGGAAAATTAGGTGTATCAGAGCAACTGTCTTATAAAAGACTGTTTTACATCCTAAACCAGCAAGCAGAGAATTACTCTGCTCTATGTACTATATGCAAATGCTCAGATTATAGCTAATTATATTGTTGCAAAGCAGAGCCAAGAAACTGCTACAATACTGTTAGTCTCATTGGGGAACACACCATGAAAAGAACTTTTTTTTCCCCTCTCTTTTGTAAATTACACTATGATATAATTGGGTCTCACTGTTCATGTAACACTCCGCTCAGGGATAGCGCAAGAGAAACGAACAATGTCTTAGTAAGTCCCTGTTAAGATCATTAAATGTAGATCACAACACACAAGCAGGCGCCCAAATCTTAATGTGTCACAGTAACAAAACCAGGAAAAGAAAAAAGTGACAAGTTGCGTCATATTATTTTTGTCTTACAATGGAGTTTAAGGTAATAAAGTGTTAATGAATTCGGCCCTGTGTAGTTGGCATTGTGAGAGAACTTTTTTTTATTTTTTACTACATTGTAGGAAAAATTGTCATATTCTGTTAGGCAGCTGTTTAGAGAAAAGCTTTGACAGTGTATAATTGACTCTATTTTTACTGCGTTTTCGTACGGCATTGTTAGGATTATATACTGTACTGAGTTCTGCTTTTCAGTTTTACACAGTAAGAAAATTTCCCCTTAGACACTTTTTCACTGGGGATGAACTAGAACCCAGCTAGCCAGTCAAAAGTGGCACATCCCCAGCTTCTCCTATTCCACACCTTGACAGGAGTTATTGAATTATTGTCAGAATGCTTTCAACCAGAAGGGACCTCTAAGATCAACCTGTCACCCAACAGACAGAGGAATATATAAACATATTTCTGAAAGTATGCAGAGCCATAAAAATGGTCACAGTAGTTCCCAAGGGTTTTCCCTAAGAGATAAGAATTTGAAAATTGTGCCTGTTTTTCCTTTTTAGATTTTTGTTTCATTTTATGTTATTTGCATTTACCAAAATTCTTTTGTCAATAGCATCTTTCTCATGGAGGACAGAAGTGTTTATAAGTCAGCTCCTCTGACTCATAGCCCAGTGCTCTTTCCCGTCCACCATGCTGATCAGGTGTTGCAAACATACTTGATGATCACTTTATTCCTAAGATCTTGTGCATTTTAAAGTTTAGTTTTATTTCTCTTTAGATTCAAATCAATGTGTCATAGATTGTAAGAAGATACCCTACGTTTGCCTCCTTTTTCCCTACCACTGATTGTAACAGTGTAGTATCACCTCATTGTTGGCAAGTAGTGGTAGTGGAATTATTCAACAGCCAGTATGATGGGGCCCCACCCATCAGAAAAGATGGTGGCTACAAATAATCCGTGCTGCCGTCCTGGTCCTGGCAGGTCCTGGCTGTACATCAGCTGCAGTTAAGACCATTTCCTTTTAGAGTCAGAAAGCTTCACATTTTAGTCTTGGCTCCATCATACACTGACCATGTGACCTCAGGCCAGTTAACCTCTTAAAGCCTGTTCAAATGGTACCAGCTTCTTAGGTTATTGTGAAAATTAAATAAGATAACGCATTCATAAAGCACTTAGAAAAAAACCCATGCATGGTGAGTATTCAATAAGTGATTGCTATAGCTGTTACAATCCATGACAGACAAGGACCCAGTGCATTAATTTTTTTAATAAAAGGGAGGCATTAATACTCTTGTCTTGACAAACTGTAAATTGATTCTCTGACTCTCCCACCGCCACCCCCTTTTGTGCACCTTCCCCTTGTCTATTCATATTTTTCCATGAACTTGTGCTTGCTGCCAAATGAGTATAGCAAAATGGGAACTCAATTTATTTGAAAATGCATGTGTCAATGTCACAACGTGAGGAAAAAAAAAAAACTCCATCACTCAGGCCATCACTTCCCATCATGCACACACAGACACACACGGAAAAAAATGCACAGTGTGTTTCTGGATTATTCTGTGGATCTCCAGGAGGGAAATGCCTTATTTCTCAATGTAGAAGTGATTACATGTAGATGTGAAATGATTACTTTTATAATAGTGATATTAATAGGTACTACTTGCATATAGCACTTACATGTTTTTAATATATGTGCTACATATTATCTGTATATTATATATCTATTAATGGCTTGAGCCCTCACTGCAGCCCTACATATAGGCAGTAGCATTATGCCTGTTTTACAGATGAGGAAGCTGAGGCACGGGGAAGATAAGTAACTTGCCCAAGATCACACGGAAAGTAAGGGGCTGAGCTGGGATTCATACCCCAAAATTCTGGCTTCAGAGAGTATACTGTTGCTATTCTTTTACAATCTAACATCTATCATTTATTGAACATGACCTCTGTATAAGGCACCCTGTTTATGATGTCTCATTTATCCACATTTATTTGATACCATGGATTTAGTAGAGAATAGAACCCAGCTCCAAACCCAGGCCTATCTGATTCCAAAGTCATGCTGTCGGCCTCTGGAATACACTAGGCCTTAAGTCAATGGTAGCTTTGAAAGAAACACTCAGAGACTCAACCTAAGGGCCACCTCCTTCAGAAATGTTAGCATCATCACGCACTTATAGTAATCTCACCTTGCTGGGAGCCCACACAACATTGAGCAACTGCAGCTCAAGGTTTGATGTCTTTGGGTTCCATAATTGTGTCACATGAGTTACTTGCAGCTCTCTGAGGAAAAACTTAAGACACTTGATAGTCAGACTCATATCTTTCCCCTCTCATATCCCTAAGCACCTGGCAAAGAAATTGGCACATAATGGGCACTCTCATTTGGGAGGACTTCACATGAAATCTAAAGAATGGAGGTACCACAGAAAAAGATATGGGCAATCTTTGTACCCAAAAATCTCACCCTTTGTTCATGATCCAATTATCTCTTCAGTAAGACACAACCTTGTCACTTTGTATCAATAGCAAAATTCTCAGAGCAGCAGAGACAATGTTATCCTCAGAATAACTTCTAATGAAACAAATGCGGCCTTGGGAGGCATCTCGACAAAAGTTTCATGGTAATTTTGTTAAAGGACTCATCAAACTAGAGCATGATTATGTGATTTGTAACTTCTGGATTTGATAATAATCTCATCCAATTCTCTCTTCAAAATCTCCATGGCCAGCCGGGTGTGGTTGTTCACTCCTGTAATCCTAGCACTTTGGAAGGCTGAGGTGGGTGGAACATCTGAGGTGAGGAGTTTGAGACAAGCCTGGCCAACATGGTGAAACCCTGTTCTACTAAAAATACAAAAATTAGCTGGGTATGGTGGCAGATACCTGTAATCCCAGCTACTTGGGAGGTTGAGGCAGGAGAATCACTTGAATTCAGGAGACAGAGGTTGCAATCAGCCGAGACCGTGCCATTGCACTCCAGCCTGGGCCAAAAGAGTGAAGCTCTATCTCAAAAAATAAAAAATAAAAAAAGCCCCATGGCCAGTGCTATTATTTTAGTAGTGGTTCTCATTAATTCTTCTAGTGGTCTTCCTGTCTCAGTCTATGACCTGTCCCTTCCATCCTGTCAATGGCAAAAACAAAAGGCTCTGTGACCATCAAATTTATTTCCTTTCCCTTCTAGGTGCACATATGGATAATATTCATAGCTCTTTGCAGTTAGCTAGGGCCATATGGCGGGGTTCAGTCAATCAAATGTAGGCCATCGCCATGCACGCCACTTCCAGTGTGATCTTCAACTCTCCCATTTCACAAAATGGCAGTACAAAATCAAAGAGCCTAGGTTCTTGAGTCACCATTTGGTAGAGAGCTGCCTGACGTGCACTGAACTGGGAAGAGAGAAAAATAGAACTCTTATTGAATTATGTCACTGATCTTCTGAGGTTGTTGCTTATAGCAGTTAGTTGTTCCTAACTCTAATCCACTCTCCATGATGGCAGATGAGTCAGCCTCAAGTGGAGCTTCAGTTGTATCATGTTCAGAATTTACTTGGCATTTTCTTTATTATTATTATACTTTAAGTTCTAGGGTACATGTGCACAATGTGCAGGTTTGTTACATAGGTATACATGTGCCACATTGGTTTGCTGCACCCATCAACTCGTCATTTACATTAAGTATTTCTCCTAATGCTATCCCTCCCCCAGCCTCCCATCCCTCAACAGGCCCCAGTGTGTGATGTTCCCTTCCCTGTGTCCATGTGTTCTCATTGTTCAACTCCCACTTACGAGTGAGAACACGCGGTGTTTGGTTTTCTGTCCTTGTGATATTTTGCTGAGAATGATGGTTTCCAGCTTCATCCATGTCCCTGCAAAGGACATGAACTCATCCTTTTTTATGGCTGCATAGTATTCCATGGTGTATATGTGCCACATTTTCTTTATCCAGTCTATTACTGATAGACGTTTGGGTTGGTTCCAAGTCTTTGCTTTTGTGAATAGTGCCACGAAAAACATACGTGTGCATGTATCTTTATAGTAGCATGATTTCTAATCCTTTGGGTATATACCCAGTAATGGGATTGCTGGGTTAAATGGTATTTCTAGTTCTAGATCCTTGAGGAATTGCCACACTGTCTTCCACAATGGTTCAACTAGTTTACACTCCCACCAACAGTGTAAAAGCGTTCCTATTTCTCCATATCCTCTCCAGCATTTGTTGTTTCCTGACTTTTTAATGATCGCCATTCTAACTGCTGTGAGATGGTATCTCATTATGGTTTTGATTTGCATTTCTCTGATGACCAGTAATGATGAGCATTTTTCATATGTCTGTTGGCTGCATAAATGTCTTCTTTTGAGAAGTGTCTGTTCATATCCTTTGCCCGCTTTTTGATGGGGTTGTTTGTTTCTTTCTTATAAATTTGTAGATTCTGGATATTAGCCCTTTGTCAGATGGATAGATTGCAAAAATTCTCTCCCATTCTGTAGGCTGCCTGTTCACTCTGATGATAGTTTCTTTTGCTGTGCAGAAGCTCTTTAGTTTAATTAGATCCCATTTGCCTGTTTTGGCTTTTGTTGCCATTGCTTTTGGTGTTTTAGTCATGAAGTCTTTGCCCATGCCTATGTCCTGAACGGTATTTGCCTAGGTTTTCTTCTAGGGTTTTTATGGTTTTAGGTCTTACATTTAAGTCTTTAATTCATCTTGAGTTAATTTTTGTATAAGGTGTAACGAAGGGATCCAGTTTCAGCTTTCTACATATGGCTAGCCAGTTTTCCCAGCACTATTTATTAAATAGTGAATTCTTTCCCCATTGCTTGTTTTTGTCAGGTTTGTTACTTGGCATTTTCTATCCAACATGAAAGAGTCTTCTGGCCAGGGTACATGTCTTGTACATCTCTGAACCCTCAGTACTTAACACGGGGTCTGACGCAAAGAAGCCAGCCAGCAAACCTCTTTCAGCAAATATTTAAGAATGTCTACTGTGTACCTGACATTCTTCCACTTTCAGTAAATATTTAAGAATGTCTACTGTGTACCTGACATTCTTCCAGGCACTAGAGAGAATAGGTGATCCAGATGAATTCCCTTATTTCCCAGAGCTTATATTCTAGTAAGGGAGACAGACCATAACATACAAACAAACACATATTTTAATATAATTTCAGATCCTTATGAGTATGATGAAAGAAATGAAGTGAAGCAGTGGTGTAGAGACCAACTTAGGGTGGAGGAATTTTGCCCATGATATGGTCTGAATGAGGCTTCTCCAAGGAGAAGACATTTAAATTAAGACTGAAATTTATTCTTACATTCATTTAACAAACATTTTTTGAGCACTTAATATGTATTATTCACTGTGCTAGGAGTGAGAAATTGAGAGATGTTTGCTGAGTGAAGTAAAATAAATTTAGCATGAAATCCCATTCTTTTGCTTGGCCTTGTTGGCCTAACTTCAATGTAACCTCAAAAAAAGAGAGAGAGAAGTCAAAACAGAGAAGGGAGAAAAAGACAGAGAAGGGAGAAAAAAACAGAGAAGAAAGGTCAGAGTTTTAGTCCATTCAGGCTGCTATAACAGAATACCTTAGACTGGATCAATTATAAACAACGGATATTTATTATTCATATTTTGGAAGCTGGGAAGCCCAAGACCCAGGTACCAGCAGATTTGGTGTCTGTCGAGGGCTCGCTCTCTGCTTCAATGATGGCACCTTCTTGCTGAGTTCTCACATGGTAGAAGAAACCAACAAGCTCCCCCAGGCCTCTTTTATAAGAGTACTAATCCCATTCATGAGGGTGGAGCTCATGATATATAATTACCCCCCAAAGGCCCCACCTTTTAATACTATCACCTTGGGGGTTGGGTTTCAACATATGAATTTTGGGGGGACACACACATTCAGACCATAGCATTCCACCCAGGCCCCCCAAAATTCATACCCTTCTCACATGCAAAATACATTTATTTCATCCCAACATCCCCAAAAGTCTTAATTTCTTCCAAAATCAATTTTAAAGTCTAAGTCTCATCTAAATATCAACCTATTCCAGATATGGATGAGACTCAAGGCGTGATTCATGCTGAAGCAAACTTCTCTCCACATACTCAACAATGTGAGCCTGTGAAACCAAAGTTATGTGCTTCCAAAATATAATGGTGGAATAGGCCTAGGATAGACATTCCTATTCCAAAATGGAAAAACAGGAAGGAAGAAAGAGGTAACTTGTCCCAAATAAGTCTAAAACCAACATTACAAACAACATGACATCTTAAGTTTTGAGAGTCATCTCCTTTGACTCCGTGTCCTGCCTTACAGATACATTGGAGTGGGATTGGGCCCCCAAGACTCTGGATGACCCCATCTCCATGGCTGTTCGGCCACAGCCTATACTGGAGCTCTCACAGGTCTGAGTCTTGTGCCCATGGCTCTCCCAGGCTGGAGTTGTACATTGGTGGCTCTACAGTTCTGGGTCTCAGGGGCAGTCCTCCTCCACCCACCCTGGCTCTCACTTTTGCTCTTTGTGCTCTCTCATTTCCACATGTTTGAATCTGCTGTTTCATTTCCTGGAGGCCTGCCCACCCACATCCTTTTTCCAGTTAACTTCTCATCCTATGGACCCAACTCCGTATCTCTCTTTTTTTTTTTTTTTTTTTTTTTTTTCAGACGGAGTCTCACTCTGTCGCCCAGGCTGGAGTGCAGTGGTGCAATCTTGGCTCACTGCAAGCTCTGCCTCCCGGGTTCACACCATTCTCCTGCCTCAGCCTTCCAAGTAGGTGGGACTACAGGGGCCCGCCACCAGGCTTAGCTAATGTTTTTGTATTTTTAGTAGAGACGGGATTTCACCGTATTAGTCAGGATGGTCTCAATCTCCTAACCTCGTGATCCGCCCACCTCGGCCTCCCAAAGTGCTGGGATTACAGGCGTGAGCCACCGCACCCAGCCGGTATCTCTTCTTTTGAGAAGCTTTATATAATCCCTCTAGATCAGGGTTTCTCCACAGCAACACTATGAACATTTTGGGTCAGATAACTATCTGTTGAAGGGGATTGTCCTGCCTGTTGTAGGATGTTTAACAGCATCCTCAGCCTCTACCCTTTAGATGCTAGTAACAAACCATCACTCCAGTTGTGATAACCAAATACGTCTCCAGACACTGTCAAATGTCCCCTAGGGGTCAAAAAATCACCTGTACTTGAAATGAATGAAGAAAGATGGAGAAGGATGATACTTCCCTGGGTCACCATGACATAGGAAATTACTGTGATACTCCCCACCCTATCTTAGCATTCTTCATACTGGATTATAAAGGCCAACTTCCCCCATGATACTGTAAAAACACAAGGATCTGTACCAGCACATTGCCTATGCCTGGCACATACTGGACTTCCAATAAATGTGAATGAATGAATGACCCAACCAGAGTTAGACACTCAGGAATAGTCAATGAACTTCATCTCCCCATAATTCCCTTCAGAGTTAGTCTCCCTCATCCAGATTCTAGATTTGTTGGTCTTTCTGAGAAGTTGGACTTCCATGATTACAATTACCACAGCTCCAGTGCAGACTTCTGTGTGGACTATCAACATCCCAGTTACCAAGAAAGTCAAGGTTTTTTGTTGTTGTTGTTGTAGTTGTTTCTTTCGTTCTAGGATTTAGTGTCAAATTTAAATTCAAGCTTAAAAACTGGTCAGCCCTCTCTCCAATTCCATAATGGCATAGTGCTCTTCCTAAAATCTCAGTTCCTTGGGAGCCATTGCCCTGTTTTATTCATTTTTGTAACTCTACCCACACCCAGTTTCCCAGCACTGTCTCCTGTGTGTACAGAGACATGAAGGAGGTCAGCAGGGTGATATTTGTTGAGTATGTGGCAAGCAGGCACCCCTCTAAACTCTGTGAAGACAAGGACCTGTTCACCACTGAATATCCCAAGCTTTTATCCTTCATAATAAAGGAATGAATGAATGAGTGGGTGGGTGGATGAAGCATCATTCTTAGTGTTTCTCATATGTGGTTTCCATCAACCCTCATGGAAAGCCCATGAGTCAGGTATGATTGCCCCTTGTAAATCTGATGAAAAAGAAAAGGAGCTCTGAATAATTGTCACTTGATATTAAATCAGACAACTAAGAAATGATAGATCAGAGTCCAAACTTAGGTTTGCTTGACTCCAAAGTCCATACTTTAAATATTTGTTGAATGAATTTAGTTGAACTGATTTGAACCTTCCAGAACTGATTTGAACCTTCCAGAACTGATGGTGACTGACCATCGTGGCAGGATTTGAGGGCCCCAGTAACTTTAGGGACTCTTCTTTACAAAGATCCCACTGGGTTTAAAGGTGCTTCAAGGACACACCTGGGGCATAACAAGTCTTTCCTGAAGTGCATTTTTATCTTGGACACACCTCACTAGGGAGGATAGGTCAACTGGGAGCCACATTTGAAGAGAGAAATTCACATGCTTGATTTGTCTGAAGAGGAAAACAGGAGAGAGAGGGAGCTCAAGGTCAGGGTAGGAAGGACTGAAGCTAAAGAGTCTGGAAAATACACCACTCTGGGGGCCACTAGCACCGACTTCGCACCTCTACAGGGCTGTCCCACAAGAGAAGGTTTGTGCTTGTTTCATATTGTCCCAAGTGGTTATCAGAACAAAAGATACAGGTGGAGCGTCAGTGATAATGAAGACAGAAGGGGAAAAGAGAGGAAAAAGAAAGAGTGGAACTGAGCTTTCTTGGGTGAATCTATACTCTCTGCAGCCTATCAAGCCTGACTCCAACAACTTCCTGAAAGGCTGGTAGGTGCTCACACAGAATAGCTGTTATTATAGTTACTGTAATTACAATTAATATTATTAGAGGAAATTTGAGCATGGGGTTAGGTTGAAGCAGTTGATCTTTAAAGTTCCTTCAACCCCAGGGGTCCCTGATTTTTACTCAGAAAGCCTGCAAGCATGATGCTTTCCTTCTTTGTAGTAATCTTGCCATCTCACCTCCACTGCCCTTCACTGCTGTCTCTTCAATCTTTCCACCTCACCAATTCAAAATACTCTCCTAACACATGACAATAAAGTGCAAATAGCAGAAATCAAATCCCAAGTTTCTGTCAAACCACCTAATCATAAAACTGCCGAAGTCAAATGCAGAAAGTCTGTTGATTAACACTCCCTGTTACAACAATGTAAGCCTCACTGAGAGCTTGAGCAGGTGGCTGGGAGTTACATCAGCCATCCTGACTCTGGACCTAAGCAGTCCTTCCAGAATATCCTCCTGAAACGCAGAACTTTCCCAGGCCTCCACAGTGGCTGTCCCAGCACCACGAGAGAGCAGCTGGGTGGGCCTATGCTTTTTTCTATTGTCTTGTCAGTGGATCAAGGGTGGATGAAGCCCAGCTAAGTAGATGCCCAAGGGGTAACCTGCAAACCCAATGTGTAAACCATTTGGGAGAAGTGGAAATATGCAGATCATCCCCACCACAAGTCCAAGTACAGTCAGGATATGTTCTAGCAGACTGTTACCATGTATAAACAATCCCTCCTCCCCACACAGTTTTTTCTTAGTCATTTATTGTGCAACAAATGTGAACATTCTGTTGTAATAGAGTATATTCATTCAGAAAATGTTTATTGAATACCTATTATTTGCCAAGCAAATTTACACACATACTCGTGTTCTATAAACTAACTATATGGCTGCATATGATTAACAGGACACACATAGACACACAAGGATACACAGACACACACATTTCGCAAATGGGGGAACATACATGAATAAACAAAAGTACATGTAGAAACATAGCAGTGTTTATACACACAAGGATATAGTCATACAAGAGCATGCATATTACATTAGTCTTTGTGCAAGTGACAGAAACCTACCTAACTCACATTGGCTTTCATTAAAAGGGGAATTCAGAATCAAGGTGAGGTGCGACAATGAAGATGAGGCAAAACAAGGATGTAACTTGGCCTCAGAGTCGCCTAATTCAGAACCATGGACTTTATTGACCTCTTTACTCACTTTGGTCTCTATTTCTCTGTGTGTTAGCTTCACACAAAAAGCAAATGTGCAGTCAAATATGGAAAACATGGCATTTCTCCATGTGTGGGAAACATAGCCACACACCTGCTGATCTCCAGCCACATGTCATGGTATATAGAAGCAGATACATGGCAGATAAATACAAGTGCTTTCTGGTTCCTAGGTCAAAAATCCAAGAGAAGGGACAATTGATTCCAGTGCCCATCTGTTTTAGTTAGTTTAGGATAAGTTATGCTACAGTAACAAAATTAAAAAACAACAACAACCAAACCTTAAAATCTTCATAGCTCATTCCTACAAGGTTTATTTTTCACTTCTGCTAAGGTTTATTATGGGCTGCCTATAGCTCTGCTCCATATCACCTCCTTTCTGGGAACCAGGATGACGGAACAGGCTTTATCTGAATACCATACGTCTCATGGCAGAGGGAAAGGAGAAAAGGTGGCAAGTTATGAAAGGGCTCTTAGAAGTCATACCCAAGTGTGACATGTGTCTGGACCCTCATTCCATTGGCAAAAGTAAGTTGTTCAGGCATCCTAACTTCAACAGAGGGAAGAGGGCAATAAATGTTCTGAAGAGTAACACAATCTACCACATTGTCTCCTGACCATCTGTGACCAGGTAAGTGGGTACTAGAAGTGACTCATTCCATGATAAGTTGATTAAGCCAGGAGGCAGGATCAGATTGAACTACTATTGTAGTTTTGGCAGTAATGCTGAGAATAACGAAAGGAAAAAGAATTGCCCCAAATGGGGGTTGATGGGCAGATAATAACATTGTATTATAGAGATATCTCAAATAAATGAAAGTACAAACATGTGCTAGGCCCAACAAACTATACAACATATACACGTACACACACTGATAACTCCCACACACTAATAGAGCACACATATGCAGATGTGTATACACATGTCCGCACATATGAATCATGCACATATGCATGAATTGTGCCTGTGTGTGCACACGTTGGTGTTCAGTCTACCCTTATTTACATGTTAACCCACACACAGCACATGCCACCCTCAGGCACATATGCACACTCTAGCTCAGCGGGAAGTGGCTGCTTCTGCCGCTGGAGAGATCAAAGGCAGCTGCTCCCTCTGCATATTTAAGGAACCCCTGCTGCTTCCCTGTAGCTCTTAGCTGAGCCCCTGCCTAGCCAAAGCCCCACTCTGGGAAATGCCTCCCACCCCCCAACTCCACCCCAGGGGAAAGACTTTGGAATCGAATCACTTCCTTCCCCAAACCTTTTGGGAAAGACCCAGAGAAAGTCCCTTGGCTGGCCTGGAGGATCAGCCTGGCTCTGGCTCCAGAGCCCACTGCTGCAGTGAGGGGTGTCAGGCTGAGCAGAGAGCCTCACTGGGGCAGCAAAGATCTGTCCCAGAAAAGGAAGGACTGATGCTGCCCATTCACCCAGAACTCGTATTTCCCCTGGAGGAACACTCATGCTGCCCAGAGGCTTGCAGTAGCATTTGAGTCTTTGTGGAACAAGCCCCAAACAGGGAGCCCAGCTTTACCAAAAACTTATTTGGACCAGTCACTTCTCCCCAGTAAGTTTCTAAGAACTGTAAAAATTCCAAGCTACTTGAGACCATCCAATCCAGGAAGGGCAAATACCTGGTACCCCTACCCCGGCCCCAGTTCATATCACGCCATGGCAGGCATCACTCATCTACCCTCTCCAGCCAACTCTGGATGTGGCTCTTCAATATTTTGTACAAGATACTTTTTATAGAGATACTAATTCATCAGAATAGACACATGAAAGGAAACCTTTCATCATACCTGATGTAATCCTAGGACTTCATTGAATCCATGAGAAAAATGAGACCCAGAGGGAAAAGGACTCTTCTAACCCCCCCAGAAGTAAATCAGGGGTGGAAATAGATGAACCCTCAGCCTTTGCCTCCCCCCGCCTCCCAGATTTCAACCAGACATGCCAAGTGGGTTTCATCTTATTTGCCACCTCTGATCAATTGACAATGGCTACATGAAACATGTGTTGAGAAGAATCTCAAGACTATGCCTGGACTTGGAAGGAAAGGGCATTATGATCAATGACCAACATTTTGCCATCAGCACAGGCAAGAGTTGGCATGCAGAGTTGGGCACATGCAGAGTTGGACATCAGGCCCCATTCTAGGATAAGCCATGTTTATATGGGGACAAATGATACACTTTTCTATACATGCAAGATAATAATCCTGACCTGCCTGCCTGCAAAAGGAAATGTGCTTTTTTCAGGAGTGAAGATGCTTTGGGTTGAAGTCTGTGGGAGCCTGTTTAAAATGTCACTGCCAGGGAAGAGAGGAGTCTTGGAATCAAGCATCAACCAGCATTTCTTATTACCCTTGGGAACTTGCAGAAGCCTATTTCTATGGCTGATTTGATCTGCTCATCAGAAAATATGAGCATAGCATTCAAACTCTCTTGATCCTTTAAGTGATACTAACAATACCAAAACACCAATAATAATAATGATGACAATTTATAGAGCACCTACCTTATGTCAGGTACTATGCTTGGCTCTTTACACGCTAATTCTCTCAACATTGTTGCAAGCTAGGCTGTATATCCATGCTATAAAGACAAAGAAATGGATGCTCAGAGATGTGATATTGACTTGCTCATTATCACTACGGTAGTAAGAGGTAGGGGATGAGCCCATATCTGTGTGATGCCAAAGACTTTTTTCTTTGTACTAAATAATGGTCAGGTCTGTTTTGGATCAAAATAAGAGACATGAGCTCTGTGAGTAACAAAGGCAATAGCTTTGGGGTGAGGGTGGAAGGAATGAGGTATTGGTTCCTAAATCTTAGTAATGTTTCTCCTGTCCCTCACTTCTTAAATTCTGTAACTACCTTTCTATGGAATTTAAAACTAGACCATCAGTATCAACCAGATTTCCAGGTTTCTACAAACAGGTTTTATAAAAATTTTATTTTAAATGCTGAATGCTGTTTAATATGGCTTATTCCTCTTTTTTTTTTCAACACTAAAAGCATCACACCACTAATGAAGAAAATGGAAAAAATACAAAGAAACATACAGAAGAAAATAAGAAATATCCCTAATTTCCTAACCTCTCTACCAGAAATAGCCATTGTTAACACTTTGGCATACAATCTTCCAAAACTTTTTCCATATATATTTTGTTTACATGGTGAATTCATACCACAATATTGTTTTTCTAGTCTACATTTTCTTTTAATGATATCTCATGATACTCATCTGCAGCCTCATTTTAACTCACTGGTTAGCAATCCATTGTGTGGATATATTTTATTTACCAATACCTATTATTGGCATTTAGGTTGTTTCCAATTAAATATCATTATCATTAAAAATATTATAACCAAACCTTTGCAAATCTTCATGGTACATGATTTTCTTAGAATACATTCCTAGAATTTGGGAATCAAATATATACATATTTTGAGGATTTTGTTACCTAATCCAAATTGTCTTATGGAAAAATTTGAATCAATTTACTAATTCTATCAGCTTCTTCATATCCTCACCAAAACTGGACATTTCACTTTTAAGTCTGACTGCTTCTTAACACTTGTGAACATGAAAACAGAGTGATGCACTTTGGAGGGGTCCCAGGGAGCATGCATGGGGCACAGGCATTGACTGTGGAAATGGACATGTTGATTTATTCAAGTGGACAAGTGTTAGTATCACTTGAAAAGAAGGTGGTGATATGCCCGGTCATGTGACAATGCTCCATACAACTGCACTGCATAGACCCAGATTTACCACACTGTGGAGTGCTGTCTTCCCAGCCAGAGAGCCAACCCTGTGAGGGCAGGGACTATCCCCTGTTTGTCTCTAAAACCTACACGGGTCTAGCACAGGGTCTCGCACACTGGTAGTAGCTCTAAATCAGTTGTCTTCATCTCTGTCAATACATAAAGCTCTGGAACTTAAAGCATCCAGCCTATGGTCCCACTAGGAAACTGGAAAGAGAGATGGCCTGGCTCAAGGGAGCAGGCATGGAGCTTGGATTCAAGAGTTCTGAGCTCAAGTCCTGGTTCCCCTGCTTATGTTGGACAAGTTCCTTAACTTCTCTGAATCTACTTGCCTCGTCTAGAAAAAAGGGATAATAATACAGACTCTACAGGCCTGAGTAATTAAGTCAGATATTGCAAGTGAAAAAGCCTTGCAAATAACAGACACTGCATTGATGCTTTTTGGACTATGGTCATAGCAAACACTTGGAGTTGTTTTATGTATGCTCCTCACCTGGGGCAAAAATGCAACCTCAGAATTCATCAGTTCAAATATTTCTCCTTTTTAAGGTCTGAATAAATGATCAGGGTTGGGGTGTTCAAGCAGACACACCTGAGTTTGAATCCTGGATTTACCACTTACTAGCTCTGTGACTTTGGGCAAGAAACCTAAATATTTTGAATCTAAGTTCTTCTTAACTATAAAATGGGGATAATAATGCTTACATCACAAAGGAAATAATATATCTGTTGTGAGGACTGAAGGAGATATTATAGTATAAGTGCTCAGCCCCAGTATAGTAGAAACTCAAGAAATATCCCCTTCTCCTCCCTAACAACTACAAGGAGGGCTCCCCTATCAATCAACCTCAGCTTTCTATCATCTTTTGTTGTGTAACAAATTACCTCAACATGTATTGGCTTAAAATAACAACCATGCATTTAGTTCAGAATTCTGTGGATCAGTAATTTGGGCTGGGATCAGCTGGGTGGTTCTTCTGCTGGCCTCTACTGAGCCCATTCATGTAGCTACAGTTAGCTAGCAGTCTGTAGCCTCATCCACATGTCTGGCAGATGGCTGAGTATCAGCAAGGGCAAAGGAGGTAACTGGATCTCGGGTCTCATCATCCAGCAGGCTCTCTGGGGCTCATTCAAATAAAGGTAAGTGCAGATTTCCAACAGCAGAAAGAGGGCTAGTCACTGGGCACAAGTTTGCTGATGCCCTTCTGGCCAAAACCAGATATATAGCCAAGTCTAAATTAATATGGTGAATAGACTGTACTTCTGGATGGGAGGGGCTCCAAAGTTTCATTATAAAGGGGTATTCATATCAGGATGGGAAGAATTTGTGGATATTTTTTGCAGTCTACCTCAGAGGTGAGTGCTTCTTCCAGGGCTATCTGTACCCTATGGTCTAATCACTCCCCTAGAAAGTAAATCTCCTCTATGCATGTCAGGAAAGTCTTCCATAACTTTCCCAGGGCACCCTGAAGTCAGTGCCAAAATGGTGCCATGATCCCCAGCCTAGAAGCCTGCAGAGCTAGAGACAAAAACAAAAGAACAAATGCTTAAATTATCTGATGAATGTCAGATACATTAAACTAATTTATGTAATAATGTAAGTATAGTGATGGGAAGGTAATATGAGAGACATAAATTATACATTATTATTGTCAGCTCTAGCACTTATCTTAGTAGCATGTCAAAATACATCCTGATATGTTAACATTTATAGAAATGAACAACAAGTTCTTGTGCTCAGGGATTCGGCAGTGAGAAGCTGGATGTCATTTGCATGTGTACACTAAGCCGTCGTCTTTCCTGGGACTGACAAGGTAAGAAGTGGATGCCCTGTGTGCTTAGCTAGAGAGCCCTCGGCTAGAATCCATCCTCCTGGCATGGGCTCCAGGGTATGGTTAATGTGGGAAGCCATGAAAGTGCATCCTCTTGGGATCAGACTCACAACTTACCAGCTCTTTGATCCAATTCATTGCTCCTCTACAAACCTCAGTTTCCACACCTGTGAAATGGGATTAATAAATCTGTCTTCAAAAGATTGTAATAGGATAAAATGAAATTATTTTGTTTTTCTTCTCACTGAGGTATCTCTTGGGTAGTGACAATAGGGGTATACATAAATCAATCTTAGACATTGGAAGTCTAAAGGAAGGCTGTCCCCTCATCCCAAGTACAGCTAAAGTCTGCCTGACTATTATTTTGTTTATTTATCTCCATTCTATCCATAAGTTACTGTCTGATGTTCACCATCCCTTGTTGTGTTATGGTCAGACTATAATTCTCATGTCCAGAGTATATATAGTACTGGAGAGTTCCTAATAGCAACATCCCAGGGCTGGCAAAAGTCTGCATGGAACTGCGGGTTGATCTTGGACACATCCAGGGCCTGGCCTCTAAGGCAGGCAAGACTCAGGGTCTGAGAGACTCAGAAAGCTCTAAACACCAGAGGAATCTGTAAGTAAGACAGCTCCCTCAGGGAAGTATGAACCTGGGAAGGGAATCTGACATACAGGGTCAGGCAGGTGGGTAGCCCTCATCAGGAGGGATGACCCAAGGATGACAGGCATGACCCAGGTACAACCCTGGCATCAGGACAAGGGGTGGGCCTCCAGCAAAACCAGAGGCAAGCCCTCAGCCTAGGCAACCTGAGGGCAGGGGAGCTGAGAGGAGAGGCAGGCTCAGCAGAGCACCCCCAGAGGGATACCACGCACAGCCCCCAGAAGCAAAGCAGAAGTAGATCAAAGCTGTTTCAATCCTGCCTGCCCGGTGTACCCATTGCTATGGGCATAAGAACAGGCTGAAACTACAGGGAGGAAAAGGGAGGCTGACACCGGAAGTGGGGAGTTGGAGAAGCAGGATCCAGAGATGGGGATGGGTGGTGTCAATGGTCCTGAGGCTGGAAACTAGTCCCGTGGATTCTGGCTTCTTTCTCCTCTTTCCTTAAGTTCCCACTTTCCAGGCCTATTATTCGTTCTACAGTTTGAACTTAGACAAGTCCAGATCTCCTTCTAGACTTCTGTTTTTCCATTTTTACTACGAGCCAAAGAGGCCAAAATTGCCATTCCTCTTAGTCTGTGCCACTTCCAGGCCAGCTGCCCAGGTCACTTCTCCTGAGATATTGCACCTTGGCTAGCCTGCCTTGCTTGCTTCTCAAACTTCATTCCACCCCATCCACTCCACTTCCCAGGGTCTAGGTGAGGTGTCCTGGGTTTGCAGCAATAAGTGTATTTGAAGTTTCCAGAGATACCCTCAAGGCCACGTGTGCCCTGCTGTAATACATCGCTAGACATCTAACTCAACAAGTCAAAATGAATACACCCTAACCCTATCATAGCAGATTCCAAAGAAGGAGCTCCACCATTAGAATGTGACCTCTTCAAGGTCAGGACACATTTTATAAACCATCTGTGTATCACCATTTGTCCAGTAATGCCTAGTGCTTTAGAGGAAAGTCAGAAAATGTTTGATGACTGAGAAGTCATGGGTCATTTTGAGGAGAAAATTAGCAGAGAAGAGACTCCCTTTTGTTGAATGTATTCTGGTTGCTATGGCCAGAACAACCCATGACATTCAACTAGAGCAGGAGTCAGCAAACTATGACCCCTGGGCCACCTCCTCCTCTTTCTGTAAATAAAATTTTATTGGAGCACACCTGATGTTTTGTTTGTTTTTTTTTTTGTTTTTTGTTTTTTTGTTTTTTAGCTATGGCTGCTTTCATATTACAATGTCAGAGTAGAGTGGCTGTGACAGACTGTCTGGTCCTTTACAGAAAAAGTTTGCCGAACTCTGAACTAGAGAATCATGGAATATAACACACGGTCAGGCACAGATTGCCATGCAAACAGACCCTACAACTCTCTCCATTGCCATTGCCATTTCCTTCCTCCACAATAGACACGGTGCCTTCCTCGGCTCAGTTTTCCTAGGCACTGTGTTGGCATAGTGACCACAGGTCTCTCACCACCTGAGAGAGCAAGAAAGTGGAGGTGCCCCAGAAGCAGGCTTCAGCTGGTAGGAAGGCCAATCCCCTCTTCATCTGATCTACAACCCCCCTGACACCCAACCAGCAATATCATTTTCCCCATCTCCTTGCAAAGCCAAGCAACTTTGCCCACCCATTTGCCATTCGACAAAGTCTTTTAAACAGATGACTTTTAATAAGTTAATCCATTCATTGTCTGGAGCTCTGAAAACTGACATAAAAGCACAATGACGCCTAATTAAACTTGTTCTGTGAAAACTAATTTGTCAAACCCAGAAGCACAGTTCATAGATAAATGCTAATATTTGAAAGTCAAATTAAAGTTGAAAAGGTTTGTAATAACAGTTAATTAACTCTTGTTTTGTTTTCCTTCACTGCAAACTTGAACCAACTGCGTTGCGGGCGCCTCTTTAACATTTTGGACCACAAAGATAAAATTCAAAGCTTTGAGATACGCCTTTGATGTTGGTATTCTCTGCAGATTCGATATTATTTTAAGTCTCTTTGTTTAAAAATTCATTTTTATTATCCCTGCATGAAATGCATGGCAATTCCCCAAATAACGAGCCATCAGTGCAATTAACATCGTCGATCGACACCAGCGTCCTGATAATTAATACAGACGCGCTGCCTCCCCAGCGAGAACTGTGAGGGCTTGATTTTTCAGAGCAACTGTTCATTTACAGACTCAGCTTCAACCTAATGAAAATGGATTGTGAAACTTTAATGAACAAGACTTTGCTGTCATAATAATAAAGACTTTGAAACAACGCAGAGGCCTCCATAGCAAGCGTCTGGCGCTGTGCTTGTTGCTACGGTACATCAAACCAATTAAGCCATATGATGAATATTTACACCGAGGTTTTTTTCAACTCTATGACATAAGATAAACTCGTAAAAGTGAGCATTAATTCTGCATCAACAGTTTCTGACATTACATTGCAGCAAAGACGCATCTGCCCAGCCAAGAGGCTGTGTGTGCCCACCTCTGTTTTGTCTTAATAAATGTCAACAAAGGATTAGAACATTCTGAAAATCCAATTTGCATACACAGGTCATGAATACAAGTGAGAGGAAAATCTCTTCCTTGAGGTGCGTGCGTGTGTATTTTGCTTGTGGGTATGTGTGTAATAGCTTATATGGGCCTGTATGTGAATGTGAGCATCTCTGTACTTGGTAGAGTGTGTGCCTGCTTTGTCCCTGTGAATCTATGGGTGTGTATAACAGCGCACAAGCTCATCTCTCTGTGCACATATCATATTTGTGTATACATTTATATCTTTGTGGGTGTGTTTATGAGAGTGATTTTGTGGGTTGGTTTGAGTTAGTGTAACCATTTCTTATATTCACTCAACAATGTTTATTGAGCATCTATTATGTACTACACAATGTGGAGTTATAATCGTTGTGAAATCTTTTAAAGCATCTCTACTCAGGGAGCTATGATCTTGTGAGGTTTCTATATGTTACTTAATAGCCAATCACAGTAAAACAGGATAAGTGCTAAGATCAGGAGAGGAGAGAGTATTTTTGGCATACATAGCAGGGACATATAAATCAAGAGAAATCAGAAAAGACTTCTCAGAGGAACAGGCACTTAAGCTAGGACCTGAAAATAAGGGAGAGTTAGCCAGACAAAGGAAAGAAGTCAGGTGAAGAAGAGGCACCTAGGTGCCTTTGTGTGCATATGTGTACCTGTGTGCAGGTCGATAGATTTTGTCCAGGGCCATGTGAATGCCTATGTGTGTGCTTTGAGCAATCCATGTGTGCATGAGCCTCTGTATACCCAGGCCTCAGTGTCTGGGAATCACAACACTCTCTGGCAGGAAATATCTCAAAACTAGACACTGTATTTTAAATGATCAATTGGAGAGCAAATGAATATGTCTTTGGCATGCTCTGGATTCCAAACAATTTTTGGAATCCAGCAACTCTGGATCTAACAGTCCATTGCCCCTATTTCTAATCTAACCCAAGTTTGCAAGTGAAGCTTTCATATACCTACTATATTGTCTGTAACTCTCATTTACAAAAGCATAGAAGGTACCAAAGGTTAATTGAAGATTGATTTACTCTCTGATTTTTGAGCATGAGCTCAGTGGTTTGGGCGTTTTTAAATCAGGGATTTACAGACAATCTTCTCCTAGAAGTAAGAATGTCAGATATAGGCAAGCCAACTGAACTACACTAATCTCTGAGCTTCATTGTATCCCAACCACACACAACTGTGTGTACAAAAGAGTAAGCCCTCACAATAGTATGGTAAAAAGAAAAAGAAAAAAAAAAAGAAGAAGAAAAATAGAAGCGAAGGAAGGAAGGAAGGAAGGAAGGAAGGAAGGGAGGGAGGGAGGGAGGGAGGGAGGGAGGGAGGGAAGGGAGGGAGGGAAAGAAGGGAGTTAGTGCTGCTCCTCGGCTGCCCCTGTGCTTCTGTGCTTCTTAGGCAAGCTATATAGGAGCAATGCAGGATTCCACAGTCTGTTTTCCAGTTGGAGAATAGGTCATCACTTATACTATCTCTGTCCAGAATGCACCCAGGTACAAGTAAGGAAGCAATCGAGATATGCCAGCCAAAAGAGCTGTCACAAACCCATCTGCTTTAACCATGGGCAGCCCTTCAGGGATTTGGAAACTCATTTTACTCACAAAATTCTTGGATGTTATTTTTCCAGCCTAAAGAAGAGGAGAGGCAGTCAATTAAATTTATTGAGAAAAACTACTATTTGCAGATGCAGCAATAGCCGTGATGAGGCAGAAGTTTGCTCTGGAGCCATTTATCACAGAGGCAAACAGTCCTACCCACCTTCCCAAGGACCTTACTAAGTAGTGGCTGGTGTTAATAGTGACAACCTAAGTCACCAAGTAAAGGTTAAATTATACTCATTTTCCCCCAGTGAAGAAGAATATAAAGATCTGTAGTAAAATACTATTTAAAAAAAATCTTAATATTTATAGCGTTAGCCCTTGGCCATGCAGAGAGTTCAACTCTCCAGATGCAGATTCACTAGCAAATATTGAGTGCCACCTAGGCATTGGCTAGATGTGTCCAACAGTCATCTTGTAGAATTCTCATCAAAATCCTCAGTAGAATTTATTAGCCGCATTTTACAGATGAGGAAATCAAAGCAGAGAGAGGTAGAGTAGTAAGGGGCAGAGACACGTTTTCTGGTTTGCACTCTTTCTGCTTTCTGATTCTTCTTCCAGAACAAGTAGATGCAGGGTTCCAGAGGTGGGAGATCTTACAACAGATGCTTAAAGTCTTCCTGAACATCAGTCAGCAGGTGCTGCCATCCATTTGGGAGGCTGTTTTCTCATTGCATTTATACAAATCCTCTGTCAACATTCTAGTCCCAGCTTAGCCTCCCCTCTCACTACCAGCAGAATAGGGGCTTCTGAAAGTAAAGCTTGAGGAACAATATTAGACTACTGAGAATGACATATCAGAGGACACAGCCTCCTTAACACACGAACAGGGCTTGGGGAAAGGAAAGTGACATTTAGGCTTTGCCATTTGTTCTCTCATCTAGCCTGCACAACTGTCCCATGTTTATATACTTTTATAATGTACATACGCTGACACACATTATAGAATTCACCTATGCTGTGCCAGGTACCATGCAAGTATTATCTCTACTCTTTACATTGGGTAACTAACATGATCTCCCAAAAGATCTAAGGTTCAGAGAGGTTTAGCAAGTTGCCCAAAGTAAAAACACTGTGAGCAGTACTGGGATTTAACGCAGAATGTCTGCCTCCAAGTTCAGTGTTTTGTTTTTGTTTTGTTTGTTTGTTTGTTTTTTCACTATATTATGCTGCCTCTGAGAATAAAGCCCTGGATCCCAAAGGGGCTAAGCCTATCACATCTGCAGAAGGTCCTTCTAATTTGGGGTCATGGTACAAAAAAAGAAGTTGGAAGTTGCTTGTCTCTTATCATGGACTAACTGGGCAACCCAGCTCCCTGGCTGGCATCTCCTGAGTCCCAAACAGTGTGAGTGGAAAACCTGGTTCTATGAACGCAAAAAGGCCTCATCAACCAGCCTGGAAACTTGAAACCTGAGAGTTCCAGGGATCTAGGGGCCCCAAGCATCATCCTCTCTAAAGGGCCCCTCTTTACAACATTCCCAGGGACCTCTACAAAAACTTCTTAGTGGCTGGGAATCTATCTCGATGATGAATTCTAACTTTGTAGAGAGTTTTTGCTCTATAGAATTAAACTACTGTTAAAATCTGCCTCTCTACAGCTTCCACTCACTGGGTCAACACTGGGTCCTTCCTCCATGGGATCCCCTTTTCATTCAGATAGTGGAAGCAGTGAGGACATGTGCTTCTCCTCAGGATGTACACCTGGGGTCTGTCGGTGGCTTCCATTCTCCCCAGTGAGCTTCAGTGGGTCTCAGAACTGCAGACTGTGGGCAGTCTACTGGCGCCAACCTCTGAAGGGATCTGACCAGCCCTCGGTGCAGCAGAGCTGAGAGGAGGGCATATGCTTGGGTCAGGCTTGAGTCTCAACAGCCTCTCTGTTTAAACCCCGCAGACAGGGCCCCATCCCATTAGATCATGCCTCCTCTCCATCCTCAACATTGTGGTCCAGGACCTTAGTGAATTATCACCTTCAGGGGCCTAAAGATTTGCAAAGTGCTTAGCAAAGTACCTTGGAGGAAGTGCCCATTTGGCATATGTTATTATTTATTATTTGTAGTATTGTTGTTCCCTAGCAATAATACCAGAGAATAATTAGCAGGGAGGAGGCACTGAGGCTCACCAAAGACCCTAAACTGCTTTTGATTAACATAAGTTGTGCTGATAAAGAAATCTGGGTTCTAATTATAGTTCCATCGTTAAAGATGAGAAGGAGGAGAAGAAGGAGGAGGAGGATTTTGATAATAAGAGCCACAGCAAGAGCAATCAACCATTTCTACCATGCTTATAAGCATGGTACACATTGAATTGAATGTTTACAGCAGCCCTGTAAAGTGGATATTATTGATTGTTCCCATTTTACAGATGAAGAAGCTGAGGCTTAGAGAGATTAAGTAACTTGCCAAGGTCACATAACTGGTAAGTGACAGGATTAAAATCCTGGTGATCCCCAAATCCCTGATCCCTGGCTGTTAATCACTATGTGATATTTTCTGTCACTAACTTGCTGTGTGAGTTTGGGCAAGACAATTACCCCTTCTTAAGCCTCAATTCCCCATCTCCCAGGGCTTTTATAGCTCCAGAAAGCAAAAGAATTGACTTGAGAAAGACAGTGAAGGTTCCTGGGGAAGCCAAATTTCCCCTTCTGGACACACCACCCTCCACCTTCCTGCATATGAATTCCCTCCCGGCTGCCAGGGCAGCTCTCAGGCTCATCTGAACATGTAAATCAGAATTAATTATTCAAGACTGGGCTTACTTTGCATACCAATTCCATTTTCTTCTGTGTGGGAAGGTTCTCACCCCTTTTAACAGTTTAGAATAATGTGCATCAGACCTCAAAAATGAAAACAAAAGTTAAAAAAAGTAGAAGAAGAAGGATAAGCTGGTTTCTTTTGCTGATTGTTCTCCCTGTCTAAGGCTGGGCTGGCTGGAAACCAGGAGGGCAGAGACCCCTGCAGTCTAGGATAGCCTTTGCTATTGACAGTGAACAAGGGGTTCTTGAATTTCTAGATCATGGATATTTTTTAGCTATGGACTCTTTCTTCCAGAAAAAAAAATGCAAAATGCAAAACTTGGCAAACAATCACAGAGTGTCCCTGAGAAACTGAAGTCCAGGACATGCGCCCCTTGTTAAGAAGCCTAGAATGGTTCAAATTAGAACTATTGTGGAGATGAAGGCCCATTGGATTCCTGGGCATGCAGGTACATCAGTGAGCATTAGGGAAAATGCCTAAGGCAGTGGCCCCCAACCTAGTCAAACACAATTCACCTGAGCTGCCTGAAGACTCCCTCTGTTCTTCATTAAGGCAAAGATGAACCAGGGCCCATCTCAAGGCACCAGAGCCTTGATTGGCTCACCTGAGAGTATGTGCTTAAAGGAAGATGTCTTCAACCATATTCCTGCAATAGATATTAAAATGTTATCACTTTTTTTTTTTTTTTTTTTTTTGAGACGGAGTCTCGCTCTGTTGCCCAGGCTAGAGTGCAGTGGTGCAATCTCGGCTCACTGAAAGCTCTGCCTCCCGGGTTCACGCCATTCTCCTGCCTCAGCCTCCCAAGTAGCTGGGACTACAGGCGCCCGCCACCACGCCTGGCTAATTTTTTTTTTTTTGTATTTTTAGTAGAGATGGGGTTTCACCATGTTAGCCAGGATGGTCTCGATCTCCTGACCTTGTGATCTGCCCACCTTGGCCTTCCAAAGTGCTGGGATTACAGGCTTGAGCCACTGCACCTGGCCTAAAATGTTATTTCTAAATTATAGTATATGACCAGTGCTATAAAAATAACCACAGAGAAACAAAGATGAGAAGAAAGTAATTTAACTTTGAGTGGTGTAATGATGAGTCCTATTTTTCTTTTTGCTGATATTTTGTTTTTGTCATTTCCCATAACAAAAAATTTTGTCTTATGATGGAAAACACAGAAAATTAACATTAGAAATTAAAAAGGAAGACCACTGGGTAGCCTGTGACTAGTCTCTGAGAGCAGAGACAAATGGGCTTTATCACGATATTAAAAACAAGAACAGCAAAGCCCAATAAAGCCTGGTTTATCATTTAAGAACAGCTATGATGAGCTGAATGCAAGCAGAGAAAAAAAATTGGCCAGAGGAGAAACAAAATAAACCACAGACTCAGAGAGAGGCAGAAGCAGAAACCAGGGTGCTAGTTCATTCCTCTCCAGAAAAAGAGAGAGAAAAAAGTCACACACACCCTTATTGCTGACTCCCATCCAGAGTTCTGTGACATAGCTTTAATTTTTCCAACAAATCTCCTTTTGGCCTAAGCTGCTTTAAGTGGGCTTAGTCTCATGCAACCAAATAATACCTAAGACAGTATGAAGCCCAACAGAACCAGTGGGCCTACCCTATGATTGAGTGTCTGGGACACCTGAGTAAGTGTGGGGGACATCTGAGAAATTATGTGTAACATCTGCATGGGTGTGTTTGTGTAACAGGCTGAGTGTGTGTAACAGCCAAGCATTTGTGACATCTTGAGAGAGTGTGTGTGTGAGATCAAAGTAAGTGTATGTAGCACTGGAATAAGTATGCATAGTTAGCTGGAGTCAATAAATGTTTAAATCTGTGACCTGTCAGTTATGATTTCTATCAATTTCCCCTCCACAATCTGGTCTTTTACTTAGCCCAAGGGTCCCATTTTTTTTGCGAATATCACCTGGGACCAGGGTAGGCTTTCTCTGGAAGGTTTGCTGTCCAGGTTCACAGATCGTCAGAGAGAAGGGCAGCCAGTCCAATGAATCCCCTCGCTGTGCTTCAGATAATGTCAGCTGATTCTCTGCAACCCCCTTCAGAAAACTTAAGCCCTAGGCCAAGGGGCAGTTCACCCTTGATCTTAGCTTCAGGCCAGGATTTCATCTGCTGCTCAAAACAACCCTTGGGTGTATTCAGGGCAGAGATTTCTATTTCTGTGTCACAGATTAGTAAAACTGAGGTCCATAGTAATGAAAGGACTTGTCCAAATCCTAGGAGCAGCTAGGATCTAAACTCTGTTCTCCCAACTCCGGAGTCTGTGTCCTTCCAATCAGGTCACACTTCCCAACTAGACTCTGCAGATAGAATGGCCAGTTTTTCTCAGACCACACTTGCTGTGGCTTTGAACCCACTGGCACAGGGGCTGGCATAGGAACAAAGAACACTGAGCCTGCAAAATGGCCAGGCCTATGCCTGAGAGCTGTCAGGAAAGCAGATTCATTCTGTTGGCTTCTTGGGATTGGTGTTATTTGGAGGACCAATGGCATAGAGATTGCTGCATCTCTGTGTTTCATCAAGGCAGACAGCAGAATCCAGAAAGCCCAGGAGATAGACATATGGACTGGTCAAGTACTTATTATAGCTGATATTTGTTTCTAAAACTCTACCAGGAAAATGGGGAGACTCTGGCAGAATCTAGTGGGCACTAAGAAGGCATCTTATTTGGCTGAAGCCTAGAAGAGTGTATTGTTGCACCACATACCGAGGCCACTGTAAAGGATAGCACTGATGGCTGACGTCGTTTAGTGCTGCTTCCTTCCCTGCTGGTCTCATGAGAACTGCTCAGCCCATAGGGCTGCCTGACATCTGTGAAGGCCAACAAAATTGATGGGCTAACTCCTAATCTATCCCCCAAACTATGTCTGCCTTTCCTAGATGTGAATTCCTACAACGAGGCTTGAAACTCCAATTAAATTTGCCCTCTAAAGGGAATCCTCTGGCTGTAGCCCCATCCCCACCCAGTGATCATCTCAAACAATATTCATCCTTGACACCTCACTAAATCAAACCATCAGAGTCTTTCCTGGGAGCAAGATTTTATGGGAAGGGTCTGGGAAGCATATACGTAACCTGACTAAGGTTAGGGAGAGGTGGTGAATGTTGAAACATAAAGATAGCAAGTTGAAAGTTGAGAAGATGAACTATTCCAGCATCTCAATTTGCAGAAAGCCTATCCACTCACATTCAAAGTGGTGATTCTTGTGACTGAACACTAATGCAATGATTTCCGTGTGTTGGGCATAGTTTTACGAACTTCATATGCATTAACTCTATCTCTTTTCTCTCCATTTCTTGGACTCACTGCTTTGCACAGATTAAGTAATTCATGGGCTGAAAGATAACCAAAATGGTTAAGATGGATATATGTGATAGTAAGGCAATAAGAAAAAAGAAATAGAATCATGTAGGGGTAACCCTTTTTGTTACTGGTATTAGTTTGGAAAACATTTTCCTGCCCCATATTCTCCATAAACTATTTTCAGTGGATCTATTTAACCCTGGCTGTCTTTTTCCCACTTGGCTGGGAAACCACCGAATGAAAAATGGTAGATTTCTATTAGAAATAGAAGACAAAATCACAAGCACCACTATTAATGAGGTGATTTAAAAATATATATATATTCAATCAAAAGTAATTGAGGCTGAGCATAGTAAGTCATGGAAAATTATAAACTATGCCCACTCTAGGGCATGACTGACTATTAAAATTTTTTTCACACCATTGCCTACAGAAAGCAGCTGGGCACCATGCCACCAGGGAGGTGGCAGCAGAATGACCTCATTCTCTAAACAGGCTTGCAAAAAAGAGAACAATCAGTTGGATTACTGAATAAAATTCAACTCATTTTATGCCATGCTAGGTGGATTTTTTGACAAAGAACAGCTAAGAGTTGACTTCTCAAGAGCAAGCCACAAAATGGCTTATTTATTTGAAAAACATTGAATACATTTCTTGAATACCCACTATTCACTTTTGCATTGGTTATCCTATTTAATTTTGTTTACAAAACAACTATTTGTAGGGTTATTTTACTCTCTCTAGTCTATAAAGGCAGAAACTGGAGTTCAGATAAGTCAAAGTGATGTGCCCAATGTCCCAGAGTTGACCCATAGCAGGGCTGCCATTGTGTATTTTGAGTCCACTCCCGAGCTTTTCTCATGGCCCCACAGATGCCTGGTTTCCTTGTTCTGCATCTTTCCCTTGCCCCACATCATGGTTCAATAGGGACCAACGTATCTCAGTTAACCAGAATTTCTAATACCCAGCAAATTTCTTTAAAGTCCTTTTCCATTTTACTCAGAGTTAAAAAGAAAACCCTTCTATTTCAACCTTGGTAGTTGGTAAGTGCGGAACAATGTCTGGATCTCTTTTCTGCTACTTGTAAGTCCAGAGAACATTAGAGTATTTCTTGGGAGGAACTACTTACAGAAGTGATCTCTTTGAAAGTATTTCTTACTGTCCAGGACTGTGAGTGAATTTGGAGGGAGGTTGGGAATCTCAGGATCCCAGAATGTCCAAGTTCTCTTATCCAACGCTCATCTTCTTGCTATCCCTTCCTTTTCCCCTGCTCACCCTCCTGCTGCCACAACCACCACCCACATTATAGATTAAGACCTAGAAGGAGGCAGAGATTTAGTTTACTTGGGTATAAGCTGATCCTAGCATATATCTGTTATTTCTTTCTAATGAATCCTTAATATGAGACAACTTCATTGTGTTGTCTCACAAGTAGAGGAAAGGTAAAATTCTATTTAGGTGAAATGTTTGATTAGCTAGGACCTATTTTGTCAAGATCTGAGGTTACATTGCATGATGAAAAGGACCCTGAACCAAAGATCATTTAACAAATATTCCAGCTTCAAATTCACTATCTATTACTGGTATGACCGAGGGATGTTTATTTAACCTCTGAGTCTCAATTTATTCAATTTCGAGTGGAAGTAATGACATTTATCTACTTTACAAGATGGTTGTGAAGATCAAGTAACATAATAAGTATGAAAGTATTTGAAACTTTTTAAAGTGCTGTAAAAATTGTATGTCTTGTTCTTGCAACTTGTTCCAACAGAATCCCAATCTCTGATCCATGCAATTGAAGCATTACCAGGACCATAAGTGGAGTAGCATGAAAATAGCAAAGGCTCTAGAATCAGAGTGAGGCTAGTTCCAATGGTAAATCCACACTTACTAGTTGAGTGCCCCGGAGCAAATTGATTTTCCTCACTGAATTTCTATTTTTCACCTATAAAATGAAAATAATAAACACTTTCCTCATTGAGTTGTAGAGAGAATTACAGTTGTGTGCTGATAAATATTTAACAACCAGATTTGCAGGCAACAACAACAAATAAAATACCTGGTTTTAGTGTTTGTGGGTTTTCATGGTATAAATACACTCAGTGAGGCTGGCTTCAAGTTACCAACATGGTGTCACTGAATGACAGATTGGGAAGAGACGTAAACAATTGGCTCGCACAAGACAGCCAGAGCCAGGCCATCCCCCAGATTACATGAGTTAATGAATATGAAGATAGGTTTCCCCTTACTAGGAAATCAGTAAATGTTCATTAACTGTATTTAATGCTTGGGTCTTATCCTCCAATGCTCACAATTTAAGGCAGACACTGAAGTAAGCTGAGGGGAAAAAAAAAATCTATGAACAAATTCATTGCTGGGGTAAAGGAGGCAATAACTAAAAGGAAGAGGCATCCTAGTGCCACTATGAGGACCAGATAACTAGGGGAAGAAAATCAGCAGAAAAAGAGAAATCTTTACGCCAAGCCTGGATACAGTGAAGGACCTGGAATTCATCCCTACTCAGTATTATCCAGATCCTCTTCACTCCACCATCACCTAGGTAACTGGGGCAGTGTGGAATTAGTTGCCTGGCAACGGTGTCCACCCGTCTACTCTCTACACCCATATGCCCTAACCTCTGGTGACATTTCCTCCCCACGGGCCACCACCTGTCCCAGGAACACATCTCTCTATTGCATCCACGGGCCCCAGGCTAAGCCAGGCCCAAGGCCACTTAACCTGAGTACACCTGCCCAGAAATTCACAATTCTGCTGGCTCTCATGGAAGAAAAATGAAAGACAAAGAGCCCAGGCTAGTAGCCAGGAGATTTGGAGTTTAGTTTCAGCTCCAGGCTGGACCAGATGCTGTGGGACCTTGGGAAGCTTGCTTGACTTCTCAGATTTTGTTTCTTCTTCCGCCAAATACAGATTCCTCTCAAATCTATACAATGGGGATTTTCTTTCATCTGCAAAATGGGGAATTATAATGCCTGCTGGGCCCCTGCACAGAGTTGTCTTCAAGTCCATGTATATGACAAGTGCTCTGAAATACATCAAGTGCAAGAGGAGATGAGGTAATTATTACTATGGCCAGCAGTGCTGGCTTGAACTAGACCTCCAGCCTCTCCAGACTTCCTCGAAGCTGGGCTGAGGACTTGGCACCAGGAAGCCAAGAGATGAATGAAGCCGAGTCTCTTCCAGGACAAAGCAGGTGACATGTTCTAATGGATTCTGAAGAGGGTTTGTGTTCCTGCCCTTAACCATTGTAGCGCCATTTGTACAGGCAGCCGGAATCCTGCCCAACAGCAAGAAGAAAATTGGCAGCCCAGGGAAGTGAGCAGCTCTCAGGTTGGACTTGATTAGGGACCAATTTGGGCCTGTTAGCCGAGCCTCCAGTATCATCTCAGCCAATTACTGGCCCAGCCTGGCCTGCAGCTGGCTGCTTCCTTCCAAGCTAGACACTTTTATTTCCAGCAGAGCTCTCCCTTATGCCTGAGGCAAGAGACCAGGGTGACTGTGGCCCATTAAAAAGATGGAGAGAGAAATAACTCACTCAGTAAGGTAATGGTGTGGGTGGGGCTTGAACTGGAGCTTTAATTAAAAAAAAAAAACCCCTCAATAAACAGTCTTGTGGCTTGTGTATAAGTATGAGAATTTATAAACTCTCCCCAGCTATGGGGCTCTGATGACTATTAAACTTCACGTCTGGCAGAGAAATTTTGGCCTGATGAGCTAACTGTGCTACTCCACCTCTGCCAAGCCAAACAGGCTGGCAACCTAAGAGGGAGGCCAGCGAAGCCATGCTCAGACTGCCCCTCGCCCTGCAAGAGCTCCTTGGATTGGGTCATCCTCCAATCAGAGCTGACCCTTAGGAAAACCAGCATCTGCCAAAGGACTCTCCTTCCTGCCCCTTTTCCAGCCTCTGCAGAAACCTGGAGCTTGCTCCTGCCTCCCTACAGTCAAAGTATTGTTCCCAGGAATGCAAAGGAGAAGGGTTAAGTCTCAGAACAACCTGTTGTCTCTTCCCTGGGGTGGTGCTGCCTTTTGTATTTAATAGACCTCACTCTTCAATATGGCGTTCAATGCCTCCCACAATCCAGCCCCTTCTTACCTCACTTCTTGCCACTGTCTGCTTCCCACTTACTCCTCCGTGTACTCTTCATATAGTTTCTTGCCTGTGGGTCCTTGATTATGCTGTTTCCTCTTCATAGTATATCCACTCCCTTATTCTTGCCTTATGTAGAAGAGTCATTGAGTGTCTGGACTCTAGGGCCAACTTAAAAATTTGAATCCCAGCTCTACTACTCAACAGCTAATCAACTTTGGGCAATTTTCTTCACCTGTTAGTGTCTTCAGTTCCTCAACTATAAAATGGAGATTAGGATACTTACTTCATAGGGTCATTGTGAGGATTAAATAAGTATATGTGTTTGCATATATATGTGTGTCTGTGTCTACACCATGTTTGGTATCTAGTAGGCATTATATAGCTAGCTATTTGTTATTATTTTGCTTTAAGACAATGTCGGCAAACTATGACCTCAGGCCAAATCCATCTGCCTGAGTTCATAAATAAAGTTTTACTGGAACAGAGCTACACCCATTTGTTTATCTATTGTCTATGACCTTTCTGCTACAATGGCAGTGTTGCACATTGGTGACAGTGACTGTATGGACCCCAAAGCCTAAACTATTTCCTACCTGCCTCTTTGTGGAACAATTCTGTTGTCCCCTACTTTAAGATTCAGTTTAAAAAGAGGTCAACTCTAACACCCCCCATCCCCAGGCTGCGTGAGGCACCTGTTCTTTATGCCCCCATCCCACCTCCCCATACCTTTACCTTTTGCATGCATATCAGTATTTCAGTGACCTGATTGGGTGCCTACTTCCACCATTGGACTGTGAGTTCTTTAAGAGAAGGAACCACATTGTCTTCATTTGTTTTTCTCCCACAGGTGATAGCTGAATGAATCATGAATAATGGATGACATAGCATGGGATTATACCTTGAGCCTCTAAGAGACCTAAGCACAAACTTAGTGAACTGAGCAATGCTGCCTGATTTGGAATGGAACAGACCAGCTCACTGAGTTGGGGCTCCTGTGACATTTACAGGAAGGACCTTGGCCTTGTCTAATTCTTATCTGTTCTCCCCAAGGCAAAGCCATTTTAGAATGAAATAGCTTCAAAAACATGAGCCGATGGGGGAGAAGAAAAGACAATCTTGGCATCCACACACGAGTTTTCATTATTATTAATTCTCAGTGCTTCAAAATCTCATTTCTTCTTCACTCTCTTTCACTGACATTAGTGCAGTGCTCAGAGGTGGCTTGCCAAGCTATTCACAAGAGATTTGAGGGAATGGTGGTGAAGAGGCAGGAATGGGGCTGAAACTCAAGAAACACAACAGGAAATAACAATCCCAAGCCATGTGAAGGCTGAGAAAGTGGGAAGATGGACATGTCTGAGGTTTTCTTGAACTTTCTTCAGCCTAACCTTTGGTTAAGAAAGGCAGGACATGTAAGCTTGAAGACAAAGGTGGTAGGAGGGAGAACGCTAAGACTTCGATGTGTACCTAATGTCACATTCATATAAGTGGGGCTACTGACTTGAAACTTGAAAGAAACAACTCAATCTTGACAGTACTGTGGAAAGTTTTCTATGTGCCATAAAGGAAGGAGGATATTTGGCCATGGGCAGGTGAACAAACAGACAAAAGAAGAACCTCAGTCCATGCCTTCAGGGAGACCTTCATTGGACAGCTTAAACCAGTAGAACTGTAATTGTCCTTGTAAATCTGAGTGAAAACCCAACCAACAATGTGTACAATGAACCCTAGAGACTGGATTGGATTCTATTACTGTGAAATCTCAGTTTAACCAAAGATTCCCAGCCAGTGACGCACTTACTGTAAGCAATATTTAAAACAATAAAATCTCCTGTAACAGGAAAAGAATTCAAAGAAGCCCTTGGGGTTCTTGTAAAACGGTTTGGCCTATATAAATACATGCTGTGTAAAGTGGGTACCCAAGAACAGCAAGCAAAAGATCAGGTGAGATGTAACTTTGACAGTTACCAAGAGGACCAAGGGCAGCAGAAATCCCAGGACTGGAACACGCCACAATCTCAGCGTTTTCTGAAGTGTACTCCTTGGGATGTTTCTAGATATTTTACCTACAAGTTGTTGTTTTCTTTTTTTTTTTAATGTCTGCAGTAGAATCCTTAGTATATTGTTGTACAATGTGACTTTTAGAAAGGGATAGAATATACATCATTTCTTGTATTGTCTCACATTTATTTGAACAGGAAACATCTTTTTTATAGAGAATTGCCCACCTCTCATGTCCTGCAAAGCACAATTAGAGATAAAGGACTTGGTAATATTGTGAGGTCTTTGAGGAAAGAATGGCTTTTCTTTTTTGGTATCACCAGTGCCTAGGACAGACCTTGGCACAGACAACATACTTAGAAAATGTTAGAGGATGGAAAAGACCTAAAGTAAGATCCTGATGTCCTGAGCGTGTCATGGACTATCCTAGCCTCAGGCCTGTATAGACATTCCATAACCCAGAGAGAGTAGAGAGAAGTTCAATGAGGATGCTTCTTCAGTTTCCAGATTCTAGCTAATCTAAACTAAGAACATGGGAGTTTTCCAAAAGAAACATAGATCACCCAGGTACTTGTCCCATCGGCTTTAGATAAAGATTACTTTTCCTTGAGAGATAATTGAATCAGATTCTTCTGAAATGGCAAAGGCCTATGGACTGCCTTTCAGTATTCCAGATGACCAAGCAGCTCAAGACTCCCTCAAAGTAGCCCACACAAGGAAAATGTCATGTGTCAATTTGATCTTGAATTGGCAGGTTTTCCAAGCTGGTAGCATTTTAGAGAATATTTTAGGAGCAATGCTCATGCCAGAGACAAATAAGTTTCCAGTAATTTCCATGAACAAAATTCTATAACACTCTTGCTGTACCCTTACATACTCTTTTAAAATGCCTGAAAATTATTGAAGTTATTTTATCAGCTACATTAATTTCCTCTTCAAACATCTCAACGTATCAACTTGAAATTAAGCATCAAAATTATGCAGTTGCATTTAAATATGTTAATAATCATAGGTAAACAAACTCAAGGCTGAAACTGTCCACAAAGAATGGAGGGAAGCTTGTTGGAAGTTCACAAACACAATGTAGGATAATTATATGCTAAAACACTTAACCCTGGGAATACGCAGAAAATTTACAAAGATCAATTGCTCATAAAAAAAGAAAAAAAATTTTAATCAAATGAGAGTTATCCAGTAAATGGTTAGAAAATTGATGGGAATTCCTTTGATAACACCATTTTGATTTGATTAGTTGTACTATTTTTATATCTTTAGTAAACAGAGTTTGATTATACCACTGAGCTCCTTTGCTACCGAAATATTACAAACCCATTTGTGGCTAAGAAGAAAATGGAGAAGGAGAATTCAAAAAACCCTTTAAAGGCTGGGCAGGGTGGCTCACGCCTGTAATCCCAGCACTTTGGGAGGCTGAGGTGGGTGGATCATGAGGTCAGGAGATCGAGGCCATCCTGGCCAACATGGTGAGACCCCCGTCTCTACTAAAAATACAACAACAACAATAAAAATTAGCCAAGTGTGCTAGCATGTGCCTGTAGTCTCAGCTACCTGGGAGGCTGAGGCAGGAGAATGGTGGCAGAGCTTGCAGTGAGCTGAGATCCCGCCACTGCACTCCAGCCTGGGCAACAGAGGGAGACTCCATCTCAACAACAACGACAACAACAACAACAACAACAACAACAACAACAAAAACTTATCTCCTGCTGTTTTCTAGTTGTATTAGTTTGTTAGGGTTGCCATAACAAGCATCACAGACAAGTGGGGGTTTAACAACAGAAATTTATTTTCTCACAATTCTAGAGGGCGATCAAGATGTCAGCAGGGTTGATTTCTTCTGAGGCCTCTCCTTGGCTTGTAGATGATGCTCTTCTCCCTGTGTCTTCAACAGTCTTCTTTCTGTGTCCAACGGTGTCCAAATTTCCTCTTCTTACAAGGACATCAGCCATATTAGATTAGGGCCCATCCTATTTGGGCATGGTGGGAGAACACAAGCCCATAACACTGTTGGACACTAACTTTCTCTTCCTCCATTTTGTAAAGACTATCGCTGCCTTAAAACATTTTTTTACTGTTAAAAATTTACATTTACACTATCCAAATCTATCCCACATATCAAATTACAAACATTTCTGTTGATTTTATCTCCTAAATTTATCTTTCATTTCTCTTTCTCAAGTCCTCATCAACCCTTGAAGCAGCTCTCTTCCTGACCTCTCTAGACAACCAGCAGCCAGAGTGAGCTTTCTACATAAAAATCTTATAGTTGCTACCCTGCTTAAAACCCATCCTGGATATTTAAACATCTAAAAGTTCCAAAAAGTTGTCAATAATATTTCTATAGATTTATCCAAAGGAAAGAATCAGAAAATTACACAAGTACATACTTGCAAAGATTTTTGTTACAGCATTATTTGCAACAGAGAAAATTGAAAATCACCCAAATTTCCAATAACAGAAGTCTGGTTAAATGAACTCCAGAGGTGGACCCATGCATTAAAGTACCATGTAGCCATAAAAAGGATGAGGCCAGGGAATATGTTCATTGGCTATGAACAAATGTTAAATTTTAAAAAATCCAAATAATTAATGAGATATATAGTCAGGCCTCTGTATTAGCAGGTTCCACCAACCAGATACTGAAACTATTTGAGGAAAAAAAAATAAAAATAACAATACAATAGTAAAAAAAAAAAAAGAAAGAAAACCATACAACAACTATTTACATAGCATTTATATTTTATTAGATATTAAAAGTAATCTAGAGATGATTTCAAGTATACAGGAGGGTGTATATAGGTTATATGCAAATACTATGCCATTTTACATAAGAGACTTGAGCATCCTCAGATTTTAGTATTCTTTTGGGGGCCCTGGAACAAATCCCCTGCAGATATGGGGAGATGAGTGTATGTGTGTGGGGGCTTATATACATACAGTGTTTATGTATGTGTGAGTGTGTATGTTTTTGTGTGTATAATGTTCTTATTTGTGAAAGAGGAATAGATTGAGAGGTGATAGATGATAGATAAATAGATATAGAATTTTGAAAACATATAGATCAAATTGTTACCAGTAGTTATCTTCAAGGTGGTACAGTTAAAAGTGATTATTTTTGTTTACTTATCTGTATTACCCAATTCTTCAAAAATAAATATATATATATATAGTTCATGTCATAAATAAATTAAAGTTTAAAAAGTCAAAACTCTGCTAATTCTCCCTTCCTCACAGATATAAGTTCAAGCTTCCTGGCATGACATCCAAAGTTCTTCACCCTGGAGACAGACTACTTTTCTGGGTGCGCCTCCTGTCACTCCATCCCACCATCCCTCACCCTCACTTCACCACTCCCTATTGCCCAGCATGTCATGCCTTCTCCTATCTCTGTGCCTTTTTATGTGTCTTTCTCTCTACTAGGCTGTCTTTTCTCATGCTCTTTGACTGACAAACTCCTATTCATCCTTTAAAACCCATATCAAACATCACCTCCTCTGTAAAGTTTTTCTATCCTTCAATACATAGCTGCTCTCTCTTCTGGACCCCAGAGTTTTTTTGTTTATGCTTCTATCATAGCAAGCAGGTTCTTCGATTTTGATCATTTTCTGTTTCTTTCACTACACTGTGGGAATTTCAAAGACTATATCAGGATCTTAGAGTTAAAAATCCCATGGAATGTTGGTTCCCTCTACTAATGTGATATCCTAGCTGTAGAGCAGAGCAGGAACACTAACTGAAGCCCACCACAAAAGTGGGAATTTAGGGCCCATCAAGTCCCTCCTAGTCACCTAATCTGTAGATTTTTCAGATTGTTCTCCAAGGAAGACTCACTAACACTGCATCCACTTTCTTCCATATCCAGTGGGGGAAGGAAAACAGGGCAGAAAAGCAGCCTCCTCCTGATCCAGTTTCTCCCCCTAACTCAGGGACAGTGAGCAGCACCTTCTATCCATCATCCACTCACATCTCACTACCCTGCCTCCAAGTCATGCAGCCCCATTGGATGAGAAATACACTCCCTAGCTGCTAGAAGTCCTTCCCTGACTCCATTCCTCACCTCCTGCCACCCTGTCCAACTTGCACAAACTCATTCCTGCCTTGCAAAATGAAGGAATTTTCTCATCATTTGCTCTTAAAAAGCCATATGGTTATTTGTCTTGTTCTTTGGTTGGTTGCAAACCTTTCCACAGAAACAAATGTTAGTACAGCTCATCACCTTGTGTCAAGGTGTCTGTATCCTAAATGTGCAAGGCTTCTCTTCCTGCTGCCTTTTTAAGCCTTCTTAAAATGAAAACACAAGAAAAGGATTTACTCACTGGAAACAGCATTGCAAAATCACCTCTTTGTTTCACCTGTGGACACCAAGAGGCCCAAAAAATCACTAGATCAATCCTTTGCCATCATGAAAGAAAATGGGGAGTTTTCCTCTCCCCTGGGTCAAGCAGCCTGCAGAGGCTCCTTCCACAGGTTATGGTTCCAGCTCTTCTCTAAAATGAAACTAAGCCAAAGCATCAGACACATTGCCTTGGCACTGGTATATAGGAGGCCTATAACCCATAAGGTGGCTGGGAACCAGAGAAGGCACCCTGGTATGCATGGTTTCAGAGGCCACTGGCAGTGGCTTCAGGCATGTTTAGGGGACCCCTTGGCTGCCTTTTGCCTCTCAGAAACAAGAAAACCATTTATTCCCCCAGTTCAACCACAGCATCTCTTCCCTCCCCAATGCCAGAAAATCAGGGTTGAGAGGTGCTGGTGGAGGAGAGATGCACTAGGAGTGGATGGGGTGGGAGTCACTGCCTGCACCATGTGAACTGGAGTGTGCAGGCATGGGGTTTCAGACCTAGAGAGGCACTCCCTTTGCTTTCTTCTCACCCTATGACCCTCTCTTCTCCAAACCTCCTTTAGGAAACCCATCAAAGCTTATTCAAGTTCACTGCCCTGACTCAAGGGAGAAGAAGCAAATGGGAATGGAGAGAGAGTCACGTTGCAACAACCCACACTGTTTTCCTCTCACTCCTCAGGGATCACCTCCCACCCCAGATGGATCCATCCTCTGGAACAAGAACACACACATACACACACACACACACACACACACACACACACACACACACATAAACTACACTGAGAACAACTGAATCCTAAAGGGAATTGGATGACAGTGAGAAAAAATATAAAGAAAGCCAGTTTCATGAAAAACAAAGAAAAGAAAAATAATGTATTGAGTAGCTGGTATGAAGCAGTCTCTATGGTAGGCATTTACACATATATGATTTCATTGAATCCCAATATCAACACTGTTAAGATATTGTTATTCCATGTTAGAAGTGAGGAAGCTGAGGCTTTAAAAAGTTATATCTCGATGTCCGCCTAACCAGAGTGGGTAGATGGAGACAAAATCCAGGATAACAGACTCAAAATCTCATTCTGTTTCTAGGTCCATGTTGGTGTTCAGACCAATTGGTCCAAGCAGCCACAAAGAGACTAGGTAACTACGATGACTTTGCAGGTATTCCTTGCTGGGGTCTAGGACTGACCCAGATCTGGTTCTACTTTAAAATCCTATGGGTCTTAGTGGAACTAACTCCTTGGTGGTGCATAATATTCAGCCACACTCTCTGCATCTCCTCCTTGTCCCTGGGTAGGGTAGCCCCCAACCAAGCCCTTTATGCTGCCCTAAACAACTGACTCAAGAGACTGTTGCTATGTTAGTTGTTGTAAGATATAGGCCAGGTGGCTGGGAGAAACAGTTTCCTAAGGCCTAGAATGGAGTTGCTCTGGTGAACATCAAAAGCAATGTATATGAGTCTTCCTTCTGAAACCCCTATGAAACCAGAGCAGGTCCCTTCAATGTGTATTCAACCACAGAGAAATCACTAAATGGCTCAAACTCAGCCACTGCTTCCTCCTGAAAAGGATACAGGCCAGGAAGCCTGACTGGGCATAGTGCAATGAATAAAATGTAGACCCAAGTTCAAATCCTGATGAATTCAAACCCTTTGTGACCCCAGGAATAAAAGCATTTCACCTCTTTATGTTTAATGTTCTCAAATGGTAATGGGAATGTTAATAATAGCTCCCTCAGGGGGTTATGTAGAGGCTCCAGTGAGACAAGATGTGAAAAATACCCAGGGCACTGGTCCCAGAGTAAAGGCTCATTAATGGAGGTTGTTATCTGGATATTAGAGGATGATTGAGCTCTGCATTTGGAAGCAAAAAAAGTTAGGATTCTCTTTGGAAAGTTGCTTATAGCAGCCCTTTTCTATAGAAAAATATAAGGGTGTTCCAATTATTTCTTTATTTCTTTGCAAAGAAATGGTGAATTGGAATAGCCTACCCCTTACAAACGACATGACCTTGGATGCTTATGTCATTGGCTTAGGCCACTCAGGCTGCTATAACAAATATCCATTGACTGGGTCTAAACAATGAAGATTTATTTCTTACAATTCTGGAGGCTGAGAAGCCCAAGATCAAGGCACAGGCAGATTCCATACCTGGAATCTGCCCCATTTTATAAATGGTGTTTTCTTGCTGCCTCCTCACTTGGCAGAAGGCAAAAGACAGATCTCTGGGACCCCTTTGAAAAGGACACTAATCCCGTTCATGAAGGCAGAGCTCCTGATCTAGTCATCTCCCAAAGTCCCCACCTCTTAATACCATCACTTTAGAGGTCAGGACTTCAACATATGAATTTGAAGAGGGTCATGCAAACATTCAGACCACAGCAGTCACCATTCTAGTCTCAATTTCCTAACTTGTAAAAAGCTCACACAGAAACAAAACCAAACCAAACGTCACAGGACTCTTTATTAACTTCTCTCATCCCCCCACTTCTTCATTGCAATCCAAGCTGCATCATCCCTCACCTCCACTGGTGCTACATCACCAAGCACACTGCTAGCATTCTGTGCCAGCGAGACTTTCTCCATGAAAAAAAGTCATCCATTGATTTGCATTCTGAAGGAAGCTTGCCCACTGGTAACAAACTGCTCACAGAGCAGCATCAGCCCGTGGACTTTACTTTCAGTGGTTTATTATACATTTAAAATGTGTCTATTGTATTTTTTCATGGAGTTAGATTGTACATTTAGTAAAGTATGTCAGGTGCACTAATCTTAAGCATACAACGTGATGAAATTTTACATACATATACACTGGTGTCACCGTCACCTGGAAATAGACATTTTCTAGCACCTCATAAGGTTCCTTTGTGCCCCATCCCAGTGAATACCAGCCCCCCTCAGAGATAACCACGGTCCTGACTCTGTCACCACAGATTAGTTTTACCTGTTCTTGAACTTAGTATAAATGAATTATACACTGTGCACGCTATTGTGTCTGGCTTCTTTTACTCAAGTTTAAGTCTGTGATATTCATCCGTGTTGCTGCATGTACAATAGCTCATTCTTTTTTAGAGTCTCTAAATTTGATTGCCTCACTCCTCTGCTCCCTCTCTGCAGTCTATCTGGTCTCATTTCTTCTCCAGGAATGTGCCACCCATCCTCCAGCTAAACACTTGCATATACTCTACCTTCTTGTTGGAATGTTCTCCCTTTTCCATCTCCCCTCACCCAACTCCATTTTATTCTTTAGACCTCAGATCCAATCCCCCTTCCTTAAGGCAAGCTTTTCCCAACTATCCCACTCTTGTCTGTGTTCAGTTCCATATTATATTCTTTGGTTGTTCCCTCCACTCGTTACTCTCAGCTTTCCCCTCAACACTAGTTTCTCTCTAAGAAGAGGATCCACAGCACAACCTTTGTATTCACCACTATATCCCCAGTGGCTATCATTACAGGGACTCAGATATTTCTTGAATAAATCAATAAGTGAGTAAAGCGTCCAGTTCACTGCCTGGCCCACAAAAGATGCCAGACCTGGCCTTCTCTTCCCCTTTCCACCTCGTGCTATTATGAAGTCCAAATACTCCACACTCTGTTCTCTGCCTCGGTAATCCCAACTCTTTAGATGAGGCCCTAGAAGAAATAAAATCACTACTTTTTTTCAGAATGTTTTCTGAAATATTTTCACCGAAGACATTCTCTGGAGGCTGAAGAAGCTCTGACTCATGCTTCATAATGGACTGTGACATTTCTCTGAGTTTTTTTTTTATGGCTCTCCGGAAAGGATTCCTTTCAGAACCATTAAGAAGATTGTGGACGAGGATATATGCACAGGAAAAAAGGCCCAGGAGAAAGTATAATAAAATGTTACCACTGGCTTCCTCAGGGTGATGGGATAGTGTAAGATATTTTTTTCTGTACTTTACTATAATTTCTAAATTTTCTATATTAAATATGCATTATTTTTAAGGAAAAGATACTCCTATTATGTTTGAAGTGACTCATAAGGACATGTCAAATTGCATTTTATCACTGATACATGCAGACCTAACCCCACAGTCTGGGAAAGTAAGCCCTGGTTGAACAACCCCGTGGGAGGCAAAGGAAGCTCAAATGATTGAGGGTCAGTCTTCTTCCCAGATAATGGAATTCCTGCCAGTCTTGGGACTGATCAGGAAACCTTGGCCCAAATAAGCCACAGAGCATCCCCCTGCTCAGGAAGTGTCCATAGGCAGGGGACTATCTGTGAAAGAAAGTTGCTGAACCTCCAGAGAAAGAGAGAGGTCTCAGAGTCTCTGCAAATATTTGAGAACAATTTTTCTGGCCTCCACTCTCGGGTTCTTTTGTTTTGTTTTTGCCAGACTAAACCCCCTCACTTGAACCAAATGGTTGCAATATGACCTTATTTCTATTACCCTCATCACCTGCATACGGGCAGCTCCAAATGTCAACTATCTCTTTAAATATATGATCCTATGAGTTGAACACAACCAGATCTGATTTGACTGTGGGAGGCTGTATTAGGGTCATCACCTCCTTTGTTTTGAACACTATACACTCATTAATTTTAAGATCTAGCTACTATAGAGAGATTAAGAGCTGAAAGTCTCGACCCAGACTGCCCTCTTCAAATCCCAGCTCTGACACTAGCTGTGTGATATTGACCAAGCCCTTTGACATCTCTGTACCCTGGATTCTTCATCTGTAAAACGCTGACAATAATAGTACCAACCCCAGAGGGTAGCTAGGAGGATTAACAGAGTTCATGCGTGCAAAGCACTTAGAACAGCACCTGGCACAAGGAGAGGGCTACACAATTGTTAACTGTTAATATTAATGTGGCCAAACGGCACTGATTTCACTTAGGCTTTTCTGTTTTGTTTTTGTGAGGAGTGAGGAGCTTAACTGCAAAAACTCCCCATTGACTGATATTCAAATTAAACTTAAAGCCTCTTAGATCCTTAACTCCCTCCATCTAGAAATTGTGCAACTGATTTTTGAACCTAGAGGCAGAAAAACAAATTTGCATTTTTTTCCCAGAGAAATTCCAGCGGGAAAGTAAGAGACAAAGTGAGAGAGGGGCAGAGAAAGAATAGTGACAGAGAGAGGCGACAGAGACATAGACAGAGAAACGTAACAGATTGAAACTGCTAGCCTGCATCAGAAATGAGGGCCTCGGAAAAGCTGTTCATTTCCCAGCTGGGTTTTGTTTTTGTGTGGGTTCTTTTTCCCCCCTTTTTCATTTGTGTTCACACTTCCCCCTCTTGTGGCTCATCAGAAAATCACAGGTGGTCCTTGCTTTTCAATGGATTTCAAAATTGGTGAACACTCAATGCTGGCAGTTCTGGCTGAGAAGATTGGGTCAACCCCTACCTGATCCCAGGAAGGGGAAGAGATAAGATGGGGAGAGGAGGCCAGGTTGTATAGTAATCATCACCTGCTCCTTATCCAAGAGTCATGTGAGCAGAAAAAGCTGTCTCTTCTCTTTCATTGATAAAGGGATGAAGGGCTCCAGAAATGACCCACAGTACTAGCCCTCTCAGGGATATTTTCTAAAAGGCTTTGGTAGGGGATGGATTCATTTAGGATCAGGCCAGTCAGATAGAAAAATAATACAAACAAGTCCAAAGGAGAACTGTATCTGTCATTGCTCATATTCACTCTGCTCCAAGCCAGTTCTATGCCTTTGCTCACACTATAACCTACACCAAAAGTGCCCATTCTTCAAGGATAGGGTAACTGCTACCCTATCCTTTCGTGATTCCTTTTACCAATCTGTCCCCAGACCCTTGCCTCTAGTAGAAATGTTTCTCTTCTCTCACTCCACAGTATCTTATTATGGCTCTAATGTGGCACTGGTGAAGTTTGCTTTCTACGCAATTAACAGCGTCTTTGTCTTATCATCCCACAAGATTAGTGAAGAGGAAAGGGAAGAGGCTGGGTTTCATACATCTCCAAAGACCCAGCCTCCGGCATAAGGGGTGGGGGGGTGGATAAGAGAGGGATGAAGGGGGGAAAAGAAGGAGGAGGAGAAAAAGAACAAGGAGAAGATGGCAAATGTAACAGTTGGTGAATCTATTAATAGTTACAGGGTATGTGAATATCCATCAGAACTTTCTATTTTTCTGTAGTTTTGAAATTTTTCAAAACAAAATGTTGAAAAAAATGAAAAAAAAATCACTTAATATGGCTTGCAAGTTTAAAAATCAGGTAAATGCCAGAGTAAGAAATAAAATCGGGACACAAATCAAAATTAGGCTTCTCAACCTCTAGAGACCACAAATTAGCTTTTAGGAGTTACAAACCTCAGGAAATTTTAAGTACAAGTTTTGTGTCAGTGCATTTTTCTAGGGAGAAAGGTTTTAACTCTTTCATCAGATTTTCAAGGGGTTTGTAACACCGCTATACACCCCCCAAAGTATTAAAATAGTAACCTAAAGAGAACTTGAAACAAAATGCTATTGCCAGACATGAGGATCAATGGCCATAGAATGATGGACTGAATTGATCAAATTTCAGAGACAAAAAAATACCTTGGTGATCATGTAGCCCAGAGCTCTACATCCAGAGGGGGAAACTAGGCCCAAAGAGAGGTCAGGGAGTTTGACTCCAACAAATTTAACATGTTTCACTGGCTCATAAATGACAACCAGGCCCACAATGTTCTCCTTGTGCCATGGGGAATTCTCCCCCCAGAAAAGCCATCCTGAAAAAACGTGATCAGACAATGGTCATCTTGTCAGCCCTCACAGACAAGAACATGCATCTTTGTTCTGAACCAAATGACCACATTCTTACAGCCTGATTGAAAAGAAGCCTTTGTTTAGGGGGGTATGGGTGTCTCGATGGGATCAGGGACACTCTCAGCTATAAGGTAGAAGGAGCAGGCCACTAACTAAGATTGATGGATGGTGCCAGCCCTGGCAGGCCAAACACAATGCAGGGATGGCCAAGTGGGGGAACAAAATTAGTTTGCAAGATTAGAACGTATTAACACAAGTCAGACAACTGTCATGTCACAGTTCTTCACCGTAATGCTGATTGGCAGGCAAGCATTTCTGATTCTGATGGCCACGGAGGCGAGGCATCTGCAATCTGTTTCGCATGACATCCCGCTGCTGGTAAATCCCCGCTGCTGGAGAAGCCAGCTTTTCTTAGAAAACTATGTCCCCTGGGTCTTGTTTGGCAGGTCCCCAGGCCAAAGGTGCTTGGCAAGGTGGGAGAGGGCAGGGAGGATGTGGCAGCTGTCAAGAACTTTAGCTGAAGAGGAAAAGAAGGCTTTCTGAGCTCAACACAACAAGTACCTGAGGATCACTCACAAGCCTGTTACCAGGATGAAGATGACAGGAAGGTGCAAGAAACATCATAATCCCAGCCTCAAGGAATGTTCAACCCCACTGGGGAGCCCAGACCTACACATGTGGCCAAGTTCAATAACGATGCAAAACAGTCCAGAGTCAGCAAGGCCATTCCTTGGCTGAGCACCATAGAGCTGATTCTAATGAATGCCCACTGCTCTACTTACTTTTCTCTTGACCCAACAGGTGGTCAATAGATCATCATGGTAATTTCATTACCAATCAAGCTAGAGAAATTTGGAAGTAGTCATGACCTACTTATACCCAAGTCCTGGGTGGTGCTCTTTCCTCATTGGTTTGTATTCTTTGAAATTTTTAGTGTGAGTCTTCTAACTTGATTTTGTTAAATATTGAATAAATATAACAGAGTATTTGTAAAAATACTTGTATTAGTCCAGGTTATTATACTGCAGTGACAAACAACCCTAAAATGGCCGTGACTTGGCACAATAAACATGGACTTCTCATCTCTGCAAAATCAGCTGCTGGCCTGGACACTTCTCCAGAGTTACCTCCAAGCAATGGCTCAGCAATTCAGACTGCTATGATCCTGTGGCTCCCCCATCTCAACATGAGGCTATGGAAGAGAAGGAGTTATCTGGAGGGTTATTCACTGACTTTTTCATGCTTTGGTCCAGAAGTAACACACACACACACACATACACACACACACACACACACACACACACATCAATCCTGACTACAACTTATTAGCTTGAACAAATTCCACGGCCTCGCCTAACTTCAAGGAGGTAGAAACTGGGAGGAAATAGATGGAATGCCTTTGACATAATATTTAAGCACAGAGCCAACATCCTTGTACTCATCAACGAGTTTAAGAGAGAGAACATTTTTATTACATTTGCTCTGTATTCTCTTATCAGATGCCAGTTCTTTTTCTTATCCTTCAGACATAACTACCTTCCAGAATTTTGTATTTATCACTTCTTCATTTTTCTTTATAATTGCATTACACATTTTTGTATCCTTAAACAACATACTGTTCAGTTTTGCACTTTTCAAATTTCATGTAAATAAAATCACACTGTATGCGTTTTGTGACTTTACTCCTTTTGCTCAGCCTTGTTTTATTAAGATTTATTCATTTTTTCCTGTACAACATCAGTTCATTAATTTTCATGGTTTTATAGATTTCCACTGAAGGAATATAACAAAATATTTATCCAGTATACTGTTGAATTGATGTGTGGGTTGTCCAGGTTTGGACATTATAGGGGGTGCTGATACATACATTCTTATACTTGTCTCCTGATGGATTTGACCAAACATTTCTCTACAGAAAGTTTTCTAAGATGGAATATTCAAGAAGAAGTAAAAATGACGAGCAAGTAAATTATTGAATATGTGAATCTAAACAAATTTTGACCATGTTAAACAAAATAACAATGTCTTATAAGTTAAAAAAAGGATAAATATACCAAAACAATAATATTCTCTGGTAAGGACTGATTGAAGATAAAATATTCTAAGATCCTTGCAATGTTTGGGAGGGTGGTAAATATACAGCTTACCTTTTGACTTTGAGAAATTAACCATGCATAACACATTTCCAAGGTAACCACCAAAAAAAGAGAAGTAAAGATAAAAAATACAAAGAAGGAAAAAATGTCCAATTCAAAAATCGGCAAGAGGTAATAAAGAAAGCATTAAAAGGTGATAGAAAATGAATGGTTACAATAAATGTAAGAAGGTTGGGCCAATTTAATGACAAGTATTGTCAGATTGATTTTAAAAAATCAAACAGACATCTTTGAATAGGAGGTGCCTCCAACAAGTAGTACAGTGTCCCCAGGCATGGCTCTTGGGGACTGAGATGTGACCCAAATGGGACATCTACCCTCAGTCTGTGAATCTGAGGCTCCCAAGATTTTGTTCTGAATACCACACTTATTTCTTGAAATAAATGGGATCTTTCCTTGTTTGTCCCTGGACTGAAATAGTTTCAGTGCTGTTGGACTCATTTTTTCTTTAAATCTTAGCTCCAACCCAGGTCTCAAACCATCTGTTTTTGTTGCAATTTATAAAGTTTTCTCATGAAGGTAGTAAAGAAAAGCCATGCCCAAAATAACTAAAATATGTGTTTAAATGGAAGTTGGAGATAAGCAGATTTGCTGTTGCATTGGCTATGGGTTATTTTTAAAAGGAAGAATTGGGTGCAGGTATTAATACAAGGCTTTTGGTCTGAGTAACTGGAAGGAGGGAATTGCCTCCATCTTAGATGAAGATGACTGTAGGAGTAAAGGACAAAACCCTCCCGGAGATGAAAAAGCATCCAGGCCATTGACTATAAAGGAATTTCATCTCTTGAAAAGCTTTATATGTAAGTCCTTGGTGAAGAATTACAGACAAGAAATTCAGGCTCTAGGGAATTTGAGGATAACCTGGCCCAAGGATGTGCATGGGATAACCCCAGGGGACACCATTTAACTATACCACATTTTGTAACACAGTGGCCCTGGCCTGACCAATCCTATTTGGAAGAGTTGTGTAGAGAGAAGAGTGAATCTGTGCAGGAATTACCTGTAATTAAAAGCTTCCCATATAAACAGAATCAAAGACAAAAACCACATGATTATCTCAATAGATGCAGAAAAGGCCTTCGACAAAATTCAACAACTCTTCATGCTAAAAACTCTCAATAAATTAGGTATTGATGGGACGTATCTCAAAATAATAAGAGCTATGTATGACAAACCCACAGCCAATATCATACTGAATAGGCAAAAACTGGAAGCATTCCCTTTGAAAACTGGCACAAGACAGGGATGCCCTCTCTCACCACTCCTATTCAACATAGTGTTCAAAGTTCTGGCCAGGGCAATTAGGCAGGAGAAGGAAATAAAGGGCATTCAATTAGGAAAAGAGGAAGTCAAATTGTCCCTGTTTGCAGATGACATGATTGTATATCTAGAAAACCCCATTGTCTCAGCACAAAATCTCCTCAAGCTGATAAGCAACTTCAGCAAAGTCTCAGGATACAAAATCAATGTACAAAAATCACAAGCATTCTTACACACCAATAACAGACAGAGAGCCAAATCATGAGTGAACTCTCATTCACAATTGCTTCAAAGAGAATAAAATACCTAGGAATCCAACTTACAAGGGACGTGAAGGACCTCTTCAAGGAGATCTACAAACCACTGCTCAAGGAAATAAAAGAGGATATGAACAAATGGAAGAACATTCCATGCTCATGGGTTGGAAGAATCAATATCGTGAAAATGGCCATACTGCCCAAGGTAATTTATAGATTCAATGCCATCCCCATCAAGCTACCAATGACTTTCTTCACAGAATTGGAAAAAACTACTTTAAAGTTCATATGGAATCAAAAAAGAGCCCACATCGCCAAGTCAATCCTAAGCCAAAAGAACAAATCCGGAGGCATCATGCTACCTGACTTCAAACTATACTACAAGGCTACAGTAACCAAAAGAGCATGGTACTGGTACCAAAACAGAGATACAGATCAATGGAACACAACAGAGCCCTCAGAAATAATGTCGCATATCTACAACTATCTGATCTTTGACAAACCTGAGAAAAACAAGCAATGGGGAAAGGATTCCCTATTTAATAAATGGTGCTGGGAAAACTGGCTAGTCATATGTAGAAAGCTGAAACTGGATCCCTTCCTTACACCTTATACAAAAATTAATTCAAGATGGATTAAAGACTTACATGTTAGACCTAAAACCATAAAAACCCTAGAAGAAAACCTAGGCAATATCATTCGGGACATAGGCATGGGCAAGGACTTCATGTCTAAAACACCAAAAGCAATGGCAACAAAAGCCAAAATTGACAAATGGGATCTAATTAAACTAAAGAGCTTCTGCACAGCAAAAGAAACTACCATCAGAGTGAACAGGCAACCTACAAAATGGGAGAAAATTTTCACAACCTACTCATCTGACAAAGGGCTAATATCCAGAATCTACAATGAACTCAAACAAATTTACAAGAAAAAAACAAACAACCCCATCAAAAAGTGGGCAAAGGATATGAACAGACACTTCTCAAAAGAAGACATTTATGCAGCCAAAAAACACATGAAAAAATGCTCATCATCACTGGCCATCAGAGAAATGCAAATCAAAACCACAATGAGATACCATCTCACACCAGTTAGAATGGCAATCATTAAAAAGTCAGGAAACAACAGGTGCTGGAGAGGATGTGGAGAAATAGGAACACTTTTACACTGTTGGTGGGACGGTAAACTAGTTCAACCATTGTGGAAGTCAGTGTGGCGATTCCTCAGGGATCTAGAACTAAAAATACCATTTGACCCAGCCATCCTATTACTGGGTATATACCCAAAGGATTATAAATCATGCTGCTATAAAGACATATGCACACGTATGTTTATTGCGGCACTATTCACAATAGCAAAGACTTGGAACCAACCCAAATGTCCAACAACGATAGATTGGATTAAGAAAATGTGGCACATATACACCATGGAATATTATGCAGCCATAAAAAATGATGAGTTCATGTCCTTTGTAAGGACATGGATGAAACTGGAAATCATCGTTCTCAGCAAACTATCGCAAGGACAAAAAACCAAACACCGCATGTTCTCACTCATAGGTGGGAATTGAACAATGAGAACACATGGACACAGGAAGGGGAACATCACACTCCAGGCACTGTTGTGGGGTGGGGGTGGGGGGAGGGATAGCATTAGGAGATATACCTAATGCTATATGACCAGTTAATGGGTGCAGTACACCAACATGGCACATGTATACATACGTAACAAACCTGCACATTGTGCACATGTACCCTAAAACTTAAAGGATAATAATAATAATAAAAAGGCTTCCTTTGTGAAAAGTGAACTGCCCTGTAGTAGAACTTGCCATGGTATCAAGTCTGATACTGGCTTAGAACCCAACCTAATCAATAATGTAAAAAAGTTGCTTCTTTATTCCTGTAAAACCATAAATATTAGATTTATGGGAAAAATATTGACTCCCATGGAGCTGAGCAATAAAGACTTGAACAGAGATAGACAAGATCATGTAGGATGCTATTCAAAAGATGATCTCACTTACCTAGTTCAGATCATCTTCTTTACACATGTTCCTCCTCACCACTGCCATTGAAGAAATTTCCATGTAAGTCTGTGAAGAAAAAGAAACAAACAAAAAAAAAACCATCAGGAATTCCAGTCAGCCATGGATGGATAAAAAAAAGTACCACATCACTGCCAAGGAAGGAAAACTGTCCTCTGGAAAATGGCGAAGTTGAAAGCATTACACCATAAGTGCCTAAAGATGGTTGGGAGACGTTGGTCATTTAATTTCAGATTAGGAAAAAGAGGCAATAGTATCTCAAAAAGAGTCTTGGAACATGTAGAAGAAGCCATGAAGTCTCATAACCATGACTAATTGAATATTTAATAGGCTACTTTAATATATAATAGGCAAAGATTTAATCAAAGTACCCATTCCAAAAGGATAACAGTATCTAAATGTTTGAGCACCTGGAAGGGGAAAAGTATTACTATATTAATAAAATAATAACTATTTAATGAAATAGATATACCTTTGAAAACAAAATTGTTGACATACTGAGTAGGGTAACATTGTTTGACAAGCAGTGACTGCAAGTTAATTGGATATTTTATCATAAGGAATTCAGATTCAAATAAACGCAAAAATGTAAAAATTGCAGAATACCTTGTATTTCTCTGTATCAATAACAGATGTTACATTTTCTATACCAATTTGAAGTTAATAATGTAGGTATTTAGAGTAATTCTTACTTTCAAACAGCATTTTTTCAAGAAACTAAAGCTACAAGAAAAACTGCTATAGTATCCATATAGTCTTATGAAACTTCAGCCTTTATGACCACTGCTAAGGATTAGGTTGAGGTTACAGTACTGTTCTAAAAATGCTGTGACTGAGGAACTGAAACATACATAGACAGACTCTGAATAATCAGATAATTTGGCCAATCCTGATGTGAACAACAAGTAGCATGGGGCTTAAAGTACTTAATTTCTTGATGCCATAGCAAATTCTTTCTCAGCAGCATTGTTTCTTCCAGACAAGTGAAGGCAAACACTTTTTATAGGTCAAGGAATTGCTGATATCTCAATTCATTTGTTTTAAAATATTATTTGTCATTTTAGAGACTATAACTTCTGCCATCTTGATTTTCAGATTCTTGAATCTAATTGTTTCCAGCATGAAAACAGTTAATGATCCTTCACTGATCGAGAATCATATCTATTTAAATGGAACAGTCTGAGTCTATTTCATAGTCATCACCTAAAACATGTCAATTAGATTTTTATTATGTGTTGAAAGACAATCTGAAAGCAAGAAAGGATTTTCTGACTAAAGTAGTTTCTTTATAGTCAGTGAATATCTGAGTTTTGTAATTAATAGAAGGGCAACTTCTGCTTTGGGCCAAGATGTAGTAACAGGGACTAGACTTGATTCTCACCTGAAGCAATTGAAATCTTGGAAAAATATACAAATCAATTGTTTTCAGACACTGGACATCATCAGTGTGGGACAGTAAATTCTCTCAGAAAGAGAAAACAAATTAAGTGAGACCTCTGATTGTACCATCTGACAACCTAATGAGTGTTTCCAGGCTACAGTGCAAGGAGGTGGAATGCAGGCAGAGGTTGGTAGTCTTCCTGAATTGAGAAGATGGTATTAGGAGTCCAAGAAGCCAAGGCAGCTAGAGTTGATAGGGCAGATTATCAGTGATGAGAGAGCTGCACAGAGAGAGAGCTCTGAAGATTATCAAACTGTTTTCAAATAACTTAACTACATCCCACACAAAGTTCAAAAATATTTATATGAAGATAAAATATCTAGTACCCCTAAAGCAAATTCACAATGTCTTGCATCCAATCAATAATTAGCCTTGCAAAGAAGCATGAAACTAGAACCCATAATAAGAAAACTCCATCAATAGAAACAGATCTGAAAATGGCATAGAAGATTGAATTAGCATAGAACAATATTAAAATAGTTACTACAAATATACACTATATCTTCAAGAAGGTAGAGTATGTTAAGAAGGTAGAAGAAAGAGCATGTGAAGACATGATAGGTATATTTTTAAAAGACCCAAATTGAACATCTAGAGATATAGCCCACAAAGTCTGAGATGAGAGTATATTAGATAGCACTAACAGCAGACTAGATAGTCCAGTAGAAAGTTTTAGTGAACCTGAAGACATAGCAATATAAATTATTCAAAATAAAATAAAATTTTAACAAAAACTGGGGGGAAATGAATAGAGTATGAGTGAGCTGTGGGAAATTTTCATTCAGCCCAATAGGCATGTAATTGGAGTCCTTGAGTGAGAGAAGAATGAGTGAATCAGAAATACATAGAGCATATTATAACCTAATTGCTTAAGACAGATCATGAAGAGAAATATTTTGAAACCACAAGTGATCAAAGACACATTATATAGAGGAGCAAAGATAAGAATGACAGCAGACTTCTCATCAGAAACAATACAAGCCAGAAGGCAGTGGAGCAAAACTGGCGCTAGAGGAATGGTGGACAAAAAAACTGTTAACCAAGAATTTTACATCCTGCAAGAAATAGTTTTTCAGACTCACAGAAGCTGAAAGAATTCAACACTGGTAGATGTATATGCTACAAGAAATTTTAAAAGGTCTTCAATCAGAAGAAAAATGATACTAAATAGAAATCCGAATTTACACAAAGGAATAAAACATGCAATAATAGCTTCTATTTTCTGCTTCACTGATTAATAGAGACTGATGTAGCATATAGCCCATCATCTCTGAGTGTCTTCCTATCTTCCACTCTTCAACCCAACCATGAAATCTTTCTTTTCTAAACTTACCTGGGAAACTTGCATGAAGTGGTTGGGAAAGTGGATTGGATGTTAAAATTGGAACTTCTGAAATATATGAAGAAAAATATACCTTTCTTCAGAGACCTTTTCCACTTTATGATGAAAGCAGTGTTCAAACTTTCCACTTTGTATGTGTGCTGGAGCATTTCATTGCTCACCAATCTTGGGTACAACTACAATCTTGGGTACAACTACAACTTCTACCAAAAAGATGTGCATAATAAGATAGCTTCTAATTTGGACACAGGATTTTATATAGTCTGCTATAGTAGCCAAGGTATATAGGAAAAATATTTGCCTTTCTTACAGCACCTCATTCTACCCACTTAAGAAATGTTTTTCTTGTCTTTACTAGTCTATTCTCTGTAAAATTTAGTAATTCATTCTTCACAGATGATGGACATAACCAAGAAGTCTCTATTTAGTAATAAGTGACCTTAAAGTTGCTAATAGATCCCTATGAAGGCCAATGCAGTTCCTAAGACATCTGGAAATGTTTTTATTCTGGTGCATGTCCTTGCAATTCAAATCCTGAATAACGTGCAAAGTGTTACTTTTTTTTTTTTGAGATCACATCATATTGATCTTGATCTTATTCTAGAAAGGTCTTTATTTTAACCTATTTTATTCTCTTCTCCAAAAATACAAATATTCCCTAAAAATAAAACTAACTCTTGGTTAGATTACTTCTTCTCCACATCTAAGAAGCATTTTGAGATTTCAATCCTATATTCTGCTTCATCATCCCCTATTCCTGGAAATCATGTCAAATCTTGAGCAAATATGCATGTGGTCTCAGGCTCAATGGACTTTGTCACTATGAGTATCTGCAGAAACTCCTAGCCTGAGAGAACCACAAGACTCTTGGAAAATTTCACTGAGGCAAAGGATTTCATGTACTTTTAAGTTTTAGGAAAATTTTACTATGATGACTGAAAAAAATGCTAAAATAGAAGGATACAGAAAGATTAAAAGTAAAAAAAAAAAAAAAAGCAAGAACAATTTAAAAACATATACCTGAAAATACCTACCATACCGAAAAATAAAGTTTTTTAATGAAATATAAAATTAACATATAATAGAGAGAATGTACAAAACCAAGAATTAGTACTTTAAATAAACTAGTAAAATTTACAAGCTTCTGGCAAGCTTGATCAATATAAACAATAAAAGCCCAAAAATACCAGAAATGAGTAATAGTACATAATTCAGACTCAGTAGAATTTAAAAGGTAATAAAGGGATATTTTGAAAGTTTTATGCTAATAAGTAATTGAAACACGAATTAAAATACAATTTACCCAAGCTGACTCTAGAAAAAAAAAAGGTGAATTGTGCAATAATCCCTAAATAAATTGAATTGGTACTTCTAAAAATCTTCCCATAAAGAACACTAGATGATCTTATTGAGAAATTTTACTGATTATTCAAAATATTTCTATCTTACAAATTATTCCAGAAACTTATATAACTTTTATTAAGAAGATAGCATGACTTTATTCCAAATCATAACATATATAAAATAAGAAATTTGATTGATGACCAGCAGACACTGCAGATGTCTTCTGCCTGAAGTACATTCTTCGCAATAAGTCTATTTGCATTCAAGGAACAAATATAAAGACCTTAGAATACATTTATTCCACTCAATTAAACATTATTGTCACATATTTTAATTTAAACTTATTTTTCTTAATCTACAAAGCATTTACTACTGATCTATACAATGCACAACACTTTTACCTTTCATTCCTTGTTGCATTTCAGACCTTTTTTCTTGGGTCACATTTTTTCTGCTTAAAACACATTCTTCAGCATTTTCTTTAGTGAGAGTTGTTTTGTGACAAATTCTCTTAGTTACTGCTAATGTAAAAGTGTCATTCTCCCTTTATTCTTGAAAAATATTTCCAAATAGTTACTTTCTGTTAGTTTGTGGTCAGCAGAATAATGCTGCCACCCCAAAGTTGTCCACACCCTCATGCCTGGAACCTATCAATAGGTTACATTACACGGCAAAAGAAAACTTGCAGATGTAATTAAGGCTACTAGTAGATGTAATTAAGCCTACTGACCTTTGAAAAAGAGTACCTTGGAGTATCCAGGTGGGTCCAATCTAACTAAAGGGGCCTTTCAAAGCAGAGAACTTCCTGTGCCTTCAGTCAGACATACGCAGCAGTAGCCGCAGCAGAATAGAGATACAGCAAAAGGGAAGATCAAAAGATTCCAAGCATGAGAAGAATTTGAGGTTCTATTGCTGGCTCTAGATAGAGGACCAGAGAGAGGCCTCCAGGATCTGATGGCTATCCCCCGCTGACAGCCAGCAAAGAAACAGGAACTTCAGTCTTACAGCTGCAAGGAATAATTAAGGCTACTGGTAGATGTAATTAAGGCTACTGACCTTTGAAAAAGAGTACCTTGGAGTATCCAGGTGGGTCCAATCTAACTAAAGGGGCCTTTCAAAGCAGAGAACTTCCTGTGCCTTCAGTCAGAGATACGCAGCAGCCGCCGCAGCAGAATAGAGATACAGCAAAAGGGAAGATCAAGATTCCAAGCATGAGAAGAATTTGAGGTTCTATTGCTGGCTCTAGATAGAGGACCAGAGAGAGGCCTCCAGGATCTGATGGCTATCCCCCGCTGACAGCCAGCAAAGAAACAGGAACTTCAGTCTTACTGCTGCAAGGAATAATTAAGGCTACTGGTAGATGTAATTAAGGCTACTGACCTTTGAAAAAGAGTACCTTGGAGTATCCAGGTGGGTCCAATCTAACTAAAGGGGCCTTTCAAAGCAGAGAACTTTCTGTGCCTTCAGTCAGAGATACGCAGCAGTAGCCGCAGCAGAATAGAGATACAGCAAAAGGGAAGATCAAAAGATTCCAAGCATGAGAAGAATTTGAGGTTCTATTGCTGGCTCTAGATAGAGGACCAGAGAGAGGCCTCCAGGATCTGATGGCTATCCCCCACTGACAGCCAGCAAAGAAACAGGAACTTCAGTCTTACAGCTGCAAGGAACTGGATTATGCCAACAACCATATGAGCTTGAAAGTGAATTCTTCCCAAAGCCTTCCGATAAGAGCCCAGCTGGCTGACAGCTTGATTTCAGCTTTGTGAAACTCAGAGCAGACAAACCAGTTGAGCCCACCTGGACTTCCTACCTACAGAACTGTAAGATACTACATTTGTGTGTTTTTAAGCTGAAAATTTTGTGATAACTTATTATAACAACAATAGAAAATGAATGTACGATACATTGACAGTATTTCACTTACAGCTTTCATTTTTGCTGTTAAGAAACTGGCTGTTGTTCCAACTATCATTTCTTTTAAAGTAATCTGGTTTTTTTCCTCTGTCTACCTTTAAGATCTTGTCATTGTCTTTGATGTTTTGCAGTCTCATTTTTATATCTACACATATGGATTTCTTTTTATTTATCCTACTGAGAAATCATCAAATCATCACAGTTTCTGAATGGGATAATGATGATGATGTCATTCACCAAAGTTGGAAGTTTTTGAGCCCTTACATCTTCAGATATGATCTCTGCCTGATTCTCTCCTCCTCTTCTGGAACTCCAGTTTCATACATATTAAACCTGTTAACGCTGTGTTCAATTTTTCTTAATCTTTCTTCTATATTGCCCACAAGTACTCTCAAATGTACACCTTTTCAGATATATCTTCCAGTTCATCAGTTCACTGTTTAGCTGCTTCTAATCTGCTTTTAAAAACATCTATTGGATTCTCATTTCAATTATTTTATTTTTTATTAACTTTAGAAGTTTCGTTGTTTCTATTTTAAATCTATCTGGTCATTTTTAATAGTTTTGCCCTTTGCAAATATTGTGAATTCACTTTGTATTTCTCTAAAAATTAAATATTCTTATTCATATTCTGTATCTGATGAGTCAGATACCTATATTCAGTGTAGGTCTAGCTCTTCTGATTTTTTTCCTCTGTTTCTCAGAGTGCTGTATTTCTCTTTGTTTCTCACTGGTATTTTGGACTGAGTTCCTATGTCTTTGAGCTTTGTCTGTGGAAATGCTTTGAGGCCTTGAAATTGTTTCTTCCATAGAGAACTGTGCTTTCAACTAATTAAAGAACCACTTTAATCAAAATTCTTGGGCTGGAGATACTGTTTGTGTGTGTGTGTGTGTGTGTGTGTGTGTGTGTTTATCACCCAGATAATGTAAATTAAGTCTGAAAACTCATGTGAGGGCCATCTTATGGCACAAATTCCCCTCTCTCTATTGGTGCCAAGAATCAAGACCTGCAGTTTTCCTTTCAGCCTTCTGGGTCAGATGACTGGGTTTATTTCTAACTTACCCTTATACTGAGGACAAAATCCTTTAGAGCTCCAACTTTTTGCTGGGGGCTTCTCTTCGGACTCAGTATGTCCAGCAGTCTCTGGACTTCGTTTTCATCCAAAAGTATTATGCAAGGCTGTTTTCCACCTGATTTATCAAATGCCTTTATGGTAAAAACTTGCCTCATGGATTTTCAGTTTTGCTTGGTTCATGGTTTTTTATTCTCTTGCCAGCTCATTAAAGTCTTTAATAAGATGTTGTATATAACTTATTCACTGTTTTCCATTGTTTTCAATGTGTGTCAGTCAGGGTACCTCATCTCTGTCTTATTATTGGAAAATGGAAGCTCCAGGCACCTTGCCCTTCTGCAAGATAAATTGTCCAAGGGGAGGCCAAGCTGCCACCTGCCTATTTTACTCTCTCTGGGATACCTTTTGAGGAACTAGGACCCAGAAAGGTGGGAGCCCTGTCTTGCACTCCAGTATTTTGATAGGCTTACTTGTCTGCTTCAGCCTGCTAGCTCTACTTGTCCCCTCCCTGAGGTCCAGTTCCACTGTTCCCACTAGGCCAGATATCCTGCCATGCCTGCTCTGCAGTTCTGATCTTCCTCACCTCCATTACGTGAACCTAAATCAGTCCAGCCTGATTCTCACACCTGCACAAAAGTATACAAGTGGATTAGATCCTAAGTCCCTGAGTGCACTTGATTTTTAATTGCTAATTTCTTTTCTGAGAGCTCTACCCCATTTTCCCGCTAATTTTCCCATCTTTCTCAATATTCTTCAAAGTTCTGTATCTTAACTTGTGCTAGAACCAAGTGCTGAAAACAATAAGTTCTAGCATGCAGCATGTAGTAAGAAAGGAAGAAGCTCAAACTTTGGACTCCAAAATACCAAAGTTTACATTTCAGATCTTCCACTTAGTAGTTACCACCTAACTTCCCTAAGCCTCTATTTCCTCATTTGTAAATATAACTTTGTCAGATTGTACCAGAGATAATAAAGTGTCTAATTCAAAATAGGTGCTTAATTTAAAATGCCTGAAGCAGTAAAACAAAGATTATGGAGTTTATGTGGTCAATATTGTGTTACTTTATACTTTAAAGATTAGAATTTAAGCAATTACAGAAAGAATGAGAAGTCCTTGCTGTTACATATCAGCTCTGATATAAGAAAGTGTTATAAACTAGCAAAGGCCAAAATATAACAGCAGCTAGTATGGGGTATAGAAAGAACTGAAAACCAGCACACAAAAACTAAAGCTAAAACTCAGAATATGGCAGAAAAAAACCTGGATCAGAACCAGGCATACACATGAAGACACTTAAAGGACAAGGAAGTTGAGGAACTTGTCCAGGATCAAGCAAGCAACAGAGCAGTGTGGCTCCACAAGCCAAGTTCTCAGTCTCTTGGATATGCTGCTTCTACAATGTGAGCAAACTTCTCTGCTCAGAATTTTCACTAACAAAGTCATGCAAGAACACACTATCAATTATCAGAGTTGATGCATGAAAGGAAACCTAATTTCCACCTTTGGCCCAGAGATTCCTGGCTTAGGGCCTAACCTTTGTGAGCCACTGGTGGATGCCACAGGCACCCAATATCTTTAGACTCTATATTAATTTGTAGCTCCTATATATAATTATATTTAAGCTAACTAATAGTAAACCATAAGAGGTGCTCCCAGAGCAGCTTGCCCTTACCTCATTCACAAAACCTTTCTCATCCCATCATCATGTGTTTATGCATCTGGCTCCAGGACTAGATGTGCATGTCTCAAAGGCAGGGAAAGTTTCCTATTCTTCCATTTATTTGTCCCCCAGGTCTATTATAATCTCTATTACCTCAATATAACACAATAACTATTTTAAATATAGGAATAACAAAACAATAATAAGTTGCATCTTGTTTTGTACCTTCAAGGTACTAGGCTCTGTGTTAGACACATCCCATATATTATTTCTAATTCTTACAACAACCATGTGAGCTTGATGTTATTCTCATTTCATAGATAAAGTACAGAGATATTAAATAATAGCCTCAGGTTAAATAGTAAGTGGCTGACTGAGATTTACATCCAGATCTAGATGACCCCCATACCTGTATTCTGTCTTATGACATCAAAAAAAGACACTAAATAAACATTTACAAAATGAATAAATTAGATCATTACATTTCATCGTAAGAGTGCTTCTCAACTGCATTCTACTGTTGTCTTTTCAGGTACCCAGTCAATAGCACAATAAATGGGTGGACCCAGATGACATTTACAGCCACTATCCTGTGTCCAGGGAAAGCAGGACTGGTTGGAAACTTGCCTTCAACATCTTTAAAAAAAACAAAAAAAACAAAAAACAGAGTGAGCAGGGCTCAGGGTTTTGTGGATGTGGGTCGGCCTCCCTCAGGCAGGCTGGGTTGGGTAAGATCCTCTCCACTGCTCCATGGCTGTTGGATCCATGCCTACCTTGGATATAAAACCAAAGTTCTATCAATTTGGCCTTCACTTTTTTTTCCCACTGATCATACTGCCATTTTCACCTTCAGATTCTCTCTCACATCAGAGTACAGAGAGGTGGTTCAAGTCTAAACACTGGGATTATGTGTACTTTCAATTGTTTAGGGACGCAAAGAAAATCTAAGTAAAATCTGGTAATTTTTCTTTTAACCCAGCAATTATAATCAGATGTAGACAATATTATGTAAGGGAAAGCAAACATAGGCTTTGAAGTCAGACCAAACTGAATTCCTATCCTGAATCTGCTGCTTAATAGTCATGAAATTTGGAGAAAAACATCTAATCTCTTTGAGAAAAAGTTTTGCATCTGTAGGATGGGCATAACAATATCTTGGAATGAAATTCAAAGATGCATGTAAACTGTCTCGCACGTCAGTAAATGTTTATCTCCTTCCCTCATCCTGTTTCTTCAACAGAAAGAATATGAGAACTAACTCTCATCTAAAAGTGGACAAAAATAATGAAAGTTGCTTAAAAATCCAATTTCAACTCAAGTCATACAACTCTTTCTTATATCAGGAGAGTATGGAGTAAAAGAGAAACATTTTATTATTTTGTCATAATAGTTCCTTTTTGGGAGAAAATATTTAACTCTATTATTATCTATAGAATAGCTTTCAACATGCATACCACAATAGAATTCTTTTAATTTTTTTCAGATAGTTCCACTCTTGGAAAAATTTTTCCTGTCAAACAAACTCCAGCTATTAACAATTTGCTTTCTTGTTTTTATTAAGCAGCAACAAAATCTAATGACTGCTAGAGCTTTTGATAGGGTGTATCCAACAAGCCCCAAACAAAGGAACTTGTTATCTTAGTTATCTGAGCTTCCTCCACTGGGCTCCTGGATCTCAATTTACATCTTTACAGACTCCCCCACAGATCCAGAGAACTGAGTTGTATTGGAATTTGATTCTGGAAAGATGTCCACACAGTAACTTTGTATCTAGAGCCCAGTGGACCAGGAGCTGACAAGATTTTCTTTCCTGCTACACAAAGAACAGAGCAGTTGCTGAGTTGAGCCCTGAAAACAAAGACCTTGTTTTGTATTGTTACCACATGGTCCCTTCCTCTCTCTTTGGAATTTGACAAGCAAATTGGCATTTGTGTTGCTGAGACTATCATAGAATAGTGATTGTTAATTATACCCTAGATGTCCTGCCTCATTCTGTCATGGTTGTATTATGCTAAACGTGTGCAGTGAGCAAAAGATCTTAAATTTGATTTCAAGTTGCATATCTCAGCATGCTGACACACCCGCCCCAGGTCAGAGAGTCCCTAAAGGGGCCTATTGGGAGTTCTCCTGCTCCAGAATTTCTGGTTCTAACTTACACCAGGAAGTATTCAAAGGGTCCAGCAGATGTCAGTATGAATTCTTGAGTCTCTCCTGGTTAAGTATTAACAGATCAAATTACATCACCCACTGCCCAGGCAAGCTGTCTTTAGACAGGATATTGTAGGAGCTTTAGCTTCAGAGACAGTCTTTTCTATGAAGATCTACTCCTCTAATTGGTAAAATTCTGACCTTACATCTCAACCCCAAAGCTGGATGAGCGATGCAGTCACAATTATAAAGAACCTTCAAGGGATGAGACAAGTGAATAAAGTGGCTGTTTCTAAAAATAAATCTCTCTCTATGCCAGCTATCTGTTTTCTTCTGCATAACTGGTCTTGATAGATTCTCAGCATCTTCAGTCTCTGACCCAGCAATCTCTTTCTTTATAACGAAAGAGAGGCAGGGCTTTAGGTTGATTACAGCTTTAGAACCAACAACCAGAGACAACACTGCTGTTCTTAGCTGTGCTGAGACACTCCTCTGAATATCTTTTTGATTCATTTTGGGATAGTTTATATATTTAAAAAGTATAGAGAATAATATAACAAACACCCGTATGTCTACTACCTAATTTAGCAACTAGCAACATTTTCCCATATATACTGCAGGTCTTTTATTTTATTATTAATGAAATAAAGGTCTCATATGCTCCTCTTCAATCCTGTTCCCTTTCCTACCTCTCCAGGGGTAGACATTGTCTTGAAGTTCATGTGTATCTTTCCCATGTGTTTTAGTTTCCTGGGGTTGCCATAGCTAAGTACCATAAGCCAAGTGGCTTAAGTAACAGAAATTCATTGTCATGCAGTTCTGGAGGCTGGAAGTCACAGATCAAGGGTGGGCAGGGCTGTGCTCCCTCTGAAGGCACTAGAGACGGATGGGCTCCAGGCCTCTCTCTAGCTTCTGGTAGTTCTTTGACTCCGGGCGGCATAACTCCAGCTTCACATGGTCTTCTCCCTGTGCATGTGTCTCTATGTCCAAATCTCCTCTTATAAAAAGGACACTAGTCATACTGCATTAAGGGCCCATCCTACTCCAATATGACCTCATTTTAACTAACTATTTCTGCAATAACCCTTTTTCCAGATAAGGTCCCATTATGAGGTACTGAGGCGGGGGGGTGGTTAGGAGTTCAACATGAATTTTGGGGGCGTAAAATTCACCTCATAACACCATCCATGTATTAATACTTTAACAACATATGATTTTTCCATAAACATAATTTAGTATCTTTTATATATTCAACTTTTGTATAAATGACATTGTACTATGTACATCTTTTATCACTTTCTTTTTCTTACTCCAACAATATGTTGAGATATACTTAGATGACAAACTTTTCAAATTTATTTATAGTATTTTATTTTATGAATTTACCACTACCAATCTCTTCTCTATACTAAAATTTAAAATATATACAAGGTTCAAAATGTCTTCCAATCAGTAAATAATAATGGATACGTGCATCTTGGGCTTGGATTAAATGAGCTCTCTGTTATCCTTGCCAAGACCATGTGGCTGTTTAACTGAACTTTTTGATCTTGCAATTTTATAATTTCAGGCCTCAGCAGGTTCTATCATTAAGGAAATAGCAGGCAATAAGAGGAGAGCCACTTAAATGTTGGAAAATACCATTAAATAACAAGAGAAATAAGACATTTTAATTGATAAAGAAACTTTAAAATTTGTATCTGGTTTGGGAGAGCCCTGGAATGACAGTTGAATGTCCCAAGCTCAAGGGATAGACATTTAGGAGGAAGGCAAAGGCCATAGATCAAGTGTGTGAGTGTCCACCCCGCCACCTTTACTCTTGTGGACTGGTCTTTGGGGAGGAGACCAAGCCCATTGTCTTTTGATGGCTAGTCACAGAGAGCAGCCAACCTTGCAGGCCAGGTGCAGTGCCTCACCCGTGTAATCCCAGCACTTTGAGAGGCCGAAGTGGGTGGATCATGAGGTCAGGAGTTCAAAACCAGCCTCACCAACATGGTGAAACCCCATCTCTACTAAAAATACAAAAATTAGCTGGGCGTGGTGGTGGGCACCTGTAATCCCAGCTACTTGGTAGGCTGAGGCAAGAGAATCGCTTGAAACTGGAAGGCGGAGGTTGCGGTGAGCCAAGATCTTGCCACTGTACTCCAGCCTGGGCAACAGAGCGAAACTCCCTCTCAAAAAAAAAAAAAAAATGAAATGAAATTTTCTCCAAGAACTGCCATACGAAAGTGCCAACCTGATAAGAGGCTGTGAACTTTCTCAGTTGGATTATGTGATACATTTCTCAAGATGCACCATCTAAATGGTGAACTTTTCAATTTAGAAGTACTTTAGAAGTATAAGTAAGTTCATTATTAAATTTTAACAAGTTTGAGGTTTAAAGAATAAATTTTTCAAAAACCATTGAAAATTAGCATGTCCCTTCCCCTACCCTTGTTCCTCAAGTCATGCATGGATTCTGCTGAAAGCACAGCGCAGTTGGGAATGGTGTGAGCAGCCAAGCCTGCAAAATGGGGCTAATGCCCTGAAAGCTGCTCTTTCCCCTGCCTTCCCTGTGAGTAGAAACACACTCATTCATATGTAGTGGGACTCCCATGCTCCAGCTGTCATGCATGATCATCATGGCTTGCACCAAAGTGAGAACTGGGTCTATTTTAAGAGTTGATGGTGGGATATGTCTGCAGTGGGACTGAATCAATCTCAGGGTGGAAAAGAAAGAGACCGTGGAGTTTACAAGAGAATGCCATGTTAACCACATAGGCAAACTGAAGATTCTTGTTTCTGTATGATGCCAAAATTTGAAAATAAACAAATACCCCTTTATAGATTATCCCTTTATAGACCCCTTTATAAAAATCCCTTTAAGGGTTTATATTTGGGCTGCACAGTTTCTTTTGAGGACCTCAAGTCCGAGACTAACACACACACACACACACACACACACACATACACACACTTACATATACATACATACAAATAGCCTCTTATTTCTGTTTTTATCAGTTATTGATAGCACCAAAAGTTGTATAAGAAGCCCCAATAAAAACTGTGTTAAAGAAGACAAGATTGTAGAAATAAATAGATCTCTACAAAGGAACCATCAGAAATATCTAACAAAAAGACATGTTAAAGCATTTGTTCCCAAAGGCTGTCATTGCTTTAAAAATTGAACTGATAATTTATAGCATCCACTTTGATTTGTCTTTGATGCTTTACTCTGAAACTAGAATAAGGAGTAGTTATTTTAGAGATTTTTCTGGTGTTGGTCAGAATTGCACAGGACTTTTATTTTCATTATTTAAGTTATATTTTATTCTCATGCCTATTCTCCTTCTCCCTGAAATAATTTTCATATCTATGACTGAAATTTTAACAAGTGTTAAAATATTGTGTATCTGTGCTTAAGAATTAACTAATTAAAATGTAAACTTTTTTTCAAATAGAGTTTGGAATTTGCCGAAGTATTTTAAGATCATATATAGTGATTGGGCTTATTTATACACAAATAAAATAAAATATATGTGTACCAAGTGGAATGATCATGGGTTTTGGTTTCAGAAAGTGTTTGATCAAATCCTGCCTTCTATTATATGATCTTAGGCAAGATGTAAAGTCTTTCTAAGCCTCAGTTCCCTTATTTGTAAAAAGGAATCAATAATAACTACTTAGCAGGAATTGTTTTAGAAATTTAGTGAAGTAGTACATATACAGTGCCTGGCACAGAACAAGTGCTCAAGAAAATGGCAACTATGGTAATAGTACGTGTTATTTCTTGGATCCAAGTCCCAGCTTTTCCATTTATTTGCTCTGTAATTTTAAGCCTGTTTCTTCTTTCCTAGGTGGAGGATGTAGAGATCAGCCTAGATGGCCTCTGCATCCCTTACAGATTAATAGTCTCTGTTTCTAACACACTATGGGCCTGCATCTGAAGCACTGTCAAGCAGGACCAGGCAACCTGAATAGATGCAAAGGTGGGATGTGGTTAACTTTCACTGTAACCACGTTTATTGAGCACTTGCCATTAGGTGCTATTTTAAGTCTTTTCCATGTATTACCACATTTAATTCTCACAACAATCCTATGCCTAAGGCACTATCATTATCCCATTTTACATATGAGGCAACTGAGGCACAGGGAGGTATGTGTCTTGCCCAAGATTATATAGTTAGTAAATGGTAGAGCCAGGATTCAAGTCCACAACAGTCTACAGTTTTAACCACTATACTTTAAAGCTTTTCTGAAGGGATTGGCTTATCTACAACTTGCCACCCTCTAATCTAAAATCAGAGGTAATCCTGGCACTTACTTATATTTGTTTTTCTTTCCTGAGCCTAGAGCAGACCTTCATGATATGTTTGCTGGAGGACAATGGCTCTACAAAGATCCAGCACCACATCTAGCTGCTAAAAAGTGTCTGGTACTAAGTCCCTACTTTCTTCCTAATTAGCTTCTAAAGTCAAAGAGATATGGATTCTATCCCACAACAGTATTAACTTTCTGATTACCTGACCTCTCTAAGCCTCTTCTCCATCTGTAATGGAGAGTATATGTGGAAATATAATAATAGCACCCAACTCACAAAGGTGAAAATGAGAGGTAACACTTGGTAAAATGACTCCATGTAGGAGGCACTCAATAAATACCATCAGCATTAGCTCCATACTTTGAGGCGAATTTCAAATGGAGCCACTGAGCTGAGGAAAGGCTCCTTCAATTCTTCCCTGTTCTGAGTTCCAGAATAGGATTCTTTGCCTCAGGGTCCCTGTTATGACTTCTTACCCAGAACATAGATATGGCCAAGTTCCCAGTCTACACTCCAAATCTCTGTTAAAATCAGTTGGACTTTGAGAGGGTCTCATCAGTTGAGACTGAGTCATGTCTCCTGCCTGCCCTAAACTGCACAGCCTGGAGAGGCAGGACAGGTCATTCTCCCACCTGCTATGGGCTTTAACTGTAAATCTCATCCAGGGCTTGACGTCACCCCTTCTTTCCTCATTTAAACTTTCCCTTTCAAAGGTTCCACCTTTCTGAATATTATTAAAAAAAAAAAAGACCCTGCAAATCTTTGGCTTGAGTTTTCCATTCAGTGTCCAACTTCCTTTTCTTCCTCCTTTTCTTTTGCTTGTTAATAAAGTTTCCTTTATGTGTAACACCATCTTTCCACACTATGAGTTTGTGGGTGTTACAAAAAGATAGCGTTGAAGGGACAGTAATTATTCTGAGGTTTAATATAGCCAGAGATAAGACATGATGGAGCTGTGGGTCGTCCGAGGGCAAGTCCTCTCATGAAGGATCTTACGTCGGAAGCTTATGTAGTGTCATTTGTGTCTCAACGCCTTTGAATAGGCTCTCGATTCCCTCATTCTTTGATCTTCACTTCTTATTCTTTTCTACAACTTATATTAGAAAATTAGACTTACACACTTTCTGCTCCCAGCCCTCCTTACCCCAAGCAAAAAAATTCAAAGGGCGTGGAATATTGTTATTAAGCAAGAAAGTTTATTTTCTTCTGTTTGTTGCATTTTCCTTTTATTCCCTTTTGAACTGTTGTTTTTGAAATCAAACTTCAGTGGTAATTTTCTCTTTACCTATATTCTTCTAGCAAATGCAATTATTTCTGGCTTTGTTCTACCACAGCTGGTGGCTGGCATGGTGAGAGATGTGGAGGGGAGTAGAGGGAAAAGGAGTGGGTTTGTTTTCAGTTCTGTATGCTCATTTTGATGGCAGTGGGACACAGGGAGATGGTGGTTGGGACCTGAGAGATATTGACACATTAGACTTCCTGAAATTGAGTGAGCAGTTTAGAAAGAATTTGGAGAACATGAATGTGACTAGTAAAGTAGCATATCAGACAGAAAAGCCTTGCTAAAAATATAATCAATGTGGTGGTTTTAAAATATGTCTGAAAATTCTTTGATAATTCATCCACTCTTCAAGCAGTGGAGTTTCATTCCCCTTTCCTTGAATGAGGGCTAGATTCAGTTACATGCTTCTAACTAACAAAATGTGTCAGAAGTCATCTAAGTGACTTCTAAGACTAGCGCATAAAAAGGATAGATTCTATCGGCCTCTATCTCTCTTGGATCACTCACTCTAGAGGAAGCTAAAAGCCATATCAAGAGGACGCTGAAGCAGCCTGCGGAGAGGCTCCAATGAAGAGGAACTGAGGCCTCCCACTACTAACCAGCACCAACTTGCCAGCCAGCTGAGTGAGCAACCTTGAAAGCAGATCCTCCAATCCTATTTGTGTCTTCACATGATCGCAGCCCTGGCTGACACATTTTTTAAAGTAACAGTTTTAACTGAGATATAATTCACATATCATAAATTCATCCTTTTAAAGTGTATAATTCACTGGATTTTCAGTATATTCACAGAGTTGTGCAACATTCACCATTAATTTTCATCACACCAAAAAGAAACTCCATATTCATTAGCAGTTACTCCCCATTCCTCCTCCCCAAATCCCCTGACAACAACTAATCGACTGCCTATTCATGAAGGCTTGGCTATTCTGTACATCTCGTATATTTGGAACAATACAATATGTTGCCTTTTGTACTAGTTTCTTTCACTTAGCATAATGTGTTCAAAGTTAATCACTGTTGTAGCCTACATCAATGCTTTATTTTTTATTGCCAAATAATATTCCATTGTATGATTTATCACATTTTTAAAACTAGTTATCAGCTAATAGACATTTGAGTTGTTTCTACTTTTGGGCAACTATGAATAATGCTGTTATGAACCTTAGTGTATAAGTTTTTGTGTGAACATACATTTTCATTTCTTTTGAACATATACCATGAGTGGAATTGCTGGGCCATATGATAACTCTATGTTCAATATTTTGAGGAACTAACAGAATGTTTTCCAAAGTGACTGTACTATTTTACCATCCCACCAGCAATTTTACCATCCCACCAGCTGTACTATTTTACCATCCCACCATCCCACCATACCATCCCACCAGAATGAAGTGGTACCTCATTGCAATTTTGATTTCCATTCCCTAATGACTCATGATGTTGAGCATCTTTTACATACCTTTTTACCATTTCTATGCCTCCTTTGGAGAGATATCTATTCAAATCCTTTGTCCAGCTATTAACTGGGTTGTGTTTTTATTGTTTAATTATAAGAATTTATTGTATCTGATATCAACCCCTTATCAGACATGTGACTTGAAAATATTTTTGCCTATTCCATGAGTTGCCTTTTCACTTTCTTATTGGTGATCTTTGAAGCACAAAAGTTTTTAATTTTGGTGAAGTCCAATTTATCTATTTGTTCTTTTGTCACTTGTGCTTTAGGTATTATAGCCAAGAAACCATTGTCTAACCCAAGATTATAAAGATTTACACCTATGTTTACTTCGAAGAGTTGTATAGTGTTAGCTCTTATACTTAGGTCTATCATGCATTTTCTGTTAATTTTTGTGTTTGGCATAATGTAGCTTTCCAGTTGGATTACTTTTGCATGCGGATGTCTAGTTGGAGTTTTTACAGAAACTCCAAACTCATTTTGCTTCTTCCAGGAGCTGCTAGCTTGCTGGTTTTCACAGCTATTATAGTTTTGAGGCTGCTGGTCTTTAAGAATACCCTGGAGCTGGGGAGAGAGGTATGAGAATGAGACAGGTTAAGCACTACAAAGCTCACTGTTCTTACAGAGATTCAGGCCTTTTTCTTTAGAACTTCTTGGATTATTGCAAGCCTTTAATTAATTTTCAAAGTTCTGAAAAAATTGATTTTTACAATCTTAAACAGTGTTCTCATTGCTTTTATGGAGAAGCAGATTTTGGGAGCCCTTGCTCTGCCATTCTGTAAATGCTTTCAACATCTTCATTAGAAACTTAGGAGAAATCCTGAGCCATATCCCCTCAGCTAAGCCATTTCTGAAAATCTGACCCACAGGAAATATAAGAATAAATTTGTTGTTGTTGTTGCTGTTGTTGTAGTTGTTACTGTTTTAAGCCACTAAATTTGAGAGTAATTTCTTTTGTTGAACAGATAACATGCCAAGAGATAGACACCAACACTAGGACCAACAGATGAATTTTCAGATTATGGCTTCATATAGGGTGAAACTTCATAATCCTAAGGACTGTCAAATAATAGAGAAAGTAATGACATTCAGTGGAGATGCGTGAGCAATAATGGAGGATTCTGTTAGAAGGGATACTATCAAGGGGGCCCAGCATAAGGAAAATGAAGTACTGGGTCATCTATGGAGTCCTTTCCAAAATGATGACAGTTATGATGATGACAACAACTTACATTTGCACAGAACTTTATAGTTTACTAAGAACTTCCATACAAATGATCTCGCTTAATCTTAATCCTAAACCTAAGAGGGAGATCAGGCAGGAGTATTATCCCTACTTTACAGATGAGAGAACAGAAGCTCATAGAGGTACAAAGCCCTGTCCAAAGTCAACAACAGTAAAGTGGTAAAGCTAGGATTTTTAACTCATGGAGGAATCCTCCTGATTCCAACTAGTGGTGACTCTTTCTCCATAGCATGCTGCCTAGCTATCCTAAAGAATCTGGGTGTACGGATTTCCCCATCTAGACACAGTATATAGATGTAGACTCTACTCAACCTGTGGGCTTCCTGAGAACCCAGTCCCAGCCTTAATCCTGTCCTAGGGCCTAGAGATAAAGGAAGATTTCAGGCAATGTGTATGCTTTAGGCCAAGAAAATCCTAACTTTTAATCAATCAGCCACCCCCCATTCCAACCTGATCTGTGTGACCTGAGCTAACTTGTGCTGCACCTGACCAGTGAGGACTTTATGCCCATGGCCTCAATCATGAAGGCCTAAGGCCACATAGCTGGCCAATGCCCTGCCCAGTATAGTAGTTGTCTTGTACAGAGTGTAGGTAGAGAGTCAGCAGGGTGAAAGTTACTATGGAAAAACCATGCGGCAGAGCCAAGGGCTGGTGTAGAAGATGGAGACTCTTCTACCTTTCCCTGGAGCACACTTCTGGCCACAGCCTTTGGTCCCATCTCCAGGAACCACCAACCACGCTGACTCCTCTCTTTATGGACCTCCTGTGATTTTGACAGTCTGCTGCAGTTGATTCAGCTCTGCACCAACTTCTGAATATCTCTATCTTCCTTTCTCTAAGGCCTGGGACAGGTAGTTCCCTGAATATCTGTATCTTCCTTACTTTGAGGCCCGGGACACAATCTACTTCCCTTTCACCAGGTGCTGCCATCTCCTACTCCATCCTTCCTGGTTCTTCTTTCTGAAGCAAGGCTCCAAGGAGGGATATTATTTGCTTCTACCTATAACCCCCCTATCTTCTCCTTCTCTAAAACAAGTTTCATAAATCCTGTTACTTGATGGTTTGCTTCAGGCCCAAAGTAATACTGGTTGCTTTTCAGAGGAATAAGAAAGGATGTAGACTTTTCTACCTGTGCCTATTATTCTCAGTTTGGCCCCATCCTAACCTTACCCAGATCCAATCTCTACTCTTCTCTGCCCTGCTCTCTTCTAAAGAGGCTTGTTCCAGAGGATTTCATAACTGGCTCTTACCAGAGTACTAGCCAATGGGAGGCACTGGAAGGAGGTCAGAAGGTGAGAAGAGATGGTCTGGGTACTTCTGTCCTTCCTCCCTGCCCAGACTCCATGTCACTCACAGCGGCTGAGTCCTTATGGCTCCCACCGGATAAGCCCTTCTGCCACAACTGCAGCTGTCAGTGGACTTTGGTAACACTATTATCTCACTTGACCCTTCTGCTCTTAGGATGGTAAGGGCTTACCTTGGTGGTTAGTCTCTGGGTGACTCAGCATCCCTCAATAGCTTCCTTAACTCGGCATTCAAGTCTCCAAATAGTCTCTTTACTAAAACTTTTGTTATTTGAACCACCTGAGTTAAAGTCTGTTTCCTACTAGGCCCCTGGTTGATATACATGCACCTTCATAATAAAGGTTGCAGTGTAGAAATTTTCAACATTATATATTATCTGAAGAGCTACTCTCCTTTAATCTCTTCCAGTTCTGTGATATTAGCGACCAACTAGCCTGATATTGAGGAATGGGCAGAACTTTGACCCTGAATGCAAAAGGCTGCGATTTAGTCTTCATTCTGTATGCTTTGGGGAAAAATCATTTGCTTCCCCTCAACACCGGCCTCAGTTTCCTCACCATAAAATTAGTATTAAACTAGATCAGTGATTCTCAAAGTAGGGCCCCTGATCTCTGGGGAGTCCTAAGACACATTCAGGAGCTCTGTGAGGTCGAAACTATTTTTATAAAAATACTAAGAAGTTATTTACCTTTCTCCACTTATTGACATTTGCACTAATGGTGCAAAAGCAATGGTAAGTAAAATTGCACCTTAATATGATCAAGGCAGTGGCACCAAATTGTACTTACAGTTATTGTATTCTTCACTGCCACACACTTAAATTTTTAAAATGCCAATTCCACTTAGGAATATCCTTGATGAAGCAGTAAAAATTATTAAGTGTATTAAATTCTGACCCCTGGTACATGCCATTTTAACTATTCTGAGTGATATGAGAACTGCATTTCAGGCACTTCTACTGTATGCCAAAGCAGAATGCGTGTCAGTTTCAAGAGAAAGGCACTTATGTGATTGTTTCAATTGCAGTATCAACTAGTTGCTTTTTCTGTGGAACACTACCTTTACTTGAAAGAACAATTGACAAACTGTGGTTATTGAGACTGAGGAGTTTGGCAGATATTTTCTCAAAAATGAACAAAGCGAGTCCGTCTCTTCAAGGGAAACAGCTGACAGTATTTGTTGCCAATGACAAAATTTATGCTTTCAAGCTTGATAGTTTCCCAATATTTAAAAACTTTTCAGATGAGATCATAATGATATTAACAAAAGTTGTCTGTTGATATCATATAATGAAAGTTGCCAATATCTGAACAATCTGCACAACTCAGTGAAATATATATATATATATATATATACCTTATTTCTAAAAATGGAAGCTTTGTATAAGGACTCAGAAGACCTTGGTTTGAATCCAAGGTCTGCCATTTTCTTGCTACTTCAGCTCCATTGTTGTATCTGTAAAATGAGTTTCCTCTGTTTCTTCTCTGTAAAATGGGTATGTAGTAGTAAATGTTAATATCTATACTGAGAATAATATAAAACAAGTCCATGGCACCTGGTTAATGTTGCACAAGTGTTTTCTATCGTAATAATAATAATCATCATCACATTAGGTGGGAGGACCTAGACATTACCTTTGTATATAGCATATGACTTCAGCACAAAGGCTTTGGTAATAGCTATTGCCAGAATCAAATCCTAGCACCACTTACTAGCTACTGACCTTGTGCAAGTAATTTAATAACCTGATCATATGTAATAACATATATGAATATACTAATTAATACTCATGTGATTATTGTGAGGAATAAATTGGATAATGCAAATTAGATGCTTAGCCCAGGACTTGGTTCATTAGGTTAACTCATGTAAACTAGTAATTGGGAATTTAAGAAATGTTTATTGAAACATTATTATAATCATGATTTTACACAATTATATTATATTGTATAAATTATATCACAATATGATGGCATTTATATTTTCAAAAGGATCCCCAGATTTTTGTGATACTTTCAAGCAGTGAAATTGGTAAACCAGCTCTCTCTAAAAAAAAAAAAAGCGAAAGCTGTGCTTTATAGCATCTGTGAATTTCTGTGGTGTAAATACTCCCACTATGGCCAATTTCAACATGAGGGCTCATGAAGTAGCTCATGGCTACCAACGCAAGGTCACTGAGTGCAGAGTTAGGAAGAAATTCTCACAGTTGTCCCTTGTGAGTGGGCATGAGCTGGCTTCAGCACACCACTGCTTTCAAGTATACTTTTGAGGAGGAATCAATCATTCAATAAGCCTCATCTGAGGATTCTATTCACCAGGAGGTGAACAGGAGGTTACACAAAAGCAAAGAAGCCAAAGGAAGCAGGGTTTCTGGTGCCTTTGGGTGTATTTTTGAAAGTCACTTTGGTTTCTCACTAAGTCACTCAGAACTTAACCTATTTATACACCTATGAAAACAAGACAATTCTGTGTGTACTTTTAATGGTTGGAAAAGTTTTTGGGGAATGAAACCTGGGAAGCAAGAACCTAGTTTAAAATACAATTTAATAAGAAAATCCGGGATACATTTTATATGATTCCATTTATTAAAGAAAAAGAAACTTCTTTCCAATATATTCTACCCAATTATTAAATTCATTTTAGATTTTTGGGAAGAGCAAATCCAACTTAAAAAAAAAACTTGCTAGGCAGTTGAAATCCTCTGGTTCCAAAGTTTTAAAAAATGAGGCAAGATTGTATAGTGAGAGTAGAAAAAATAAGATGAAGTGGAATCACCCATGACAATTTGTCATATTTGTCATTACGAATTTCAACATCTGCAACTGAAAAGCTACAGAAATCAAAAAATAAAACACAAAGAAGATTCTCAAGGACCAAAGACTGTTTGATGATGTTGCTCTAAGATTTTGTCCTCCATTTATTTCACACAAAAATAAGTTAAGTATAAATAAGAAGATGAGGAGAGCTGGTATGTACTCAGATGTGTTCACTGGTGCATAGTCAGAGGGGGTGTGAGAACAGCCAAATGTATTTCTTCGCCCACACTCACTACACAAAACTCTCCTCCATGTTGCTGCAGAGTAAGAAGGAGTCCACCAGCCGAGGCTGGACCAACTGCTGAAAGTCAGAGTCCTGGAGGCCTTCAGGGCAGACCCCAGCCAATCTACGCAGAGCAGCCTGGGGAGAAGACAGAAGAGGTGACACGTGTCAGACTGGGCCATGTCAGGTACATGTATTTCCTTCACCTACCCTGAAATGTGCATTTCAGAAAGTGGTGCATTTACCAGACAATTTGGGTTGATCATCATGTTAGCCACTTGGCATCTCAGTCACCATCTTGGTCACCTGGTCAACATAGCAACCACATCTCTTGGTCAGCTAGCTTTATTTGCACCTTGATCACTAAGATAGATGTCATCTGAAAGCTGTTAATAATCTTAATAATGGTCTTTATTATTTCCAGATCCCTAGAGTAACCTTAGAACAGCAAGAACTATTCATTCATCCATAAATTCAGCAAGGTGCTATAGAAAGCACTATGGAAAAAAGAGGAAAAGAGAGGGAGAACATATTGTAAAAGTAGACAGGGATTCTGCTACTGAGAAATTCAACACCTGGCAAGGGGGATGAACAGGAAAGAGAGGTGCTGGCAGAATAAAATCACTCCCCAGCTCCCCACACAATGAGCAATGAGTATGCTATTTCTATTTTGTGTCCATGTGTCCTTGCTCATATTCTTAATCTTCAGCCCAATGCTCTACCTCTGAGCTATACCCCCTCCTCCTTGCTCATACTCTTACTTGTGACTTGAAGTGACTTCCTGCTCCTGCCTATTGTCACCTCCCCCATGAAGGCTTCCCCAATTATCCTGAAGCAGAGACAGTCCATCCCTCCCTCCCCTGTGCAACCAGGGCCCCTGGGCTGACCTCAAGCTTCTCACACTTGGCCATAACTAGCTTTTAGGTATTTATCTCCCACACTAGACTCTGAGCTCCTCGAGAGTAAGGATCTTGTTTTCTATTTCTCTGTATCTATAGCAGACAACACAGAGGTTGGCACAGGGCTCAATAAATGTTGGCTGAAAAGAAATGAATAAACGAAGTGCTTTAATATTGAGATCTGCTGATAGAGCAACCTGAAACTAAATGTGAGCTGTGCACCTACCTAGACCTGTTTACCAGTTAACTGAGACAATGCATGCTAAGTGCTTGATAAATATTAATTTCTTCCCTCTTCCTGAGCATATACACAGCAGGGAACAAGGTGCCCCTCCTCTCCCACCCCTGGAAGCAAAAAGAGTGGGGGAATATCTAGAATGGCAAAAGAAGCAAAGAAGGAGGGAATGCAAACACTGAGAATCTCCCCATAGCACCTCACTTAATCCCTACATGATGCTGCAAGCTAAGTGTCATGATCTCCCTTTTGGAAATAAGGAAACTAGGGCTCAGAGGGGGAAAGTGGCCTTCCAGACATCACACAGGAGTCTGACTCCAGGGCACTCAGACCTATGCACACAGGTAGGATGCTGCAACCCCAGGATACAAGGTTATATTGAGCACAAGGCAGGGGTACCACTCATTACCTGGACATGGCAGGTAGCCTGTTGCTGAGAAATCAGGCCAACAAAGTGAAAAGAGAGGATAGTTTGAGCTGGTTGCTGGGAGTCACAGGTGCTGTCATGTCCAGGCCAGGTCAAAGAGAAGGAGCGTGTGTCTCTGTGCATTAATGAGCAGGGTCTGTGACCCTAGCAACAGGAAGTAGACTCCCCAGAACTGCCTCTAACACACACATCTCGACTCTCATGGGGCGTGGTTTACCCCATAGACTAACAAGGGTAAACTTCACAGCACTTTCTGATTCTTCTTGGCTCCAACTGGGAAAGATAACCCCATTTTCCCTGAGTTGTCACCATGAAAACAGAACCAGGGATTTTCTGAAGATGAGGAAACAAGGCCACCAATGCATTTTTGCATCATTAGGGATAAAAATAAAGCAAGAAGGGAGACAAGGAGACAGAGCGAAATAGAACATAGACCTATCAAGAGAGCAAATAAGACAGAAAAGGGAAATAGCCAAGAAACAGAGAAAAAGAGACAACAGAGAAAAAAGAACAAGAAGGAAATATTAAAACAGACAGAGATGAACTTGGTGAAGAAAAAAGACCAAGTATAAAAAAGAGATGGAGGAAAAAAAAAAAAGAAATAGTGGCAAAGAAAATAAAAGAGAGAGCCCTTAGGGGGAGGGGAGATAATAGGAGAGAGGTAGGGTGAGGTAAGGAGGCAGAGAGAAAAAGGAAGGAGTAGAGAAGGAGAGAAAGGAGTTATGGTGATAAAAAGAGGGGAAGAAGGGAAAGAAGAAAGAGAAACTGCTAAGAGAGAAGGCAAACCCTAGAAAGAGAGCAAAGCAGAAACCAAAACACAACAGAGAGCGGCAGAGAGAGAAGAGACACCCTTACCTCCCCAGGGCCCCCAGAAAGTCTACAGGACATGAACCCTACAGTAGCTCAGAGCACCCCCTCCTCAGTGTGCAGCAGCCTCAAAGGACCCTGCACCCTTGCCAACCCTTCTCTCAGCCTCTGCTTCTCTGGGAGGGTTAAACAGCTAGTCATCCTAGAATCTCATTCCCAGACAGCCTGAAAACACCCAAGCATTAAACAAGCCTGGCAACCTACTGACAGCTGCTTCATTCAGGAAAAATCCATTCTTTTTGGGAGAGATGATCTGCACTGCCACTTTCCCAGACAGGGGAGACAATAAGTGAAACTTCCTCCCTCTACCTGAAGGGAGCCTTTGAAGCTGGGAAACGCCTTGGGGAAGAGCAGGAATGGTGGCTTCTAACTCCATCTGCCAGGCTAGGCTCCAAGTGAATCTCACCAACCAGGAGACCACACTCAAATGTTGGAACACTCCTAGGGACAAACCATGGACACCCCCAAGACTGGGAGCTAGGAAAAGAGGAAGCAAGTCTGTCAGTCCCCAAATCAATTAATACATAGTCACCAAACTCAAGGTCCCATGGATATACAAAATGCTGGAAAAAGTCCTCTGCCCTGGGAAGGTTCCAGGCTAGAGGGGGAAAAGTACAAATCCTCCTCCATGAGTCAGTGCTGGAGACCAGTGCTGTAAGAGAGTGGGAGAGAAAGAGCATGGCTTGGAACAAGATGGTCTGGTTGAAAAGTGCAGGCCTCTAGAATCAGGCAGGCCTATGTCTGAATTCCAAGAGCCTCCCCTTAAAACACCTGGGACAAAGATAATGGAACCTGCCTTGGACTTGGTCAAACAAAACCCAAGAGAGGAGGCTCAGGTTCATGCTGTGTACTCTCTGGCTTTGCACCACAGAGAGCTCCTGGAAAATTTTGTGAAGAAGAGAGATTTAGATCTAAGCTTGGAAGGATTGGCAGAATTTTAATACACAGATTTACAGAGAAAACATTTGCTGGGAGCAAGGATCACGGCACAGTTCAGGGTGTTCTGGCTTAGCCCAGGTGGACAGGGCCTGGAGAGAGTGGTAGGTCTGCAGCCCTAGGGATGGGTTGGAGCCAGACTGAGAAGGGCCGAACAGATGGACAGTGGCCCAGAGATAATGAGGAACCACAGAAAGGTTCCATGGGGGTTTCATGAAAGTGTCATGATTATAAACTGTCATTAGGAAAATTAACTCAGAAGCCACACGGAGAATGGATTAGGGAGGGAGGGGTTCTCTTCAGCATCCACCAACTCATCCACAAGATATAATCCTTTTTCGGCTTGAAAGTCCTTCAAGTGATTAAAGATAGTAGCCAAGCTCTTCTGTGTGCTCTCCTTCACACTAATAAAAATGATAGCTGTAATAATCACAAGCCTTCATATCTGAATGGAGTTTTATAGTTTCCCAAGTGCTTTCAATGCTACCAACATTTCCTCAGGGCCTATTCAGTGTCAGGCAGTGGTAGTTGGGGCCAATCATTACATGTTAATTTCCTCTCACTTCACTTGCTAGAACAGGCAGAATTAAGAGGATCTGTGAACTTGAATGAGAAAAAGTTACATCTTTATTTTCACCAACCTGTAACTGAAACTTAGCATTTCCTTCAGTTGCAATGTGAATGCAGCAACAAACCATGGCATCTTCACAAACCCTGTGATTTGTGATTTCCCAGTAGAAATTACAAATACTTTCACAGCCCGTGAAAGTTGTTGAAAATATTTTCAAATACCATTTATGGTCCACATGAGTCAAGATGACAATACTTACTAGGCTTACTGCTAGGTCTTATTTAATGATGTGTTGACTAAAAAGCAAATATATTAATATATCACATACTTAAATAGTTTAATAATTTTTAATATAATTCACTTTGGTTTTAATTCTATATATTTTACTTTTTTGCATTTAAAGGATTATTCTGAGAAGGGCTCCGTAAGCTTCACCAGAGTACCAAAGATACAAAAAGATTAAGATTACCTTGAATGTGCCAAAATAAAAACCACAGCAGGAGGGCAGAGATGTTTGTCTTTTTTACCTGCAGCTGTATCCCCATAGCCTAGAACAGTGAATGGAACGCAGAATCATTCCATAAACATTTATTGAATAAAATGTATAGCACTGAGTGACTTATCAAATGTCACACAGCTCATTAATGGTACAACCAAGACAGGTCTGATTGACTGCAATGCCCCACTGTTTCTACAACGGCACAACGCCCATCAGAAACTCCCAGAAAAGAGACAAGCTCAGCTCAAAATGGGCTGAGGAGAGGACTTTACTGTGAGACAGCTTGAAGGATCTTTAAATCCATCACTTCCCCCTTATGTTCTTTGAACACAAGAGCCAGCACTTTCTTCTGGAAGTTAAGGGTTGTGTTTATAGAGTGGCTTCCCTACTCCTAAATGTTCCTAAATGGAAGCTACTCTACTTTGGGAGTCCTTAGAGACCTAGTAGGGAAGAATATATAGACGAAGCATGCATTTTCTCTCTGGTACTATTGATTATTTCATGGTGGACCCCTAGCAAAAAGAAGTTGGGTGGGGACTTCCTAGGAGACACTTGCTTGTGTTCAAGGTGAAGATCCAGGTGGCTGCTGAATAGTCCACTCTGTCTTGTCATGTTCCTTCTCTTTCTATTCCACAAAGGAGGAGAGAGCTACAATGCTGGAAGAGCACCAGCAGATGGGCTCCCTGTAGGGACAAGTGGAGGTTTTTCTCACTTTATTCCCTTTGGAATAGGCAGGGGATATCCCTATCCTAGCTCCCATGTTCTGCAGGCACCATGACATAGACACGACCAGCTAGCGTTCCACAGGAACCTCAAAGGTTCCTGGTTCCTAAAATTGTAGTGGTAGAACAGAGGGAAGAGGGAGTTTCTCAGCCCTCATCTTTCACACATATGACCTCATATAATTTTCATCATGATTTTATGAATTAAGTGAAACAAATATTACAATGTTCACAATCCTAAAGAGAAAAGCTAAAGCCCAGAGAGGTTTTATGGCTTACTGAAGCCAGCCACAGCACAGCCGGTTCTCCTGGCCCCCTTGGCTGCATTCCGAAGGCCAGGGGAAAAGCTGGGGGAAGACTGAGAACTCACCAGGCAGGCCACAAGCACGGCGTCACTGCTGTTCCTCTCTGATGGGGATCTGCAGAGCTCGATGAGACGGGACATGCCTGTAGGAGACACAGGGAGAGCCTCAGGCCCAGGACAGGGCCCAGCCAGGCCTGACCCAGAGGTTCTGGGCCTCCCTTGCACACCCAATCTGCCAGAGAAGGGGACTGAACCCACCTCGGGGAGTCTGTGGTGGAAACTTACTACTCCCTCAGTGGTGAACAGACCCGGGTCAGGGTCAGGCCAAGCTGAAGAGTCCAAGCCAAACCCACAGATGCGGGTTAACATTTGAATCTTTACCAGACAAAATTCCTAACTGTGTCTTTTTTTTTCTCAAGTGCCAATTTCAATCAGAAAATATACTGTGGCTAAAATAAAATAAAACTACAGACTCTACTAATATTTCCTAGGGCTTTACTGAGGAGAGTTAAGTGAATGACTTAGCTTTGCAATGCAGACTGACTTCTTTTTACACTTTAAGAAAAAAAAGACACCCTCATTATACGATAGTAGTAGAAGGTATGCAAATGCAGTCTGTGTGTCCATCTTCTGTAAGGTCTTGAAGGAACAGGAACCCTCTGCTGCCCCAGGCTGTCCCTCTGGGTACCTGGATGATTGGTGACACTGCCATGCCTTTTCTCATGCTTCTTCCCGAAGAGCCCTTTCTCAGCCTTCACATAGGAGCAACTTACCCATCAAACCACAGCAGAGGACTCACCCCCTTGTTAAACCATTCTTTGACTCACCCAGATAAACATGAGCTACTTCTTGTGCATGCCAAATGCACCATGGACATGCTTTGGGTGTCACTCCCATGATACTGAAGTGAGAATATCTCTTTTTTTATCTGTCACCTCCATGAGGCTGTGAGCCCCTGGGGTCAGGACAATGTCATATCCAGTGTTACATGCCCAGCGCTCAGAACAGAGCTTAGCATAGGGTGGGTGCTCTGACAATATTTGTTGGGTAAATAAGTGACTGAATGAATGAGCATGTTAATGGGTGAATTAATGAATGAGTTAATAGTGAATAATGAAGTCATGAATGGGTTAATGAATAAATGAACTAAAGGATAAATTAATGAGTAAATGAACAAGTGAGTAGACAAGTAAATAAATGAGTATATGAATAACTGAGCAAGTGAATAAATGAATGAGTGAATGAAAGAATGGGGTTCTTATTAACAGTCTGCAGGTGAGTCACTGTTCTGGCCAACTTTCACCTCTCTAGGTCCTTTCTCCCTCTTGCTTCGGCCCCAAGTTACAAACTAGACCAGCGGCTGCACCCCTGAGCCTCCACCCCTGAGCCCCCAGAGACAGGGCTTATGCCAGCCAGCTCTTGCCCTGTGTCCACTGTTGCCACTGTGAAATCAGAGCTGCTCCCACCCCCAATACCCCCACTCCACTCCAGCCACAGCCAGAAAGCACCACTCACAGCTGAGCCGCACGGCCTCCCGTGCCACATCTGGGTCTCGGCTGAGACGAGCCAGGGTCACTGCAGCTTTCTGCTGGACTCGCTCACAGGCTGCCACTTCAGCAGGAGTCCCAGACCTTGGTTTTTCAGACAGCATGCCCATGATAAGCTGGACCCCTAGGCAGGAAGCAAGGAACAGTTGGTACCTACCCCAGCATGGAGCCTTCCCCATGGGGCCAGCTGGACAGATGGCTGCAGGGTGCAAGCAAAGGCTGTCAGGATGACTTCAGGGGTCTCACCCACAGGGAGGAAGCTGGACAAGGCTGTTCCTCCATGCCTTCTTCTCCTGAGGGTGTCTCCATGTACCAAGTCACTATACTTGGGAGGAGCATCTGAAGACATCTTTATTTTTTAATGCTATTATTGAGCTTTTACTACACACTCAGCACTGTGCTAAATGCATAGTAAATGCATAATGCCCTAAAACCTTCCAGTAGCCTCATGTATTAGGTACCATTACAATTCCATTTTGAAGCCCAGAAAGAAGTGAAGTATCTTGCCCAGTGTCACATGGTTAGCAGTTGGGGGAGCCGCTATTAAAATTCAGATGTAGCATCACATTTAGGATTAAGAAAACGAAAGAAACTCAGATAACTGGTTTCTCTACATCACCTCTTCACTTCTGATACTGGCTGCTTCTGAGACAGGTCCAGTGGTGATGAATCCCCCAGGTAAGAGGTGATCCAAACCTAAGCTGGATATTGACTAGATCAAATGTTTTAGAGTAAATTCAACCTGGAAAAGGGTGCAGTAGTTAGACTGAGAGTTTTCAACCGAATAATCTCTGCTGAGAAGCCTCCTACCTCTCCCTGAAACCAGATTTGTCTTCTGATTGTTCTAGAAACCATACCCATGTCCGCTCATACCTCCTTGCCTTTACCCACTCTTTCTTTCTACAAGGGATGCCATTTTCCCTCTTGACGCTCCATCTAAAAAACTCCACCCTGCAGGTTGTAGCAAAAGTTCATCTTCTGTGTGAGCTGTTGCCCAACTGCCCATCCCACACTCCCCTCTTCTGCACCCAGTGGCTCCTGCCAGCTTAGAACTTAAGCCAGACATGACCCAAGGATATAGTTTTGCTTTGTTTTGTTGCCCCATATAGTGTCTACAATTTTTTAGATTTTTGATAGTGTGCTAACTGGAGGATTTCTATAAAAATCTAGATTTCTGACTTCTGAAACTGCCTCCTGAATTTTAACCCTAGGACCTCATTTCTGCACAACAAATTGTTAAAGCTTATTATGAGTTCCTTCTTTAAAAGAGATTGATCCTGTCTCTGGTGAGCTCGCCTCGTCCATTTACATTACCTGTCTGAGTTTTGTAGGCATCTAAGTTTGCAACCTGTTATTTAGACCATGGACTCTCAAAGCCCAGTCTGCACAACAAGATTTGCCCTGTCCAGACCTTAGAGGCCTGTCTTCCAGTAGACACCAGTTGCATTGACACCATTGTTGATTCCTCAAATCCTGCCCTGCTTTGGAAAATAGCTCCTTCATTAAACTCTCTTCAGGTAAACCCCGTGAGACTGCCACTGTTTCCTGAAAGAGCAGGGGGGCTTAGCATAGTGCTCATTCTGTGCCAGACAATCTTCTAACGTGCTTCATGTTAATCCTCACAACATCCTTATGAGGTAGGGATTATTCTCATTTTGCAGATGAAAAAACAGAGAGGTCATATGGTTAGTAAACAACAGTGCCAGGATTCAAACCCACAGAGTATGGTTCCAGTTTTCAACCTCAACCACCATGCCAACCTCCCTCTGTTGCATTATTCTATTGTAGATGTTATATTTTTATCATATGTCACTTTTGTTAAGTTGTGCTCTCTGTCTAGACTGTGAGATCCTCTAGGACAAAGACAGGGATTTAGTTATCTCTGTTCTCATTGTCTAGCACAATGCCAGGCACATATTAGGTCTCAATAACTGTTTACTGATTCAGTCAGTCAATAGCACTTTGTGAACCATAAAACCCTCTACAGATGCCAGATATTCCAATCTCAAATTCACAGGCCTATGGAGACCCACTCCCACTGAACACTTCAACGTAAGGCTCTATAAGTACCGAAAGAACGGAGCACAGATGCAGTAGCTCAGCTTCATGGCCTCAGCTGGCTCAGCAAAGTTTCTCATTATTAGCTCAATCACATAAAATTAACACAAAATGATGTCCTTCAATTAGTAACAGAGCAATGGGGGATGGGAAAGTGTATGTTTGTTAAGACAGCAGGGAAGCCTGGGAGAAGGGGGTTTAGCAAGAGCAGAGGCAGCGGGCACAGGCTCCCAGCTCACTCCGCCTCATTAGCGTCTCTGGTTTCCAACCGGTTGCTAATTGCTCCCTTATTTCCCAGTCACAGGAAGCCCTCACCATCTCTGCTCCCAGCTGCAAGGCAGCCACCACCTTGTCCTTTGGCAGAAACAGCTTAGATCAGCTTCCAGGCCAATGAAACCTGGCCCACCCCACCTGGACCTTGGTGACATGTTCAGCACAAGATGGAACAAGGGAGCAAGTGGGAGAAGAGATGCACTCAGTGAGGGCTCAAGACATTCAGGTTGCCCTGACCTGCTCTCCCATTCTCACCCCTTCCTCAGCTTTCTACTGTGGCCAAATCCAATAAGATAGGAACAATTTAAAGTTGGAATGTATCCCTTGGTAGGAATAGATTTTTTTTATTTGAGGATCATAATGAAATATTTGCCTTCTCCTCATGACCCTATTAAAATAGCAACCACCACCCCCCCACCCTGAGACTACCTTACTCTTCTTCCCTGCTTCATTTTCCCCGGGGCACTGTCACGCTATTATTGCTGGACATTTGCTATCTTCTTATACATTATCTGTCTTCCACTAGAATTTAGGCCTCACAAAAGCAAACAAATATTCACATATATAGACCCAGTTGCACACATACAAGCACACACATATATGCTCAGGCAAGCATGGAGACACGTGTACCTATTTTTTTTTTTTTTTTTTTTTTTGAGACAGAGTCTCGCTCTGTTGCCCAGGATGGAGTGCAATGGCGTGATCTCAGCTCACTGCAACCTCCGCCTCCCAGGTTCAAGTGATTCTCCTGCCTCAGCCTCCTGAGTAGCTGAGATTACAGGCGCCCACCACCACACCCAGCTAATTTCTGTATTTTTAGTGGAGACAGGGTTTCACCATGTTGCTCAGGCTGGTCTCGAACTCCTTACCTCAGTTGATCCGCCCACCTCTGCTTCCCAAAGTGCTGGGATTACAGGCATGATTCCTGCGCCCGGCCACATGTACCTATTTACATACCTGCACAGGCATTCACACAAGCACAAAGACACAGTCCCCTACATCCAGATAATCCACATAACATGTACAATGCTGCAAAGACATACCATTTTCCTGAATGATGTCAGAGGCACACTGTTCTAGGACAGACATGTTTGCCAAGATGGTCACAATCTGGAAAAGATAATTTAGAAACCTCAGAAAATGAGCACACCTGATCCTAATAGTCCTCCCTACAGACAGGTCAGCCAGGGGCTACAAAGCTTCCTTTTATCCCGTGACTCCTTCCTGTCCACCGGGCCTATCCTTCCACGGCATTTTCTTCCATCCTTATGGGCTCCTGCCACCCAGATGTATTTCCCCGGTGACTAATGCCCATTTATCAGCCTATGGCTATAGGACGGCCCCCAAGGGCCCCAGGACACCCTGGAAAGACTAGCATAACCCTGGGTGAAGTTGGGGCCCGGTTGTCTTTCTGCTCTGGTCCCCAGTCCTGAAATGCAGACAGAACCAGCAGGTCCCTGGCCCCTGAAACTCCTCTGTGCTGGCTTGTCCTCCTGACAGCTAGCTCTTACTCTGGATTGACTTCTTCCATCCAAGCTTCTTTCCTGGATACTAACCCTCACCTACTTTCAACCTGTGATGAATGAAGGCTAAGGTCACGTTAGAGGGCATGAGTAGGAAGAGGCAGCGTTATCAAGCATTGGGTATTACATGGAATCTGATGAGAAAGTGCATACTCAGCTGCACATTGCAAGTCTGTGGTAAGCCTCGCTTATCAGTCATCACTGAAAGTCTCTGCCTGTAGGAAATGGGGTATTGACACCAGGTGGACAGTGAGTCTCAGTTACAGCTTTGTGGGTTGTAACCAGCCTCCCCTGGTACAGTCAAGGGAGAAAAGAACTCACAGCACAAACTGGATTAAGGAATGGCCTGACAGAGGACTCATTCCAGGGACCCCAAACTGCAAAAGGGTGCCAAAATGCTACTGGAATAGATTGGGAACATGGCACCTGTTAACTCAGATACCACCCACAACACTGCTCCTGACATAAATAGCAAGATGAAAATTCACCCACTTTCACAGAAATGGACAGCGCTCTCAAGTGGTAATTAAAATGAATAATAAAATAAAATTTAAAAACACTTCTCACTGGTACAAGCCTCTCTCTCGAAAGGTTTCTTCAAAGCTTGCAGGATGGTATAAGCAAAAACTGTGTCCCCCCTCCGCTGAGACAGCAGTTGACAGTCTACTGAGTAGAATTCAGGCAGCTAAAATTCTGAAACTGGATAGTAATGTTATGTCTACCAAGAAAGAGTATTATCTACATTTTAATTACTCTGGATAACACATATTACTATTTTACTCTGGATAACAAATACATTTAAAAATGTCTTCTTTTAAACAGAAAGGAAAAACTTTACCATATTAATAGAATATCTATCTCTCCCCTTTCCTTCTAAACACATATTGGAAGGGGATTCCACATTCTTTGGCTGCTGCAGCATCTGTGTGTGTGACAACCCCTCCCAGCTCAGACCCCATCAGGGGCCTGGTTGGATAAGCATGACTACAGTGGGTTGCCAGAGGAAGGACAGGAGAATACTCCAGAACCTTTATCCTGAAAGCAACTCTGTACCACCAGGTGTTTTAAGAAGGGGGTGACTAGCTCCTATTTGCAGTTAAGAAAATAATAGGACTAAAGGAGGTTTAGGACTTAGAGGCTCTTTTACGTATTTATTTACTTGTTTTTGCACTTTTTAAGATTGCGTTTGTGGGCTCAGTGGAAGGAGTTAGAGGAAAAAGCTGGGTTGGAAAGTTCCCCAAGAGGCATCGTGTGCACATTCTTATGAGGGAGGAGGTACACGGCCAAGTCCATGTCAGTTTAGAGTTTGTTTGGCTATCTCTGGGCTGTTAGCAGAAAGCATGGACTCTGTTTCCACCACACAGGGGCTGAGACATCCCACCATCACCAGGCTGGCCTTTCTGAATAAAAACACTTACTTGACATGCAGATTCATGGAGGAAGGAAGGAAGGAGGGAAGGAGGGAGGAAGGGAGGTAAAGGAAGGAAGGAAGGACAAACTAGGAAAAGAAAAGGAAATCTTTGTCTGCGGCAACGGGTTCATTACACAGTAATTATTAGCCGTGTCACAGGCACCACGTAGGTCTTTGTGTCAGACTAATTTAGATCCTGTTAATGAAAATTACTTCCTCTTTACAGAGCCTGTACCCCATGTGGTTTTCTGGAGGTGCAGATGAAGTATTCAATTAAGTACAATTTGAATAAATGCCAATTATGCCCTGCTTTGAGTCCCCCTTGTGAAACATCCTTGTGTGCACCATAACATAGAGGGGAAAGAGGTCACTGTTTATCCTCACAGTCAAGTCCATGGGTGGGATTTTAGGGACAGCTGTTTTACCTGGTTGGATACAAGTTAACAATGCTGTCAGGGGGCAGAGTGCAGGAGCCAGGCAGACAGTTTCCCCAACCCAGGCTAATTCAGTCTTGTTTGATGATGTTCAATTAAGTTCTATTCCACCTAAGTGAAAGGGCACCATTCCCCCTGCATTTGTTTGGTGAATCCAGAGGACATCACCTTGAGAAAGGCCCTAGGTGAGAGGTCAGTATAATGTGATAGCTAAGCGTGTAGCTCAACCTACATCTAAATCCTGGCTCTATCACATTTTGCTATGATCTTGGCCATGTTACCTAACCTTCTGTGGCTTGGTGTATTCATTTTCTATTGCTGCTATAACAAATTATCGCAAACTCAGTGGCTTAAAATGACACAATTTTATCTTGCAGTTCTAGAAGTCAGAAGTTCTAAATGAGTCTTACATAGCAAAAATCAAGTTGTTGACAGATCTTCATTTATTCTGGGGGCTCTAGGGGAAAATCAATTTCCTAGTTTCTATTTTCCAGCTTCTAGAGGCTGCTCTCATTCTTTGGCTCAGGGGAGTATATCCTTCTGACCTTTGCTTCCTTAATCACGTTTGAGTCTCTGACTCTGACCCTCTTCCCTCCCTCTTACAAGAACTTCTGTGATGACACTGGATTCACCTGGATAATCAAGGATAACATTCCTATGTCAAGATCTTAACTCAATCGCATCTAGAAAACCCGTGTCGCTATATAAAGTAACTTATTCACAGGTTTTGAGGATTAGGATGTGGACATCCCTGGGGGCCCTACCACAAGAAATAAAAATAACTCAGCCAGGCACCATAGCTCATGCCTTTAATCCCAGCTTCTCCACAGGCTGAGGCAGGAGGATCACTTGAAGCCAGGAGTTTGAGATCAGCCTGAGCAATATAACAAGACTCCGTCTCTAAATAAATAAGTAAATAAATAAAAGGTATCTTTTAAGTCCTGTATGAGCATTCAATGAGTTAATATCAAGCACCCTTTGTTAAATAAAATAAATATGGCTCGCTCTGGGCAGGAGAACCTGAAAGGACTCAAGCCTTGAAAGACTGTGTCAAGAAACACTAGCCAAGTAACCTGCAGCACTCGGGGGGCTGAGCATCCGTGTGGCCAAGACACGCTGCTAATGTGAGATCCCTCCCAAAGGTGAGCCTGTCCCAGAGCAAGTCAACCCTTCCCATCAGAAGAACAGCAAAGTGTGTATTCACTACCTTCTGTGGCATTTTCAAATTATTTTTTCTTTGGCCTCCAAAGACATGAAAATTGAGGCAGACAGGAAATTGATCAAGGATAGCAGGGGACCTCCCATGTCACTGGTTCGAGAAGAAATGTCCCTGTGAGGTAGGAAGGAGGTTGGCGAGGCCTTTTGATGTCAGCACACACGGAGGAGAAACACTTGTCTGCAGGCCGATGCCAAGGTGTGAACCAGGCCTGCCTCACATCCTAGCAGTGTCTCAGCAGTCAGCCCTGATCACACCCTGACTCTGCCTGTGTTCCCTTGCTGGAAACTAATACTGAAGACCAAACTGCATTCAAGGCAAGTGAAGAATACCCAGGACACCCAAGTAGAGACAGGTGCTCTGATCTAAAGAACTTTCAACAAAGAAAGCCTGGCATATATTTCATGAAAAGTTATAATTACTTTTATGCTGTGCAGAAATTAGGACCAAAAGGCCAACAGCTTGTATGACTGTAATTAGAATTATTCTTTAATTGCCAGATGAATATTTAGATTTCTATTATCACCGTGTTAACTCTGAAATTTGCAGCAACAATGTCAACTGCAGCCCTGAGAACAAAAAGCAGAATAATTTTCAGCCTCTAGCAAGCTTGTCCAACCCATGACCTACAGGCCACATGTGGCCCAGGACAGCTTTGAATGTGGCCCAACACAAATTTGTAAACTTTCTTAAAACATTATGAGATTTTTTTGTGCGTGATTTTTCTTTTTAGCTCATCAGCTGTTGTTAGTGTTAGTGTATTTTATGTGTGGCCCAAGACAATTCTTCTTCCAGTGTGGCCCAGGGAAGTCAAAAGATTGGATAGCACTGCTCTAGGGGAAGCCCAGTGCTTCTCTCCACCCTCTTCCCTCCACACCACTTCCTCTACCAAAGAGCAGAAAGAATCCAGACAAGGACATTGATCTGTAGAATTAAGGGATCTAAGGGAAGAAAGGTGGATCTCTTTGAAAATACTTTCTTTTCCAAGGCCAGAGAGGCAAGAGAGCCCAGGAGAAGGTATAGCCCTCTCCTCTTCTGCTCTCTTTTGAGCCTTTTCCTCCCTCTGGCAGACATGGCCCAGGGCCCAGGGCGCAGGACCTGAGAGGGCTGGACAGGTGTGCAGACTAGGAGAAGGGCACTGACCTAGACCCAGAGACAAGCAGATGGCTTCTTCTCTCTGGTACGTGGGTCTTCTCATTGACAGGACCAGCTTTCCCTTACTACTAAAGTGGCAAGACTGGTGGGCTAAGATTTAGGCTTAGGAGACCACATGATAAAAGCCATAGAACTGTTTTGGATGTAGGTCCCGTGCTGCTGGCAAACAGGCTGAAGGGCTCTCCTGGGTGAGGCCCAGCTCCCTCGCCCCAGGGATTACATGAATGTTGGGCTGTAAACCCACCGTATTAGAGAGCATATAAAAGTCAGACCATATTCTCTGTGCTTGGTTTGCCCTTGGCTTTGTAGGGAAGGGTTTCTGGAGCAGGTCAGGACAGGGTGTTGTGATCCTGGATTCCTCCAATACTACACAATATCCCTGATATGTTTTGGATCTGTGTCTTCACCAAAATCTCATGTTGAATTGTAATCCCCTATGTTAGAGGTGGAGCCTGGTGGGAGGTGATTGGATCATGGGGGTGGACCCTTCATGAATGATTTAGCACCATCTTCATGGTGCTATTCTTATGATAGTGAGTGAGTTCTTGTTGAAAAGGGTGAAGCACCTCCCCCTTCACTCTCTCTTGCTCCTGCTTCTGCCATGCGATGTGTCTGCTTCACCTTTGCCTTCCATCATTATTGTAAGTTTTCTAAGGCCTCTCCAGAAGCCAAACAGATTCCAGCTTCATGCTTTCTGTATAGCCTGTAGAACCATGAGCCAATTAAACCTTTTTTCTTTACAAATTACCCAGTCTTAGGTAATTTATTTTTATTTTTATTTTTGAGACAAGGTCTGGCTCTATCATCCAGGCTGGAGTACAGTGGTGCCATCTTGGCTCACTGTAACCTCCATTTCCCGGGCTCAAGCCATCCTCCCACCTCAGCTTCCCAAGTAGCTGGGACTACAGGTGTGTACCACCATGCCTGGCTTTTATATATATATATATATATATATATATTATATATATATATATATATATATATATATATATAATATATATATATATATATAAATATATATATAATATTATATATATATAATATATAAAAAATTTATATATATATAAAAATGTTTTTTATAGAGATAGGATTTTGCCACGTTGCCCAGGCTGGTCTTGAACTCATGAACACAGGCAATCTGCCTGCCTCAACCTCCCAAAGTACTGGGATTACATCAGGCATTTCTTTACAGCAATGTGAGAATAGACCAATACAATTGCCACCACATTAACTATATTTCCTGACCCTACCTTCCTGTTCCAAAGCTTACATTCCCTGTCTCCGACCCATCCCAGTCTCTGGTTCTGTTAGAGAACCCATCCCATTCATTATTGGGTATTCGCTTTGCTTCTAAGTACTTTATGAGCGTTATCCCATCTAATCATCATAATGACATGAGGGAGGGAACAAATGTTATTATCCCCATTACACAGATGAGGAAATTGTGGCTCAGAGATTAAGTGATTTGTCCAAGGTCACATAGCTGGGAAATGGCAGAACCAGAATGTGAACTCAAATCTGTCTGAACTAAAAACCTGTGCTGTTTCTAATACGTCATATATGTATATGACAGAGCTTTATAAACTATAGAGAGATTTTGAGATGTGAGACAAAAATGAAACCCCTAGTGACTGGCATTCCCTGATAAATGGTATTCACAGTGAGGTCCCAGAAATGTTACAAAATCTAGTCATTCTAAAATGCCAAACAGATGAGGTATTACTGTGGGAAGTATATACTAGCACTCCTTCCCTTATGAAAGCAGTTAATTCCTGAAGGCCACAAAAAGTCAGACTCAGTAAAAATCTCTATTATATATTAGATAAGATAATCAGGTCTCTTCCATCCTAGATTGTCCCTGCTTGACGGATAGGCCAGAAGTTCACCAACAAATTTGGAGGCAGCCCGTTTCCTACCTCCCCCTGTCAGATCTGTAGCTGGATTCTATGGGCAGTATGGCTCCTGGAAAATACCTCCTGGGCATGAAAACATAGGACTATTCAGATTGCTTGTCAGGCTTCTCAATGGCTGACCATGTCAGCTGCAGCCCGTGCCACCTTCCTGTGGATTAGCTGAAGGGTATAGAAGAGCCTAGGTCCAAGGCTGCCCTCACCAACGTCCATACCCCAAGGGTGGCGACAGGATAGGCATACCCAACGAGGCTTCTGTTGAACAAATTAAGTGGACCTGGCTTGCCAGGATGATGGAAGGGTTCTCATTGTCCAAACAGAGGTAGTCTGTATAGATCCAAGACCAAGAGGCTCCACACAGCATTGGCGTCATTGGCAGATTCATTACCGGAAGCCTCATGGGGCATTTAATCTCCTAAGTATTTTAGGGGGCAGTGAGCACTTCAAAGCCTAATTCATCTTCTTTGTCTTCATTACAGAGAGCCCTCTGATCACCTTAATCCTCCCACTGCAACAGGAAAGAGCCATTTGTTTCTTTAATGGGTGCACTTTCACTAGCTAAGTGGTTGTTCTGAGACAGGACAGAAGGTGAAGCCATCCTGAGGACAGTGGGTGACGTGCCTGGCTCAGACAGTGGAGTAACGTGAAAAGGTACCGACTCCAGGTGCAGAGAGAACTATCTGCTGGCAGCGCAACCACATTCTCTCCCTACCCTGATCTCCTTTTCCTAGGACTCAGTGAGGCTTCAAGAGGGGGCTAGTCATTCCTTGTGATAAGAAGGGGACTTCTACACATAGAGACAGAGGATGTTCAAGATGGAAGAGGTCATGCCCATTTTACAGATGAGGGGACTCCTCTCTGGAGGGTCCCATTCAATGCTGTGTGCCACACATTCAAAGGCCAATTGTAATAACATTGACAGTGGCTTCCATTGATTTAACAGTTTCTATGTGCCAGAGTCTGTACCAAGAGTTTATATTTATTTATTAATTAATTTAATTCTTATTTCAACTTTGTAAAATATGTATTATTTGTTTCCATTTTACAAATTAAGAAAGTGAGACATAGAGTGAATTGCCCAAAGTGACATGATTATTAATAGCAAAAAAGCCTCAAACTCAGGTTGTCTGAATCCAAAATTCCTTGTCTTATTGCCTCACTACTGGATCTTGTAGGAAATGACCGGAGTCAGCCACAGGAGAGGCACTTGAAGGTGAAAGAACCTAAAATTATGTCAGGTAGATGAAAGACCCAGCAACTGGAGGTATCTATCTGAAGAGAACATGAGCATGAGTAAGGCGGATCACAAAAAGTGGGCCCTCCTGTCTCCCTCTCTACTACCAAGGGTATGTCTATGGTAGGCATGGGGCATGTCCCCCTCAGGAGTCAATCAAGCCAATAGCCAACCAGGGGGTCACCACTTTATCTGTTACTGTCATACCTTCTCTCTACAGGGACCTCTCCAACTCTTAGAAGTAATAAGATCAGACTGGAAAGGAAGTCTGGAATCATACATATCATACATAGTTTGGAGGGCCAAGTTGAGGATTTTGGATAATTCACTACTCATGCTCTTCTTTGGAGCATCAGGTTTAAAAAGTAATGATATTCACCATTTATTAAGAACTTAATAGGGGCTAAGCCTTACATCAGGTCCTTGCATATCTTATTACACTCACCCTCACAATAACCCTGCAATATAGACATTCATGTCCCAATTAATAGATGCAAAAACCCAACACCCAGGAGCCTTTGACTTGCTCAGTGTCACTCAATTGATAAATGGCCCAGGCAGGACCAACACCCAGTCTGTGGTTCAACAGCTGCACTACCTCCTTTCTTCAAAGATGACAGCAGATGAGAGTCAAAGATCAAGTTCTAAGTCAGGATTTAAATTTAATCCTCATTTAAATGCTGGCTAGCTGCCTGCCAACCATTTAATTTTGGGGACATCCTCTTGAGCCAAAATATTCTTATCTATAAAATGGGGCAAATATCACCAGTGTCACAGTATTATTAGAACCCTCATACGCAAATGCTTAGATACTAGAAAATTATCTCCGAATAGGAGCTTCTACGGTCAGCTGCCCTTTCACAGGCGATTCTGAGGATAAGAAATAACTGACAAAGTTTGGGGAACTTCACCAAGGGCACCAGCTCTAGGCTAGAGGCCTTAAAAAATCCTAGGGAACATGGATCATGCCCTCAGAGGAAGAAAATCACATGAAATAATTAAGAGGAATAACCTCATTAGATAAGTCAACACTGCATTGTGAGGTATGAATTCTAAGAAAAGGAGGCAATTCCAGAGGGCTGAAACCATCAGGGAAGGCCTTCCTGCAGCTGCTGGCATGGAACAGAAACCAAAGCAGCTTCAGTTAAGAGATAAGCCTGGAAGAGGTGATGGTTTAGGGGCTAAAATGCAGACAGGGATAAGCTGAGTTGAGGACGAGAGGATCATGTAACTTAGAGCTCAGGTACTGGGAAGAATTTACAGAGACCACCTAATCTACCACCCCCACTCCTTGGTGGTGATGTGGGAGGCCAAGTGTGGCCAGAGGTGAAATGGTATAAAATTCTAGAACATCAGAGTTCAAAGAGCCTTTAAAATACCCCCATTCTATGTTTTCAAACACTTTTAGTAGTAAAACCCCCTTTCTACCAAAGAAAACCTTTCATGGAGCTCAAATATACATAGACAATTATGACTGATGTAGAAGCTGAGGCCCTGAATGAAGGTTCTGCTCCAAGCCCCTGTTTCTCATGGAGATAAAGAGGGGAGCAGTTCACTATAGGGTTCAGTGTTAGACGGCCACCAACATGACCAGGACACAGACCTTCAGAGGAGGTCTAGGCACCTTCCATGGGTCTTTCCGCCTCCCAGAATAGGCAATCTGAACAGAGATTGAGGAAGGCCCTACAGTGGTTGGGATGGGCAAAGCAGGTAGGAGATCTCGTAGGGAGGCTTCAAGGTCAATGAGAGACACAGAAAATATATTCTTTTACCTTCCTGCAGCATGTAAAGCTCATAATGGGATGGGCAAAGAGGGTAGGAGTTCTCATAGAGAGGCTACAAAGTCAATGAGAAACGTGGAGAATATTTGCCCTCCTACAGCATGCAAAACTAACAGGACTCCCATGCTCTCTCCCCTGCCTCAGAAACTACGTGCTGGCCTCCTAACTTCTGTCTCCATGGCTATGGGCCCTGTGCTCAGTGCCTTCTGGGCGTCTTACCTGGTCCCGAGTGTAAGGCGTGTCCACTCTCTGCTTGTCACTGCAGGCTTCCAGGAGAACACGGATGGCATTCAACTGCAGGAGCATCTCGCAGGCCATTGTGTCAAAGAACGTGATGTTGGCAAGGGCCGCAGAGGCCAGTAGGAAGACTTCCCCTGATGAGGCCTCTTGGCACAGTTCTGGATGGCAAAGAGAAAGAAAATAACTTCCGTGCCAAGTGTTTTCATATCACTTGTCTCATTTGGTTCACACAATACCTCTGGGAGATCGTTTGAGCAGGTGTTATAATACCCATTTTACAGATGAGGAAAGTGGCTACTAGAGAGGCAACAGTATCTGTCTACCCAGGTGGCAAATGGGATTTGAAACCTGGTATGTAATTCTACTCACTCCTTCATCCAATAAGTATTTATTGAATGAACACTATGTGTCAGGTGCCACTGGGGTCTTGGGATGGCATAGTGAACAAAACAGGTCAGGTCCTTGCCTTTGTTGAGCTCACACTTTACTAGTGGGCAAGAGAAAATAAGCTTTTAAAAATTACTATGCATAATTACAAAGTCTGATAAATATGAGGGAGAAAATAAACAAGTGCTAAGAGAATAACTAGTGTTCCGCTGAGGTGCGCAACAAAAGGTGTCCCTAAGAATGTGACTTTACAGCTGAGACCTTAAGGGAAGAAAGGGGCCAGTCATAAAAATACTTGGGGAAACAGAATATTCTAGACCAAAGGAAAAGGAGATACAAAGCCTGTGAGTCCGGAAGGAGCTCTCAGTCCATGTGTGTCTCCGGTAATGCACACTAGCCTGCTGCTAAGCTTGCCTTAAGGAAGAGACTAAAGGTGAAACAGAGAGACTATACCCCTCCAGCTGCCATCAACAGAGCCTCAGTGCTTCCTTTTGGTCCCAGGATAAGGGTTATCTGGCAGCAAGAAAGTCCTATACCAAGCTCCTGAATGTCAGGCTCTTTAATCCTAGTGGTCCTAGCTTAGCCCTAACCAAATTCCCCCATTTACCATCTGTAATTGTACTAAGGGCCTTTAAGGAGCAGAGTAACCTTATCCTTCCACCACCTGACACATCCCCCATGGGCTCCACAGAATCTGGAATGGACGCCCACCTCAGGAGGAGGCATAGATGGGCTCTATCCATGGTGCTTCCCCCATTTCAGTGGACCTGACGTCTGGCCCTCAGCTCCAACTTCACTACCAATCAAGGTACTTCTCCGGTCCAGGCCCTCTCCTACTGATAACACCTTCACAAAACCACAGGAGGCAAGGCCATACTTCAGAAAAAGAGTCCCAGGAGAGAAAGAAAGTTTGGGAGACAAAATTGAGCTGTGTTCTATCCTGGTCCCTAGTTCTTGCCTCCAGACAGTCTATACTTCCAGGTTCTGAAGCAAATGCCACCTCTTAGCACCTACCTGTGAATGCACATTCTGATCCCTACCTTTTAGTTTTAGTAGTAAAACCCTTTTTCTACCAATAACATTAGTCAAACACCTGCAGTGGGCCTTGCACTGTGCCATTAAATTCTGAATACCCTCAAAGTAGAAAATGATTGTCCACATTTACAACTAGCTGAATCTTAGAGAAGCTAGTAGTATCAGCAGCTACCATTTCTTGTTTACTCACTGCTGTACATATTTTTTACTTCATTACATAATTTAATCCTTACAACAATCCCATTTTTATCACTATTTTGTAAATAAAGAAATTGAGGATTCAAATGTTAAGTGATTTGCTCCTGGTCTTATGGCCAGTAAGTAACTGTTTGAGGCTAGAATCAAATCCAGGTCTGCCTGACTCCAAAGTTCCCATTCTTTCTACATTACAAGTTGCTTCTGGTCTCTCAGCCTCTGACTTATTCCCAGCAATGCTTCCACAGATGTGGGTTTTGGTTCTATCAGGAGGGTAATGCCTCCCTCTGGGCAATGTTGCTCCCCACAGCCCAGGTTTGACCATTAGATAATTCAAGCTCTTGATCCAACCACCCAGGACTGGAAAAACAGATTAGCCAAGGTATTAAGAACTCTGATTCCCTTTATCCAATGATTGCCTTATCCTCTGATTTTGGGAAAATCACTGGAGTCCCCAGCCCCTTCCAGGCCACCTCCCTATATCCATGGTTTTGGGTGAGTCTGCAGAGCTCAGTGGCCCACTTTGCTGTAAGATTCCTTCTAGGTCCTAACACTCCCCCTCATTCTCATTCAGTTGCTATTGCTGCCGACACAGCAATTATTAACACAACCACCTAAGTGCCTTTTAATTTTGCTGCACATTTATTTGAACTACAGTCTGAGTCACCTGGGATGTGTTAGGAAGATTAAATTGAGGATTCCAGTGACTCATTTATAAATGTTTCCAGGGAATGGCAAGAAGTTGGAGGGCTATTTCCCACCAAAGAACAGAGCTCTGGCTTCCTGCCCAGAAGATATCTGCTGAATCTCAGAGTGGACTATACAATGCATCTTCATCAGGATGAAACAAATAGGAAGACCCCTTGGCTCAGGGAGAAACCCAGCCTGGGCAGTGAAGCAGGAATGAATACATGACAATAGTGAAAGGTCACTTGGACTACATGTACTTTTGTTTATTTGATAATGTTTATAAATTGAGAAATTTTCTATGAAGTTTACAATTTTTGTCTTATCTTTAAAAGTCTATGCCTTTCCCACATGGTAACAATCAACTGAAATTTACCAGTGACCACACCTTTAGACAGTGCATGGGCTTTTCAATTTGACACAAGACTCAAACACCTTTATTCTTCCACCTGGCTCTCTTCAACTCATTTATGTTTCTTAATGGGCTCTGGTGAATGTTGAATATGAGACTCCTGGCATAAGTGAGTCATAATGCTGTTTTGTGGCCTTAGGAAAGTAACTTAACCCCTCTAGGCTTAGATTTCTTCACCTAGAGAGTATGCTTAGAACTGTAGGGTCTCTTGAGCTCCCTCGAGCCAAGACTTTCAACAATGGGCTTCCATGTTTTCTCAATTTTGAATAAATGTGGACATTGGCAAATTGATTTCTCCCAGCCTGACCTGTGAGTGCCACTGCCCCCATGACTAGAATCAGCCATAAACTCAACTTAACTGATGTCTTCTATGTGCAAAGTACTTGCAGATCTCCAAATTCTAGAGTTAGAAGGACCCTTGAGAGAAACGAGTTGCAATGTCTTGTTTATATTAGGAAAATTGTGAAGTGGGTTTTACAATGTGACATGGTAAGAAGTGAGTGGCGGGATCTCACACAGTACCGGCGCAGGCTTGCTGCACATAACCACTTGAATGGATGAGTGAAAAGCCCGAGTCCAAACCCAGGGTTCTGACTCCTTGCCCAATGTTCTGTGTTGCCCCTAAGTTCATGCTATTTCAGATATTCCCAGCCCTGGCATGGTGACTCCAAGAGCTAATCCTAAATTTTCTGATAAAATTAAATTTCATTCCATTTCAATTAGATACAAAGAGAGTGCCAGAGAAATAGAAACACAGATCACCGTTAGCACTTTTAAAAGAAAGAGGTGGGTCACAAAAAATTCCCTGGGGATTGTTATCCAGACAAGCGCTTTCAGTTTCTATAATTTAGCAAAGGAAAACTAAGAAAAGAGCATATTTTAGATACGGATCTATGATTCTCCTGCTGGGGGTACATATGTTTGAATAGGGGAACCTAGAGGAGTCAATGCTTTCAAGGCCCCATGATATGAGGCCAATGGTGGGATTTTCAGGCAGCAGGTTGTGGTGGGCTGGTGCTCTCTGAGAAACCATTTTCCCCAGTCATTGCTGCCATAGTCACTGGGCACAAGGACTGAGACTTTAGGAAAAATGCCTATCAGAGTCTCTCGATCTGAGTATCTGAACGTCAAAATTTGAGGCCCCATTCCTTTCTGGGGCTTGTCCTGGACTCCCTTCTGAAAGGCCAATGAATCCCAAACTGACAATAATTCAGGTTGCTTCTCAGAGGGCCGCACACATTTTAATAGGAAACTCTTGATAATAGAGCTCATCAAAGCCTAATTCAGATCCATTAATTGTGGGATTTCAGCAAATATGATCATCTATGCAGGAGATATTTGGGGTGCAATGAGTGGCAGATGGGAAGGCCTTCCTGGCTATTTCTGAAGACAACTGTGCCAAGGCCCTCTCTCCTAGTGGTCCCGCTGCCCAGGGTGACTCACTGACGAGGGCTGTCACGATCTCCTCCATGCTCTCCAGGAAGCTACTGAGGTGCTGGGTGACGGGCAGGTGTGGGGAGGTGACCTGGGCCACCACAGCCGCAGCCTCAGCCCGTGTGGCCTCTGAGTGGCTGTTGTCGGTCAGGATGTCGGCCAAGCACAGAACGCCATCCACCTGCAGATGGAGAGAGGGAGCTCCCCTGTGCATCCTGGGTGGACACCACTGCCCATGACATTAATGAGACAGATACAGATTCAGCCCCCACTACATGGAAGCCAGCTCTGGCTTCCCAGAACAGCCCAGGACCCCATGTGGAACCAGGGACAATCCAGTGATAAGGCCCTCATAATGACTCAAATTCTGGCACCTGGAGGCCTCTCCTTTGAGTCCAGCAGAGATCAGTAACCTTTCATGGGCCTCCTAGATAGCGGACATCAAGTCAAGTGTCTAGAGTCAGGACCCTGGTCATCCACCACAGCAAATCGTCATAGAAAGAACAGTCACTTAGAAATCTCACATCCCTGACCTCCAATCCCCTCTTCCTTGCTGTGTGACTTGGCGTTAGTCACTTACCCTCTCTGAGATTCTGTTTCCTCACCGTTCAACAGGGTGTTGTGGGATTGAAGAGATAAAGCAGGCAATGCCTGATCTAGAAGAGATGCTCAGGAAATGTTGGTTTCTTCCTCCCTTCCTCATATTTAGCAACAGGATGAGCTTAGTATTTCCTTCCCCATCTTGTCCTCCACCATTCTCCACTATAGAAATGGGGCTGCTTCCCTGGTGGCCTTGCTTTCTGTGCCCAACCAGTAAGAAGCAAACCTGAAACTGGTGGGACATTAGTGCCAGATAAGAACATGTTTCCAAGCTCTGCCCGGGTCAGATCTGCTCTTGGCATAACAGCTTCTGCTGAGCATGTGCTTACAGTGTGCCAGGTACCATTCTATAGAGTGCACATGTTATTACACAATCTATTCCTTACAATAACCCTCTGAGGTCAGTATTATTATTCCCATTTTACAGACAAGAAAGCTGAGTCACAGAAAGGTTCATTGACTTGCCCCAGATCAAGAACTTTAAAAGCAGTTGGATTGGTATTCAAACTCAAATGGTCTGGTGTCAAAGCCCAGGTTTTGAACAGGATGTGATGCTGCCTCCTAAGAAGTGGCACCTGAGCTCAGACCTCAGCCTCCATTGGGGTCAGTACACAAGATTTGCTGGAGAAAAAGAGGGCAGGAGCTTGTCAAGGTTAGCTCTGCAGTGCTACTGCAGCCCCTCAGATGCCCCGGACACCAGCCTGCCTGGGGACCATGCCACCAAGCACCAAGTCCTTCTCGGGTTGGGAGTGGGAGGTAGGGATGAGGCAGGGGAAGAACAGGAGAGGTGGGGTGAGGAGCAGCCCGTGCTCATTCCCTACACCTGCCACAGACCTGAGGCTTCTGTCCCTGCGTCTTCCTGCCACTCAGCTCCAGTGGGCCTCCAGAGGTCTGCATTTCGTTTGCCTAATTATCACCACTGAGTTCTGTGCCTCCCTTAAATGGCTCTTGGGAGCTGTAAGGTCCATTAGCTGTGAAAGCCTTTGGCAATCTCAGACTCAAAGGAGACAAATGTGGAAACAGGAGCCCAGGGAACTGTCCACAATAAAATTCACCTGGATGTGCTTAATAAAAGGGAACAAACAGCAGCCATGTGGTCCCTGGCAGAACTGGACTCATGCCAGGTGTTTAACTAACAGGCCTTCAGAGAGAGGCCTCGTTTGGGCCTAGAAAAGGGAAGGGAAGCAGGGGCTAGAAGCAGGAAGCAGCCCTATTGCCAACATAAGAAACCTCTTACTCCATCTGGCTTTCATCCCTTTCCTCCTTCCAGCACAGATCAAGCTCGTTGCTAAGAAGCTATAGGATCATTAGTGGGGAAATATCTCAATCAATCCCGTCTCCTTAATCTCAACGTGGTTGCAGATGCTATCCTGGTCCCCAGCTCAGATGTGAATACCAGTCGGACCCAAACCAGTAACTTGCCCTAATCCCCAACACATGCTTGGAGATAGGCCAATCTGAACACACCAGAGAGGCCAAGGATTTGATGGTCCCCAGGGTCTGCTGCCACCCAAGGCCTGGCTGCCAGGCCTGCTCCCTAGTCCAGACTGCTGCTCTGAAACCCCATTGAATAAAACATCCCTGACATATACTGCATGCCAAGCCTTGTGCTGGGAACAGTGTCCACTGCAGTTGGGGAGGTGATTCACATCTACAAATTACAAATGAAGATGCTCTACAGAGGGGCCTCCTGGAGGCTACCCTGACTTAATGAACACGCCTCAGTTGGGAGACGTGGCCTTCTTTGGGTCTCCCATGCCCAAGTACCTTTGCTATCATTGTCACATTTGTCACACCAACAGGCCCTGTTTCTCCAAGTGAGGTCTGTGGACCAGCTGCATCAAATTCAGTGAGAGTTTCCTAAGAGCAAGTTCCTGTATCCCACCCAGACCTATTCCACCAGAATTGCCAGAGAGGCTTGAGAATCTGCTTTTTAACAGCTCCACAGCTGACTTTCATGTGCCAGCAATTCAGAGAAGCACTAATACAGTGTGATTCTCTGCTCCTTTGTCTGTCTGCTCCCCTGTCCCCCTGCCATCTCTGCAAGCCTGGGGACCACAGCTTGTTAACTCTTGGCTGCTCAAGGTCTGGCATGTAGTAGGCTTTTAGTAAGTGGGAAATAAGTACAATAAAGTAAAATTTGACCTAACACTTAAGGACACACTTTAGACAAGCAAAGCTAAAGGAATGGCGTCGTAGATGGAGGAGCTATTGTGAGCAAAGGCAATTATAGGAAAAGATAGCATTGGAGAAACAGCCAACATGAGAACTTAAATTGATTCTTGACCCCAGGAAAGTGACCCCATCCTGATGTAGACCCCAATTTCTTCACTGTCCTTTGGTTTCCAGAGGATGTGTGGAGTTGCTTATACAATTGCCAATTGCCCATCGTCTTGCTTCCCTTGTAGTTTGTTTTATATGCTTCAGATCTCTTTTGGTAACTCATTAATTATCCCTTCAAAAGGGAAATATATATATGTACATATATATATATAGAGAGAGAGAGAGAATAAGTTTTAACAAATAATAAAATGAACACCTGTATGTTTAGATGTATATGCCTAATATCCAAAAATTCTAGTTCTAGAAATAAAATCAAGAAAATCCCCAGCACACCTTTCATGATCTCATACCTCTGATTTCTCCTGCTGGATGGGCCATTACTCTGAGTTTTATGCATATTATTCCCTTGTTTTCCTCAGAGGTTTATTGAAGGTATCCACTGTTAGTTTTACAAGATTTGTACTTGACATAAATGGTATAATGCTGAATATGGCAATTTATTTTTCTCTCCAGTCAGTATTTGTTTATGAAACCTCTTCTTGTTGTTGCATGTGGCTATGATCCATTTATTTTCACTGTTGTATGGTATTTCATTATATAAATCAATTTCAATTCATTTATGCATTCTCCCGTCGATGGGTGTCTGAGTGGCTTCCCAGCTTTTGCTATAATGGACAGTGCTGCTATAAATATTCTTCTAAATGTCTTCTGGTGAACATCTGCCAGTTTCTTCAGAGATCCCAATCTAGGAGTGGAATTCCTAGGGCAAAGTGTTTCCGCATCTTTAGGTTTATTGGTATTGCCAATTGTTTTGCGACATGATAGTAGTAACTTTTATTCCCACCAGCAATACATAATCACACTAAAAACCAGATTCTTGCCAATACTTGCTATTGGCAGATTTTTAAATTTTTTGCCAATTTTATGGCTACAAAAATTGTATTTTAACCTGCATGTCTCCACTTCCTAATGAGGTTGAAAGACTTTTAATATCATTATTTTGCTTTGATTTGGTTTGTTTTGGCTTTTGTTTTTTGCAAGTTGGATCTCCTCTACTATAAATTGCCTGTTTAGCATCTTTTCATAGGGGCCAAATTTTCCTAGCGTTTCGTTCTGATGCAGCTGACCAGCCACTTGGTCTGCTGCCAGCAAGTTGATCTTCATATTCATTACCATCTCAGCAGCTCTTGCACAGCCCAGCTCACCATAGTATGAGGCCACTCAAGCGCCCCACACCACTGGGTTCTGGGCTTCCCAGCACCTGAGGCAATTCCTGTAGCATCAGAACATGCACAGACATTAGATTTAGGCCTACCTACGTCTGAATCCTGCCTCTATCCTTTACTAGCTGAACAATTTTCTTACCTACTGATATGGTTTGGCTGTGTCCCCACCCAAATCTCACCTTGAACTGTAGTTCCCATAATCCCCATGTCATGAGAGGGACCTGGTGGGAGGTAATTGAGTCATGCTGTTCTTGTGATAGTGAGTGATTTCTCGTGAGATCTGATGATTTTATAAGGGGCTTCCCCTCCGCTTTGCTCTGCACTTCTCCTTGCTGCTGCCATGTGAACAAGGATGTATTTGCTTCCCCTTCCACCATGATTGTTAAGTTTCCTGAGACCTCCCCAGTCCTGTGGAACTGTGAGCCAATTAAACCTCTTTCCTTTATAAATTACCCAGTCTTGGATATGTCCTTACAGCAATGTGAAAAAAGACTAATACACCTACTTTGAGCTTTTATCTATAAAACAGGAATAATACCAATCTCATAGGTTGTTTTTTTCCTTCTTATAAAATAGGCCTAAAAGTAACAACTTCAGAGGACCATTGGAATTATTAAATGAGAGACTGCATGTATAGTGCCTGCCACATGGTGGCACCATCATTCCCTCCCCTCCCCACCTGGTGGCTCCTAGACTTGGGGCCCTGAATCCTAGGTTCACCCCACTTCTGCCTGTCCCAGCCTCCTCACTGGGCTTCTCTCCAGAAGTCCTTTCTGCACACTCTTTTTGGAACTGAGACCTCACCAGGAACCTCAGCTCTTTGCACTGGGGCCCAAAGTTTAACCACTTGTTTAGACATCCATCAGTCATGCAGCCCAGAACCAGGACTTTTAAAATGGGAGTGATTTCTGTTTTGATTCCTAACTAGGAACAATGCAATGAATAATTGCAACTCCTCAGAAGGGAAGAAAGAGAAAATCAGTACTATCCCTGCATTTCTATAGTTCAATAAACATTTCCTGAGCACCTACATTGTGATAGGTGCTGACCTGGGCAGTGACACAGAGATGAAGCAGAAATAAATAAGAGAGATGAAGACACAAAGACGCACAGCAACACGAAAATGGAGAGTGAGACAGAGAGAAAGTGAGATAGAGAGGGGAGAGAGAAATCATATGCTTACAAAGGATTTGAGAAATTGTCTGATGCAAATCTCAGTCAATCAATTCCTCTCTCACTTGGCCTCCCTGTAAGCTCCACTGCTCCTGAGAATTCAGTTCTCTCCATCTTGCCCTGATCTCCTGCTGAGACTTTATGACACCACACTTTTAGGCTCCTCCCTAGCTCACCACTTTTTACCATTTGCTCTGTTGGCCTCTCCTCCTTTGCATTCATCTCAACTGGCATATACCAGGTTTTGCTGCCAGCCCGCTTTACTCCATATCAGACAAAGGCACCCAAACCCAAGTTGCCTCAGTGACTCGCTACAATGACCCCTAAACCTAGCCCTCTTTTCTGAGATCCACGTCTACATTCCAAACTGCTATCTTATCATTTTATATATAATTCCAAACATAATTTGCCTGGATATTCCACGGGCACCTCAACCCCAATTCACTTAAAGCTGAAGTGGTCATTTTCCCTGTTTTCCCTCCTTACTCCCCTCTCAGAGCTGGTCAGATGTCACTTCCTCTGTGAACATGCATGCACCTCCCTCACCCAGAAGAGGTCATCTCTGTTCTCCCCATTGCCACATCACTGTGGTCTGACCTCAGCTAGAACACCTATCAAGTTAGATGGTCTCTTCTGGTAACATGCACATTCCCCAAGCAGATTTGAGCCACTCAGGGCAGTTCTTATACCAAATTTTCTCTAGATCCTCAGCATCCAGCTGAGGCCTAACACACAGCAGTTTACTGATGAAGTATGGGCTGAATGATGAGGAAATGGAGGCCCAGGGAGGAGATGAGATTACCTAGGCCACATGGCAAGTTAATGCCAGGGCCAGGACTCCAGTTCTGGCCTCCTCACTTGTTGTCCCATGCCTCCCTCATTGGGGCCTCTGGGGAGAAGAGGAAAAGCTGGTGAAAGGGCCAGGTGAGCAGGGGATGCTCAGCTTAGTTCCCATGATGGGCCCAGGAGTAGCCCACCCTGAGGCCAGCTGCCCCAAACACAAGTCCCATTTTAGGAAAGTCTGCATCCCCAAATCACCCACTTCCCATCCCTTGTTGTAAACTTAATGATGCCAAGAGAACAATCTAATCAAAGCACTTTCACATCCCTAAAGAAATTGCTGCTGGAAGCACTTATAGATAATTAGATTTTACATGGAATGGAATGGGCCTGGGCCTGAAGCCAGACTTTCCTCATGGGCGGGCATGCAAGTGGTGATGAGGATGGCCTGGCTTGGTCATCATCTGGGCAGCAGAGCTGATGCACCTGGAGTCTGGATACAGAAGGGGCTGGCGAATGCTGAGATTCTTCCCAGGGAGTGGGAGGAACAGCATGGAAATTGTCTTAGTCTATTTTATGCTGCTATAATGAAATACCTGAGACTGGGTGATTTATAAAGAATCGATTTACTTCTTACAGTTTTGGAGGCTATGAAGTCCAAGTTTGAGGAGCCCACTTGCTGCGTCATTCTGTAGTGGAAGGCAGAAGGGCAAGAGATCTTGCATAAAAGGATTGGTGGGGGGCATAAAGCTGAACTCATCTTTTTATCAAGAGCCCACACCCAAGATATCTAACCCACTCCCAAAATAACAGTGTTAACCTATTCATGGGTGCAGAGCCCTCATGACCTAATCACTTCTTAAAGGTCCCAGCTCTCAACAAAGTTGCACTGGGGATTATGTTTCCAGCATATGAACCTTGGAGGACACAATCAAACCATAGCAGAACTTTTGCAGTTAAAGAACCCAAAGTGTACAGCAAACATCATATCAGATTTATGGGCAACATTCTCCTACTGATTATTGGAAAAGCACCAGTGGTGGTTTTTATGCAAATATCTAAAGGACACAGGCTAATATACAAAGGCCCATGATATATCACTGGTGCTAGTCTGCTCTTCTTAGTTTTGTTTTTTAGGGAGGTTGTTTTTGTTTTTGTTTTATGTGTCTAATTTTAAGGAAAAGGAGGTAGAGTTGGTTTCTGGATTGTAACAATTAAACAGAATCACGGGAATGCACTGAAAACGCAGCCATAGGAGCAGGAGAGTGACCTAGAGATGCTCAAATTTTCTCTTTCTTTCTGTCCTTCCAGACATCTAAAGGCTGCAGGAAAATACATGATGAGTGGGAATCACAAAGTGACTGGCATCCTGCTCATTGATCTAGGCAGGATGGACCTGTTCATCCAGGGTATAGTTAGAGGGCAAATTCAATTATAATCAGAAAGGGGAGCAAGGGTCACATCCAAGGAAGCAAAGACAAGTGACAGACCAAGGGAAAGGGCAAAGCATTTCATGGAATAAATAAACCCATGGGTCAGAGGCAGAATGCTAATGTGGACTGTACACCAGATAGGGACAAGGTTCAGGATGACGTCTGCAACAGTCTAAGAGGTTAATTAAAGGCTCCCTTTATACAATGAGGTGTTTGTTTTATGGCGTGGTGATAGAGCTGAGAGCTCCATAGAAAGCTGCAGAAGCTAAAACAGGCCTTCAGGATGATAATATTATCCTCCTCCAAACTAATATATCCCAGCACTCAACTTCTTTTGCTACGTCAAACAAGAATCTTTAGTTAAAAGTTAAATGGAAAAATACAAATATTCATATGTAATATGGAATGAAACAATGAATGAAAGGGATTATACAACCAGTTTGGCAGGCAAGTCAGTGAGGTAGAGAGAGAGAGAGACATATAGGCAGAGAAAGCAGGGATGAGTAATTAAGGTGGAAAGCAATTATGGATTGAGTAACTTAAGAGTATATAGAGTAAATAATTTCCCTGTTAGGCAGATGATTTTCCTTATAGCTGATTTTCAAACAGATGCTCTGAAGGTGCTTTGGGGGTGGATTTCCCTTTGGGCTAGGGTTACTAGGCATGTGCTGATAAGAAAATATCAAGTTTTCAGCAAAGCACTACTGGGCACAGCTGGGATCTGAATTGTACCCAACCTGCTTCTAGATCAGTGGTCCTCAGCCTGGTTCTTAGATGATTCGAATCATCTAGGACAGTCTTAAAGACACAGATATCCAGACTTTACCACCAGAAATTTGAATTTAATTGGTCTGTGGTGGAGTCTTGGTATCATTAGGGTTTTATTTTTGTTTTTGTTTTTTTGAGACAAGGTCTCACTCTGTCGCCCAGGTTGGAGTGCAGTGATCTGCCCGCCTCGGCCTCCTAAAGTGCTGGGGGTATCATTAGTTTGTAAAACTTAAAGTATAATTAAAAAAAAAAAACTCCTCAAGTAACTCTCATGGACATCCTGAGTTGAGCAGCACTGTTCTAGAGATATCTGTAATACAAGGAAGTTGCACAACCTTCACAGCGAGAAAAGCCTGGGCTCCTTGCTGACTTGGTGAAATGAGCAAGTTATCCACCTTCTATGAGCCTCATTTTTAATCCTTAAAATAATAATGGTATCATACTTAATAATAAAATAATAAGTTAAATGTTGACAGCTTTTTCCCTGAAATCAGTAACAAGGTAAAGATACCCATTATCACTGCTCTCATTTAAAACCATACTGCCCAATGCAATCAGACAAGATATGCAAAAATAGAAGGATTGAAAAAGTAGAGGCAAAACTGTCATTATTGACAGATGACATAATTGTGTACATAGAAAACTCTAATGAATCTATACACTATTAAAAACAGTAAGTAAATATAGCAAGCAAGATTACTGGATACAATATCAAACTTGTATTTTTTATGTATTACCAACAACAGAAAATAAAAATTAAAAAACACCATTTACATTTGCATGAAATCATAACTAGGAATAAATCTAAAAAAGATGTGCAAGATGCCAGCACTAAAAACTCAAAATATTGCTGAGAGAAATTAAAGACAGTTTGTATGATGTAGAGAGATGTACTCTGTTCATTGATTAGAATATTACACATTGTTTAAGATGTCAATTTCTGGCGGGGCCCAGTGGCTCACGGCAGGGCCCAGTGGCTCACGCCTGTAATTCCAGCACTTTGGGAGGCTGAGGTGGGCGGATCACCTGAGGTCAGGGAGGCTGAGGTGGGCGGATCACCTGAGGTCAGGAGTTCAAGATCAGCCTGGCTAACACGGTGAAACCTGTCTCTACTAAAAATACAAAATTAGCTGGGCGCGGTGGCACACACCTGTAATCCTAGCTACTCAGGAGGCTGAGGCAGGAGAATCGCTTGAACCCGGGAGGCGGAGGTTGCAGTGAGCTAGAATCGTGCCACTGCACTCCAGCCTGGGCGACAGAGTGAGACTCCATCTCCAAAAAAAAAACTATGTCAATTTCCAAAAATTTAAATTTTTAAAAACCCCAATCATTTCAGCAGGTATTTTTGTGGACATTGACAAGCTGATTCTAAAATGTATATAAAACTGTAAAGAAATTAAGAATTACCAAGATAATCTTAAAGAAGAACAAAGTTGGTTAATTTATGTTACCAAATAGAAAAATGTATTAGACTATAGGGGCCCCGTGCTCTATTGGCACAAGATGAACAAAAAGGCTAATGGAACAGAAAAAAAAAATCCAGAAACAGACTCATGCATGTATCACTATTTAAAAAAAAAAGAAAAAGGTATCACTTCAATTCAGTGCTGAAAGTACAGTCTTTTCAATAAACAGTGCTGGCTCAATTGGGTATCCATATGGGAAAAAAATTGACCTTGAACACCATTTTAAAATTAGGTTGAAATATATCATAAGCCAAAATTTTAAAGGCAAAACAATAAAGCTCCTAGAAGAAAATTAGGAGAATATTTTCATAATTTTGGAAAAATCAATGATTTCTTAAATGGACGCAAGCAGCACCGACTACAAAAGAAAAGGTCAATAAATTGAATTTTAACAAAATTAAGCATTTCTATTTATCAAAAGACACCATTAAGAGAATAAAAAAACCTACCACAGGCTGATAATATGTATCTTAAGAGAATTTATATGTAGAACGTGTTTTTCAAAGTTTATACATCAATAAGAAAAGACAAACAACCCAGTGTTTTAAAAATGGGCAAAAGACTCAGCCCTACATTTCACAAAAGATGATAACCAAATGGCCAGTAAGGATGTGAACAAGTGTTCAAAACCATTACTCATCAGGAAAATAAAAATTGAAACCATAATAAGAGAGGACGGTACACTCAAGTTGGTCACAAGCAGAGCACTGTATGTCCAGCTATTACAAATCTCCAAATAACTTGGTTTGTATTTTTGAAGTAGCCCAAAGAGAGAACGAAACACTCCTTTGGAAATTGATTGTCCATTAGCTGGGCTTGTGTCTTTCCAGCTCTTCTCCCTTTCTCTTCCTCCAGTAAGTCTCTTCCCCTTTTCTTATCCTCCTTCCTTCTCCCTGTCTCTCTTTATCTCTGTGGGTGACCAGAGGACCCACCACTTGCCGGCAGCAGGTTGTGGGTGATGGTTCTAGTTCTGGGCTTTGAGGGCTGGCCTACTGTCCATGCTGCACTGTCAGTGCCAGACTGTTCCCAGAAGTGGATCCTGCCTACCAAATTCTACCCTAAACCTTCACAGTGTATCATCCTTTCAATCCTCCCTCCACCCCACCAGCCCAAGCAACCTCCTTTACCCTGCTCCCCTCCAAACTAGCACTTGCCCCACTCCAGAAGCACTCAGGGGTGGCTGAGAGTGCCACCTCTGTACCTTGTCCCATGTCCTAGGCAATCTTTGCTTCCCTGTGAGCACGGCCTCCCTTCTCCCCAGCAACAGCACTGTGTTTTCATCAGACTTCTCATTTATTTTCTGCTCTCACCAGATTCTTTGGGACCAGCTAGGAGATACACAACAACTTTACCCTGCTAAGCCTGCTGCATCCCACTCCACCACACACACACACACACACACACACACACACACACACACACAAACTCTCAAATGCAGAGCTCCATCTAAGAATTCACAGGCACCCAGCTCTCTTCTAACAACTCCTGGAAGAACACCACCCACTCAACACAACCCAAACCCACAGAACAGGCATGTCTGTAGCCCACAGAACAGGCTAGAATTCCTAGCCCTGCCAGCTAAACATCTAACTTTTGTTCATCACATTACATCTCACAAAATTACTTCATATGCCACAGGATACCAGCAGAACTAGGAATCCCATCAAATGAGAAAATTGAGGCTCATAGGGATTAGAAAACTTCCCTGTGGTCACTTAGCAAATCAGTGGCAAATGAAGAACTTGTCCCAGGATCTCTTCACTAACATCAAGCCTGCTGAACTTTACCCAGGAAACATAGCCAGCCTCAAAGGGCTTCTACTCATCTGACTTATCTCAGGCTGACTTGCAGAGCTCATCTTGGCCCACCAACCTCCCTAAGTCTCTTTGAGACCTAAGAACTTGGGCTTAGGGCCATTAGAATTAGGAGACGGGCAAAGCCGGTGCAAATTGCCAGGGCTAAGTGGTGCAAACAGGGGCTCAGGGCAAATTCCATTCTGTCCTTATTGAGGGACCCTATGATGTTTATACTCCCCCAACTCCCACCCCTCATCAGGGTCTGAAACTGATCACAGCATCCTGCCATGCTGTTTCAAGTGAAGTCAGACATTCTGCATTCTGGTCTCAGCCCTGTGGTTGATCTCGGGAATGTGGGTGTGCACATCATTTCACCTCTCTGGGCCTCTATTTTCTCATCTGCAATGAGGAAGAACGAACCAGAAATCTTCAATTGGTATTTATTTGGTTTCATAGCAAACATTATTCACCTGTGTGTGCAAACCACTTCCCTGATGGACTAAAGAAGTGGGTGAGATAGTGTCTCTTGGTGGGGAAGCCAAGGCAGAGGTTTGAGGTCAGGCAGTGTGGGATACGCTTCCAGAGCAGTACCACATACTGTGTGAGCACCAAGGAGGGAGGATCACAGTCGGGAAGGAGGTCCAGAGGAGGCCTTAGAGCGAGATGTCAACAGTGGAGGTGAAACTCTCATTGGGACACCCAGCACAGGCAGAGGCTCCAAGGCAAGGAGGCCCCAAAGACCTTTGGTGGAGAAATTTGGTGGGAAGGGGAAAATAACTCACATCTATGGAGCATTGACTTGTATCATCTTCACAACCTGCAAGGCAGGGATTGACACTTCACTTTCACCTGTGATGAAATGGGGCTCAGAGGGGTGCAAGGTCACACACACAGTGAATAAGTGGTAGAGCTGGGCACCAAACCCAGGCTTGTTTACCAAAGGGGCAATGTGCTGGAGGCAGCTTGCTCAGAGGGCACCTTCAGTGCCAGGCTGAGGGGTTTGGATTTTGTCCAGTGGGAACTAGGAGGCCTAGGAAGATTTCCACTCCAAGAACACACAGGACAGACTCTCTGGGGAAATCTGGAAGTTAGATACATGTTGGAATGAAAGATTTGCCTACATCATCGGAGGCTGGCTCAGTAGGAAAAAGCCCTCACTGCCCTGAATTTGTAAACCTCCCCTACTCCCCCACTCACTCCGCCCCACACACTGGCCCTGACTGTTGGTCCTGGAGCCCAGAGACCACCAGCCTCAACAGCCCCAGGAGAAGCCTACCCCAGGCAGCCTGATGGAGCGGCCACTGGTGTTCTTATCCACCAGGGGTCGCTGTTGCACAGCACATGGGGTCCCACCGAGCCTCTGCGGATGGAGCCTGCTCCTGCAAACCCACTGCTGCACTTAGGCACCTGGACTGCCTGGCAGCCCCATCCCTTCTCCAAACTCAGGTTGGACCTGGCGGGAAAGGCGCAGTCCCCGAGCCTTCCTTCAGTCTGGAAAGTACTGGCCCATAATCTCAGCCTAGGTCTTTGTTAGAAGGGGAGAGGGCAGGTGGGGCAGTGTGGCTAATTTAGTTCCTGCCTCTTTGCATCCTGGCCTCCTTAAGTGCCCCCACCCCAGCCATCAAGACAGACAGACAGGAGCCTTGGTATGTCGAAAGTGAACAAGCCACAGTCCCTCTGAGAAGGCTCAATCATGGGCCCTGCCCCCTTGCAAGGCTGGGAAGAGTGACAATGACAGTGCCAGCCTCAGTTCCTTTCTGCCTGTCAGCCAGAGTCACAGCACAGCTAACCTGGGACCCTGGGCCTCTCTGCAAAGCCTTAGCCCATTCCCATGGGAGTTGAAGGCTAGTGTTTGGGGGTGTGAGGAGTGGAGGAAGCTGATAATCCTAGATGGGTTGAGTGCCAAAGAGAGGTGAAGAGGCATCTGCGACCTTCATTCAGAGGCATTCTCTCTCCCTCTCTCTAAAAGCTATTCCTAGGTAAGAAGGGATTGCAAGACAAATTAAGCAAAGATTTTTTTGCCTTGCATTCACAGCCCCTCTGTCTCTATCCAGCCTGGCTTATATATTAGAACCAACTCTAGCAAGAAAGTAGTAGCTTTGCTTTGGGATCTGCACACTATGACACCATTCACCTAATGGGACCAGGGGGCACACTTAGGATTAGGAGCAAAAACGCAGGGTTCTCAGTCCAGCCTCTGTCCCTCCCAGTATCTCTATCCTTTCCAGCCTCAACTTGCTCTTCTGTAAATAAGATGGAGGTGACCATCTCTCCCTGCCTTCCTTACAAAATGACCGTGAAAAGCAAATGGGCATAATGGTGAGAAAAACTGATTAAAGTGAGGTTTTTTTGCTTGTTTGAATTTTTTATTTATTTTTTGCAAAAATTAACTATTTATGACCATCTGCAATTATACAGGGAGCAGACAGTGGAGACAGACCCCTGTAAAACAGCAGCTGGGGCCACAGAGCCTCCCCACCATTCCCGCTTGCAGCCCACTCCCTCCTGCCCAGGGCCTCTGGGATTTCAAGAGCTCAATATAGGCCTCCCTGTCTTCATCTCTCTTCCAGCCCAGCACCTCAGCTGTCAGGGCCTATTGATTCCAAGAAGCTGCCCCAGGAAATGAGGGTGGGGCGTGAAGGAGCTGCATGGAGACAGGCAGCAGTTTTCCAGCTCTTGCCCTTGGTGATTTTCTTCTTGGACTTGAAATTGAGCCGTCCTCCCCGCTCTCCCCTCATCTTTAATTTCTGTATTGATTTTCATTAAACTACCCCCTTGGCTCCAGCACAGAGTGAACTAACTCGTTATTTGAAAAAATAAAATAAAAGGGAGGAGTGAGAATAAAAGGATGCTTTTTGAAAGTGAGGCCGTCTCTGGTCTTTCAGTTCTGGAAAAGACAATGACCAGAACTGTCCTGAAGGTTGTCTGAGCCTTGGGCTTTGAGTGCCCCCCACTCCTTTTGGCCACAGACCTGTAGCTTCCTATCCCTAACATCTCCAGCCCCTCATCTGGACCATAGTCCGCAGTCCAGCTCTAGTCTCCAGCCCCCTCCAACCCCATCCTGGCCTGGCCCCATCCAACCACAATCAATCCCTGAACCAGCAGTGCCCTGACCTTCCCCTTCACCACTCAGAGTACCTGGCACCCTGCCATGGTCATTGCAAAATCCCCAATAACCAGGTCCTTTGGGGGCAATGTGAAGTTTTCCCCAGACCAGCCTGGAAAAGTAGAGACAAATGGGCATGGGAGGAGGAAAAGGAAACAGACACAGGCAGAGTGCTTTCTCCACGCAGGCACCATTGCTGCAAGACCCACCCATATTGCTTCATTGCATCACCATAGCAGCCCTATAAAGAAGGTGGGAGTCCCATTTTACAGAAGATGAAGCTGGGATTCAGACAGGAGAAGTGACTTGCTCCCTCACCTCTCTTCATTCTTCCCCAAACCCTGCAGTCCTCCCCCTTGGTAATGCCAGTTCACCTTGCCAGCTCCAGTCCTCCAGGAAGGCCACCCTCAGCAGTCCACCCTGACCAGGCTGGGTTCATCTGCTCTCGCTGGACTGTGTGGCTCTGGGGCCCTTACTCCCTCCTTGGCCCTCATTTTCTCCCTCTAGTCTTCTCCCAAGTGAGGTCCAGAGAACACTGCCTTCTCCTTGGGGCTCCCCCAATTCACTGAACACAAAGACCCTGGAAGACTTGGAGACTTGGAGCCCCATTGGGTGGCTCCCTGCTGGGGTGGCTCCCTGCTGTGGTGTCCCCTCTGCCCCTGCCCTTGTTAAGACTGCTTTCCTCTGGTCTGCCTGGGAGCTCCTCCCTGGCCCTTCTGGGCCCAGCTTCATTGCCTCTTTGGTGCTGCCTACACCGGCAACCCCACCAGAGGTGGGGCCTCCTGCTTATAGCCTCTGATGGCCATGGGACAGCCCTTACCACTGTCTGTCCTGCTGGGCCTCTCCCCCTTCAGCCATCCTGGGAAGCAGGGAGCCTGTCTCTTCTCCAGAACCCAGCATAGGGGTAGGGAATGAGGAGTGATGTCAGATGAAGACACAGGGAAGGAAGGACAGATGTCCTGAAGCTTAGGATGCAGGGAGGCTGCAGCCCAGATGAACCAGACCTCCACGTGACAGCTCTGAAAAGAAAGAATGAGGCCTCAAAACGCCTGTCAGACACTTGTGGAGAGGCCTTTGCTGTGTGTTGGCATCTTGCCTCCATCCCTGCTTGTTGGGTGTCTGTGTCCGTCCCTTGCCCAGGCCAACACAGAGAACCTGGCTCCCAGTCCTCTGCAGTCCCTGCCTCAGAAGGACCAGCTATCCCCAGGTAGCAGAGGAAAGAGCAGGAGTTTAGAACCAGCCAGACTTAGGTTTGCATCCAAGCTCTACATTCATGACTGAGGAAACACTGTCTCGGAGTCTCAGTTTCCTCGTCTGTTAAAGGGAAAGACTGTGAGGACTCATCCCCCCTGGACCACCCAACTTCTCCATGTGTGCACTTCACTGCAACTTTGACCAGGCCAGCCCCTCTCCCACATGCCAGCCCTCCCTTCCCCACCAGACCCTAACCTTCCATTCATTTTCAAAGTCCAAGTGATTAGCATTATACCTGCCACAATCACAGTAGCCACCATTTATTCGCTGTCTACTCTGTGCCAAGCATCATATTACTATACATGAGGTAGATTTTATAGGCTCATTTTACTGATCAAGGAACTGTGCTAAGCAAATCCCCCAGGATAACATATCCAAGCTCACAGTGAGAAAAATCTGTTCAAACCCAGGATTGCCTGATTCTCCAAGTTCTCAGTCTCTCCACTGTAATAGGCTGCTTCAGTGATAAAAGAAGGAATTCATAGAGTGAATTAGTGGTGGACTTCGTGAGAGAACAAATGAGTGAGTAAGTTTACTTATTTTTTATTTTATTTTACTTTTAAGAAACAGGGTCTAGCTATGTTGCCTAGGCGAGCCTGGAACCCCTGGCTTCATGCATTGCTCCTGCCTCACCCTCTTAAAGCACTGGAATTTGAGTGAGTTTAAAAGTAAGTGAATGACTGACTGGCAAACAGAAGGAATGAAGAAGCAGAGACGAAGTGACTTCCCGTGAGTGAATGAATGAGACCATGACTGAATCTATGACCACAAAAGTCCCCCAAACCCAGCAAGGCTCAGGCATGACACAGCAGCAATTGGGATGGATGCAGTGACCTGTCTAGACCCACAACTCCGCTGGGGGCTGTGCAGGATTTAATGAACCTCTTCACGGTTGAAGGAAAGGAGGGGGAAGCTGCACAACAGAGACGAATTTCACCAAATCCAGCACGTTTCCCACTGCCAATTAATTAAGCGAACCTCAGTGAGAAGGCCAGGCCAGTAAATCAGGCGGAGAAGGCTGGAACTTTGATGTGATCTAATTTGGCCACGAACCATGCCCGGTGAGTGGGTGGCTGGCAAGAGCCCCAGGGAACCACACTTCCCCACTCCACCTTCACTCACCTGTCACTCTGTGGTTTCTACAATCCGGCCTGTGCCTGGTCTTCACCATCTTCCATCCTCAACACTGACAATGGCCAACCTCACCAGAGCCTCTGTGGGCAGTGCTGAGCAGCCCAGCTCACAGAGGGTGGCAGGCATGGACAGAACCCAGGGAGGGGGTGTGGGTGGAGGGTGGGAGAGATTAAGGACCTCATGGGTGTCTCTAGAACTTCTCCCAACTTTGGAAGCAATATGATATGGAGGAAAGGAGCATGGAAACTGGCCTCACAATATCAGATTTTGAGTCCTGGGTCTGCACAATTGTTAACAGCCCAGGCTGGCTCTGGCCCAGCAGAGCTGGAATTACATTACTGCCTGGGCTACTTTTTAGCTATGCGCCCTTGAGCAAGTGGCTTCGCGTCTCTGAGTCTCCCTTTCTTCTGTAAGCAGTGGAGATATAACAGGATGGCAAGGAATAAATGACTTGATGAAAGGAGGGGCTTAGCAAAGTGCTTGCCCAAAGCAAGTATTCGATATATGTTAGTTATTGTTCCTCTCACCGTGGTCATGACATCTTCCTTACCTGCTAGAACCGGGCTCGGCAAGAATTTTCTATAGATGGCCAGAGAGTAAATATTTTTGGCTTTGAAGGCTATATGGTCTCTGTTGCAACTATTCAGTTCTGCTATTTTGGTATGAAAGCACATAGAGAACACCCAAACAAACAAGTGTAGCTGTGTTCTAATAAAACTATGGCTGAACTTCGAATTTCACAGAAGCTTTCATGGGACACAGAATTTTATTCTTCTTCTGTTTTTTTTTCTGACCATTTAAAAATGAAAAAAAAAAATCATTCTTAGCTCATGGGCCATACAAGGCAGACAGCAGGCTGAATTTAGCCCATGGACCATAACTTGCTACCTTCTAGACTAGAATGTAATCTCCATGAAGACAAGAGGTTTTGTCTGTTTTGTTCACTGTTATACTCCCAGCACCTAAAACAGTGCCTAGCAAATAGCAGATAGTAAATATTTGCTGAATGAATGAATTACATAATGTATGATTTCATGCAAGAAGTCATTTCACCTCTCTGGACGTCAGTATTTTCATCCATACTATGGGGATACTTTCAAACTTGAAGCAAGCATCAAATGAAATTAGAATCCATGTGGAGTCACTTTGCAAGCTCTACAACTGCTACACAATGTAGTTGTTATTTCTGATCACTCAGGGGCTCTTACCAGGGTAAGTCTTATTCCTCTTCAGTGCCTGGCACAGAGGAAATATTTCATGAGTGTCTGTGTATTATAAGCAATCTGGCCTGGAGAGGAGAAATGTCCAGGTAAGCTACTATCCCCTATGCCAGCTGGGGATGTGAGGGGTTAGCACAGTGGCCAGGAATAGCAAGGTGGTCTGGGATTAAGCTGCAGGGACCTTTTCAGTGCTCTCAGAGTAATCATTAAACCAGCAAGGTCGTGACACAGGGGTGCTGTACTATGGCAGATGTGGGTCCAAATTCTGGCTCTAACACTTACTATGTTATTTAGGCAAGTCACTTAAACTGTCTGAGATTCCATTTCCTTATCTTTAAGATGGAGATACTAATAGTGCTCACCTCACAAGGTTCTGGTGCATTAATGAAAGGACATATGTAGTGGACTATCTCAGCACCTGGCACAAAATAAACCCCCAGACTACGAGCATCTCTTTCTCCTTTTGCTCAACTGGGCAGGGTCTGAATCTCAGGCTAGGGCCTGGGCCGTCTATACTGCGAAAGACACATTAAAGCACTCTGGCATTTGAGCAGCATCAGATAGGTGAAAGGAAAAATGCCTCCAGCCATCCCAGCTGCACAGGTTTTCAACTCTAAACAAACAAACGAAAAGCCCTGTTGTTTTTCTTCCCTGAATTGAAAACTTCCTTCTGCACTGCAAGCTCACTAAAGCCATACAATCGGCTTTTGGAGGGCTGGTGATCCCAAGCTCCTTCTATCTTCTCCTCCCATTTTCCCTGCCAACCAGACAGGAAAGGTGAGAAACAAACCCCATTTGGTCGTTTGTACACTATCCAAGGAAGGACAAGTTTTATAGGAGAAGGGAGGGAATTATTCAGAACGTGAAGTTGAGGATGCTCAATGCATTTCCTTTATCAAGTCCACTGTCTGTCTCTCCCTCTCTCTCTCACCATCCTCTCCACTCCTCTATTTTGCCATATAAGAGAGCACACGCATAGCATGTCTGTGCTCACACAATCAGACAGTCCACTGGAATAGAGATAACTGTAATTGGTTTCAGCCTTAGAAGACTTGGATTTGGCTTTTGGTTCTCTCATTTAATAGCTATATGACCCTGAGTTAATCACTTCTCTCCTCAGAGCCTCGCTACCTAATGAGTAGCACAATGAAGGAGTAAGCATGGATTTCTCACCTCCAAATCTAGTGCTCATAGCAACTAGATATGAAGACTTCCAACCCGGTGGGAAGCGGGCACTCTGTCCAAAAAGCTGGCACTATCTCCTCTACTATCTTGCTCTGTCACCTTAGGCAAATTACTTCCCCATTCTGACCCATAGCCTTGTCATCTGTAAAATGAGCAGATTCCCTATCCACATTCCATCCTTAGCTAAGAGCATCTGTAAGTTCATGATTCTATGACCCTGTCCCAATAATCTGAGTAGGTTTGGAAGGAGACAGGGTAAAAAGTAAGATGACCATTTGTCTAGGAGTCCAGACCAAAGTGAAGAAGCTGAGGGTAGGGTGGAGTTATTTGGGCTGCCAGGACCAGACTGTGGGACATGGATGCAGAGGACAGAGAGCAGTTTGCTGGCCCCTGTCCCCATTTAGACCAGCTAACAGGAACAGACTCAGATCCCACCCCAAATCCTGCAGGTACCACCATAGTAGCAGGACGTACCAGGCCTTTCCACTTTTCTATAAGAATTTTCAGCATCTTTCCTGGAAACTTGGTTGGGAAACCCCAGATTTCAGCCCCTGCCTCCCCAGCTCTCCTGGCTGGAGTCCCTGAGAGCCTATCCGCAAGCTCAGACTCACTCATGTCTAAGTAGAGGCGCAGCCTCAGTCGCACAACCAGGGAAGGGGTCAGGGTGGCGGGAATTAGTTATGTCACCATAGATCAGGCTTGAACAGAGGCACTAGAGCCTGTCACATCACCACCTTCCTCCTCTAACCCTACCCTACTCCCACGCCATCTTGGCCCAGTGAGCACTTGGACTGGGGCTTCCACCTCCCTCACCCAAGCCCGCTGGTCTTTAGTGGAGAGGAGCCCCACCTGCTTTCCCAGACACCCAGTGCTGCCCTGCTCTTGCCCAGTCAATGCTCCCAGGATCTGGATCCTCTTCCGTCTTTAGGAGGCCTGCTGTGGGTGAAGAATCAACCACCCTGAACCCCAGCACCAACACCTGACTTGCCTGCCTCCTACCATGATCCACCCACAGGAGTCTCCCCAGTTGTCACCCCACCCAGGAAGTGCTGAGTGTCCCTTTGAGCCCTGCCTTTCCTGCTCAGGCTCATCAGTCCCCATCTCCTTCACCTCTTTGCTGACTCCCATAGTCCAGGTCCCAGCCACCCTATCCGAATGGTGCCTGGGAAAAGGACTACTCGAGGCACTTGGTCCATGAAAAGGAACAGATGGCCATCATGAGGCCTGGACCTCACCCCTACCTGGCTTGAGGACCTCAGGCACCACCCAGCCAGCTGTCCTTACCTTCTCCAGCTGGTGGACACCCTCTTCCACGCAGCAGATGGAGGCCAGCGTGCGGAGCGCCTGGGGGTACAAGCACCGGAAACTGTCCTGCCGGCAAACCTTGAAGAGTGCTACGACCCCACCCTCCTGCCAAGAGAAAGAAATGTCACATCATCTTACTGTGTGACCTTGTCTGGGGCTAACTCAAGAATAAGTGACATCCCTGATTCGCCAGATATGCTTTCGGGTCCTCCCTGCCTCCAGCAACCCCCGCCCCACACACACTTACACACACTCAAATGCTCACATGTACACTACAGAGAAATGCTGGCTCCAGAAATAATGTCACCCTTCATAGTCCAAGCTGGAGATGGGATACTATAAATGCTTCTGGGGCTCGGGAGCCAGGGGCCAAGGCAGGCATATTTGCTAGGGCTGGCGATCAGTACCCTTCAACAGGGTTCCCAAACATCTGGCAACTCCCTTGGAGCAGCCTCCCATAGAGCAGGCCTGGAGTCACAGGAAGCAGGTCCTAGAAACCAATCTGAGGCAGGTGGAAGGAACTGACTAGATGCCCAGAGCTGGTTCTCCCTCTGCCAACAGTCACCATGCTATTCCTCAGATTCTTCCAACTGCTGCAGGAGGCAGGCAAAAAAAATGTTTCATTTATATTAGTACTACCATTTCCTCCCATTTTTTGATCAAAAAAACTGAAGTCCGGATGGGTAAAATAATTCAGCCTAAATTCACATCATCATTTTCACTCGTTTACTCCTGTTTGTGTGTGTGTGTGTGTGTGTGTGTGTGTGTGTGTGTGATATAACCCTTTTAAAAACAATCATCGCAGCTCTTGAGTGTGGTGAGCATGTACTTTTCCTTTTGTGAGAGCTGTTTATGGAAACTTCTTTCCAGTAAAGTGTTTACCATCAGGCAAGAATCTGGGAGTGCAGAGCTCATTGTCCAGGTGCCCTGCTAACTAGTCAGACTTACTCATAATAATCGCTGGAGCCAACCTTAGCTCTGGGAGCAAAGTGAGCCAAGAGATCACTGGAATGACTAACCAAGGTGCCAAGCAAACCAGTGGCAGCACTAACTGGGGCATTTAGAGTGGCAGGAATTGGATATCCCACATCTCGCTTTGCCCAGATCTTTCCCTCTTTCCTTCCCTGAAAGCTGGCAGGGTGCCTAGGGTTGGCAGCAGTAAAGAATGCATGAGCAACTGATCTGAACTGGGTCCCTCAGGGCACTCGCCTTTAACCTCATCACTCCTGGGTCTAACTAACCTCATTGTACCGGTTCCCAAAACTAAGCAAAATGTTATAGGAAGAAGGCAAGTTCAGCAAAAGACCATCCTCTGTCAGGTTTTTGAGAACTCTGACAACAAAAGCACCTATTATGTGCCAGGCTCAGTTCCATGTGTGCTGAGAATGCAGCAGTGAATGACGATAAAACAACGAATGGGCAATTGGAAGAAGAAGCCCAGCACGGGTTCACCAAAATAGCTCAATTCCAGATCTTCCCTTACCCTCCACCCCAAAATGATAGGCTCATGCGCCCTTTTCATTCTAAGAGTTTTGCTGCTGGTCACTTCAGGGGTCAAGATGAAGATATCCAACTCTGGAGGAGTTCATAATTTCTGACATTTTATAATCAGCTAAGAGTAATCACAACTTATATATTCTACTTCCTTTGGGGTGGTTGAATTCCCCTCATTTCTTTTGGTGTGAAAGGGCATAACTTAGGGCTAGTACATTCATTCGTGCATTCAAAAATGTTAATGGTTTATTATAGGCCAGACGTCATGCTGGACACTGAGCAAGACTGCTTCAGTCCCGTCCACAATAAACTCATGGTCTCATAGAGAAGGCAGACAATTTTAAAAGCAGGTACAAAGCTGGGTAGAGGGGCAATGACATGTGGTTGGGGGTGCAGGGTTAAAAGAACACAGAGCAGAAGCCCTAACATGCTCGGAGGGTGGGGGGTTGTAGAAGGGTCAAGACAGAACCACTCTGATTTTAAGTGCACGTAATTACTTCAGTAAAAATGTCTGGCATGAGACAGACACTTACACCTCTGATTCCTTGTTCCACAACCTTTACTCCTGCCTTCCTACTTTCCCATAGTTCCTGGGACATCTGCTTGAAGGTTCTACATACAGACCTCACTCAGAGAGTCACTGAAGGAAAACCAAGTTACTCTTTAGAATGAGAAGAAAAGAAATAGAAGTCCTAAGCTCTCATCAGCCAGCCCTGCTGGTCATTTCTAGCCTTCTTCCAGATGTAAATATATATACATATATATGGATATATATTTATATATGTGTGTGCTTATATTTAATCATACATATTGTATAAATATTATTTCTCTATATATGTAGATAGATGAGAGAGAGAGAGATGACTGATTGAGAGACATTTACATCTGAAGCAGACAATGAAGAAACAGTGCCAACGAACACGCATGAGGCCTGAGCCAGGATGAATGTGGCAGCCTCCTTTGGCTCAGGAGGCACTGAGCCCAGCACAACTATATTTAAGCCTCTGCATGCATTTGCACTGGATTCTCATTACATCTCTCTCAAGCCTGTGAAAAATGGCCTTCTTAGCACTTTTAGCTACCAGGAGAGGGAGGGGGAAATTCCTGGATCCAAAAGAAAGAGATTCTGGTCCAAATCCTGGCTTTGCTGCTGGTTAAGTTTGGCTAAAAATGGGCTACAATAGCTATATGTCTGAGCTGTTGGGGGTGCAATTGAGTTAGTACATGTGGAAAGGCCTGGTACCTGATTCTGGAGAGTGGGTAAGGGTCAGGCTATGTGAGGCTTCCTGATTATAAGAGTGTCTTATATCCTCATGAAAGAGGTCCCGAGGGCTAGGATATGTGAGAGGAGAGAGAAGGAAGAAAGCCACAGAGGAAATAAAATGGATTGGTCTTGAGGACCACTCTGGAGCCCCCATTCAAGAACCGAGTGCAGCACTCATCCTGGAGTGAAGCTGGGAATGGCCTGACCTAGCAGAATCACACTGTTGGCTGAAGCTTGTTTAATTTTATAGAAAGCTCCGGGCTCAGAGCCCAGCCACATAACAGTATGAATTATTCAGAGAGACTTGGGATGAGCTGTCATAAAGTGGGAAGAGATCACTTGTGGGGTGTGTGGGCTGGTGGTGGAAGGAATAACAGAGGAGTTATTGGTGGGGGGGATAATTTTGATGAAGCCCAGAGGACTTTTCTGTGCCTTGCACAGGGGAAGGGATGGAGTTTGTCACCATCATCATAGAGAGGTCTGGGCTTATTCTTTAGCCTTCAGAGGAACCCAAGAAGCTGAGAGGACAAGCCTCAGACAGGTTGCCCACATTTTCTCCCAGAAGCAGCTAAGATAGATGAAGGACCCAAACAAACAGAACAGCAGGCCACAAAGAGGTGGATGAGGAAGGCTGCTAGATCACTGCCCCACACTGTTACAACACTGGGTACATCTACTGAGCATCCAAGGTGAGGATGCTGTGCAGGGCATGCCAGGGACTCCCAGCTCCTGCATCACTGTCAGAACTGGAAACCCAAACACAGTAATTCTATGGGAGGAATTAGTCTCCCATCTTCTCCCAGAGAGAAGATTCAGGAAGGACTCCCTTTTCCAGCCCGGAAAAATGGATGAAAAGATGAGCTGGAAAGATGGAAGTCCTCCCTGAATCTTTTCTCTGCTTCAACACTCTGTCTGCTCCATCCCTTGGACCTGAAATATCAGAAGGTTGAGATTAAGATTCTGGAATCTGTAGACCTGGTTAAAATCCCAGCTCTGCTTTCATGTGTGTGACCTTGAATAAATTATTTATATTCTTTCTGAAACTCTGTCTCTTCATCTTCAAAATGGGAATTATAATTATGACATATCAAAAGACTATCAGAGAATCAGATGAGATGGTGATTAGAAAGCATAGCACCATGCCTGAGTAAACAATGGGCATGGAAGGTTGGTGAGAGAAAGGAAGAGAATGGGAAGTAAGGTGGGAGGAAGAGGAAGAGGAGGGGCTGCTGAGAAGCAGTTCAGAACAGTAACCAGGCACGTAGCCTTTGCTGCCAAACAGCCAGGTTCAAATTCCAGTTCAGTCCCTTACTAGCTTTGGACTTTCTCACTGTCTTAGCTCCCTCACCTGGAAAATGGGGGTAGATCCTGCCTACCACAGAGGATCATTGAGAGGTTAAAATATGTTATTTGTATAAAGCCCTTAGAACATTATCTGGCACAAAGTGAGTGCTATAAAAATAAATTTATTATTACTACTTTACTGCAGCTGTCATCACAACCATGATCATCAGAGTTGATCACTTCAGAAAGCTCATATTCTCCCATTTGCCCCCATCTCCTGCCAATGCCTCCCAGTTTTGACCTCCACCAGCCTCATACCCAGAGCAAGCAAGCTGATTACTGTGCAGTGGACCAGGAGCAGAAAAAGAGGAAATACTGATTAGGAGGGAGACAGATTTGTTGTTAGCAGAGTTTTGCCTGGAAAGGGAAAGACTCTAGATTTTAACCAACTAGCTGGTGAAATGGAAATAGCACCTACTCCAGAGCTGGACAAATTTGGTTTCAAGTGTCAACTGCTCAAGGTATTCAACCACTGTGAGTCCTGGCGTTCTAACCTGTAAAACAGGGTCACTGATATACTTCTCAGAGGGGTCATGTGGACAAGATACAACAGTGTGAAAGTCCCTGCACAGGGCCTGCACACATAGGAAGCCACCAATAAATAGTAATTATTATCGTTGTTGTTAATATTCAGTGAGACTCAAGTATTCTCCTGGCAGGCTCTGGAGGGTGTGGCCCATGTAAATAATCAAAGGATTATTTGAAATCTTTAAACAACTCCTGGTCATGGCTCTTGAGAGCCCAGGGGAGTGTTAGGGGCATGGGAGATCCCTGAGTAGCTGAGGAAGTGATGGAACAGCTGAGAAGCCTGTGGACAGAAATGTAGGAAGTGATGACTAAACGTGGCAAATAGTTCACCTTAGCCTTTTGTTTTAAAATGGAATAGGATGAAAGTAAAATTGCACCCTTACTTTTCCCATGAAAACACTGGGAAAGTCAGGCAGCATGGTAGATTTGGAAGGTGTCTTAAATATACAGCCCAGCATCCTCAGGCCACAAAGGAGGAGTTAATCCCCAGTGGTCTGGCCAACCTCCTCCAGTGAGCTAGTGGCAGAGCTGGGATGAGAGCTGCCCTCTTGTCCCAACCCAGGCCTTTCCCCCTGCTTTCTACCACTGGAAATGTTTGGGATTAATGTTTAACTGGAGTTAAGGCCTGGTCCTGACAGGAGACTAAATCTGCAGGAGGTCAAACATCATCTTGGCTTACAACCAAATGCATGTCTCCTCTCTGCTTTCCTGAATGTGAAGCACAAATGCAGGCAGGTGGTAGGAGCTGTCTATATCAAGCGGCACATGGAAACAGACCTTGAGTGCTCAGGTCCTGAAACAGAACACCCAGAGCTTCAGAGCTCTTGCCAAGCAAAGTTTCCTTCCCAGGAAATTTCTAAGGCCCATTCTTTACAAAACATAAAATATCTTCAGAACCCATGTGCCATTCAGAAGTCCTTATCCCACCCAGACCTCAGATCCACACAGAGAGCCCAAATCCAGCATGTGTTTGCAACTCATTTTGAAAGGGAAAAATGGTAATTGTTCCAAAAGAAGTTCAGCTACTTACTGTTTGGAATTAATCATTAAACAAATGTTAAGTCAGTTTCAGCTCAGAGGTTGGAGCTGTTGGCTGTTCCCCCACAGCACCAAGACAAAAATCTCCAGTCAGCCCTCTTGACCAAGTTAAATGTTTGAGTCACAGAATCCTTGGAGAAAACAGATCCAATGCTATCTCCTCCATCCCCTTTGCTCCAACACCACTACAAGCTCTTCAGGTTAAATACATTTAAATGACTCCCAAAAGAGAGTAGAGGTCCTCAACCCACGCAGCACAGTAGAATCACTTGGAAAGCTAAAATATTCATCCCAGGACCTACTCCAGACCAATTAAGTCAGAATCCTAAAAATTTTAAAGCTCCCTAGTAGTTCGATTGTGTATCCAGGATTGAGAACTCCTGAGTCACACTTTGGCTCAAGGACCTGAAGGGCCAAAGATTGAACCAGAAGTCACCACTGTGGGGTTTAGGACCATGAACTCTGAATTAAACTTAAAGAGGCTGGGGTTCAATTCTGTCTCAACTCCTTGTCAGCTGCATGATCCTGAATAAGCTCCTTAAACCATTTCCTCAACTGTTGATGGTAACAACATGGTACTTTCTTCATAGGATGGTTTTGTGAATTAAAAGAAAGGAATTATATAATGCATTAAAGACAGAACACAGCAACACTCAAATGTTAGCTATTGCTATTACATAAAATTCACTTCTCCACTCACAAGAGTTGACAAGCATTTACCGTGCTCTAATATTAAGATTGCTTTAAGGGCTTAGATGAGTGATTCTGAGAGTCTGGCCATGCTTCAGAACTACTTGTAGGGCTTGTTAAAATGAAGATTCTCAGGTCTTACCCAAAGACCCCATGGAATCTTGGGTAGGGCACAAGTATCTGGGTTTTCCACAAACTCTCTGAGGGACTGCGATACCGAGTGGGCACTGGGAACCACTGTTGCCAGGGCATCTTCCTGTGACTAGCATCTTAAGTCTACCGAAGGACATAACTTTGCTACCAATTAGATCCCTGGTTCTGTCTCCAATGGTGATGTCATATTTCAAGTGAAAAAGGAGACTAAAAACAAGAAACAAAAGACCTTACTGAGGTCCTAGGGCTATTAGTTGCCTATATTTGCTCTAAGTGTCTTGAATCCAAATTCAGGGGCAAATTAACCATGAAGCTAATTAATTACAACTCCCATTATAATTAATGAAAACCACCATCCTTTTTGATTTAGTCTTCCTTGAATGTAGTATTGGAGTGGCTACAGGCATTTTTCAGATCCAGCCATGAAGTTGAGTGTGAGAGACATGCTTCATTTTGGTTTGGTGGGATATGTTAATGTGGTTGGCATCAGTTTCTCATGTAGGTGAACTACTGCAGACCAACCTGGTACAGAATTGCCTTCCAGAAGCAGTGTGGCGATTCCTCAAGGATCTAGAACTAGAAATACCATTTGACCCAGCCATCCCATTACTGGGTATATACCCAAAGGATTATAAATCATGCTACTATAAAGACACATACACACGTATGTTTATTGTGGCACTATTCACAATAGCAAAGACTTGGAACCAACCCAAATGTCCATCAGTGATAGACTGGATTAAGAAAATGTGGCACATATACACCATGGAATACTATGCAGCCATAAAAAGGATGAGTTCATGTCCTTTGTAGCGACATGGATGAAGCTGGAAACCATCATTCTCAGCAAACTATTGCAAGGACAGAAAACCAACACCGCATGTTCTCACTCATAGGTGGGAACAGAACAATGAGAACACTTGGACACAGGAAGGGGAACATCACACACTGAGGCCTGTTGTGGAGTGGGGGGATGGGGGAGGGATAGCATTAGGAGAAATACCTAAAGTAAATGACGAGTTAATGGGTACAGCAAACCAACATAGCACATGTATACATAGGTAACAAACCTGCACGTTGTGCACATGTACCCTAGAACTTAAAGTATAATAATAATTAAAAAGTGGTTAAAAAAATTGCCTTCCAGAAATATTCTTGAATTATTTTCTCGTTCTAAATAACTCACTTTTCTAAATAATTTGGAATTTGGAATTCTATAATCTTTTACTTAAGTAAGGCCCCAATAATTCCATAAGCTTCTGGCCTCACAAATCCTAGACCTACTCCTAGGCATATGATATAAGTGCAATGAATCCTTTGGAATCAAAGCTCACAATTTGAATACCTGCAATTCAACTTGATAGTTATATGCCCTGCAGCAAGTTATTTAATCTCTCTGTTCCTCAGCGTCTTCATTTGTATAAAATGTTAGTACCACCCTCCTCACAGAATCATGAGAATTACATGAGATCCCATTGGTGTAGTGTTAGAAATATAACAGAGTCAAATATATGTGAATTCTCTTCCAATATATATGAATCTAGTCTGAGTATAAATGTCATTAGAGAGTACCATACTAGCTTTGTAGGTCTCAAAGTGTAGTACCCTGAGAACTTGCATTAGAACTGGGGACATGAGAGATGGAGAATAAGGGAGGTTATTTAAAATACTCCACATCCAGTGAACCTGTTTCTGGACACAGGATGACCCATTGGATACTCAACAGCCCTTCAGAAACCCCTACCAAAGTTGAAGGTCGGATGAACTTCAGTTCCCTCCCAACTCTCAGAGATTTTGGATCTGTGAATTTGTAACTTTCTCATTCAACAAACTCTTTGAGTACCCACTTTGTGCAGGCATTGCACTAGGCACTAAGGACACAGAGATGACTCAGATGTTTCTGTCCTTAAAAAGCACACAGCTTAAAACACATAACAAAATAGAATATGGTAAGTGCTGAGACAGTGCCTGCTACTCTTTTTAGACACCACAGGTGGGAGCGTGTCTGGAAAGCAATAAAGAAGAATACAGAATTGAGTGTGGAATGCTGAGTAAGAGTTTTCCAAGTGGCAAAAAGAGAGGACATTCAAAACACAAAGACAAAAGGTGCAAAGGCCATGATATGCCCTTGTGCCTTCTCTGCTTTCTCCTCAGACAAGCAGCTGGGACAGACACAACCACCCCAGCCCATGGCCAGAATGTAGGACCCAATCAACAGAGGGAGCCAGAGGGAGGGAGGCTGTCTCTGGGCTCCTCTTCAGCCTGGGAGAGGGAGAAACTGATATGAAGGCTTAAAAGGAGAAATATGCCAACATAATTGAGAAGCATTAGTTAAATCAAGCCTGCTTTGCAGTTTAGCCTGCATTCTTCTCCCTTCTTGTATTCCTTGAGCAAATCCTTGCATTTTATTTTGTTCAGAGAATTGTACAGCCTCCTGTTTTGGGAGGAATAGGAAAGCTTAGGCAGAGACTGAGTTTATTTAGAGGCCATCTTGTCTTGATGCCTGCTGAACACTGGCCAATATCTTTGGTGAAAAAACAATAGAGGACCCAGATTCTCCTCCTGCTTTTCCAAGGATCATAGGCAGATGCTGAGGTTCACAAGATTCTAAGCGGACACAAAAAGAGACTAAGGGCACTGGATGGGAACCCAGAGAACAAACCTCCGAGTTGGTGGTGAAGGTCATGTTTGTAGATCTGTTCCTCCTCTTTCTCCTGATAATGCTACTGCTAATTATTATGGGGTATAGGTTGTTATGGCAGCAGCATTAAGTGATGTGGATAGAGCTTAAGCCATACACAAGTCTATATGAAAAAAAATAAAAACTTTTCTTTCAACTGGGTTTGAGACATCCCATGTCTTACAAACATGATGTCAGGGAGCCATATAAGGTCAATCGATCACCCAAAATGCCACATGCCAGATGGTCTCTTTATTCACTACATCACCACATCCCATGGACCTCAGGGACACCACAGCTGCCAGGAAGGGAAGGATGTGTGGAGATGGAGAAAGACGGTTGATATTTATAACATATACCCATAAAGAAAGATGATAGAGGCTCTGGGGGCACCAGATTTCTGTCTCAAGTGGGAAATGAAATCAGAGGGGCTAGCCACCTACTAAAAATGCAGACACCGGCCGGGCACGGTGGCTCACGCCTGTAATCCCAGCACTTTGGGAGGCCGAGGCAGGCGGATCACAAGATCAGGAGATCGAGACCATCCTGGCTAACACGGTGAAACCCCGTCTCTACTAAAAATACAAAAATTAGCCGGACGTGGTGGCAGGCGCCTGTAGTCCCAGCTACTCGGGAGGCTGAGGCAGGAGAATGGCGTGAACCCGGGAGGCAGAGCTTGCAGTGAGCCGAGATCGCGCCACTGCACTCCAGCCTGGGTGACAGAGTGAGACTCCGTCTCAAAAAAAAAAAAAAAAAAAATGCACACACCAAGTCCCAGATAGGATAAGTGACTCTCCCAAGGAGACTCAGCAGCTAATGCAGGGGCCAAGACAGACCTCGTGAGCCAGCTATTCCCATTGAACAAGTGAGCTTCCTCATACTTCCCCAGGCCTGCCATTTTGGTCCCTAACCATGAAGCTCACCTTGGCTATGATGCGGCACAAGGGAGCCCCCTCCTGGGTCAGGCTGAACAGGTTCCCTGTGGTGGACTCTGTGGTGTAGATATTGTCTGAGGCATCAATTTTTCTCACCAGTGCCTAAGAAGAGAGAGAAAAGTTAGCTAGTAGTTACTCACCACCTCTACCCTCTGCTCATCTTAGTGGAACACCAGTGGGCCCATGCTCCTAACAGCAACCATGGAATCTACTCCTGCCCCTAGCTACTGCCTCATTGTGAGTGCAATGAAGTTCTAGCTTTGGGAAAGGTATCAGTCAGGGTGAGGTCTAAGCTACATTTTAGAGATATGGGATAATATCAAACCCTTGATACATAGGCCATAACTAGCCTTGCCCTAGTCCCTCAGAAAATCAGCTCCCAACATTGATGGGCTCAGCAAATACCATTTTGTGAATCTACTGGTTCTTAATAAGAAAAGAAACCATCAGTTAAATTAGCAAACCATCAAATTGAAAACGAATGAGTGGCTACAGCTATGACCAAAGAATCTGCTCATTTTGAATGGCTATTAGCCAATGGTGAACTCCAGCTGAGTGATGGGTTCAAGGGTTAAGTCAAGAGAAGTGCTCCACAGTAGTTTACTGCTTGAGGGATATTTTTCTTGGACATTTGCTCTCCCCAATAGCTTGCTGCTTGTGGGGTAAGGCCAAGATGAAATAGCAACACTGGGAGTCCCGTCAAAGGGTGGGAAACTAGGTGAGGAATGCTATACTGATCAAGGCTGAAGAATGAACCTGAGGCTAGTGATGAGAGGGTCTGGGAATGACTGAACATAAGACCAAGAAGAGAGGTTCAGGAAGGAAAGCAAATGAAAGATTCATTAACAAAAAAGATACAAAGATTATTTCTAGAAAAGTTCAGCTAATTTCTGAGGGAAAGGTTTTTATGTAACTTGAAACCACTTCATCATCAGCCATTTGCTTTGAAGCATGTGATTCATTGAGTGTAAAGGATTCCTTCCTGCTAATTAATGCCAGTAGCTCAAGTTTTCTTCTAGAAAGAATGGAGTTAGAGACTAAGAAGAGCAACCTTCGAGGGCCTCATGCAAGAAAGTAAGACCTCCAGACCTGGGTGCTCTGAGCAGCCACTCATGTGGTTTCAGTTGCCAGGTTTATTTTAAAACATTAAAGTGAAATTTAGTTTTAATTAAATACTAGTATTATGGAAAAGACACTTAAGAGCAACACTTGGAGCACCTTAGCCTTTCTTTGCCTCAGTTTCCTCATCTATACAGTGGTGTAAAAATAAGCCATCTGCAGTGGCACGTGCCTATGAGTTCCAGCTATTTGGAAGATTGAGGCAGGGGGATTGCTCAAGTCCAGGAGTCCAAGAAATAGCCTGGGCAACATAGAAAGACTCCCATCTCAAATAAATAAATAAATAAATAAATAAATAAATAAATAAATAAATAAACAAAATGGTGTAAATAACAATTTCTATCTTTTAAGGGGGTTGTGCCCATTTTTTAAGGTTGTCAATATATATAAAGGATTTCTAAAGGTACCTGCCAGGTGGAAGCTAAATAAAATTGTAAGCAGTTACAGTTTTGTGATCTTGTACAGTTAAGCTCCCCACACTTTGGTTTCCCTGTTCGTAAAATGATTAAAATTACGAGCTTTGAGGCTCAAGGTAAGTGGCTCTCCCTTTTGTCTTCTTTATTCAAATTTATGAAATTCCTCACACACGCACAACATGCTAATCTAGATATAGCAGTCTAAGATTAATTGTGTATTTAATCAAACTACATTAAATATAAAAATTATGCTCTAAGTTTTGACAGATGCCTCTTGTTAGAGATTCAACAAAAGGTAAAATTAATAACCAAGATTTGTCACTACAAATCCCTATAAAGATCACACTTCTTAGAATTCTTCCCCACCATTACCACAAGCAGCTACACATGTGATACTAATGCTCACATGAAAATGCAGATTTCACATATTGGGGTCCTGTACCTAAATGATAATTACCTAATGTTCCTGATTAGTGTTTGCACTTGAAGCAAATTAGCATTACATTAAACAATTCGAACCCAATGTCTTTTGCAATCAGCTGCTAATATTAGACAATTTAAGTCTGAGAATAATTTCATGTTAATGTCTATACACATATATACAGTAATTACACCTCAGATATGTCTCAGTGAATCAGATCTCTGACAAAGAAAAGTTGTAAGCATCCTTTCCACAGTGTAAATCTGGAAAGATATGAGATCAAAGGCTCCACTGAAATCTTCAAGGCCCTAAATATCACCATGTGTCAGAGCCGGAAAGGACCTCGGAAATCATCTGTCCAATCTTCATTTCATAGTGGAGGAAACAGATGCAGACTTGACTAAGGTTACCTATGTGGTCTTGGGAGGAGCCGGGCCCTGACCCCTCTGAATTTGACATCCCATTTTTGAAGGTCAGGAAATCCATCTCCTTTAATGTAGGCAGGACCTCACCTGGACTAGTGGAGATTGAAGCCTCAAGGCAAGGCTGTTGTCCAGCCTCATTAGCAAGTTTTGCCAAATAGGAGAGTGGGTCTCCATCCTGGCTTCCCATTCCCTTCGCATCTAACACTATGTATTGGTAACCCGAGCTTGTGAGTGGGGGCCTTGCAAATGCCCCTCTGGATCTGCCCTGTATTCTTGCCAAGGCCACACTTCCCCTAAGCTACTCCAAGCTATAACTGAGCACAGCATGACTGTGGGACAGGGGACTCCTCAAACAGGGGACTTTGGCTTGATTCCCTGTCTGAGTCTTTTCCTTCCTCCTTTTCTTTCTCAGATGTCAGACCTACAACATGGCTTTCCATGCCTGCTTCTGCTTCCTCCTCTGCATCCATCATAGGAATTGCCTATCTACTCCTACCTTAGTATCGGCCTCAAACTGACACAGTCTCTACAAAATCAAGGTGATTTTTTTCAGGAAATCAAGAAGACATTGGAGACGTTTCAAAAATATGCCTCACTCAATATCATGAGAAGAGTGGTAAAAGACTGAAAAAAAGTAAAAGAAGACAGGCTGAAGCTGAATGACAAACATTTTCTTAAAATGCATACTAGGCAGATATGAAACAAAAAAAATAACATCTTAAAGACCAAAGAAAAGGGATTAAAAGGGGGCTAAGGAGACGCATGCAGTTTAACTTCTCTGGATAAGGAATTAGAAAAGAAAAAATGTATTTTTCATTGTCTGTCAATCTGAAAACGAGTAACTGCAACCTAGTGAAATCTATCAGAAGGGAGGTAAACTCTCAAAAAGCAAACTGGCATGAGTTCCTCAGAAGGAGCCAGGAAAATATTGTGAGACCTCTCCCTAAAGTTTTGGATGGAAAGTCCATAAGTCAGACATAGTAGAGTAGCCCATCTGTGCAAAGGGGTTACATAAAATGCAGGTAGCATTGACAGGATGCAGTAGATTAAAGATGGTTAAAAATTCTTTTCTACTTCTTTTATAGAGAGATGAGTTCTAATTCCCCTTCCCTTGAATCTGGTCTTAATGCCTTGCTTGACCAATAGAAGCAAGCATTTGGCAGAAGTAATGTCCTAAGATTTCCAAGGCCAGGTCATAAAAGGCCTTGAAGCTTCCACCCAGGCATCTTGGAACTTGGAACACTGTTTTGGGAGCCCTGAGCTTCCATATCAGAAGTTTGATAACTGTGAGAATGTGATGCTAGAAAAGCCACGTGTAGGATCCCTATCAATACTCTCAGCTAAGGTCATCCTTCCAGCCATCCCCTCCATGGCACCATACATGTGAGTGAATACCACTGTCTAGCACTCTTCAAGCCATCTGCCAGCTGAATACCACATCTGTTGTTGCTGCACAGAATGGAAGAATCACTTAGCCAAGCCCTGTCCAAATTACTGACCCTTAAAATCATGAGATATAATAAAAGCAATTGCTGGGTTTTTTTTAAAAAGTATTTTAATAGTAGAGTTCGGAACACAGGAAAAGACCACAGAGATCATCATGAACTATTCGAAAGATTACTGGATAAACCATCTCAGGTGAAAGTTTTTGGAAGTGGGGATGCAGTATTTCCTTTGTCTTAACAGAATATGCTGGAAAAATGCATGAATTAGGACTCTGAGGGAAGGCACAGAAAGATTGGATGTACTGAAGAGAAAACAGACAAAATAATAATTATATCTAGGTTTAGATGAGCTACTGGTCAGATGGGAAAATACCTCCTAAGTGGGAATATCCAATTTAGGAACATAAATGTGGATAAGATCTCTTAGAACTAAAATATTTTGACAGACCCCAAACTTAATTGATTTCGTTTCTCTCAATCAGGGAAATCCCAACATCTAGATTAGTTTGTTGGAAAAACAAAAGAATGTGTCAGAAAGCGAAGGGAAATAAAAGCAGAAAAGTAGCTCAGATCCAGATGCTGCATTCACTCTATAAGTTAGGAAAGAGACCCACATGAGAAGAAGAGTAAATCGTTAGAAATTCAAATGAGTCTCTCTAAAAGGAATGTGGGATTAACAGAGGGAAAGAGAACATTGGGGGCAGAGTTCATTACTGGAAAAAAAAAAAGTAGCAGAAAGAAATCCTATTAAAAACTGGTATATTCAAAAGCTATAGGAAGATGCTATTCTGAGAAGCCCCTGGCAGAGGTACTGACCCTCGTGGACTCAGAATTCGGGAACATCAAGAGTGGCCTCAGTTCAGGTATCTGCTGAGGATGATGTTCAAATGCAGCAAGTGTGGAAACCAAATGGAAACCCTTCCCAGCAGGTAGGGATCTTAAAGTTTAAGCAACCCTCTAGTAAGAAGAGGGAACAATAGACCTCATAATACAGAACTAGAAGCACCTGAGTATCTTATGTCAAAAGAATTTTTTTCTCATTTCACCCTAAAAACATTTTGAAAAATATATGACCCCTTGCACATTTTTAATTTGACAGCTAAATTTTTTTATCATAAGTTTAAAAAACAAAGTTGGAAAGAATGTAATTTCCAGAAAATTGCAAATGTTGACATAAAATAAAATCATTACATCACTCTTGCAAATGTATTCAATAGATTCTAAATACCAAAACAACTTAATACCATCATCATTCACTTAAAAATACATGAATAATCTCTTTTTTAACATTCTGCATCATTCATTAAATTTATATTCCCATTTCAATTTTCCTTCAGAATTTAATGTAATATATTTAAGTTTTAAAGTGTTTTATTGATCACCCTTATCACACTTATCATTGAAATTTGAAATGTTATTTCCTGTTACTATCAAGCTCCGTGTTAAAAAAAAAATCTTTTCTTGGTTGAGGATTATTATCAGCCCAATTGGTCAAATGAAATAAATACATTATAAATTTTGATAAATAATTGTAAGTTATAAAAATTTTATTTTTAAAATAAATATATCTCTAAATGAGATGAATGAGGCTTTTTATCATTTTTAGGATAATTCATTTATGTATCCGTGATTGAATATTGACTTAATGCTATATTTTAGATGTAAACTCTGAAAAATCTTGTTCCCATAAATCAATAGAGGGAAATGAGAGGAGTTTGTGTACTACATTGCTTAACCCCTTGAGTCACCTTCTAAGTTATGTAATCACATAGCAATCTATCATCAAACACTATTTTTAATAATCTGACAGCTGATAACTCCTCTAAATTGGTCCTCTTCTAAATTGACAAAAGCAAAGAATTGGAAAAGCCTTGACTTGCAGAATCATTTGTTACCCAATCTTTAGAGGTGTTCATTTACTTTCTCAATTTCTGGAAAAAATTCCAAAAGTACTTTTCCAAGACTTATCAAATAACCATTAATTGCAACCACTACTTTTTCACTTAAGAGTACCTTGAGTCACCCGAATTATTCAGAGAGGATTGGGAAAATCAAAATATTATTTATTTCATTGCCAATACAAGTTTTAATAAAATATTTTTATTCTTCAAATATGTTTTGTTGAAAGCTTGAAGCTCCAGCTTTTACTTACTTAATTTGTGAAAAATACTCACTCTATAACCTAATTGGCAAAGACAGTGCTTTCAGTCAACCCAATCAGCCAAGTCAGAGTTAACTTTTTCTCAGTAAAGACCTGACTTCATTTCTATTTAAGAAATGTTTCACTGGATGTGGCGGCTCATGCCTGTAATCCCAGCACTTGGTGAGGCCGAGGCAGGCGGATCATGACGTCAAAAGATCAAGACCACCCTGGCCAACATGGTGAAACCCCGTCTCTACTAAAAATACAAAAATTAGCTGGATGTGGTGGCGTGTGCCTGTAGTCCCAGCTACCTGGGAGGCTGAGGCAGGGGAATCACTTGAACCCAGGAGGCGGAGGTTGCATTGAGCCGAGATTGCACCACTGCACTCCAGCCTGGTGACAGAGTGAGACTCCACCTCAAAAAAAAACAAAAAGAAAAGAAATATTTCTATATGTATTTCAAGAAATGCAAAAACCTAGTGACAAACAATTGTGAAGATCATTCTCTATGGGAAAAAAAAAATCCAAAAACTGTCAATATTAAAATAAATTAGACCTAAAATAAAATCTGATTTAATTGTATACATTATAAAACCAAGATAAAATAATTTACTGAAATTTGTAATAATGCAAAGTAATATGTAGCTAACATTCTAAGTTAATAAAAAATCTAAGAATATGATTTAAAAAGCACAGTATTCCTTTAGTAAATAGGTACATATATATTAAACTTTGGTGTCTTTAGGGAATCATTAAATAAGAACTGAGAATTTAAAAAGCATATGTAATTCAATTAATTTTAGTAGCTCTCATCGTCAAATTTTTCTATGTATTTAAAGAAAAAGAAAGGTATATACTGCTTAAATCTAATTAGCATAACTGCTAGCAATTAATTTTTTCTTTTGTTAACAGGCAGTAAAAAGTAGTATAAATATTTCAGAAAATATTTTGGCAAAATAGACTTTAATTGTTATCTTAAATAATATGCACCACATTTTTTTAAAAATGTAAAACCTGTATCTGTATTTTATCCAATATATCTTGAAATTTTTGGTTGTTCTCAAAAGCATGTTACAGTTACATTTAAAAGAATCAGTGTCATTAACCTTTAGAGTCTTTGGCTCTTCAAAGATATTTTTCCCAGCTAATATCACATCCTAGGGATGAGTGTGAAAAATAGCTGAAAGGAATTGCCTGCATTTTAATGTGTGTCCTAAAAAAGCAATTTTTAGTGCTTGATGTATCCTACCAGTGCTCTCTTTGCTTTGGTCTAAGGAGAATGTCCCTCAAGAGCCACACACTGTTTGAGAATAAATGGATGGAAGGGATAAAATAAATTGAAAACTTTTATAATCATCCCTCCAACAACACACATACACACACACACACATACACACACTACAATATATCTGAATTGAGAAGCTGCTCACACTTGGAAAAATACACAATTTATTTTTTTCTGGTTTTTTTTTTTTTTTTTTTGAGATGGAGTTTTGCTCTTGTTGCCCAGGCTGGAGTGCAATGGCAAGATCTCGGCTCATGGCAACCTCCGCCTCCTGAGTTCAACCAATTCTCCTGCCTCAGGCTCCCAAATAGCTGGGATTACAAGCATGTGCCACCATGCCTGGCTAATTTTTTTTATATTTTTAGTAGAGACAGGGTTTCTTTATGTTGGTCAGGCTGGTCTCGAGCTCCCAACCTCAGGTGATCTGCCTGCCTCGGCCTCCCAAAGTGCTGAGATTACAAGCGTGAGTCGCCACACCCAGCCAAAATACACAATTTCTAATGGCATACTCAACATAAATATGTATAAAGCATGGAAATAATTCATGGAAGCTTAAGGGTCTTAATGGTTCATGAATGAAAGCTTTTCCTTTGCTTGATTCTCCACTCCCATACCAAGATTTTTGTATGGCAAGGCAATGTACTATAAGATTTGGGATGGATGAAGAGTATGCCTTTTGGAAAATAATAGAAGGCCTATAAAAAACTCAGTGAATTATTGGGAAGATCATTTTTAAGAAAGAAAACAAATGAAAATTGAAGATCTGGAAATAAGATTTCCTTAAAACTGTATGTGCTTGCATTTCTCCTGGGAAATCTTTGAGAACCTGGGGAATGCAGTGCATTTGAAATGGTTTGAAGACTACTGGTCTGTCACTTCAAGAAGCCCAAATCAATGCATGCTGGAGTGGCAGAAACACAGTGTTTTCAGGGAGCTAAAAATTAAGATGTTTTGAATATGCTGAATGGGAAAGAATGCAAATCAAGCAAGTCCTAGTAAAGAAGTTGCAAATGCCTGACTTTGCAGGAAAAGGAAAACAGTTCAAATGCCCGTCAATGAGAAAGGAGGCATTTTTTTCCCCATATATGGTAAACATAGTACCACAATTAACCTGTGGTGGATGTTTTCCCCCAGTGAGTGTATGTTCACAAATCTTTATAGACTATAGACAACTGAAATAAACTGACTGACATCCTACCAAGGCTGCAACCAAGACAGTCTCAGTCACATCCTTTTTTTTTTATTGGCTACAGATGAGCATGTATCTGTTAAGGCCTTTGGCAACCCTAAGGATGACATCCTGGGACAACAGGTTGCCTGAAGTTCCTGGAGTTCTGTAGGCATTGAGGATCAGCTTATTGTAACTTTCTCAGAATATATGTGTAGTGCTGTGATAGTATTATGTATCCAGAATTAAGGGCTTTTTGAACCCTTTTAATTATGGCTGGGAAAGACTAGTACAAATTGAGAAGTCCTGAAGGAACCCCTCCCATTATTGAAGAGACAGCCTGGACTACAGCTGCTGAAGGAAACCCAACTCCCCACACACTGGAATGAGGCCCTCCTGGCTGAGATGAACAGAGTATGAAAATTGAAGAGATTGTACTAACCTGAGAATTTGGGACTTTGGATTATTCCTAAAAGTAAAAAGATTGAAATTTGCTTCCTATTATATTTCCCACTCTCCCACTGAGCAGATTTTGCTCAGCCATGTTGCCCAATATAGGTAAGTAGAAGCTGCAACGAGAGTAAATGGCAATACAAAGATAATCCAAACATACTTGCATGATGACAAACATAAAGATTTCCAAAATTTTGATATGCTCCTATCCCATTTTAAAGTTACCTGGGAAAAAATAAAGGAAAAGAAAAAACTTAAATCCTTTTACTCTAGGAATAATCCAAAGTCCCAGATTCTTGGGTTAATACAATCACTTCAATTTTTATACTTTGTTCATCTCAGCCAGGAAGGCCTCATTCCAGTGTGTGGGGAGCTGGGTTTCTTTCAGCAGCTTTAGTCCAGGCTGTCTGTACAACAATGGGAGGTTCCTTCAGGACTTCTCAGTTTGTACCATTCTTTCCAACCATAATTGAAGGAGTCCAAAAAGCCCTTAATACTGGGGTGAAGGGGGTGGGGAGATTTGTTCCTCTGCTCAAGAGCCCACACGACTTCTTAGTGCTAAAAGAATGTTTCTCGAATTGCATTTCCTAAAACACCAGCATCTCAGAAGAAGTAAATAGGTGCTTTAATAATATTTTTAAATCTGTGACCCTGAAAGTTTGGAATATGTTGCTTAACATTCTATGCCAGATACTGTTCTAGTCACTAGAGATATATGCACGAGCAAAACAAACCAAAACCCCTGCCTATGGAAGCTGCAGGTCAGACAAGAAATACTATAAGTGCTTGAGGACCTTTTGGAAGATTTGCAAAGCAGACCGGCACATCATAAGACAAATTTTGATGTAAAGAAATAGATTTGATTTCATTTACATCAAGACGGCACAAATGTAAGATCCTGGTATAATTACTAACATCCTAAGGAACAATATTTGAGTCACTAGTTTAAGAAACACATGCTTACAACACTGAACACAAGTTACCCTGTCTTCAGTCAATATATCTCCTGATGTCACTGCTGCCCTGTATGGAAACTTTCTAATATAAAAAGAAGCCAAAGATCAGCCAAAAATATATTATGAGCATGGTAAGCTCAGCCCTTAAAAGGGCATGGAGGAAATCATGGGACTTGCTGGCAGGGAAGGGGGAAAGCACCAGGAATGGGGGTTATCAGGAAGAAAACTAATATGCAGATGAATGGAGGACAACACTCTGTGGCCACCACCCCCCCCCGCCCCCCCCCTCACTCCTACCATGAGAGGGAGGCCAATAAGGAACCCACTCTAACAGGGCAGGAGCTGGTCTACTCAGCTTCCAGGCCAGGCATCAATGAACCAGGTGGTCAGACCTGGCAATAGAGCAGGGAACAGCTGGGGAAGTAGGAGCACCAGATCAGGAATTTCACCCTGAATATGATCAGAATGAAGAAATAGCAGAATGGATTCAACTATACAGCCCAAAGGCCAGGGAAGTAGGCTCCAAGCAAGCCCAGGGAGATTTTCCCAGGCTCTTCTGACCTAAAGCATCAAAGATACCCTGCCTCTTTGCTGCCTCATAGAAAGCACTGATGACTAATTCCAAACCCAGCTGGCTTTCACTCACAGTTTAACACCTCTTTTTCAGCCCTTTTTGTTTGTTTGTTTGTTTGTTTTGTTTTGTTTGTTTTTTTTGAGACGGAGTCTCACTCTGTTGCCCAGGCTGGAGTGCAGTGGCGCGATCTCCCCTCACTGCAAGCTCCGCCTCCCAGGTTCACACCATTCTCCTGCCTCAGCCTCCTGAGTAGCTGGGACTACAGGTGCTCGCCACCATGCCCGGCTTATTTTTTTTGCATTTTCAGTACAGATGGGGTTTCACCACGTTAGCCAGGATGGTTTCGATCTCCTGACCTCGTGATCTGCCCGCCTTGGCCTCCCAAAGTGCTGGAATTACAGGCGTGAGCCACTGCGTCCAGCCATTTTCAGCCCTTTTAATTGAACCTGGCACTTTCAGGAAAGTGGTCACAAAAATGGCATAAAAAGCAACAGCCAGCACCTGTACCCCTGCTCAGAAGTTGCTCCAGGTCTCCCTCTCCACCACTAACTCCAATATTTCTTGCTCATCAGTCCCTCGACTTTTTTGTCCATTTTGGTCCTTGTGTCCCTTGGGTCCCTCTGGACTTGATGGTTGATCACCACCTGCCCCTGCATGTGATTGTCAGCACTGGCTCATCAGCTCCAAGTGCTGCCCCAGCACCCCAGCCTGTGGCCCTTCCTTCCCTTTGTCCCTGTCAAGACATGGAGAGTGGCCCTTGAGGACCTTCCTGTTGTTGGGGTCGGGGGTGATAATACCCAGGACCTGCTGCACTGACATGGGGGCCTGTGGGAGGAGTGGGGGTGAGGCAGGACCAGCATGTCAGTCAAGCCAGAAGGGCCTGCACCAAACCAACCAAACACTCAGGAAGGAGAGAAAGCAAACCCTGGGCTCGGCAGAGAGGCTGAATTTGGAGAGGAGCCGACATGGAAAGAGATTTGTTATTTGTGGTAGGCTTTTATTTGGTGGTGGGAAAAGAATGGCAAATATGTAACACAATATTTCTGTAACTATAAATAACCATAAATACCTTTCATAATGAAAACCTTATGGAATCTGCTTTACTGGGAGGTTTTTAAAATAGCAAAGGGTAAGGGAGGGAAATAACATGTATTTAACCCACACTATGTGCTAAACACCTTCCATATGCCTTTGCTTAGTCCTCTCACTTTTCTTCTGGAGAAGGTTTACCAATTTATAGAGGAGGAAAACGAGGCTGAGAGAGGTTCAGGAACTTAACTGAGGCTCCATGGTGAACCACAGATAGAAAGTAGATAGGCCAGGCTCCAAATCCCTCCCTCTTTCTGGAATCAAGCACAAGCCTGCCTAGAGGCAGGGGCTAGACTATATGATCTTTCTAGATTCTTCTCTGTTGTCAGGATTTCTAGAATTAGCTTATTCCCTGCAGGTGCCTCAATTCTTTCAGGATAGTAAGGACCCATCGGGTAAACTGTGAACATTAACTCAACAGAGAAGAGGGGGATCAGGTTCCAATTTACTCCTGTGGCCTGACAGTGTTCTACCCAGGAAAGCAAAAGACCTCAGGGAGCTCAGGTTTTATCTTCAGGACACAGGCTCTGGGAAGGGTGGGAGTAATAATGAAAGTAGAATTGGGAGATGCTGGGCTCTGCCACCATCTTGCTGTGTGACCTTGGATAAGTTTCTCCCCACTCTGGGCTCCAGTTTTCACATCTGGAAAATGCAGAGTTGGGTTAGGTGCTCAGGAAGCCTCAGCCCAGCTCTGACAGTTTTGTTTCACAAATGCTGGAGTTGACTTTGGTGGTTTGAGTAAGATGTTTCCCAATAAAGTCCACATCAGTAGCTTCCCCAAGCCTGGCTCAGCCCCTCTTTCTCTCCTTTCCTCCAAGGGTCCACACAAGCACCCCTCCCTGCAGCCCAGCCTGCACTGACCTGAACCTCCCGTGTCAGGGCCAGCTCCAGCAGCTGACCAAAGTGCTGGCCCAGCATGCTCAGGGTCTCACTCACGCAGGCCTTCATTGACTTCAGGACATGCTCATTCTCAACCTGAAGGCACCTGAAGAGAAGAAACCATGGGGTGGGCCACTGGAAAGGGCATGTGGTCAGCCCAGAAATGTTGCACGGGCCAGAACTGGACCTGCTACAAGCCTGGTGTGTGCTGAAGACATTGGCAACTGGGAGTCAGAGATGGAATATTCCACAGCTGGCTTGCCCACTGGTCTCTTAGTGTGCAGAGATGTGCTGGCCTGAGATGAGGACTACCAGTCCACATCAACAGGAAGAAAGGCCATCAGAATGTGGAAAATCTATACCTCTGGGCTTCTCCCTGCAGAATCTGCCATCATTGCAGCCAGGGTCTATCTTCTCTGTGATGTTGGGGTGGGAGATGAAGGGGCAAGAAGCTTCAAAGAGAGGTGCCAAGTGCCAGGTATTGCTAGTGAGCTCTGAAAAGGTGGATAGCAATGCCTGTGGCCCTTTAAGAAATGGCTGCCTAGAGTGTGCAGAGAGCCTTGAGAATTTTCTTCCCAGACAAGAAAAACAGAGGGGGATCAGGTTCCAATTTACTCCTGTGGCCTGACAGTGTTCTACCCAGGAAAGCAAAAGACCTCAGGGAGCTCAGGTTTTATCTTCAGGACACAGGCTCTGGGAAGGGTGAAGGAAAAAGTCAACACACACCTGGGTGTGTATACATGTGAGGCTGAGTGTGTGTACATATCTGAGTATAAACATATGTAGGTTTATGTGTGTGAAATATGGAGGAAAGGGTGTGAATGTATTTCTGTGCTGGTCCAAGCATGTGTTTATATATCTGTATATGAGAAAGTGAGTGTGGGCATTGAAGTCTATGTGTATGTGCGTGTGTAAGGGTGTGAGTGTCGGCTTTCACCTTGCCTTGACTCTTGCCTTGACTTTGGGGATCTGTGGGTCTTCCCAAAGCTGTGGGAAACCTTTTCCTTGTTACCAACTCCTAGAAAATCCTCTTTCTTCCTATGCCCAGGCCTCTCCTCTGCCTTTTACCCTATCCCTAGGGCCTGAACATGGGGCAGAAAATTTCAAGAGAATATTTTAAGATTTCTGATAAAAGTCAGAAAAAGGAAACTCTGAAACCACCACCACGCCTCCCATTCCCATTCTCCCTCTGGGAGAAGATACCAGCCCCTTCTCCTGCCAGAGGTCGGGTGGGCAGACCCTGGGAGATCTATGGTCCAAATTTACCTCTCTGTGACTGCCGAGAGCTCCGAGCATTTCTCCATTAGCAGCTTCTCAATCTGTAGAAAAATAAGTCCATTTTATTCAACTCAGTAAGCATTAACTGAGGACCAACTGCTGTGCTGAGCACACGGGGACATTAAACATGAAGAATCAATTAATGTGACTTGGGGAACAGGCAGTTAAAATATAACACAGTGTGATACAGGTGGTGAAAGAGCTCACGGTAGGCTGCTTTGGGAGTATAAGAAAATGAAACTGAGCAGTTATTTATGCTGAGGAAGCTGGGAAGCTTCAGGAAAGAAGGGGCATTTGAGCTGGGTTTTGAAGAATGAAGAGAAGTTTTAATGTCTGCAAAGCTAAGGAAGGAAAAGTTCGAGGCAAAGGGCAAAGCACTAATGTGAAATGAGAATGATGAAAGAGAATTAATAACAAGGGAGATTTTTAATGGTTCACCTTGGGCTTTGAGAAGAAGATTCAAAGTCATGGGCTGTGGACTCAGAAAAGCTTAGATTGGACCCTACTTATTACACCATTCACTGCGTAACTTTAAATAAATTATTTGGCCTCTTAGAACTTTTGTTTCCTCATCTATAAAATAAAGGTAATCCTAACATTTTTAATCAATTGCTTTAAGTGTTTTGCATATAACAATTCATCTAGTCCTCACAACAAATTTATAAAATAAATTATATTATTATACCTTTTAGGATGAAGGAACTGGGACACAGAGAAGTTAAGTAACTTGCTGAGGTCCACATAGCAGAGCTAACATTTCAACCCAAGCAGTCTGGCATTAAAGTCAATATATTCAACCACTGCACAGCTTCTCAAAGTAGTGGCACCTACCTCACAGGTTGTGCAGGTTAAATGAGATACATGTAAAAAAAAAACACCTAGCACAATGTCCACCACATAGTAGGCACTCAGTAAAGATTCCACTCTCTTTCTTTCCTCCTTTACTGGAAGGGGAGAAAGGCTTCTGGAGCAAAAAAGATTCAGACACCACATGATTCAAACCCACTCTTCTCTAAAGCACCCTGACTTCCAGTTCCCGCCCACTCCTATCCCAGGGCAGCTGACCTCGCCCATTTCCTTCAAGGAGTTCCTGCTGACAGCACTGTACTCGCTGACCATGGAGCGGGCATGGCAGGTCAGACGCACGCTCATGCTGTGCACCCGTGCCCAGCGGTCCTGGGCCAGCTTCTGCCCGATCCTGCGCAGCTCTGTGCTAATGACCCAACCCCGTTTGAGCAGCAGCTGCAGGGGGTCTCCAGGGCCAGGGCCACCTGCCAGGATGAGGTCACCCTGTGCATCCTCTTCCAGGCTGATGGGCTTGGCCTGCAGGACACACATGCACTCGCACTCGGTCATGAGCTTCAGATCTTCCATCCAGCGCTGGACTGAGTCCACCTGCATCAGGTGTAGCCTGCAACCAGGAAACAGCACCACGATAATTATCAACACCCCATGATTTCCAAAGGTCTCAATTCTAGGCCATCTGATATTTACTAAGCACCTATTATATGTTTAGCAGTGTTTCTCCCATTCATGCACCTTGATATTCTCAGTCATTTCTCATTCTCTTCATCTTATGGATAAGAAGTCTGAAGCATAAAGTTTTAAGGGCAGATGACCAGACTAACAAGCAACAGGTAATTATGTCTGACAGAGTAGCCAATGATCTTTACAATAAGGGGGAAATGGAAGGGTGAGGCAGGAATATTGCTTGAGGCCAGGAGTTCAAGACCAGCCTGGGCAACATAGCAAGATCCCATCTCTTTAAAAAAAGTTAATGGAAATAGCCTAAATATCAAATAATGGTTACACTAAGTGAGCTATGGTATAGCTATGATTATGTAGTACGCAATTATTTAAAATGATGCTTTCCAAAAGTTTATAGCTAAGAAAAATGTGTGTGCTAATATGCAAAAATGGAAATGTAAACACACAATTATTACAATAATGTTAGAAAGCTCCATCTAGGAAAAATATTTAAAGGAAACACATTACAATGCTAAAGGCTCTTAAGGAGTAATGTAACTAAAGTCTTTTTCATTTTTTTCAGCTTTTCTCTAGTTTCCAAATTTTCTATAGTGAGCATGTATATTACTTTTGTAATGGAACAAAATTAACTATATTTAGTACAACAGCATGAGAACATAGATTAGTTCCTAAGATCTTAATCAAATAAAATGCACTCTAAAATTCACTGAGTCAAGTAAAAGTCAGTAATATCAGATCATTGATAAAGCATTGTATATTTGTTGAGTCCCTTATATTTCATATAAGTGCCAGGCACTGTGGGAAAAGCAGATATGAAGATGTTAAGCCTCCACTCTCGAAAAGATTTTGATCTGCCTAAAGAATCAAGATAAACTAATGAGAAGTTAAAAGACAATTGTTATGTGTCAATTAAAAGTAAAGCTTGAAAACAAAACTAAACTAAAAAGACAATAACAAATTTCACTATCATTTCACAACAGAAGACATGCATAGCTAATGACTAAGGCTGAGTGCAAGTTCCTTTGTCTTTGGCTTGTAACAGTATTCTGATTAGTCTTTCTGCCGCTGATCTTACCTGCCTCAAACATTCTTCACCTGCCACCAGCTCATTCACTCATCTACAAATATCAGTACCTACAACATGTCAAGTATTGTTCTAAGACCTAGACTGTAGCAGCAAACAAATAATCACTTCTCTAGCCAATGTTACATTCAAGTGAGAGAACAGTCAATTTTCAAAATAAATGAGCAATGTATGTAATATGTTGCAAGTAGCAAATGCTAGGAAGGAAAAGAGAACAGAAAAAAAGACTAGAGAGTGCTAGGGGTGGGTGGGGGAGTAGACCTCACAATTTAAAATAAGAGGATCAGAGGAGACTCATTGAGAAAGAGACACTTGAGCAAAGACTTGAAGCACACGACGAAGGATGCCATGTGGCTATCTGAGGGCAAATTGCTCCAAGGAGAGAGATCAGCAAGTGCAAAGGCTCTGGGGGCAGAAGTGTCCTGAGATGTGCAAGGAATAGCAAGGAGGCCAGAGTAGCATGGGAATAGTCAGCCAAGGTGGAAGATGAGTTGAGAGCAATGAGGTGGGGGTGAGGGGAGTAGATCCTATGGGGCTGTGTTGGACAAGGTGGAGATTTGGCTTTTATTCTGAGTCAGTATAGCAAATAAAGGGCACCAATGAGGCCAGCCTGGTGAAGCAAAGGTACCAAGTAGGGTTGAAATTATAAGGCAGACTCCAGTTATCGAGGTTAAAAAATCATGTCTTCATGTTTACAGTTATTTAATGAGAAGGAGCAAGACTTTCTGAAATATGTAACCATTTGACTGTAGGCTTTTAAATGTAATTTTTAACCACACATCTTATGTTTAATTATGAAATTGAACATATGATTTCTTTTAGGAAATTGCTTTTTAAATTGTTTTTAAAAAATAACCAATGATTTCTCTGTCTCTGCCTCCCTTCATGGAAATAGCTATTACATTTTGTAAAGAATTTGAACATATACATATACATGCATATGTATGTGAACACATACATATATGTATATGTATACAGACACACAGAGAGAGAGAGAAACCCATTAAATCCAAAAATCACAGCACCCTACTGCCCATATATCCTTATGAAATCATATTTAATTTTATATTAAGTAGAATCACATCTCATGTACGGTTTGATTGCAGACAACTTCTAATCTTCTGCATCTTATTACCATTCCCTTATATTTGCCCACCCCTTCCAATCTCAGCCAACTAACTTTAACCTAGTAAGTATCATTTTATATTTTTCTCCATACTCATGCATTCTTACACAGACTTTTATCTAAGTATATATACATTTATAAGGTTTTCTGACCTATTGCTTTTTTTGTAAATATGACCATAGTATATACACATCTTGCTGCATTTTGATCTTCTTACTTAACTTTGAAATCTTTCAAGTCCTCCAGCAGAATCCTAAAACACTCTTTCCAATGTTTGAACACTATTCCATATTGCGTATATTCCACAACTTATTAAGCCATTTTCCCATTCCTGGGCATTCACTTTTTGTTCAGCTCCTGACCTCTATAAACAATGCAACATTCAACACTCTCATTCATATGTTCTGAATTGTAATTCAATAGATGTTGCCACACTGACTTTCAAAAACCCCAATGCTTCACATTCCCCCAAGAATGTATTAGGGCTTTCTACATAGATATTAAAATATGTTTCTCCCCTGCTTAAATCCTTCAGTTGCGCCCCCCATACCACCGTTCCCTGGATAAGTCAAAACTCCTGAGGCTAAGATGAGAGAGCTTCCGTGATATGGCCCCAGCCTCCCTTCTCACACATCTCCCTTGTCCATCTTCCCCAACTCCTAGCGCCCCTGCCACAAACACACTCTACACCTCAGATAAATTCAACCTCCCCATTTCCCGAACATACCACTCTCTTTCACAATCCTCTGCAGCCTTGAACATGAAGTTCTCCCTCAGATTAGAAACCTCTTTTCTTCTTCTCTACCTGGCAAGTTTCTACTCACCCTGCAAGACCTGACTCTTATATTACCTCCTCTAAAAAACTACAGCCAGAGCTCATGAGTTCCCCCTCAGGGCCTCTGCATCCTTCAGTGGGGCACTAGTAACATTCTACTGCAATTGGTGTGTGTGCCTGAACTCCCCAAGTCCTGTGAGGAACAGTCTCTTGTGCCTGGCTTATTGCCAGTGTCTGACATATATCAGTTATTCAGAAAATGTATGCCCATTGTTGAGTGGCCAAGTGTCAGGCATTTATTGCCATAGGTCTGTACCTATGCAGAGACTTCATACGCCTCCATCACACAGGCTACACAGAGAGTGCCCCGAGATTGACACGATGGAAAAGGAGTTATTAAAGATGGAAAAACTGTGATTATTGTGTTCTAAAGACATAGAAATGGGAGGAAAACTGACCTAGGGGCTTTTAAGAGGCAACAAATGAACAAATCACTTGCACACTGACTCATTCACTGCATAAGCACTTTGCAGTGGACATCTGTTACATTATCTTTCCAGCATCTTTTTCTGTCTCTTCTGTCAATCATAAAGACAAGTTTCATTAGCTACCTCTTGGGATGGCTACCCAGGCTGCAGTTTTTCCCTCTTCTTTGCTAAAGGCCCCTCCTCCCAAACACAGGGGTGATCCCCTGGCCATCTGTGGCCATGTCTAGTCTGTGTTAAAATGCCCCTGGAAACAATTGGTGCTTGATCCAGCGGTGGGCTTCTGAACTAAGCTGCACTAATCCAATTCCTTGCCCCAAATTGTGAAACGTAGAACCAAGGTTCATACAGACAGGGATTATTGTACATGGGACATGTTAACAATGGCAACTTCAGTTGTTCCATGAGAACCTCCAGGATCACTTGGGGAGTGGGGAGACAAGTCCAAGAGTTAATTTCTATTGCTTGTAACCAAAAGAACATTTTCTAAGACACAAGTGCACAGATAACTAAACATAGTTGAGTTGGTGTTCTTCTTAGAGTAAGGATCTGCTGGGAATTCCAAGAAGAGAACTCCCCCTTTCCGTTGGAGATCAGGGGCAGGTGCCTGGAGGAGGTGGTCATATCCTGGGTAGGGTTTGGACTTGTCAAGACAGTGAGAGCATATTCCAGGGTGAGGCAGTCAAAGGGACAATAAGTAAGTCCCCTGTTCTAGAGTTGTACATTCTGGAAGAGAGGGAACCATGATAAGGAAAGCCAGAAAGGTACACCAAGGCCCTGATTGTGAGAAGCCTTCGGTGCCAGATTAGGGGCTGGCCATTCACATTGAGATCCCTGAGAAGATACTGGAGGGTGGGCAGGGCAGGGGAGGTAGGGATGGCTAGGACTGGAAAACAGCCAAATTACAGCACCTGGGACCACCACCTGGCTCAAAGGAAACCTGTGTGCTGGGACTGCTCCCCAAGGAAGAGCTCTGGCATCCTCTGAATGGAGGCACTCACACCCCTTACCTCTGGCCTGGAAAGGAAAGAACCAACCCAACCCCACAGCCATGGTAGAGGTAGGAAAGGAGAACAAGGCCCTGGGAGGCCTGCTCAGATCCACAACTCACATTTTTGTCAAGCCCTCCACCCCAATGCACACAGGAGGTATATACTTAGTTATTGTTTTTAAAGCTATGTAAGAATTAAAAAGAAAGTGAGATTTCAGAAGCTGTAATTAAACTCCTAATCGATTCAGCACTCTGCTAGTAGGAGAATTGGAGTGACAGAACTATTGATTTCTTCAAGCCCTGCGTGTTTGTGCCTACCAGTGTCTGTGTTTGTGGATATGAATCCATCTGGGTGCCTGTCTATATTATCTGGATGCCTGTATCTGTCTGTGTGTCTGTATATCCCTATTTGCGCAAATAGATGACTGTATATGTGTTTACAGGACTTACCTCATATAAACTGGATGATTAAAAACTGGAGGTGGAGGAGCTTGAGCATGGGTACACTTAGTGAATCATTTCCAAAGAAAAGAGTATAGAAAAGGGAGAAATAAAGAAACTTTACAGTGGAGAAACCTGGCAGTCGCTATTTTAACCAAGTGATCAAGTTTAACCTCACCAAGGATAAGGCATGTTGCTAGCATGTACCCCTGAAAGGATATGATAAGAAGTGCACTTCATCTTGTAGCATTCTTCCCCTAGGACACGTAGCCTCAGTCTCATGATGAGGGAAGCGTCAGACAAACCCAAACTGAGGGACATTCTACAAAACACCTGACCAATACTCTTCAAAGTGGTCAAGGTCATCATAAACAAAGGCAGACTGAAAAACTGTCATAGAACAGAGGTGACTAAGGAGACATGAGGACTAAGTGTAATATGATATCCTGGGTGGAATCCTGAAACAGAGAAAGGATATTCATGAAAAAAAAACTAGTGAAATCTGAATACAGTCAGCTTTCCATATCCACAGATTTTGCATATATGGATTCAACCAACTGCAGATTGAAATTATTCAAAAAAACAAAAAATAACAATATGATAATAAAAATGTCACACACAAAAAACACAGTATAACAACTATTTACATAGTATTTACATTGTATTAGGTATTATAAGTAATCTAGAGATGATTTAAAGTATACAAGAGGATAAGTGTAGCTTATATGCAAGTATTAAGCAATTTTATATCAGGGACTGGAGGATTCACACATTTTCGTAACTGTGGGAAGTCCTGGAACCAATCTCTCATGGATGCCAAGGGACAACTGCAATGTCTAGAGTTTAGTTCATAGTAATGGACCAATGCTGGTCCCTTAGTTGTGACAAATGTGCCATGGTAATATAAGACGTCAGCAATCAGGGAAACTGAGTGTGGAGTATATGGGAACACTCTGTACTACCTTTGTAACTTTCTGTAAATCTATAACTATTCGAGACCAGCCTAGCCAACATGGTGAAACCTGTCTCTACTAAAAGTACAAAAAAAAAAAATTAGCTGGGTGTGGTGACACACGCCTGTAATCCCAGCTACTCGGGAGGTTGAGGCAGGAGAATCACTTGAACCTGGGAGGCAGAGGTTGCAGTGAGCAGAGATCATACCACTACACTCCAGCCTGGGTGACAGAGTGAGACTCCATCTAAAAAAACAAACAAACAAACAAACAAACAACAACAACAACAAAAACTGTGAGCCCAGACTAGCTGTCTCTCTGGTTTTATATCATGAGCCTCATGCAGGGAACACCTTGAGAGTCCAAGCTCCAGGATGATAGGTGAAACCTGGCTAAAGAGCCAGGAACAGAGCCTTCCTCAAAGAACTGGGAAGTGGAAAGAAAAGCGGTCACCAGTCAGGCTATGGGTGGAAGTTGTTCTCTCAGGGGAAAGGAACATAGCTACTCCCAGTAGCTTTGTCTTCCAGTCGGGCCCTCATCATCTGTCCTACAGATGAATCCCAGGTGAGCCTCGTGGACCTGTGCCTTCAATGCCTAGCTACATCGGGAACCCTCCCTCTGAGGCCCCTCATGATGGCTCATAATGACCCTGCTCCTTCCTTAACCACCTTAACAGACAGGCCTTGAGCCACAGCTTCCTTGGGACTGAGTAGCCTATTGTCTACGAGTTTGAGCATAAGGGGGATGTATCCAGACACAAGCAAACAAGGCCTGCACACTGGCATAAGGGTAGGAAGAGCTAGCTCTGCTTCTCATAATCTGTGTGACCTTAGGCAAGCTGCTGCTTCTTTTTTCCATTTTCTGAAATTTTTATCGAAATATAACATATGTACATAGAAGTGAACACATCATAATATTGAGCTACAGTTCAATACATTTTCATAAGGTCAACACATCCATGAATTCAGCAACCAGATAAAGAAACCTAACTATTACCATTGTCCCAGAACTCTCCCTTGAGCCCCTTCTAGTCACTCCCCAACCAGGATAACCAGTATCCTGACTTTTAACAACATAAGTTTGTGTTTTGAGTAAACTTCTTACCAATTTGAGCCTCAATTTCTTCATCCACAAAATAGATAATAATAGAGGTTTCCACACAGGGTTGATGGAAGAATTAAATTAAGTGATGAATGTGTAGGGCCTAGCACACTGCATGGCACAAAAGGGGACACTCAAAAATGTTAGTTCTCTGTGCTGCTCTTCCCCATATAAAACACCTTCACACGTGTCACAATAACTAGAAATATAATAATGACTGGAATTTATTGAGCATATCCCATGCATTGAGCACCATGCTAAGATCATGTCCTTTGCAGGGACATGGATGGATATGGAAGCCATTATCTTCAGCAAACTAACACAGGAACAGAAAACCAAACACTGCATTTTCTCACTTATAAGTGGGAGCTGAACAATGAGAACACATGGACACAGAGAGGGAAACAATACACACTAGGGCCTGTCAGTGGGGTAGTGGGAGGGAGAGCATCAAGATAAATAGCTAATGCATGTGGGGCTTAACACATAGGTAATGTGTTGATAGTTGCAGCAAACCACCATGGCACACGTTTACCTATATAACAAACCTGCACATCCTGCATGTGTATCCCAGCACTTAAAATAAAATGAAATAAAATAATAAAGTAGATGAGCAGAGAGAGGGATGAGGCAGCCTTAACATAGGCAGATGGGGAGGACCATTTGCCCAAGCAACAACTTGGGGCTGCTATGGGCAAAGGAAGATGAAGGGAAACTGTGAGCCCCTGACCCTGCCTACAGCTCGGGAGAGGAGAGTGGGCAAGAATCATGAGCCGCCAAGATATAATTGCTGCTTTCAGGCCAAAGCCACACAGAGCTGTCCAGCTGCAGGAGTTGCCTTTCACGGTAACAGTCCTAGAAATGAGGACAGACAAGGTGCCAGTGGGGAAAAGCAGAATCTGGTTTACTTTAAGAATGAGCTTAAGCCAGGTGTGATGTCTCATGCCTGTAATCCCAACACTTTGGGAGGTGGAGGTGGGAGGATCCCTTGAAACTAGGAGTTTGAGACCAACCTGAGCAACATAGCGATACCCCCATCTCTACAATAATAATTATTATTATTAATAATAATTAGCTGAGCATGGTGGCTCTTCCCTGTGGTCCCAGCTACTCAGGATACTCAAGAGGCTGAGGCAGGAGGATCACTTGAGCCCAGGAGGTCAAGGCTGCAGTGAGCTATTATGGTGCCACTGCACTACAGTCTGGGTGACAAAGTGAGACCCTTTCTCTTAAAAGAAGAGTTTAAAATAACTGTTATTTATAGAGATTGTTTAAACAGCAGCAACTCTTTCTCCCCAAGCAGCAACCAGACATACTGAGAAGAAAACATAGAACAAATTAGTAAGTGCGGGAATCCTTGCCTCCGCCTACCTCTACTCAGTGACCAATCCCCAGGCCCATCAAGCAGGTGCATGCCGCTTATGTCCAGGGCAGGGAAGACATTCGGAGGCTCTGGCCTATTAGCAGCTGAAGGAAAAAATGGGTTGGCTGCTCGAGAACCCCCACCCAGCCTGACTTCTCCCAGAATGCTTTGCACCCAAGCTGCTCACATTTAAACTAAACTACTGTGTTAATAATATTTTTGTGTTTAGCAAAAAAAAAAATAGACAGAATTAGACAAAAAGCAGTTCTGAAGTCACAGTGAAATAAAAAATAAAAAAAAATCCACCAGTAATAATAACTTTTATTGAACCTTTACAGTACCTCGAGAGCTGTGCACTTATCATGCATTATTTTATTCACGACAACCTTACTTGGTTTACTCTCTTATTCACTCCATGTTACAGGTGAAAATATAGAGGTGTAGAAAGGCCACATGACTTGAGAGAGCCAGAACTCCATGCAGGCAGCCTGGCTCCAGAGACTGTGTTACTGACCACACTATTCATCTTCCCATCTGTGTCTCTCCTCCACCAGACTTTGAGATATCCTCAAAAGCAGTCATTGTTTGATTCATCTCAGCGCAAGGCCTGACACACAGTAGGTATCAATAAATATGTAATCGAATCAAATAAGCCTAAGACTGCCTGGGAGACATGCATAGTATGCCTTGCCAAGCCAGATTATTTGAAAAAAATATTTTCCAAACTTGCAAGGAGTTACACAAGACAGGCAAGAGTTTCCTGGACTGGCACATAGGAACCTCCCAAACCCACCCTATCCTCTGCTCTAGAATTAATTTTAGGAGGTATGGATTTTGTCTTTGGCTAGGATGTCAGACAAAATATAGGTGAGTTCCCAGCCCTGTGGTAAAAGTTTAAGTGTTGGGCAAGTAACTAGATCCCACAAAAAGTATGATAATAAAGATTTTGAAATACTTGAAGCTGATGTCATTAGAACCAGAGAAACTTCTCATTCAAGGCATTTTTGCAAATGTTCCTGTCTTCCACTAAGCAATGCTCTGGTTGGGTAGAGCTTAGACCCTTAGAAACCATTGCCCCAATTCTCAGAGCCTGGCCTGAATGTAAAGGCAAACAGTGCTCTGGTGAGTTGTGGGTATATATTCTCAAGCCCTTGAGAAGTGTCTGTCCCCACATGACACCAGGAACCAACATAGAATATTCTCAACCAGTTCAACAAGGTTTAAAACATTAAGCAGTATCTCTCAGGCAATCCCTGGTCAACTTAATTCAATGAAACACTATTGACACTGACAATGTTCCAGGCCTTGTTCTGGTGATCCCTGCCCCCAGGAAGCTTACATAGTCGAGCAGAAGAGACAGACATAAGAAAGATAGCCCAACTTCACTCTCATCCCATCATGATGGGTCATGAGGCTCGCTCAAGTGCATCTAAGAGTCCCCAGAGTTCATCTAACATATGTTCCCCCACCACCCCCCAAAAGACTGGTTCAGCAACTACAAGGTGGAACTGAATGATTCTGACACCCTTTCTTCCTTAGCAGCCTTACACTGGGCATGATCCTAGCTGCCATGCCCTGCCATGTCCACCCAGCATGGCTGCCATTCCTTCCAGTGAATGTCATGCTCTCTGGACTCCACAGGACATCTCAGACTGTTACATTCATCACTTCTTCTCTTACTGCTACCTCTCTTAGGTACCAGGGTACCACCACCAGGCATGCCACTGGGTCTTCTAGGCATGGTGAAGACTCCTGTTGGTTACCACTGCTCCCACCAGAGCAGAAACTCTATAGCTGGTTTACCTGGATTCAAATTCCAGCTCTGCCACTGGCTAGCTACGTAACTTTGGACAAGTTATACAACCACTCAGTGCTTCAGTTTCCTCACTAGCAAATGGTGAAAGATAATAATAACTAACTTCTGGGCTTTTGGTGATTATTAAGTGAAGTGATTATATATATTATGTGTATATACACATAATATATACTGCCTGATGGGTAATACTCTAAGTGTTAGTCTCTATTAGAGAAGTTCTAATAAAGCCTGTGTATCATCAAACCTTTTTTACTTAAAAGTCAAAAACATGAAGAAAATTCTGGAAAGATGGCAGTGGTGGCGCATATTTTTCCAATCTCTTCAAACCCCCACATGAAAACTGACAGAGTAACTATATGACAACCCCTACCCCATGGATGATATTTATAATGAAACTAGATCATAAGTTATCCCCACAAACTTCGAAATACCAGCAAGTGGGGACAAACCACCAACAGCTGTAAGACCTGCTCGGTATCATGTATTAGACCATTTTCATGCTGCTGATACAGACATATCTGAGCCTGGGTAATTTATAAGGAAAAAGAGGTTTAAAGGACTTACAGTTCCACATGGATAGGGAGCCCTCACAATCATAGCAGAAGGCGAAAGGCACATCTTAACTGGTGGCAGGCATTATAAAATCATCAGATCTCGTGAGACTTATTCACTACCATGAGAACAGTATGGGGGAAACCACCCCCATGATTCAATTACCTCCCACCTGGTCCCTCCCACAACACATGGGAATTATGGGAGCCATAATTCGAGATGAGATTTGGGTGGGGACACAGCCAAACCATATCATATTATCTTATGAGACGAAGAAGAAAGAAGCAATAAGGTGGCATCTGAAGAACATGAGAAAGGAGAACCCAAAATAGCCTCTGGGTATTTACTGGAAAGCATAGTATGGGAATTTGAGAACAGTGGCTGAAACTAGAAGGAGATTTGCCTTTCCAATATAGCTGAGTATAGGGTGTTTTATGAACTCTCAAAACTGACCCACCAGGAATCTCTACCACAACAAAGCACCACATTAAGGAGAAACTCCTGAGAGTGGAATCCAAATTCAGTGGGACAGGGACAACAGAGGCACAGGAACGAGATGTTCAGATCAATGTGAGGGAAGAAAGCAGAGATAGGAACACTCAGAGAGCAGGTCATCATATTTTTGGACCCTATACTAAAACAAAAGAAGGTGGAGTTCTATAAAGTTAGAATAGGTTTCCTGAACCCTGCCTTCTTCTAAAGGTTCATGAAAACTAATTTCACTTAAAAGTGAGCAACAGAAAGTTATTGTAGTCTCATCCCATATATAGTTATTTTAAAAAGAGAATAAAGAGCAGAATAATATCTCTACAATGAGAAAATGCCAGAAAAAAAATGTACTCTTAAAACAGATAAGACTATAACAAAATAAGCTTAAAATTTTAAGGAAATTATAAAAAACAGGAACAAGAAGCATAAATTATCAGAAAGGAAATGTCCCAACTCAGGAAGGAATTAGAAATAAAGAGGGGAAAGTCATTTTAGAAACAAAGGCTAAACAAGAAGAAACACATAAGATAATGCCTTTAAAATCAAATGCAAAAATTAAGAAAACTTTGAAAATAAAAAATGAAGAAAGAGATTAAAGGAGGCCAGATATGGTGGCTCACGCCTATAATCCCAGCACTCTGGGAGGCCGAGGTGAATCATGAGGTCAGGAGATCGAGACCATCCTGGCTAATATGGTGAAACCTTGTCTCTACTAAAATACAGAAAATTAGTTGAGCGTGGTGGCAGGTACCTGTAGTCCCAGCTACTCAGGAAGCTGAGGCAGGGGAATCGCTTGAACCCAGGAAGCGGAGGTTGCAGTGAGCCAAGATCGCACCACTGCACTCACTTCAGCCTGGGCGACAGAGCAAGACTCCATCTCAAAAAAATAAATACATAAGTAAAATAAAAAGAATTTGAGAGAAAACAACAAATATTAAAGTTAGGTAAGAAGATCCAACAAACACACAATGTAAGTTCCTAAGGAAGGAATTCAAAGCACAGAAACAGGGTAAATACTAAAACTATAAATCAGAAAACTTTCAGGTGGGGGAGGGGACTTAAAACTACACATTGAAAGAATATACTACATACATAAAAGCAAACATGCAAGACATACTGTAGTAAGATAGTAAGATTATTGCACAAGGGAAAAGAATGAGAAGGAAGGCAGGGAGGCAGGGAGGGAAGAAATTGTTTGTGTATCTAAAACTAAGTGGCATGTTACCCATAAGAGACAGAAAATTCCACTATCATCAGATTCTGAGAGCAATACTTTATATCAGAAAAAGTAGAGTTACATATTTAAAATACTCAAGGAAATAAAGTGTGAGCCAGTGATTTTATATTCATTCAAAATGACTTTCAAGTGTAAGGTGAGTAGAAATTCTCAGCTCTGATGACAGAGTGATGTTGGGCAAAAATCCTTCAAGAATAATTAAGAAGACAAAATCAGTAAGACTTGGACACTGATTCATATAGATGATGAATGAGAGAGAGTGAAGAGATGAGAACCAGATTTTTTACTTGAGCAGCTGAATGGATAGGAGAAATAAATTTGGAAGACACAATGATAGGTTCAGTTTGTGACACGGTGAATCTAATAGACCTAACATCTCTTCTTTTCAAGAAGTCCAGTCCCTCTTACTGGACTGCCCTCTCATAGAACTTTATTCTAAAAACTTCCAGGCACTCCCAGCATCCATACAGAGTGCATGGCCAACATACTGTCACAAGTCTCACCCTGAATATTCTCACAAGTCTCATTCATTCAACAATATTTAATTAGGGCTAAATAGGTGCCAGGAACTGTTCTAGCTACTTGGGATATATTAGTAAGCAAAACGAACGAACATTCCAGCCCCTGTGGAGAGTACATCATAGCAGGGGAAGACAGACAACAATAATAAATACAATAAATAAAAATGAATACAGTATGTTAAAAGCAGATGATTTCTATTAACAAGTAGTGGTAGAATAAGGGGTACCACAATCGTCAAGTGGAAAGCAGGTAAGTAATTTTCATTTTAAATAAGTGGTCAGAGCAGGGCTCATTGAGAAGCTAAGATTGAGCAAACACTTCAAAGAGGTGAAAGAATTAGCTGAAATATGGGTACTGACCATTGCAGGCGGTCAGAGCCTAGTGCAAAGGCCTTGAGAGGGAGATGCCTGCTTTGTTTGAGACACAGTATGGAGATAAGTGTGGCTAGAGTAGAAAGAACAACAGAAATATTAGTAGGAGGGGAGCTCATAGAAGGGATTAGGCCAGATCACATAAAGCCATGGAAGCCATTGTAAGCACTTTGGGTTTTATTCTGAGTAAACAAAATACTTCCCAGGTCCCCCAAGAACTCTTGTCACCAGATGTCAGCTGGGTCCATCTAGCCCATATACTTCTCTATAACCCAACAGGAAGACTCTCTCAGTGAGGGCTTTATAAAAACAACACATAGATGACTTTAGAATGACTTAACCTCTGCTATGCAGTGAACTATAAACTGTTTACTAAACAGCTAATTAAACCATAATTATTTATGTAACAAGCTATAAATACTTTACAGCATGGTTAGGCTATTAACTTCCCATCCCTCTGCACCAAGGCTCTTGTGAAGCCCCAGTCAAATGTGACTAAAGGAAATGTGACTACTCTAATCTTGATCAAATTTTTCGATGTCTTCATTTCTCTGCTTCTGATCTGCCTCTGAATCCCATGCTGAGCTGCATCAGCATAGGCCTTACTGTGCATGGGGGCTTTTACGTAAGTGGCGGGCAATTCTTCTTCTCTCCACCCCTAAGCACTCCAAGTTCACATTTTAAGTGTAAATCCTGCCCCAGCATTTGGTGCTAAGCAGGTTGCAACAGGCATGTTTCTAACTTGCCACTGACCCATCTGTGCAATACCAGAAACACTGAGAAGGTTTTTTTCTCCTTCAGTGGGCTCTACAAAATGCCTCCTGTGCCCACCTATAGTGGAAATGCCCCCTTTTCCTCTGAGCTTCTCTGTGTTCTCTCCTGTCTCCATGCACTAGTCCTCTGCTCCAAGCTGTAGCAGCAGAAAAAGTTTTCAGATCAACATTACTCAGAAATCTCCATTTTCACTCTTCATCCTATTCACTTAACATTTGGTGTTCCATATCATTTTCTGACGTGTTCTATATCATTTTTTGTTAATCAAACTGTTCAGTATAATATAGTAAGAGAGTAAATCCTATGGTATAACTCCAGGGGTCCTGGGGGAGGCAAAATGAGACCCACCAACCCACCTTGAAGCTAATACTGAGAGTAATTTGTGGCATGGGCATGGATTATGGCACTGCCAACACTTTATCACATCCATTTCTCCAGGCAGTGGCCCTCTCTCAATTGGTAGAAGGGTTTGAGGGCAAAGAAGAGATTTGACTACTCTAACAAATTATTTTTAATGTAGCATAGTTCCAAGCACACTATGAAAGAAACTATCTCTTGAGTACCTTCTGCATAGCAGGCACTTATCAAGAACTTGCACATACAATATCTAACTAGTATTCAGTAAAATGCTATTTATTACCCTCATCTTACAGAGGAGGAGAAACTGAGGCTCAAAGAGGTTTCTGACAGTGCCAGATTTCAGTCCAGTGCCTGACTCCAAAGTCTGTGCTCTCACCACCTCTGCAGTTTGTCCAGCACCCTAATGGAACTTGTTGTTATTTCGGTTTCAGAAAGCCAAGGAACATGAATTTAGCTCCAGGTAACTGTTTTCACTCTTATGAGCCAATGTGTACATCTGACAGCTGCCTTCTCTTCAATGACTCAGAGCCCCATCTTGTTAACTGTCAAACTCCAGCATTGTAGATGCCCTCTGATTGAGAGAAGACATTGTTAACACTCTATGATCTTTCATTAACTCATGAATGACTTATTTTTTAACCTCTAAAAATGGTATGTGTGTGTATCTGTATTGCCAGCATGAGAGTCATTATGGTGATATAAGCCACAAGAACACCTGATTAGGAGCCATCACCTGTGCCCTCCTCCCACTCCCTCCTCTTGATAGCTGTGTGCCCCTACACATGACACTTGTCATCTCTGAGCCTCAGTTTCCTGATCTGGTCATTGCCCCCTTATTTCCAACCATTGTCCCAGCCCTGAGTTATTTCAGTCCTGCTACTGTGACTTCCAGCCTCCCAGGCTTTGCACATGCTGGTCCCTCTCTCCCACTTCCTCTTCACCTTGCTGGCTTCTACACATCATTGAGGTCTTGACCTTGATCTCTCTTCTGAAGGAGTCCTTTGTGACTCCTCAACAAATTTATGTCCCATGTGCCCCACACGTCTGTAAGCACTCTGTCTCTCCTCTGATCTATACTGGTCTCAATTGTTTAACAACTTTTAAATGTCTGCCTTACCCCCTAGATGATGCAGGGCAGATCTTGTGTCTGTCTTGTCCTACCTACAAGCCACCATGCTACATGCTACAGTATCTGCAAGGCAATGGACCTGACACACCAATGATGCAGCTGGTGTATATGTATGGAACTTAATTACATTTAAACATTTTTCAAGTGGGAATAATAATAACCTATGCTGCTGTCCTGTCTCATCGGGTTGTGAGGGTCAGGGGGATAAAATCCATAATCATTATAATAGCACTAATTGAGGACGGGCCCTATGCCAATTATCATGTGGATTGATTCACATGTATTATCTCAGTTGATTCTCACAATGACCCTGTGAGGAGGGTACTCTTATGATTTTACTTTTACAGATGAGGAAACTGAAGCTTAGCAAGGCCAAATAACATATCTGAGATCACACAGATCACAAGTGGCAAAGTTTGGCTCTGAACCCAGCTCATCAGTGTCTAGACTGTATGTTCTTAAGTGTTATGTTAAACTGCTTTAGGCTGTGCTCTGTTCCAATGTCATGTGCAGTACTGTCAGGTAAAAATTTTAAATGCATTCTTACACACACATCCAGCTATTCCCATTGTTTGTCATGAATTTTCATGGCAGTAACATGGGATTTGATGTATAGACTACAAATGGTTTAGCTTTGTTTTTTCTATTCTGTTCTTCTCCCTACTTTAAAGAGAATATTTTCATTTGCCAAAGTGGACATTTAGGATAATTCACAGACGTAATGTGCCCATTACCATCCTGATACCTCTGCATGCTTCTGTGAAATGCAGGTGAGGGTATAGAAATCACCACTAGAGGGTTTCCAAGAGCCAGTCTCTCCACCATCTACAAGGCTCCAGAACTCTCCATCAGCCTCCAGCCATCACTTGGGTACCTTGCCTCCACCATGCCCTGGCTCCACTCCCAAGCCTCAGGCTCCTAAGGAGGATTCTCTATTTTCAGTTGTAGGCAGACCCAGGGACAAAAGATCCTTCACCTGGGGCTGCACTGGCAGCTCTGCCCTCCAAACGGGCCCCCAGGTGCAAGAGGCCAGGAGAAGTTGCCTGTCTCAAGTCCTACAGCCAGTGCACACTGGGGCCAGGCCTGGAGACCTAGTCTCCTGGTGTTCTCCATGGGCCTGCTCAGAACAAGCCCTGTTCTAGGAGCTGAGGCTACAAAGTTGAACAGGAGAAAATTCCAGCCTTCATAGAGCTCAGCCAAGACCCAAACAGGCAAAAAAAAAAAAAAAAAAAAACCACCAACAATTCATCTGGTTATAATTATAAGAGCAGTTGAAGTGTTGAGTTCCAGCAAGGAGTCAGGCAGTGTCCAAGCCCTCTCTATATATTATCTCCTTTAAGCCTGCCCACAGCCATGTGAGGGAAGTAGTATTATTACCCCCGTTTACAGATGAGGAGACTTTTGTTTGGAGAGGTCACATGGTGAGTAAATAATGGAGCCATTACTCAAACCCAGGCCTCTAGAGTTCAGAGTCTCAGCTTCTATCACCTAAACACCACACTACCAAGAAGATGTGAGCAGGATAGACTACGATCACAGAAGACAGAGGGCCTGACTTCGCCTGGGAATATTTACACAAAGGAAGTGACATTTGCCCTAGTTCTTAGAGGAGAGGAGTTGCCAGGATGACAAAGGCAAAAAGACTTCCACATAGGGGAGACACCATGTACAAAGGCCCAGAGGCATATGGTCAAAAAGTCATATGGCAAGAAGTTTCACTAGACTATAACATCAGGGGCCTCTGAGGGTGGGGCCAGGAACGGGTCTGAAGAGAGAAACAGGGACTAGTTGATCAAAGATCTCGAATGCCATGATCAGGGATGTAGATTTAATCCCAAAGACAACTTGGAGCCACGAAAAGCATTTTAGAGCAGGGAAGTGACAACAATTGTGCAAAGAATCAGTAAAAAATTAATCACAGCCAGGTTAAATCCTAGGCAGGAGAGTAGCCTGTTGGGAAATGATAGTTATAAAACAGAAAGAGAAGAAAGACAGAAGCCTGAACTAAGGCAATGGCATGGGATAGGAAGATCTGGGAGGGACAGGATAGGATATGAGTGTGAAGAAAAGGAAAGAATCGAAGTTGACTCCCCTGGTTTCTCCTGAAGCTGCTGCCCTCGCTGAGATAGGAAACACATCCAGGGAGGAACTGTTTTCATTTGGTTTGATTACAGGGTGTGGCCTCTGACAAGTGGAGAGCACAGGGCCACAGCAGAAGTGGGGGTCAGGCCTTGCAGAGGGGCCCATCGAAGGGGGCCCCAGCTTTCTCAGGAAGGAGACTGGACCTGGTGAATCCCACATGGCCCCACCACAAGCCCATCTAATACCAGCCACAGTCACGGTGCCGCCACATAATAAGTGCCCTTCTCAATTTTGGGAGTCTAGGGACTGTGGCTCATTAAGGTTTGGACTGTGTTAGTGCTGAACATCCCATAATTGCATAGCTTGCCTGACTCTCTGTCATTAGCTCGCTGACTCTCTGGGCTCCACCTCTCCTACTGGATTTGCTGCTTGACCCCACTATGAAAAGTCTGATTACACAGAGCAGTTCTGGCTGTGTGGTGGGGGCTGCCTGCTGCCCCTGCCCCTTCCAACTCCCAGTGGGTCAATTGTCCTCAGCCATAAACTTCGAGCTGCCATCTCACCATGCATGAAATCCTTCCTTTGCAAGTACGAACAACTGATCCTATTACTCACACAGAGGACGGGAATTGAAAATTGAGGTAAAGGCAGATGGACTGGCAATGAGTCACATTCCCTTCATGGTGGAAAACCACCAGAGTCAGGAGCTTGTAAGGTCCCTGGCCAAGGAGCTGGAGAGGCCAGGGGCCAGGACTTGGGTTTGATTTCCTTAGTCTCCACAGTGAACTGAAATCTGAAGTTGATGCTATTAAGATTGTCCCCTTGCCTGGAGAGCAAGAAGGGCATCCAAGACAGTGAACGTGGCTCCCAGGAGTCCTACCCAGTTCCCAGAAGTTGCCTATTCCTCAAGTAGCCCTTTTCATTGCATTCTGATGGAGGCTGTCCTGAACATCTGGAATGAGGGGACCAAGTCCTAAAATTTGGGCTTTCTGAAGTCTGGCAGACTCAAACACAAAGCAAAATGCAACTACAATCATCTCCACATACCAGGTTATAGGCCAGGTAAGTTTTTTCTAAGCTGGAATTATCCAGGGTGGAATTGGGGTGGGAGAAGGGAGTAGCAAAGTCTCATACCAAGAAATTGCAGTATGAAACAGTGTTCTTCCTACTATATTTCCTCAGGGGTATTCCAAAGTCAGAAGGAATTAACCCACATAACAAAAAGGGAGGATTGCCACCTATAGTGCATCTTCGATGTACCAAGAACCTTCTGCTCCAGGCCTCACTGTGGTTTGATGATTGGAGATTGCCATCCCCATTCTACAGATGGAGAAACTGAGGCCTAGCGGCATTACATAACTTGTCTAAGACCTCATTGTTAATAGTGGCAATAAAGCTAAAATTGATTGGGTACTTATTACATTCTCGGCAGTGTGCTAAATGCTTGATTCAATCTTAATGGCTTAATTAACCCTCAAAACAATCCTATGAGATTCCCAGAACTGAGATTTGGTAGGCTGGGTGACTTGGCCAACATCACACAATGAATAAGTGGAAACAAAAATCCAGGCAATGTGAGACCAGAGCCTTGTTCTTAATTATTATGCTGTGCTCTTTGATGGTTTTCAGCAATTTAGCTAATACTGAAACCCTCAAATCCAAAGCTGGAGCTCTTTCTGCTATGCAAGACTGCCCTTAGGTGACATACAGTTGCCTTTTTATAGTTTATGATCATATAAAGACGATGGAGTGTCTGGTCTTTTTTCAAACCCTTGTCTGGTTTCTTTCTGAGGAAAATTGGGGTGCATGTTTTCAACATTCAGGACAGAACTTCTGACCCTGGCCTCAACATCACAGACCTCTGATGGATTTGTAGCAGCAGCAGGGAAGCCCAGAAGACCATGTAAGTAGTGATACAGTGGGGAGATATCCTCATGGGACCCTGACTGCCTAGAGGTCTCCTCATTCCCTCAGTGGCCTTGCCCTGCCTCTGCCCTTGCCTTGTGGACCGCCTCCTTCATTCCCCAAAGCCTACCACTTGGAGAAGGTCACTGTGCCTGACCCCTCAGAGGCCAAAGAGAACAATTTTCCCAGCTCAGAAGATCTGTACCTGGCCTCCATCTACTGGTACCAGTTCCTTATTCCCAGCTTATCCTGCTGATCTGGTGTCCAGTGTCCCCAAAACTCTAGGGTGAATAGTTTGTGGAAATCTATGCCTATTCTTTTCTTGGCTCATTTTAATTTCTTTTCATTTAGAATGGAACTTTAAAAGTCTTCAAATTCTGGAATTTGGATTTCTCTGCCTTACTTTAGTCTACCTTCTGTGTGAAGTGGGGAGTTCTCTGTAAAGGAACAATTTACTATACCTGAAACACTTGGAAGTGACCTCCAAAACGTACTAAGCACCCCAAATGGGCCAGGCACTGGGCCTGTGTGCTAGGATTACGGAGGAGAGATGTGAGAATATGGTCCGCATGAGGGCAGGATCGTTTATTGCACAGTGACATACTCCCTCTACCTACAACAGCACCCAGTACTTCATAGGCACTCTATAAAGATTTACTAAATAATTGTAAACAAACCATTATGGATCACTGTGCTGCAAATGGCATTTTGAAGTTAACACAGAGGGTTAGCAGAGCACAGAGAAGAGATATGTAACCCAAGCCAGAATATCTCAGTAGGTTTTCCAGGCTAGTCTTTAAAGGATGCCCTCAAGTTTCCCAGGAAAAGAGTTAGTATTGGAAGAGGATAGAGTTTCAAACAGAAGAAACACCATGTGCAAAGGAGTAGAACCATGGACTCATGTGTTGGGAAAATGGCAAGTTGCTAAGTGTAGCCAGAGGGGTGGAGGTAAAGTTGAAAATGACTGGCTCAAATTTTGCAGAATGTTAGAATGCTAGGATCCATGTGTTTATCTGCATTATATTCCATCAAGGCAGGGCACCCTAGGCCACCCCACAACCCCACCATAGAATACTTCTCCTGGCTATACCAAGGGGCTTCTATAAAACCTGAACAGGGCACATTTTAGATCCTAAGAGGACTCCCAAACTACTATGCCTTGAAATGTCCATCCCAGCCACAAGGCAAACACAAGACCCCTTTGCACATTTCACAGGAAAGAATGGGAAGAACTTGTTTTAGTCAATGGGTTTGCTTTCCTATCCCTGTGGCACTAACATGGGTTATTTTTGTCCAAAAAAAAAGGGACAAAAGCATTCAAAACTTATTCACAGACTTAGAATGTTAAAGCTGGAAGGGTCCCTGGGGATACTTTTGTCTACCTCCTCATCCTCAGATGAAGAAACTAAGGCTCAGAGAGAGAGAAAAATTGTCCAAGAACACACAGAATATCAGTGGAAGTCTGGCCCCTGGCTCCTAATCCATGCTCCCCACTGCACTGTGCTCTCCTGCAGGGGATTTGATGATGAGATTGCAAACTTTTTTCCAGTGAACTTAACTGCAAAGACTAAAAATACTTCTTAATTATTCTTCATTAGAAGGAAACAAAGCCTCTTCAACTCTCTGACTCCTTCAACCAATTAAATCTTTGGCTCCCACTCAAAGGGCGTATTTAAATTAATCAGGATAAATCTCTGGCTTACCCTTTCCCTCCAAACAGCAATTTTATACTAAAAAAATGAGAATAGCTTGCTGGAGACAGAAGAGTGTCTTAGAGAATAAAACACAATCCAAGCTACTTAATTTAATTTCTCACCATCACCTGAAACTCCCTAGCCAAGAGTTCATCATTCATTTATCAAACAGCTATTAAACATTTATTTACTCAACAATCACTTATTGAGATCCTACTGTGTGCATTTTATCATAGTCAGGAGCATAAATATGAACCAAATATGAATTTAGCCCTTAGGCCCTTAGAACATTTATCCTTGAGCAGAAAAGATGACATATACATAAATTGTTATTGGCCTACCCCAGGCTTGGCTCAAAGTAAGTTCTTGGTCCAAAGTAAATCTCATTCAAATGAATGAATGAAATTGATTTCTCTATTACAAATAATTGCTATGTGAGAACTCCACTAAAGTGGGGACACAGAGCTTCTAAGATTTACTGAAGGCTGAGTGACAGCATTAATTTAAGAAACACAACCCAGGGGAGGCAAGACTCCAAAAGGTGGGAAAGCAGCCTGAAGAGTATTGTGACAGTTACATTCCCCTCTCCGGGCCTCAGTTTCCCCATCTTATAATGAAGGGATGGCATAGATGAACTCTGGGGAAACTCTAGCAACAATATCCAATGCCTCTATGAACTCGGTTCCCAGCACTGTACAAAAGTATAAATCCAGCCTCTCTTCTTAAAAATAACTATTGAATCATTGTCCCTCTGCCTTCTCAGGGTCACACCCTATGTTTCTGTGGATTTCTCTTTGGAAATGGGAGAAAGGATGGAATTCAAGTCTAGCTTTGATTGGCCTTCTTTTCAGCTTAAACAACAGAAAAATATCCAATTATCCCATTCACAATTACAGTCTGCACATCTCACCACAAGCATAGAAAATGTCCCAGCAGCAGAAAACTGGCCACAGAACAGAGGTGCACATATGCAAGCCATTATCTACATGGAGACAAGCTGGCCTGCAATGGCCCCCACTGGCTCAGGGAAGCTGGTTATCTCCCCAGCTAGCCATGGGCAACCAGGAGGTTGCCTGCCACAAGCTGCAGCTGCATCCAGTCCAGGCTCATCTCATACTCCAAGCTGAATGGAAACCATGTGAAAAAGTGTTTCACTCACAGGGAGAAGTCACAGATGAAAGCCCCAAACTGTATACTTGCTACAAATCCAGGCCTGATCAGGCCAAAAGAGAAGTTACTGAATAATAACTGAGTTCCATGAGGGCAGGAAACTAGGTCACCAACTAGGTCACCAACATGTCCTCAAGTACACGGCACCATACAAGGCAGATGGCCCGCACTCCATAAATATTTATAGAAGAACTTTGTTGAAAGCTAATGAATAAACAACTACCTGCATAAATGAGTAAATGATTTGTTTATGGAAAAGACAGAGACTGGTTAGAGTACTACCCAGCACTCAGGTTTAAGCACCATATAGAAACACGTATCCTAGCTCTCTACCTGTCAGCTCTGTTCTTGAGCAAGTAACTTCACCTCCTCAAGGCTCAGTTCTCTCATGAGATAGACATTGTGATGTGGTACCGAGATTCCTCTTTTTGGCAGGATTTATTGTCCCAGCTGCTGGGAGTATCATTAGCCAACAGCCTTCAGCTTTCAGGCCCTCCAGATGTTCTCAGAGCCACCTCACCTAAGAACACATCCTTCCTAAAGATGTCTAAAAGTTTTAGACAAAATAAATTTAACAGAGTTTATTTAAGCAAAAAACAATTCATGAATCAGGCAGCACTCAGAGCCAGAAGAGGCTGGAGAGTTCCTCTGAAGCAGCATGGACGACAAGCTTTTATGGGCTGAACACAAAAGGAAAACAAGGAAAATGCATATAATGATTAAAGGGGAAAGATCCTAGTTAAAGGTTAGTTGACTTCTGATCAGTAAAGTTTCTAGTTTCATTTTACTGTTGATGTTGGGCTTCAGTTTGCTATGTAGAAACCTAAAGTGTTGGAGCAGCCCCAGCCTAATGGCTTCCCTGTTTAAAATATTTTCTAACACACTCCAATGACAGATCAAGGTGGGACATGAAGGCCCTGGACATTTTGGCCAATGGACAACAACACTGATTCCAAATCTTCCTACAAGATCAGTTGACATCACTGAGCCAGGTTTTGCAGCTCAACTTCACCTTCCAGCCAGTCCTGCTTCCTTCCTCCCCCTTCCACAGGCATTGATCCTAAAGATGGTCACTAAAAACCACTCTGAACTCTAAACCCCACCTAAAAGGCTGTTCCCATATAACTCAACCTATGACCTCTTGTTTGCAAAATATAGATAATAATAATTATACACATGGGTCATAGTGAAGACTAAATGAATAGCTGTGTGGAGTATCCATCCCATAACAAGTACTTGAAACCATAAGCCAACTTTGTTGTGGGGGTTTGCAAAGGCCTGCCTATTAATCAGTATTGCCACCCTGACTCTTCACTGGCAGGGATTCGGAGAGAAAAATTCTAAATGCCATAGATGATTTGTGGGCTAGGTAAGTTATAGAAGGAAGTGGGGAAGGAAGGGGACATCTGGACCCAGCCCTGTGTGGACCCTGGGCTCCAGCTTACACCCCAGAAGCCTTCCCATAAAGAAAGTTAAACCAAAGGACTAGGTCATCTGGATCTTGGCAGAATATGAAGGCCAGGCTGTGATGGTGGAGGGCACAACCCTGGGAGTGTAAAGCCTGGGCCCGACATGCTGACCACCATGGCTATGTTCCAGCAGCACCACCACCATGCCCAGAACCAACAAGAAGATCAGCATCCCAGATGGAAAGATAGGAGGCCAGAGGAGCAAATGAAGACCAGCCAGGGACATAGCAGCCACAGTCTCCTGCTATCCAGGAAGCTCGTCTCTGACCCCCTTCACTTCCACCAGTAAATCTTTGACCACCCCCCAGGGAGGTACTCAGACCAGAGATTGTATCGTTTTCACTACCTGGTGGGAGGGAGAGAGATTATTACTGTTATTTATACCAGCAGTCCCTAACCTTGTTGGCACCAGGGACCTTTGGCACCAGGGACTGGTTTAGTGGAAGACAATTTTTCCATGCAGGGAGGCTGTGGGTGGTGGGTATTACATTCCCATAAGGAACATACAACCTAAATCCCTCACGCAAGCAGTTCACAGTAGGGTTCGCGCTCCTATGAGAATCTACTGCCGCCTCTGATCTGACAGGAGACGGAGCTCAGGCAGTAATGCTTGCTCTTGCCGGCCACTCACCTCCTGCTGTGTGGGGGCCCAGTTCCTAACAGGCTAAGGACCAGGAGTTGGGACCACTGATTTCTATGACCTGGGAAAGTGAAGCTTGTGTACTGCAAAGCACCCTCAGGCTCTAGAGAGACCTTCTCTCCTGGACCCAAGCACTTCTACTACCCTTTAAAGCAGCTGTCACTGCCACTATGTTGAAGAAAAAACAGGTGCATAGACAGCTTAAACAGCCACTCAAGGTCACAGAGCTGGTAGGAAGTGAACTGGGCTTTGAACCCAAGTCTGATTCCAAGGTCTACATGCTTTCAACCACTTAGCCCCACATAAGAGATTCCAAGAGTAGAGTTTTGTTCTTTTGCTTATTTTATTGTTTTTAAATATGAAAGCATCCCAGGAGACTCAGATACAGAGCTGAGAACCACCACACCCTGTCAGACCACTTCCTGTCAATCATGCCAGTTCAGCAAGGGATCCCAACCCCTGGCCTAGGAGGCTGTTGCTCCTGACCTCTACTCTCGCCTAGGAATCTGCACCTAGAACAGCCCTTTGTGCTGCTATTTATTCACAAGGGTCTCAAATACCAATGGCCTCACCCATATGATTTACCCAGGCTGCTGGATGCTTCCATGCAACATGGCAGTACTTGTTTATTTATTTTTGTGCACTGAGGTGAACAATGGCACTGCAAAATGAAATTCAGTTTCAGTGGAACACAACAGAAAGAAGTCAATTATCCAGCATGAATTATTTATCTGGAGACAATAACCATGGTGTTATTCCCCACAAGAGAGGCCTTGGCAGCTTGGAACAGGAGGAAAGAAGACATGGCTGCTACTATCTGCCTATCATGCTGCTTCAGATTGCATCATAGGCAAATTAACACTTCTGACATCCTGTAACTACACATGCGCCTTCTCTGTGTATGTGGACCATGCATAAGCCCCTAGTACATACACAATTAACAGGCTGCTAGATCCAGGGATTCTATTCCCTCAGTGTTCTGGCTAGGCCTGGCAATGCTAGGCTTTGAACGTATTAAAGGAAATACCACCCTCTCTCTGTTGCTCACCTCACCCTATCAGAACTGTGAGGATGAAGACATTGTGAAAAAAAGATTTCACAAGCTACATCTTTTATGGCCAGCCATAATTCCTGATGTTAAGTCAGTCTGGAGTCTTCCTCCCAATTGATTTGCTGTGCAAGATCAGTTAGAAATCATGCCTTGCCTCCTAATAATTTGATTCCTAAATCGTTTTCATGTAATTTAATTTCTTGTGACCTTAAGACTTCTGAAGAGGTTGCAAGTGGGAGAGAGAGAGGGTTCAGGCTCCAGGACCAGCCACATCAAACCTGTACCTGCCTTACCACATCTTCCAGCTGTGTGGAGGCACCTCTGGTGGCCCCAAGTGTCTCCTTCTTCAGACAGGATGTTCTCCAGCCCCTCTCCCCTCGTTATCCGGGCTTCCCCTTCTTCTCAGTATGTGCCTTTCCCACCCTCCCTCATTGCCCAACTCAGGACAACAAGTACTTCCCAAGGATCAGCTCTATGCTCAGTTTTCTCCTTGATGCTCTGGGCAAAAGAGAAGACATCCAAGGGTAGAATGACACCTTCTAGGTTGTCACCTTCTATGACATCTTCTATGTTACTAGCACACCCATTCGATTCTTTGTTTCATGGTCAGCCTCAGCATTAGACTTCAGCTCATTAGGGACTGGGATATGCCTGATTCTTCAGTGTCCCAGGGCCCAGTTCCATTAATATTTGCTGAGTGAACATGACATCCCCAATACCTTATGCTCGGCATCCTCCCCAGAAAATTGCGTGGGAAGATGGGGTCACCTGCAGCCTCAGGATGCTGGAACTGGGCCTCAGTCACGGTTCAGATGGGGCAGGCCTGGCCTGGAGTGACAGCTGTAGGACTTACCGCTGACCCGGCAGGGTGACGGAGTCCAGGTGGCGACCTCCAGGCAGTGCCATCATGTTGATCCCAATCTGCAGCAAAGCCTGCTTGCAGCGGTCGTGACCCTGAAAATAGAGGGCAGGATGGCACAACGAGATCCTAAAAGAGGAGGCACAATCACTTTCTCTCCCAGTCCCAGGCCACAAGGAACCAAAGCAGACAAAGAGGTAAGACTTCTTAGCCCTCTTCTTCTGTTGAACCAGTTTACACTCCAGTATCCTCACACAAGTAAGGCAGAACCCAGATTTGATCTTGTTTCTAAGTCCCTAGCCCACTTTATATCTCTAAAATATTTTCTTATTCCAATTGCCAAATATTTGCCTGACTTATTTTGGTATGTATCAAATATTGGGACACACAGCCCATACGTATTGCACAGGACATACTTGTACTAAAAAGTATCTATGGTTTATCTGAGATTCACATTTAACTGGGCATCCTGTATTACTTGCTAAAACTGGCAATTCTACATTCTAATTCCCTGGCTGTTACCACTGTAGAACTCGCTTATTCACTGTGATTATGCTTAAGTGTGTCCTGGAAAATGTGACCCTGTTATCGGCATAGTGGTTGCTTTCCCAAATCCATTCCACTTCAGATGATGTAATTGCACCCAAATTGCCAGTGATTGGTTCAGAAATAGGCATGTGGCTCAATTTAGGCCAATGAGCCATGACAGGATTGCTTCTAGGAAAAGCGTTCTTTCTCCCAACAGAGAGTTGCAAGATGAGGCAGTATGTCTCCTGTTGGACCCGAACAAGGGAGCATATTCACCTCACTGTTGCTACAGACCATCTTGCAATCACGAGCAGCACTAGCTGGAGAACAAAGTTAGCATACCAAGAAAAAAATGCTGGGTCCTTGATCACTAAGCCACTGAATCAACTAATGCTGGAGTCTGGCCCAGCTCTAGGCTTCCTATTATCTAAGAAAATAAAAGCTCTTGTCGTTTAAGTCAGTCTGAGTGAGGGTTTTTATTCTACACAGCCAAAAGCATCCTAATGAATAAGAGTAACCCAGGTTCCAGGGACTCCCAATCCCAGCACTGAGGATGCAACTGGCTTCCCTGTGCCTCACATTTAAACCCAAACCAGCTACCCACCTGTTTGTATTTTTCTCCCTCGCCTTGTCCCTGCTGTGCTCCTGGAGGCCTTTTTGTACACAATCTCTCTTTTTCATTTCTCTCTCTCTGCCAACTCCCCCAAGCCCATGAATAAGCCCTCCCTGAGGAATATGCAGATTCTGTCACCTTTGCCTGGGCACATCAACAGAAGAGTCTTACTCCATGATTACACGGGAGCCCTATAGAAAAGAATGGAGGAGGAGCACTTTAATAGTGATGTGGGTGAACACAAAGCACTCCTCATAATGCTGGGAAGAAAGAAGAAAATGGTCAGTCTGAAAAGTGTGGGGAGGCAGGAGCCCAGAATAAACTAGGGTGCTAGATAATTCCAGAGACTTGCTGCCGTTGCCTGTTTCTTGGTCTGTGGAGCTTACTAGACTGTGAGCTTCTTGAGGGTAGACACCACATGTGTTTCTGGAACTGAGCCAAGGGCCAGGCACATAGCCTGCACTCTACACGTCTGTTGAAAGAATAAGAGGGATAAATTTTTAACACATTGATGTTGAGCCCCATCTCTTCATCTGTAACTGAGGATAATAATATCTATTTTAAAGAGCTAGTATAAGGATGACATGAGATTAGGAACGTGGAAGAATATGGCCAACGTAAGAGCTAAATAAATAGTTAGCTGTTATTATTGTTATGTCCTATGAGTCTGCTATGTGCTCAGCTCTCTGGTCAGCTATGCTAAGGGAGATGCAGAAAATGAGATACAGCAGGTCACACACTTAGCACAGCGAGAGGCTCAACAAGCATGTTATCACCATCGTTATTTCCATCATTACTGTCATTATTGAGAAGGTATATTTTTGGAATCTGGTGAGCCAGTAGGCTGAAAGGGATGGCGCAAAAGAAAAACTAGGAACAATAAAATGAGGCGTTTGCTCCCTTTTGATATGTTTGACTAAAGTACAAAAAAGGAAAACACCAACTTCTCAGGGTAAAACTAAGATGTGATTAGATGGCAGGGAGCAAGTAGATTTTGTTTTACTTCAACATCTTCATCATTGAGAAGAAAAGAGGCAAAGTAAAAATATTGAAGTGGGGATTAGAGTCTAAGGTAGGAGAGGAGACAGGAAAATACTAAGAAAATTCCAGGGCCATTTGAAGTTTGAACCAAGAGGAAACTGTAGGATGAGGTGAAGCATGCATACCATAGAGTATTAGAGGAAACTCTGACTCTGATTCAAGTCATCTCTGAGGGATCCAGAGAGAAAAAAAAAGAGTTGTCATAAGCAGAAGCCTGAATGCAAGAAATTGTTCTGAATTTCTAAGAGGCAGATTCCGGAAATACAGCTCTGTGACTGTACATTCAATAGCCTATTCTGGATCACCGACCTGTGAACCCTTCAGAAAGAAGCAGTGAGCACAAGAAGCCAGCTAGAACACAGCAGGAACAAGGCAAAACAATCGACTTCTTTTCCTTCAGGAGCCTCTGGGCTGTTAGCTGAGGAAACTGCAATAAGCCTAATATATCTTGATTTTTTAAAGCACCCCAGTGAGGTGCCATCATTCATCTTTTTGACCCATAGCTTCCCAGCAGTTATGCAGGGGGAGCTGCCAGCTCACAAAACCTTGCTTCATGTGATCTCTTGTGTTCCCAGAGGCTGGGGAGGCACCCTAAGGACATCTGATTGCATATGCATCACTGCCCTATTCACAGACTATGTCATTATTGGCTGCCTCTTTGCCCCAAAAGGATAAGATTCCTTAATGTCTAAAGCCAAATCTTGCTGAATGTGGGATTAGGAACAGTCCTGACCCAAAGACCTGCATGGTCAAGAGTCTGGGTTGTGAATCAGATTACCTCTCAGAGGAATCACAGCTCATTTTCACTAGGGATGAGGAAGAATATCTGGAAGGCGAGATAGGAAATACTTGTTTAGCCCACCTGATGTTTAGAAAGTGTCTGTAACAATAATAATTACAGCTAATATTTACTGAGCATGTGTTATGTGCCAGGCACTGTTCTAAATGCTTCATATAGTATTAGTTCGTTTAATGCCATCATCATCCTCTGTTACAGATGAGACCTCTTAAATTCAGTGGGAAGCACTGGTTAGTAGGTGGCAGAGGACTAGAATCCAGGTTTGATGATTGAAGGGGAGGTGCTGGAGCAGATGAAGATAAGAGCCTGTGTTCAGCCTTTGCTAACAGACACCCTGACTCCATTCCCGAATGGCAACACCCAACCCCAGGAGGCCCTTCTCAGACAGCCCAGCACTCTTCCCTCTCACCAGCACTGCCTACTGCTCCCACTTCCTTGACTGTAAATCTTCCAGCTTCACCTAGTGCCAGCCCTCAGTGACACAGCCCTCAGGAAGAAAAGCAAACACTGCAGTCATATGGAATGAGGAAGGGTGGCTTGACAATGGGGACATTTCTCTTTTGTTCCTCATTTATTGGCAGTTTTGTGAAAGTCATATGGACAGAGATAGGCCCTAAAGGGATCAGGGGAGGGGAGATCATAGTCCCAGTTAAAGCTGCAAAGAGACCTGTTTAAAGCATGCTATCCTCAGGGAAGCTCCTACTGCAAAGTTCCATCTTCAGTCTGAAGCCCTTGCACCCACCGACTCCCATAGCCCTAAGTCAGACTCATCCTGTTGAGCAGACTTGAAGAATAAACCCCTTCCAAAGCTACACAGAATGTTAGGAAACCAAAACTGAGTTCAAGACAAGCCCTTGGTCCTGTGCTGTGTCCTCACTGGTGTTGCAAAAAGAACATGAACTTTGGAATCTGATAAATTCAAACCCTGACTTGTACAGATCCTGACCTGATAAGTACATAACCTTGGGAAAATTGCCAACCCACGGAAAATGTGGTTTCCTCAATTATACCTACTTCCCAGGAGCATCATGAGGATTAAATGAGATTACTTGCAAAAGTCCCAGATATTGTGCTTGGTATATAGCAGTCTCCAAGAAGAAGTACCCTTCCTGTTGGAAGGAAGAGTTAAGAAATACATCTCAGAGCAGAGTTGCTGCTTTTCCCAGGAAGAGAGGTGAAAAGGACACATGTAGGAGTGAGCAGGGAAGAAGAAATCCCTCCATCACCTATCCCAGGGCCTTTCCTAATTCACTGAAAATCCCACCATGGATCCTGCAGCCTTGTTTCTTCAGGGCTCTGGGCTATGTAGCTCCCACCAGAAGTGACTAGTTTACAAGAAAGACTTGAAGTCTTAAGTGTCTCTGATTTAATTCAATGTTTGCTGTGACAACAGCTCCGTTTGGACAGCTCATCTCTGCGCCCACATCCCATTAGAAGCAGCCTTTGCTCACCTCCATTTGGCTAACGACACAGGGTTTGTGGAGGAAATGGAGGCTATTTACAGTAAATTATTCAATTAAAATCAGGAGCAAAGGTGGTTTCTGCCATTGTCTAATGGGCCAATCCAGGTACAGCTCCAAGCATGTCTGGGATTGCTTAATCTGCAATCCCATTAGGGCTGTCAATATTAGGGCTGTCAACATGGAAGGGACAGGGGACAGTAAGTATTGTGGAAAGTAGTCAAGCTTTGGCGGCAGCTCTAGGAACAGGGAGGAGGCTGCTGGGAGTTGAAGAGGAGTTGGACAGCACCAGACAGATATGGCTCTTTCTCAAAGACTTCAGAAAGTGCAAGAGCTGGAAGCAACAGAGCTGTCCTGTCAGCCCATCATTATGAATCTCTACATTTGGAGCTGAAAAGGCCCTTAGAGAGCACTGCTTTACTGGGGAAGAAATCAGGCCTTTTCCAGTGTTTCCATATCTGTTTCCCATCAGTAAAATGGGGCAAAAATAGACAACCTCACAAGATTGTTGTGAGCACCAAGATAATCCATGGGTAAACATTCATCTTTCTTTCTGGCCTCTAACATATGAACCCATTTCCTACATTTGAGAAATATCCCTTTGCTTAAGAGTCTTAGTGAAGTGGAAACCTGCCTCCCAACATAGAAACTTAAAAAGCCAGGCACTTGTTTCCCAGAATCCTTTGCAGCAAGAGTAAAACACATGACTTAGGTGCCACCAATCAGGCACACAGAGCAGAAGCACATGATCTAGGATTCACCAATCAGGTGCACAGGACTAGGAGCTTGAGACTGAAAGGAGATTTCTTTCTGAGGCCTTGTGGTACCTGCAGAAGAATCAAGTTCCTCTGTACCTGGCATGCAGATTACACCTTAAAATGGGACTACATTGTAGGCTTTTTTTCAATTTGACTTCCCCAGTCTATGCAAAATGCACAGGATTTAGAGCCCAGAGGCTAGATCTGGATGTCTTGCCTGAGACTTATCCTGGATACATCCCTTTCCCTCATCATATTTTTTTCATTCATGACTGCCTCCCTGGTCAAAGGCATTGGCATCTCTCACTTGGACCTCTGCAAGGGCTTCCTTTCATCACTTGCCCCTTTCCAGCCATGCCCCTCTCTAAATTGTTCCCCACACAACCACCAGGGTGATCTCAAGCACAAATCTAATCACATCAACTCACTGTTTAAAATCCTTCAATGGCTTCCTGTTGCTACTAAGACAAAGACCAAACCCTGCCATGGCCTACTTGCCTCACATGGATCTTGTCCCTGTCTGACCACCCTTCTTGTCCTTCAGCCTTGCAGCCACGCCAGCTGCTGTTCATCCCTGCAGCAAGCCACGCCTCCCCCTGCCAAACACCTTCATAGTACTCCTTCCTCTGACCCCAACAACCTCTCCTCTGTCTCCTCTCACCAAGTTATTCCTTGGTGAGAGCTCAGAACAAATGCCACTTCCTCAGGGCAGCTTCCCTGACCCATGGATTCAGTCATGTCCTTCATTATAAGATTCCCTAGTCCCCTCGGTATTTCTCCTCCATAGACTTTATCACAATTGTAATTAAATAATTAACTGTAACATTAGGGGCTTAATAAGAGCTTAATGTCTTTCTCCCCCGAAGGTGGGGAGCAGGGACTAGAGGAATGTGCCACTCACTGCCATACCCCCCGTGCCTGACATAGGCTTGTGCATAATATCAATAGACACTTGCTCACTGACTGGATGGGTTCTTGTGGAAGGAAGCTCAGCTTCCTCACAGATAAACTGGAGACAATGGTAACTATTTCAGCATGCCGTGATGAGTATTCAGTAAGATGAATACTCACGGTGGGAAGGAGGAGCCTTTGCATACCATATGCACTGTGCGTTGAAAGCGCTCTACACCAACATGGCACATGTATACATATGTAACAAACCTTTGTGCACATGTACGCTAGAACTTAAAGTATAATAAAAATATATATACAAAAAAACAAAAAAAAAAAGAAAGTGCTCTGCATCCTAATATCCACTGAGACAAAGCTGCATGTCCCTCCTGAGTTCTTGCAGTCCTCACTGCGTGGTCGTACCCAGCTAGGCAGCCTCCCTCTCCACTCCCAGCTCTGTGTTCATCAAGTTCTCCCATAGGACAGACAGACGGATCAGTGGACAGTCACACTGCTGTGCAAAAACTGCAATGACAGGTAACCAAGGGAATGTCACCCTCCCCCGAAGCGGGACAAACAAGCTTCTAAGCAGTACCAGATCAGAATGGAAGGTGGTGAGAAGGGGTCATGGGAAGTTTCTCAGGGCATCACTGCAACACTGAAACTTGAAAGAATAATGTAGAAAAAGCAGAGGATGGAAAGGAGGCTAAAAGGAAGAGCGTGCAGGGCACAAGGAAGAGCATTTGACACAGAATCATGAGCATGGTGAGATTAGGGAACTGCAAGTGTTTCAAGAAGGCTGGAGCACTCTGGCCTGGTGGTGGAGTTTATAGGAAACTATCTCAGTAGCACGGGAATGCAGAAAAAGGAGTGGTCACTTTCAGCTAGGGAAATACAGAAGACTTCTTCACCTTAGAGAAGGTGACACCTGAGCTGGCCCTCAAATGGAGGGAGGGATTTTGCCAGGGGAAGATGGGACAAGGGCATTCAGTGCCAAGAGCAGTGTGAGCCATAGCGAGGAAACCAGAAAATGGAGCAAGTATTCAGGGACCCAGATCTCTCTCAGGAGGCTGGAGGGAAGGTGCTTCTATAGCCCTGACTGTGAAAGGAACTGATTATTTAGTCTCTGTCCTGTTGGTGATAGGGAGCCATCAAAGGTGTTTGAGCAGGGGAGTGAAATGATCAGAGTGGAATTTCAGTCCTCATGGTAACCAGTGGAGTGGATGAACTCCAGAAAGTAAGACCAGCAACAAGGATTAATTTAAGAGGCAGGTGCAAGCTTTCAGTCAGAGCACTAAAGCCCTAGGGGTGGAGAGGTAGGAACCCAGGAGTGGAAAGAAGGACTGCAAAGAGCTCTAGGAGGTAATCACAACATATATCCCTCCCCACCCTACTCTGGACCTCTATGTGACCTGTGCAAGGGTGGCAATAGTCATTGGAGCTATTGCTAGCTGTGGTGGCTGGCATCCTGCAGCAATCAGATACTTTAACACCCCTCGTTCCCAGGGGAGGCACAAGAAACCAAGCAAGCTGCCACTCAGCCCTGCTGAATGAACTGAGCCTCATGAAATATAGACAGCTCTAGCTCCCTGGAGGAAGCCCCAATAGCCCCTCACAGCTGTCAGGTGTCAGAGCCCAACAAGTAGGCAGAACAGACCTCAGGACTCACAGAGCAGGGCTGAATCCTCTCCAGGACCTGAGACCCTGGCTGGATAGCCCAGAACGACTTGCATCAGGTAGAGCGGGCCCCACCCAGACCTTTGTTCCGCCCCTCAATTCTGGAGCCAAAATAGTTTCAACAAAGCTCAGACAAGGTCCCAAGCCTCCACCTGATTAATTGGATACATCTACCTTTTAGGCCTCACCTAGAAGGCAATAGGAATCTCATCTACACAAATATGTCCATCAACTTGACAGGGCTAAGACTACAGCTCCTGGGCAATGTCCAGGCAGCCTTCTTGGAGGAGCTCACATTATACTCTCAGAGTATGAGAACTAGTAGGGGGGCCTTAGAGATTACCCCCTTGTAGTAATAATAATAATGAGGAGGAGGAAGAGGAGGCAGACAGGGAGAAACACTTCTTAGGTGTTTACTGTGTATAAGGCACTGTTCTAAATGCTTTACATTTAGTCCTCAAAATAACCCCATGAGGTAGTTCACTATTGTTATCTCCATTTTTCAGATGAGGAGCCAGAAGCACAGACGGGTTAACATGGACAATGGAGAGACAAGTTCAAAAGAAGAACAGAGGCTGTGTGCAGTGGCTCACACCTGCAATCCCAGCACTTTGAGAGACCGAGGCAAGAGGGTCACCTGAAGCCAGGAGTTTGAGGCCAGCCTGGGCTACATAGCAAGACCCCATCTCTACAAAAAAAGAAAAAGAAAAATTAGATGGGGCATGGTGGTACATTCCTGTAGTCCCAGCTACAGGGGAGGCTGAGGTGGGGGGACTGCCTGAACCCAGGAATTTAAGGTTACAGTGAGCTATGATTATGCCACTGCACTTCAGCCTGAGCAAGACCCTACCTCTAAAAGAAAAAAAAAAAAAAAGAAGAAAGAAAGAAATCAAAAAAAAGAATAAGACACCAACTGAGGTCACACAGCAAGCCAAGCTACACCTGGGACATGCACACAGGCTTCCTCATTCCAACCATGGGAAATCCAAATAAGGCTTTGCCTGGCTGGAGTGAACAGGCCCACCAGCACCTCAGAGTGGTTTACCATAGGAAGTCAATGGAGCCTTAGTTCTCCACCTGTAAAACTGGGAAAGCGCAAGTACGCTTGCACTTTTTCCCTTGCTGTGGTTATCAAGTACGAGGAAATAAAGAGTGGGCAGGGAAATTAATGAGTCCTGTTCAGACTCAGCTCAGCTCTGGAATGGGACAGGCAGGTTAACTCAGAAGTGCCCATGAGTCCCCAGAGGTCAGAGAGAGAGGAGCCCAGTGTCAAGGTGTCCTCACTGATGCCCATGTGTGCCAGCACCTGGTTTATATGAATACACATCCTCTAGAGAGCTCCAGCTTGTCCAAGCAGCACCCCCGAAGGAGCTTGTGTGGCCATCTCAGAGGAAAGCTCAGGCTCCTGGAATCAGGAAAGCCATGGCTGTCTTCACCTTGTGTCTCAGGGTGGGCCATTCCTGGCTCTGGGGCTCTGGTTGACCAGCTACTCATCAGAGGAGCTCCCAGCCCTAAGCCACAGAAGAAAGCTGCACTTACTGGCATTCTGGGAGCTAGCTCTGAGCTGAAAATTATTTAATGATCAAAAGTGAGAATCTGGTGCCCAGATCTCAAGATCTTAGGCAAAATGTAGCTCCAAGGGAGGCCTGGTTGGCCCTTTTAGCCACCTTCATCCAGAGCTCTGTTGGTTAAGAATAGAGATTCAGGAGTCAACTGCCCAGGTTCAAATGTGAGCTCCATCCATTAATAGCTGTGTGACCTTGAGCATTATGTTTTTGATCTATAAAATGGGATCTATAATAAGGATAAAATAAGAATGCTAGGCACATTAGTGAGCTCACATATGTGAAGTGCCTGGCACACAGTAGGTGTTGATCTAAAGACTGGTTCCACCTCTCTTCTGGTGAGGACAGCGCCTAGCAGTTGGGAGGCAGCCAGAAAAAAGCTATCCTGTTGCCTCCTCAGCTCCAACAATTCTACTGCTTCTTATTCTAACTTTTAAATTATTCCTTCTTACTTTCTAACTTTTCCTAATGTGAATGTTTGCCAACTGCTCAAATGTTCCTTAGCTTCGATTTGCAAAAGTGAGAGACCTCTCCCACTGGGCCCAGGGCCCAGGGTGCTAAAATTAACAATCAGCATACTTTAAGCTAATGACTTACTGGTTGTGACTGCCACGAATAGACATAACTCTCAGATAAAGGCCATTAGAGAAAATTGAATCGCTCCAACGTGGTGAAAATTTGGATACATCCTGTTTCATAAATCATACTCAAAGGGCACACTGGGCAAGCTATTTCCCTTTCTGAGTCATTATGAGGACCCAGGTTGGAGGGGTCTTTATACCCTTGGGAAAATGACATAGGAGAAAGAATTGTACAATCTCTTATAGCTTCACAAATATGATTTTCTCTGAAATCTAAAGCCTTGAGCAAATGACAGCATTGCATCAACAACCATGATAATCCAATCTTCTCTGATTTTATTTCTTCCTCAAATCCTCTAAATTGGAGTTTGCTCAATAACATTTGAAGGTAGCCTGGTGAGGTCTCGAAAATCCAAAAGTTCAGGGTTGGGATTCCAATCCCAGTTTTGCCTCTTACTAAGGCCTCTCTGACCTTCAGCTTCTACATCCGTAAAATGGGAAAAAAACCTATCCTCAGGGTTGTGGTCAAAATTACACAAGATGATGTAGCCTGCATGATATTTCAGAGAAAGTGAAATAATAATACCAGAAGCTACTTTGACCCAGCAGGCTAGTTAATGGTACTCCATAAGAAGTTTTATGATATCCATCTTTGTGGCAATGAAGGATCCATTTCCTATCCAGACTTCAGATCCAAAGAGCTGCTTTCCACTAGAGAGAATTAAAAAGCAAAATATATTAAATATGTTGGAAAGAAGCAAAGCGTCCCATAGAAGAGATATGATTTAAAACCTAGCACATAGAGATTGCTGTGGCTCAGTGTTTCCCCTCCAAAGCTCATAGGTTGAAACCTAATCCCCAGTGGGGCAGTGTTGGGAGTTGGGGCACTTCACTCTATTGTGCTTTGCAGATACTGCTTTTTTATTTTCTTTTTTTTACAAATTGAAGGTTTGGGACAAACCCGCATCAAACAAATCTATCAGTGCCAATTTTCCAGTAGTATGTGCTCACTTTATGTCTCTGTGTCACACTTTAGTAATTTCTCATAATATTTCCAATTTTTCATTACTATTGTATCTGCTGTGGTGATCTGTGATCAGTGATCTTTGATATTACTATTGTAGTTGTTTTGGGGGGGTCACAAATTGCACCCCCATAAGATGGCAAACTTAACTAATAAGTTTTGTATGTGTTCTGACTACTTCACCAACCTGCTGTTCCCCTATCTTTCTCCCTCTCCTCTGGGCTCCCTGTTCCCCAAGATACAACAATATTAAAATCTGGCCAGTTACAAACCCTACAATGCCCTCTAAATGTTCAAGTGAAAGGAAGAGTCACACATCTTTCACTTTAAATCAAAAGCTAGAAATGATTAAGCTTAGTGAGGACAGCATGTCAAAAGCCCAGATAGGCCAAAATCTAGGCCTCTTGTGCCAAACGGTTAGGCAAGTTGTTAATGCAAAGGAAAAATTTTTAAAGGAAATTAAAAATGCTACTTCAGTGAACACATGAATGACAAAAAAGCAAGACAGCCTATTCTGATATGGAGGAAGTTTGAGTGGTCTGGATAGAAAATGAAACCAGACACAACATTCCCTTAAGCCAAAGCCTAATCTACAGCAAGTCCCTAACAATCTCATTCTATTAAGGCTAAGAGAGGTGAGGAAACTACAGGAGAAAAGTTGGAAGCTAGCAGAGGTTGGTTCATGAGGTTTAAGGAAAGAGGCCATCTCCATAATATACAAGTTCAAGGTGAAGCAGCAAGTGCTGATGGAGAAGTGCAGCAAGTTATCCAGAAGATCTAGCTAAAATTATTGATGAAGGTGGCTACACTTAACAACAGATCTTCAATGGAGACAAAACAGCCTTATATTTGAAGAAGATGCCATCTATGACTTTCATAGCTAGAGAGGAGAAATCAAAGCCTGGTTTCAAAGTTTCAAAGGGCAGGCTGACTCTCTTGTTAGGGACTAATATAGCTGGTGACTTTAAGTTGAAGCCAATGCTCATTTACCATTCTAAAAGTTCTAGGGCCTTTAAAAATTATGCAAAATATATTCTGCCTATTCTCTGTAAATGTAACATCAAAGCCTAGATGACAGCACATCTGTTTATAGCATGTTTTACTGAGTATTTTAAGCTCACTGCTAAGACCTACCACTCAGAAAAAAAATATTCCTTTCAAAATATTATTGCTCATTGATGATACACCTGGTTGTCAAAAGCTCTGATGGAGATGTGGAAAGAGATTAATGTTTTCACACTGCTAACATCTATTCTGCAGCCCATGAATCAAGGAGTAATTTTGACTTTCAAGTCTTATTATTTAAGAAATACATTTTGTAAGGCTGTAGCTGCCATAGATAGTGATTCCTCTGATGGATTTGGGCATAATAAATTGAAATCCTTTTAGAAAGCAATTACCATTCTAGATATCATTAAGAACATTCATGATTCATGGGAGGTGGTCAAAATATCAATATTAACAGGAATTTGGAAGAAGTTGATTCCAATCCTCATGGATGACTTTGAGAGTTTCAAAACTTCAGTGGTGGAAGTAACTGCAGATGTGGTTAAAAATAGCAAGAAAACTAGAATTAGATGTGGAGCCTGAAGACATGACTGAATTGCTACAACCTCATGACAAAACTAAATGGATGAGGAGTTGCTTCTTATGGATGAGCAAAGAAAGAAGTTTCTTGAGATGTAATCTACTCCTAGTGAAGAGACAATATTTAGAACATAGCATAAATTTAGTTAATAAAGCAGTGGCAGGATTTGAGAGGATTAACTCCAATTTTGAAAGAAGTTTTACTATAGGTAAAATGCTATCAAACACCGCATACCACCAAGAAATTTTTCATAAAAAGAAGAGTCAATTGATGTGGCAAACTTTACTGTTGCCTTATTTTAAGAAATTGCCACAGCAACCCCAACCTTAGCAACCACTACCCTGATTAGTCAGCAGACATCAACATCAGGCAAGACTCTCCACCAGCAAAAAGATTATGACTTGCTGAAGCTTCAGATGATCATTAGCATTTCAGCAATAAAGTATTTTTAATTATATATGTACATTGTTTTTAGACATAGACATAATTTTATTTCACACTTAATATACTACAGTATAGTATAAACATAACTTTTATATGCAGTGGGAAATGTAACAATTTGTGTAACTCTCTTTATTGTAATATTGGCTTTATTGCAGTGGTCTGGGATTGAATGTGCAATATCTCCAAGTTATGCCTGTAAGTTATGAGAGCAGAGCCCTCATGAATGAATTAATACCATTAGAAAAAGGCCTTACATAAGTGGATTCACTTTCTTGGCCCTTCTACCTCCGTCATGTGAGCATCTAGTCTTCCTTCCCCCAAAGAGCACAGCATGCAAGGCATCACCATGGGAGAAGAGAATGGCTTCATTAGATACCAAACCCATGGACGTCTTGATATTGGACTTCTCAGCCTCCAGAACTGTAAGCCAATAAATTTCTGTTCACTATAAACTAGCCAGTCTGTGCCATTCTATTATACATTCTGTTATAGCAGCACAAAATGGACTAAGAAATAAACCATGTTTTGAATAAACACAGACAAAAACACTAAGACATTTTCTGTGATTAGTAAAATTGACCCAGAAGAAACAATTAATATCACAGCTCACATCCTATGTGACCAAAGTAGTATGGGACATTCAAAGGAGAATCCAGACTGAACCAAAACCTTGGCTCGGCCACAAGGGTGAAGAGTTCTCACCAGCTCATTAACAGAAAGGGACAAAAGACAGAACCATCACCTATTCTACAACCACTGTATATAACAGAATATCCCAGAGTGTGAGCACAACACAATCATTCTCAGCAAATCATGTTGTCATTGTTATAACATCTTCAGTTAAAGAATCCTTTATGTTTGGAAACAGGGGGTATAAGGTACATGGGCCACATGATCCACATCTATCTGGGGCACAGAATGGATCAAACATGAAAAACAACCCATTTGCAGAATACTGTTTTATCAAGACTTGTTTAGGTCTAGTGCTTTGCACAGTGTCTAACACAGAGTAGGAGCCCAATAAATGTTAATCTTTCCACCAACAGAGTGTTCTATGATGCTCCAAAAACATCTTGCACTTCCACAATTCTATGCATTGGTCATGGCACCCCAGCACATCCTGACTGAAATCCCTCAATTCTCTTTTCTATCTCCAAGTAATTCCAATGCCTCAGGACTCATCTCTAATCTCACCTCATTTGGCAGCTCTCTTCAAACACCCTAACTTACACTAATTTCTCCCTCCAAATAGGAATAAAGAAAGTGGTAAGGTCTTAAAAAAGAATTTTAAATTATATTATAATAGAAGGTGTACCTTCTTGATGCTCCCTCTCTCTTCCCCTTTCTACCTGTTGAGTGATGCCAAAGCAACCTGAAAGCCACAATATGGCAAAGCAAAATAAATAAATAAATAAATAAATAAATAAAGGAGGAAGATGAGACTTGACTCACAGCTTGGAGTAGAGCCACCTAATCCACATCAATCTGCGGGGTAAGCAAGAAATAAACAACATGTTAAGCCACTAATATTGGGGGGTCATAGCAACTAGTCTTAATTAATGAGACTAATTGTGAGAACTAAAGTAAATGCTCTATATAAGGCACCTATGAATGTGCTACACACATGGAAGTCACTTCTTCCTCAGTGCTGGAGGAGATGGTGGAATATTTTGTTTGTCTAATGACAGCCCTCTGGACAAAGAAGTAAACTCGTGCACAATACAGCCAGAGTCCAAAAATTAATGGGATCATGGTGGAATGGAGTAAATACCTACAAACATTTAAGTCCTATCAATTCTGAGACTAAGATTCTGTTTCTCAACCACTGCCTTTTTTGCTCATATGCATCCATTCATAGTAATAGCTAAAATTTACTATAGTCAGGTCATTCTAAGATATCTTTTTTTCATATTTTAACAACCAAAGTTGGGATGTATGCTTCAGTCAATGGCATCTTGGCATTGTGTCATCGTTCAATTGGAACCATATTTTCTTTTTCATGAAGTAACAGGGATCTTACAATATATAGCATCTTAAATCCAATGAAATATGGTATTAGGCACTTAACTATGTGCCAAGAACCCTTCTAAGTGTCTTACACATATTCCTCCAAACGTCCAAAGTAATCAGTACTACTATTATCCCCATTTTAAAAAGTGGAAATGGTGACCCAGAGAGCTTCAATAATTTTCTAAGGTACACAGCTAACATGCTGGATGAGGATGAAGACTTACCTTCTCTTTTAGAGAGGCATATCAAGCCACTATTTTTAGCACCTGCTTTTTAATTGACAATTAATCCTTCTCCTTATAAAGTAAACTCATACAAGATTGTTATCTCCAACAATATGGTAGCCCAGATACTTTAAATACTTCTCCATAAGAACAATTTTAAAGGATGAATAATGATGCTTTTAATGTTTTTTAAATATATTACTGAGCTGGCAAAAGTGTAAGAAATCTGGAGAGGCCAAAAGTAAAGCAAAAGAAGAACCAGGAAACCTAAGCAAGAGTTCAAGGGAGTTTTTTGTTGTTGTGTTGTTTTGTTTTTCCTGAGAACATCTGTTGAATGTTGTATTCTCTGGACTTCTGTTTCCTATGTGTACAGGGCAAGGAGACATGTGATAAAGCCTAGGAACTTTCCAAGGGGAGGAATCAAACAGGGATCCAGAAAACCAGAAACTCAGTTTAAGAGTAAATGGAAAATAAACCGTCTATGTCAACATTGTCAACAATGAGAGTTGAGAATTAATGACCACAATATGGGCCTCAGATAGGCTTGTGGCCTGAATTTACATTATCTGTTGTGGGGACAGGGGACTTGATTAGAGAATTTAAAGAAATAAAAGAGAGTCATGGAAACATTTTCGAAGAACAAAGGCTATAAAATATGGCCAAGAAAATTTGAGAAAGAACCAAATAGAACTTTTCTACATTAAAATACAATAATTAAAATGAAAAACTCATTGGGCAGATTAATCACAGCTAAAAAATGGATGGGTATACTAAAAGACAGAACAAAAGAACTTAACCAAGACGCAGTCCAGAGAGACAAAGAGAGAAAAAATACGAGAGAACTAAAGCTAAGAAATATAGAGTGATGGGATCTAACAAGTATTTCATCATATTTGCAAAGAAAGTTAAGAGAGAGAATGGGGGAAATGGTGATATTCAAAGAATCAGTGGCTGAAATTTCAGTTCCCTGGATTTTTTGAAAGACAAAACAATATTCAAATTCAGAAATCCCAATGAATCCCCAGCAAGATAAATACAAAACATATACATACACACCCTAGACAACTCATAACATTAATGAGCACCAAAGACAAAAGATTTTGAAAGCAATCAAAGGAAAAAGGAAACTAGATTGACAGATGACCACTTAATAACAATGATGAAACTCAGCAGACAACAGGAAAATATATTATGCCAGAAAATAATTGTCCCAAAATTCCATATCCATAGAAATTATCTTTCAAGAATAAGTATGAAATATAAGCATTCTCAGACAACCAAAAATCCCACACTAAAGGAAATTCTGAAGGATTTGCTTCAGGCAGAAAGAATGTAATATCATATGGAAGGTTTGAGATACAAGAAAGAGTGATGAGCAAACTTGCTTGAAACTGTGGGTAAATCCAAAGAAACTTTAACTAAGAAACAATTACAGGGCCGGGCACGTTGACTCATGCCTGTAATTCCAGTACTTAGGAAAGCTGAGGCAGGAGGATCACTTAAGCCCAAGAGTTCAAGATCAGCCTGGGCAACATAGTGCAGGCTCCATCTCTACAAAAATTTAAAAAGTTAGCTGAGTGCAGTGACTCCTAACTGTGTTTTCAGCTACTCAGGAGGCTGAGGTGGGAGGATCATTTGAGCCCAGGAGGTTGAGGCTGCAGTGAGCTGTGATTGCCCCACTGTACCCCAGCTTGGGCAACAGAGCAAGACCCTGCCTCCAAATAAAGAAAAAAGAAACAATTATAATCCCTCATTTTTGAGATAAGAAACGATGAATCTAAAATATTGTATAGAATTTAGAAGAATATGACTAAAGCTATTTAAAGTGCTCCAAGGTTCTATTTTGGGGGAAGAAAAATAGAGATATAAATTAAATTTAGGCTTTTTAGATTATTATTAATGCTATAATATCCAAAGTAATTAACTAAAAGAACAGACATGGAGAAAGAGAAAATTCCCTCCAACTATGTAGAGGAGGAAAAAATAAATGAGTAATAAATTTTAAAAATTAATCCAAACAAAGAAAGAAAGTATGTAAAAGGGAATATCAATGTGTAATAGTAATCACATTAAGGGGAAATGAGCTAAACTATCCAGTTATAAGCAGAGATTATTAAGGGTGCATTACATGGAGGGGGTTGGAAGTTGTGCATGCTATGTGCTAGCTACAAGACATATCCCTAAAACAAAAAGACCTAAAATAGCTTAAAGTTAAAGGCCACAAAAGATATACCATAAAAATACTTACCTAAAGAAATCTGATGCTAATGTATTTATATAATACAAAACAAACTTTAAGGCAATGAAGAGATTCACTATATAAAAATTAAAAGTTCAGCCCATTAAGAAAATATAATAATGATGATATACCTAATAGCATAGTCTTAAGATATGCAAAGTAAAATTGATAAAACTTCAAGGAGAAATGAACTAGTCCTGAATCACATACACTTCAACACAATTCTGTCACTGAGTGATAGATCAAGCAGGAAAATGATCAGTAAGGATATAGGATATTTGAATGGCACATTTAAGTTAGAATTAATATTCATGAATAGAACACCCAGAATACACATTATTTTCAAGCACTCATGAATCATTCTTTTTTTTTTAATCAACTACTTTCTAGTCCTTAAAGCAAGCCTCAACAAATTTCAGAAGATTGACACTGGGGTTGCAATCTCTACCCCAACATAAATACCCCATACAGTTGTATATTTTTAAACATACAAGCAATAGGTCAAAGAAGAAATTACAGCAGAAATTAGAAAATAAACCTGAATGATGATGAAAATAGACATATTAAAAATCATGTAGTATATAGATAAAATAGAACTGAGAACAAAAATTATAGACTTAAATACTTAAATTAGAAAAAAATCTGAAAATTCAAAGAATCTCCAACTTCTCCAACATAATAATCTCCAACTTAAGAAACTTAGAAAAAGAGGAAAATAATTCTAAAGAAAGTATCAGAGGGAAAATAATTAAGATAGGAACAAACATTAAATAAAACACAAATCAAAATACAAAACAAAACAAACAAAATGACTAAAGTTGGTTTTTGAAAACATAAAATAAACTGCTGGCAAGATCTGGAAAAAATCAGAAAAAAGAGGAAACAAATAAATGATATTGGCAATAAAAGAGGTTTATTTCTACAGATGCAGCAGAGATAAGAGAATATTATGCAATGTCATTGAAAACATAAATAAGTTAGATAAATTCCTAGAAAATAAAATTTACCAAAATTGATTCAAGAAAAAATAGATCTATAACCACTGAAAGAATTCATCAATAGTTGAAAATCTTCCCGTAAGGAAAACACCAAACCCAGAGAAGCATGAGTTTATATCATTCAAAGGAAAAATAACCAAACTCTACCACAGAATAGGAAAAGAGAAAACACACTTCAAGTGATTGTATAAGGCTGAAATAACTTTGATACTAAAATTGAACAAGAACAACACAAGAAAAGAAATATACAGGCCAATCTCATATAGAAACATAGATGAAAATATACTAAACAAAATACTAGCAAGCAAAATCCACTATATGTGAAAAGGATTGTATATCATGGCTAAGTTGGATCTAGCCTAAAAATACATGGTTATTTTAACATTAGAAAACAGATCAGTGAAACTCACTACATAAAGAAGGAAAAAACCTTACGGCCATCTCAACAGATGAAGAATAATAATTTGATAAAATTCAACAGCTATTCATAAAATATTTTAGCAAACTAGAAATAGAAGAGACATCTCTTAAACTGATTATAGGTCATCTACCAAGAAAAATATATACCACAAGAAATATACTTGATGACATGTTGAATGAAAGCATTTCCTGTGAGATCAGAAACAAAATAAAGATGCCCAGTTCTCAACAATTTCTTCTCATTATAGTGCTAGAGATCTTAGCTAGTACAGAAAGAAAGAAAATGTATTAGAATGGGAAGAAAGAAAACTGTCATTATTTGCAGCTGACGTGGTTTTCCACAGGCAGCCACATCTGCCTGTGCATAACAGCACACAGCCAGAAGAGCAAGGAGTCTGAATCTGGCCTCTGCTGTGTTCATCCAGCCACCCCAACACAGGGCTGGTTCCACCAGGCACAGACCTGCAGTCCACTTGGCAAGCCAGGTGTCCATGGGTCTGTGTCCCTGCAGACACGGTACCTTTCCCTAATTCTTATGAAAACATATGAAGTAGCAATTCATCCTCATTCTCTATGTAGAAAATCCAAGGGTATCTACAAAAAAATTATTTTAATTGATATAAGGTTTTAGAAAGTTGGTCAGAAATGAATATTCAAAAGTCAAGTATAGTTCTAGATACCAGCATAAACAGAGTAAAATTTAGAAGAGAGGTCATTAACAAAGCAACAAAAATATGTGAGGGCCATAGAAATGAACCTTAGCATGTGCAAGTCCCTTCTTGAGAAAACTGTAAAACATTATTAAATGATATTAAAGAAGGCCAAGATAAGTTAATAGATAATTCATGCATATGAAATACCATATATATGATAGGGAAATGTTAATTCGCCATAAACGGATCTAAATATTCAGTCCAATTCCAATCAATTCCCTATAGGATTTTTTTCTAGAACTTGACAAGTTGAATCTGAAATGTGTAGCCAAAATATTTCTGAAAAAAATTGGAGAGACTTTTCCTGCCAGATAATAAGACTTTTTAAAAACTAATAAATACAGTGGGATATTGACCCTGGAATAAACATAGAGAACAGAACAGCAAGCCCCTAAATAGACCCAAGAAAATATGGAAACTTGATTAATGAGAAAGGAGGGGAAGATGGGGGGCAACCTATTCAGAGCTCTCACACACAGATCCCAAATTACAAATAGAAAGTGAATGGGGTTGGGGAGGCAGAAAATGTCCAGTCGTTCTTGACTGGTATGTGAGGGGAGAGCTCCTTCTTGCTCACATACTTCTACCCTTGAGGTTCCCTCTTGCCCCAAGCAAAGATCTGGCTGGATTGGCCCAGAGAGAAATAAACTAAGAGGGTTACTTTAAAAGCCCCTTTCTGCAGCCAGAAAGAGCCAGCCTAGCTCCAGGACCAAGCAGATAAAAAAGCTTCTTAAAATGAAGAAGGGAAGGTTAACTAAGAGGCACTGGCCAGATACCCACCACCCTGCTAACACAGCAGACAGCAGGGCTGGACTGTCGGTAAAAGCTGCCACAGAGGGCTTGCTGCAGCCCTAATCTTTGCATAGCTGGGCGCAGGGGCCAGCCTACCCCCTCACCTCTGGGTCCAGGTGGGTGAGGGCTACCCCAGACTAAGAACATTTCAACCTTACATGGTACAGGTATGTGGTGGCAGGTTCTCTCATCCTGATAATTCTGTCACCTGGTGAATCCCACAAGCCCTATCCCATGCAGTCCTTATGATGCCCCTTCCCAAGTCCAAAAAGTGATACAACCAAACACAGACTAGCAGAGAAGAAACCTTCAGCCTAGCCCCAGCTCTGCCAGTAACTAACTGCATAAGCTTAGTCAAGTTACTTAACTTCTCTTGGCCTCTTTTCTCATTTGCAAACTGGGGATAATAATATACATTTGATTACCTGGCACATTTGTTGTAAAAACTAAAATATAATAATGGATATGACATTATGACACCACTTTGTATCCCCATATGATTCCATGAAAATAGGAGGGATTTTGTTAGGCAATATGGTCTGTGGAAAAAAATAAATAAATAAATCTCTTAAAAGACCAAAGGAGTGAAAGATATAATTCAGGCAAAGTGAAAAATCAGCCATTTGGCGGGATAGAAATCCAGAAGACAGGGTCCTAACCAAAATTCCTATTGGCATAATGTAAGCAAGAGATCTGGAATGTTATACAAAAAAGGTTCTCAGAAATGTTTTTTTTTTCAACTCTGTACTTTGCACAAAAGGAAATTGAGGCCCAGAGAGGATAAATGACTTGTCCAAGTCACACAGCAAATTTGTGGTAGAACCCAGATTAGAACTCAAGTTCTTTCTTTCACTTTTTTTTTTTTGAGATGGAGTCTCGCCCTGTCACCCAGGCTGGAGTGCAACGGCACGATCTCGGCTCACTGCAAGCTCTGCCTCTCTGGTTCAAGCAATTCTCCTGCCTCAGCCTCCCCAGTAGCTGGGATTACAGGCGCACACCTCCACGCCCAGTTAATTTTTGCATTTCTAGTAGAGACAGGGTTTTGCTATGTTGTGAACTCAAGTTCTCTCTAGTCTCCCTCTAGAATTTCACCCATCCAAGTTCCATCCACCTTGCTTGATCCATGACTGCTACCCCGAAGGGCATAATGACCCCACAACTGAAGAAAACACCACTGCCTCCCCAGGATATTCTCTGAGGAACATGGAACGCAATGAGGGAGTATTTATTTTCCTGTGCCTACAAGTAAGCTTGCTCACAAGTATAACTCACTACTCTCCATGTGGAAGCCCTCTGCCAAGTATACAGCACAAGACAAACAGGACAGGATGCTGACCAAGAGCTTAAGAACCAATTACTCATCCAGCATTGACGCGAACCCTGGTGCCTAGGTTGGCAGGATCTACGGCCCAAATCCCTCTGACTTTTCAAGAAATCTCCAGCTTCAGCCCTCCCCACTAGGATCCTAAATGCAAAGATGGAGGTGCATCAAAAGACACTTCGGTTTGAAATCTTGTTGATGTTAAGCCATAGACTTTTGCAGACTGCACGGAGAGGCTGTTCTTAAAGAAGTGGCTTTAAGCTTCTTAGGACAGCAAGAAAACAAATATGTGAGTTTGGTGAAGTCCCTGCAGGAGCAGCCTCAGGCCAGACCAAGCACTGGCCTTAAGCCCTAAATATGTATCCTAGGTGCCTATCTGAGGCTGTTAATCTCCCTGTGGGCTGTTCTCTCTCCAGCTGGGCAGGGGCTTTTTCCTCTTGCAGTGGCCTCAGGCACAAGATATCCCCTTGCCACACCAAAACCTCCCTCTCCTCTCTCTCAGCAGGCCCCCTCATGGCAACAGCCATGATCAGGACCACCAGTGAGATGTCACCAAGGACATAGCTGAGATAGAAACTGGTCACAGGCCAAGCCTCACGAATACATAAGGGGTCCAGAGTCAGGCTCTATCCCCATCCACAGGCAGCTCTTTCTGATTCCACATCTGGCCAGCTCTGAGACAAGCCTAACACCCTGCTTTTGTCTGGGTCAAGATGGGAGACAGTTGGTCCTGGCGGTCAGGTAGAGCATCTGTTCTGTATCAAGCCTCAGCTAGATGAGAGAGGAGATGAACAGAACAATTTTCTTCTTCTTAAAATTTTATTCCCATTGAAAGAGATATGTAAATGAATAATTAAATAAAACATAGAAATTCCTCCAGCATGAGTTCAATGAGATGCTTGACCTTTCTCTGAAACAAGTGTTCTATAGTGCCTTAGACAATATATGCCCCTACTGTGGGCCTCCAGTTTCCCATCTATAAGAATAGAGGGCTGAATTAGATGAGCTCCTGCTCTGAATCTAATGTTCCTACAATCCAGTGACCCCAGAAGCTTCTAAAAGAGTCATTCATGGCCAGAGCCCAGACCTGAATATTTTTCTCCAGCTTGCTCTTCCCAGAACCCAGTCTTCTCTGTGTTCTTTGCTCAAAGGTGGCTTCGAGTTATAGGGTTTGTCCCAGGAACTGCCACTACCATATCCTGCTGTTTGTGTTAGCCATAAAGCCCCACACCATTGCATCTAGGAGCTGCCCCAGAAGTACTCCTAGCCTCAGCATTCCTGCTGGCCTAAAGGCCAAGCAGGTTCACACAAGGCCATTGTCTTCTTGCTCTCTGAGTCCCCAGCCTATTATTCCTCCATCTGATTTTCGTTTCAGCCTCTTAAAACACAGCTCTCATTGTAAAATCTCCTTGAAAACCTGTGTCTCCCCAAACTCTCTCAACTCAGATGTGAACTCCTTAGCCTGGTGCTTGTACTTCTCCAGACCCTGTTTCCAGCCCATGCCACCTCTTTTTAGCATTACAACCCAATATTCCCCAACAGGTCCCTTATGTTCAAGCTTCAGAGCAACTTTCCCGTTATTCTTCAGAACTGACTTGCCCTCCCCACCTGTCAAGACTCAGCTTAAATGTGGCTTCCACCCAGAAGCTTACTCTGACCTCCAGCCCATAGGGCTCCTAAAACACTGAAGTGTTGACACCATTCATCCTGAGCCCGAGAGACTTGCTTCGTTTTGTAGCTGACTGGTGATCTCCTATGGGTACATCTTTTCTCCCTGAGAGGGCCAAAGTCCCACAAGAATATGCCCATATTAGCCAGCATCTGGCACAACGCTCTCCAAGTAGCAGGTAAAGACTTATTGAAAGCAATAAGGATAGCTGGATAGATCATGGAAGTGGGTCGAACAGAGGAATGGATACAAAGTGCTAAGGGGCCTCATATGTAGGCAGGGTTACAGAGACATCTGTAGAATAGAAAATGAAATGAAAGATAAATGAATGAATAAGTGGACCTTGGTCCTAGCCACCATCATCTCTCACCTAAATCACTATAATAGGCTCCTAATTCATTTCTCCTCCCAGTAACAATCTACTATTTTCATAGCAGCTATAGCATGTCATTTCTCTCTTCGAAATTTTTCAATGTTCACTATACCACTCATATTAAAAGCCAACGTTCTTCAAATAACCCACAAGAGCCTTCATGAGCTGGCACCCATTATTGCATTGATCTCAACTCCTTCAACTCTCCCCATCCCTCACTTAACTCCAATCACATGGACCGGCAGGCTCTTTCTCAAGCATGCCTCAGGGACTTTGCACTTACTCTTCCTTTATTTGGCTTCTCTTCCAACAAGTATTCACATAGCTTCCTCCTGGCCTCTGCTTAAATGCCTGCTTATCAGAGAAAACCTCCTGACCCTGTATAAATATATAAACCACCTCCCACCCCTGGAGCTCCCTTATTATTCTCCGTATTTCTCCATGGTATTCACACTTTTTATGGTGTATAGTACCCTGTTTACAGTCCATCTTCCCAAACCAAATCCTCTAAGGGCATGAAATATGTGCTTTGCTCACCGTCACATCTCCAGGGCTGAGACTTAAACATGGCACCTACTAGGTAGGTGCTAAGTAGATAAATGAATGAATTCGTGAGGGAGGGAATGAGCAAATGAGTCTGTAACTTAGACCCTTGCAACCTTCAGGCATTTTTCCAAGATGCTGTTATCTAATGTGGCTGTCATTGTCCTATGCCTGCTCAATTCCAGCCCTGTCAGCCGCCAAAGCAGATGGACAGCACACATTCTAGGGAGCTCTTTGTAAATGACAAGCCTAAGAGAACTGAAAGAACAGCTTCTATGGGGATGGGGCCAGGATTAGTCTACTGCCTGGTTTCTAAATGCCACATTTTAAAATCCTACTCTCCCACCCTCCCCCAGCCTCTCTGCAAATTCCACAGGGCCAAAGTGCAATCATAGTCTAAAATGAAGAAGAAAACAAAAGCATCACCTTTTCCACCATAGGGCTCATGGGGAGCTGTGTTCCTATTTCCCCTTAAGGCCAGAGCCCCCTAACACCTCTGCAAAGCCCAGTCTATCTTATATCTACCTGAATAAGGAGCCTAATCTCTAATTTCTCATCACCAATGAAAGAGGGGAAGCCAGAAAAGCAGATAGTGAGCCAAGAGGAGTAATCAGTGTGGCCACTTCTGGTCTCCCATTCTTCCTGCTGACACCCTGCAATCATACCCAGCCCAGCCCTAGACCAGCACAGTGACATCTCCCCAACCCCTGACAGTCTCCTCACCTGGGATTCTGAGCTGTGAGGACCATAGAAAAGAGGGATACAGGAGTGGGGCTGAAGATAATGCATTAGCCTTGAGTCCTGCTATAAATCCAACATAAACTCTTGTTCACGGATGGATAGCTGGGTGACAGATGGGTGTGTGGGTGAATGAACAAGAGGAGATAGAAAGTTGAATGAGTGAGTGAGGAATGTAAGAGTAAGTGAGTCAGAGGGATGGAATGGGCTGTTCTGTCCTAGTGCTGATGACATCTTTGAAAGGATGGCTCACTGGACTTAGTAAGACCCACTTTCTGTATTCTCCTTTAAGCATATGTCTAGTGCAGTGTTAGAGGTAGGAAGGAGGTTGACAGCTCCTGACAAATGTGAATCATTTGTTCCAAGGAGTCTTCCATAGAATTGTAAAGATATTTTATACAAGTCCCCAAGGAGCCAAGTCAGGACCACCTGGGAACCCCTTCTATCTCCTGTATGGTCTACAAACCAGAGATAAGGATAGATAGAGAAGCCACAGCTCAGGGATGCCACTTGTGACTTAGCCATCTCCTCCAGGGACCTTCTTAGAATCATCCGGGAATTAGATGTACCTGTCACCAGCCTCCCAAAAGCTCCTTAGTGACATCTTAATTTGTACAGAAGATGGTAAGGTCTCTGAGGGACAGACATGGTTGGCAGGCACCCCAAATGCCAGGTGTCCCAAAATGAATGATCATTTTCCTCCTCAAATCTACTTCTCTTCTCATTTTTATTCCACTGAATGGTTCCATCATCTATCTGGTTACTCAGATGATAAATCTTCATTCATTCATTTGTTCAACATATATTTGTGGCATGTGTCAGTAACATGGTACCATGATACCTGCTAGGATAAAGTAACGAGCAAAACCAGACATGGTTCCAACACTCACAGAGCTCATCATCATATAGAGAAAGTAAGCATTAATGATTACATAAATAAATGTAAAATTGAAACTATGATAAAGGCTTGAAGGAGGCACATGTTTTAAAACTTTATAAAATGGGGTTGGACCTGGTCCTGAAGATTATGAAAGTGACAACTCAGCTGAGAACTGAGAGTAAAGCAGGAATTCGGTAGGTGGAGTCAGGAAGAACGAGCATTCTAAGCAGAGGAACAGCAAATACAAAGATTTATGGTGGGAGGGAGCCTAACAAGCCCTAGAGACTGAGACTCAGCTGAGGCCAGTGTGGCAGGGAGAGCCAGGGAGGGAGTGCTGGGTAGGGAGATGTAGGAGAGGGCAGCAGGGCCAGGCAAGCAAGACCTTGTAGGACTTATTAAGGAGTGTGGTCTTTATCTTAAGATCAATAGGAGGCAACTAATGTACTTTTAAGGAAGAAAATGATATGAACAGAGTTGTGTTTTGAAATGCGCTCTGGCTGCTGTGTGGAGAACAAATTGGAGGGGAGCCAGTGTGGATATAAGGGTACCAGGGGGCTCTTGTGGTACCCCAGAAATGTGAAGATGGTACCATGAACTAGGATGATGCTGGTGGAGATGGAAAGAAGTGAAAGATTTGAGAGATATTTACAAGCTAATATCAACAAGATATGGGGACGGATTGGATATGGGTTTTGAGGGAGAGAGGTGTTGAGGATGACTGCCAGGTCTGTCTGCCTTGTGCAGCTACCCAGACGAAGGAGTCATTCAACGAAATCTAAAATACCTGAAGAGGACCAGGTTTCAGTAGGATGAAGAACTACAGAAATTCTGTTTTGGACACATTGAGTTTGAGAGGCCTTTGAGGCATCAAACTGGGAGTCACTTAGACTCCTTCATCTCCCTCACTTTCTGCATTCACCGGTCACTGTGTCCTATTGATTCTACCTCCTCTTCATTCGAACTTAGTTCAGGCCCTGGTAATTACTGTATGAATAATTAAAACAATCTCCAGGCTCTTTCTTCTTCCAATCCATTCACCCACCTCATGCTGTCTGTCTAAATATTGCCTCCTGAAAGAGGCCATTTCTAACCACCCAATCTAAAGTATTCCTACCCCATTACTCTCTATCACAGTCTTTGGGGTTTTTTCTTCTAAAAACATGTAACAATGTATTGTATTGGTTGATTGGAGAAATAAATATACATATATGTCCTAACTCTGTTTGCTAAGAGAGCATATAAACGATGACACACCAATCACAAGGAGCACAGGTAGCCTTTAAATCTTGGTTTCTAAATACCATTTTCGACTAAAAGGATCCAGGGCTCTTCAGACAAATGGCTAATTCCAGGGCTGTAGCAAAGTAAGGAAACTAAGCCTGTAACTTCTTGCTATAGTAAATAGTAAGGAAGAGCACAGAGAATCATGGAGATGCATCAAAAACAAAGAAAGCCAGCTTGCAGAGCCTCCCACTAATCAAGTTTGGGACAATGTGAACATTGAGATAAAATAAAGATAATAATTGACTATAACCCATTGAATAAATGAAGAATTCATGAGACCCTAGTGATAGGAAGGGAGGGAGTGGGGAAAAGATTTTTTTAAAGTAGAATGCCAACTACTAAATACGGAAGAAATAATTGATTCAAAATGATCAACGATGATAAAATCAGTGGGTATAAGTTTGATAAGGAACAGGTTATACACAGTCTCAAAGTATCTCACTACAAATTACTTATTAATTCCAGAGAGAAAAAATAATAATTTTGCAGTGGAGAAACTGGCAGACATTATTCTTAAGCAAGTGATAAAAGCTCCCATCACCAGCACTGGGACAATCCCCACATCATGTGCTTGCTGATATGAAAACTGGAGAGGACATAACCTCACTGCAGTTGTATTCCTGCCCCTAATGCATTGCTTGAATCTAATCATGTAGAACCATCCACAATAACCAAATTGAGAGATATTCCACATAATAACTGACCTGTGCTATTCAAAAACACAAAGTTCAAAAAATAAATAAATAAAGCAGAACTGCTCTGGATTTGAGGAGACTAAAGAGAGATGACAATTAAATGCAATCTATGGATTGGATCCTAACTGAGGTGAGGGAGATTGGGGAGCCATAAAGACATTATTAGGACCGAATTGCACTGTGGTAAGAGATTATCCTTTTTAAGGAAATATATACTTAACGATATAGGGGCTAAAGAGGCATCATGTCTCCAATTTCTCCTCAATTAATCAGAAACATAAACATTTTCAATGTATTCATATATATAATAAAACAATAAATATATTATAAAAATATACAGTGAAATATGTTATATAAACAATAAAAATATATGCAAATAATAAAAATAATATTTTTGCATGATTGGAGAGAATGAAAGTTAATAAAGTAAATGGAAGATCATGTAAACAGTTGAAACATGAATAAAGAGAGATTTCTTATATAAGTCTTATACATTTTTATTATATTTGATATGTCAAAATTTAGAGTGACATAAAAATAGGAAGCACTCAATAAATGTTTGTTGAATGAATAAGTGAGCCCATATTCAATCATGTCCCTCCCTTCTTAAAATACCTCAGTGCTTGTCCATAAATATGACAAAAAGTCTAAACATCTCAGGACAGCAATCCAGACCAGACTCCATACAAAGCTCCTTGTAACATCTTCCATCTCATCCCCAACACTACTGACCACCCACACCATAGGCTCCAGTTATGCTAACTGCTTAAAATTCCCCAAACTTACCACGTTAGGCAACACTTGTGTGCCCTCACACGTGCTGGTCTCTCTACCTACAATGTCCTCCTCTTCCTGGCAACTTCCTGTTATCTTTCAAGATCCACACCAAGTACTTACACTTTCGGGAAGGCCTTTCTGACTGCCCCAGTTGGAGACAACACTTCCTTGCTGCTACATTAGTGCCTCTAGTACCTGATTTGATCATGCCCCACAGACAGGCCTTTATTTGTTTACAAGTCTGCCTTGCCATAAGGTCTGATTGCTACTTGAAGCCCGGGATATTCCTACTTACCTCTACCCCCAGCGCCTTGCACAGACCCTGGCACAGCAAATGATCTCAATTAATACTGAGGCATGAATAAATGAATCAGTTTTGGTTGTACTTTCTGGATCTTCCAAGAGAACCCTTAACTTTAGTCTCTTTCATCATCCTCAGAAAATGCAGAGAAGTGAGAGAAATGAGTTCTCTCATTTTATGCACCAGGAAAGGGAGGCTCAGAGAAGGTAAGTGACTTAACCCAAGATAACACAGTGTGCCCAAGGATGAGTCAGAGCTGGAATCCAGATCTTGTGCCAATTAGGCCGGTGTTCTTTCACAGAAAGTGGGTGGCATAAGAAAGAAGGATATTGCATTTTATGGTTTGCCTATTCTATGCCAGACACTGAATTTCAAATAAACTTTCCAGTTCAAGCACCACATTGCCTTATGAGGAACCCCATTTTACAGATGAGGAAACTGAGGCTCCAAGTCAGATCTGTCTGGCTGCAAAGCCCGTGCACTCTTTTCCGCACATTGCCAGTATGTACCGCCCACCTCTGACCCTCCATCAAAAGAAGTGAGATGGCCTGAGCCAATTGTTCTGTCCCTCAACAGTGTCTTTAAATCCAGCACCACACACAGGCCCACAACGTAGCTTACACCCTCCAACCACAGGCCACATTTCACATGGTTTCCAAACCCAGAATATTTGGTTTGTAAGACAAAACCTTCATTTCTCCAGCAGAAAGTGAACAGTATACACAACTACCCAGCCAAACTGCTGACGCCTACAGACACTGCATCACACCAAACAGAGTCTGATCTGCCCCAAGACATCCTCAAAGCATCCAAGACTCCCCCAGAGCTTGGCACTGAGGGGACCCTGGAGCTGGGGGAGGGGAGATCAGACCGGCCAGATCGCAGAGTCTGGGCAGAGGCTTGGTTCCCAGGACAGAGGTTGCTCCATGGAGAAGTGAAGGCACAGAAGTTCAACACTGCCCACTGCATGTTGGTGGGGGGTTGAAAGACAGAGGGAGAGATCCCCACACAACCCAGGAGGCCTTTCCCACCCCTTCAATCCCTGCTTCTCACACAGCAACAGTCTCCAGCTGAGGCTGGAAAGGCCAATGATGCTGATCACGTTGAGGTCCTGGAGACAGACAGAGAAGTCAAGCCCCTTAGCCTCATTCCCCAATTTGCCCAAAGGAGTAGTTTTTTCTGCTTTGAAAGCCTTTGAAATGAGGGAGTTGCCGGCATCTCTCGTGGTCAGTGGACATTCACTACACACTCTGGAGTTAGACAGATCTGGAAAGGAATCTTTGCTAGCTCTGACCTTGGGCTAGTTGTTTAGCCTTGCTGTGTTTCTGTTTCCTTATATTTAAAATAGTCTTCACTATTTCATAGAGTTGGTATAGAGGTTTCATGAAACAAAAGATGGAAAGAGCCTAAAAAGGAAGCTGGACAGTAGTCAATAATAAATAAAAGTGAGTTACTGTGAGTTACCTTTCCTGCACAGAAGTCCTAACTATCTCACACAATGCTCTTACTGGCTTTTAAGCCTGTTTTCACTTGGTTGAGCTTAAAGCCCAGGGGACAACCAGAGTCTAAATAGTGTGAAAATTCAGCAGAGATGTGGTCCAGTCTTAGTCTTACCTTTTTAAGATAACACTTTTCTGGGAAGGAAAAAACACCTCACCCATACCAAGCCACCAGCACATTACTCAGTACCAGGCCACAGGGGATTTCCTCTTTCCTACCTTGTGATCAAATGCTTCTGGGAGGATATATCTTGAAGGCAGGCAATGGCCACCAGCTTGGGTTGACATAAGATATAATGAGAAGCAGGACCTCAATGCAATGCCTGAAAGCCCACCATTCAAGTTATTCTAATCATTCTTTGTTGCTAAGCTTTACCCTCCAGCTTTCTCCTTTCCAAACATGAGTGGTCTTGGGCAGCATAAAATAATTTGACTTGGAGTGAATTAGAAGTTTCACCAACTTTGCAATGTGGCTAGAACCCTGCCCTGCATTCAGATGAGGTGCACCTCTGCAGATAAGAGGTGACAAATGATTCCCTGACCACTTAGCCTCACAGACCCAGGCAAGGAGGCAGTAAAGCCCTTCATGTGCTCCTCCACACTCCTAAGTCCAAGCTCCCCATCCCAAGCTCCAGTTCCACAAGGGCCATCCCTGATCAGAGATGTTGTGTTCCATACTGGGGGAGGGCTCAGATCCAAGAGACACAGAGAGCCCTGAGTTGGGCAGGGTCACATGAGGAAGGGGTGGCTGCGGGGCCAGGGCCAGGCTTAGGGCAAGGGTCAAACTCCTTCGGGCACCCAGACACTTGAGCTTTTGAGACAGGGAAGAGCTGGCAGCTGAAACACTCGGAGCAGGGGGTGTTTATCAATGGCCCAATTCATTCTCAACTATCCCCCTTGTCTGAGCCAGCACAGAGATGGGCATTATGTCCCAGAGCTACTAGGAAAAAAACCTCCAAGACATCGTCACCAATTAGAGTTCAAAGGTACAGAAGCCAAATTGAGACATATGAGTTGAAAACCAGATGACATATTTGAAATTGAGGATGTCCCAGGAAAATCCAGTGTGATTCCCATCCCCAGAGACCAATAGAATGCTTAATTGCTGGTTTTTCATTTATTTGTTCTGATTTCCTTCAACAAAGGATGTGGAAGTTTACAGTTAAAAATATGTATTCTATAAAGTTGATAAAGCAGAAATTAGAAGTCAAAGCAATGGTTCCAACTAACATAGTTATTACAACAGAGCCATATGATGGACTAAGAGCTTCCCAGCAAGCAGAGTGACAAGGGAAGCACAATGGGAAAATAATTCCTTCCCCTGCCACCTTTATTCTGCTGGACTGACCATAGCCTGCCCTTTTTTAACCATTCCCAAGGGTCAGGTGTAGGATCAGGCCAAAGAGAAGCTAGATCCCAGCATTCCCCTCAAAAAATGGTTGAACCCAACTTGCTCTCCTGCATATTAGAGGAGTTGGTGGGTGAGAGCTTAGTCACCCCTTAGACTAAACCATAAACACTAAGAAAGAAGAAACTCAGGCCAGGCATGGTGGCTCACACCTGTTATCCCAGCAGTATCGGAGGCCTAGGCAGGCAGATCACCTGAGGTCAGGAGTTCAAGACCAGCCTGACCAACATGGAAAAACCCCATCTCTACTAAAAATACAAAAATTAGCTGGGCATGGTGGTGGGGGTCTATAATCCCAGCTACTCAGGGGCTGAGGCAGGAGAATCGCTTGAATCCGGGGGGCAGAGGTTGCAATGAGCTGAGATCATGCCACTGCACTCCAGCCTGGGCGATAGAGCAAGACTCCATCAAAGAAGGAAGGAAAGAAGGAAGGAAGGAAGGAAGGAAGGAGGGAGGGAGGGAGGGAGGGAGGGAGGGAGGGAGGGAGGGAGGGGGAGAGAGAGAGAGAGAGAGAGAGAGAGAGAAAGAAAGAAAGAAAGAAAGAAAGAAAGAAAGAAAGAAAGAAAAGAAAGAAAAGAAAAGAAAGGAAGGAAGAAAAAAAGAAAGAATGGAAGGAAGGAAGGAAGGAAAAGAGAGAAAGAGAAGGAAGGAAGAAAGGAAGGGAAGGAAGGAAGCTCAATACCATCTTTCTAACTTCCCAGCTGAAAGAGCACATTTAGTCTGGGTACCTCACTGAAGTATTCAGAAGAGAATAGCCAGGATGGGACAGGTCTAGAAGCTCTACTAAGAAGAATAACACCACCACTCAGCTGGTATTTTAGGGCACCTACTCTTCCAAGCGCTGTATAGTGTGTGCCCAGTGGTCACCAGGGGGAGGAGGTCATGGAGAAGATTCTGTCCAGAAAAAAAGATAACCACTGGAAGAAAGGAAAGGAGCAGAGCAAATGCCATCCCTCCACCAGCCTGTGGGAGGGAGACTCAAAGTAGGGTTGAACGAAACCAAAGAAGAGAAAGAATCAACCCAGCTCAATTCACTGTCCTCCCTGCCAAATGGTTGCCTTGGGACCCAACCCAGAAAGGTCACTGCTTCTCTGCAGCAAGTGTAATCCAGAGTATAAACTACAGCATGGAGCAAATTATATATGCTGAGCTCCATGTCAGATCCCAGCCTGACCTGGCTTGCCTTCCAAAGGCAGTGTTTGGAAGTTTTCACTTCTAAAAGGGCGAACAGTGCTTCTAAGTCCCAGAGCTAAAGGGACAAGATGCTCTCTGGCTGAGCTCCATGGACAGCCTCAGTTTCAGATTCAATGGAACCCCTCAAAGGCACCACATCACCATCTGCCCTGACCCCCACAGCCAAAGTCCCTGACTTAAAATATTCCCCACTGAGGCCAGTTTCTTGGACCCATTGTCAGAGGTATAATATATAGATTAAAAGGGGCAAAAGTGGGAGGAGGCTAGCGGCTGAGGGTGGGGCCACACCAGGGATACATTTGCGCATATGCATTGAACAAAGTGGGTGCATGTTGCATACATGTCGTTGTCCACAGGTATACATGTTGAAAGTGTGAATGGTTGCATGGCTATCCTGAGAAGAGTGTGTGCAAGACTGGTGCACATGGACAGGAATGTGTGTATGCTGAGCATGTAAGCGTGGGTGCACTGCGAGTGTTTGTGGGTGGCCATGGCCATATGGTCCACTCATCCCCTGGCCTCCTGTCTCTTCTCCTGGTTTAAGAGTGGGGTCTCCCAAGCTGTCTCCCTGACCCTGGTCTAGCCAGATGGGGTTAGTCAGAGCCACATTCACTCCAGTGTTGTGTGAGGGCTCTGAGCTTCTGTCCTTCTCCAAGCCCTGAGAAACCAAAGCTGAATGACCCACAGAGAAGACACCCCAGCTGGGACAAGTCAGGTCACCTTAGAAAGCCTGAGTTCAGATAACACTCCCTAGCCCCAATTTCTGCCTTCCTGGGTTCACACTGGCACATCCACTCATCCACATGTGGACTGGCTCAGCCCACCTGGGGGCCTTCCTGCCACACACACAGGCATTTCCACAGGTACAGACACAGTGCACCCAGGGCAGCAGGTGCCACACAGGCAAATACCTGTGGCCCACTCCAGGCCACCACACACTCTGACACACTCGTTCACCCACACTCGCACCCTGGGGCACATGCTAGAAAATTCCACATGTGGACATCCCATCCAGACACACTCCCTCACACTGGCGCAAGCTCCCCTTCACAAGCACTCCCACTGACACACTTACACCTACTATCCAATTAGTGACAAACCTGCACTGTTCCCAACTAGGCTAGCAGAGGCATCACCAGCCCCCTGAATCCAGCTAGGGGAGCTGTCTACTTACTTAGCGTGCGAGACAGGCTGGTAGTGCGAGCGGCCAGTGGTGGCGGGGCGCAGCTGGAGCTCCAGAGGCCGCGCGCAAAGTGGCCGCTCTGCCGGCCCAGCCCGAGAGGCCGCCCCTGGCCCCCGCCCCACCCCCCGCCCCGTTCTCCCCCGCCCGCCCTCTCCGAGGCGGTCGCAGCCTCCCAAGGACCTTCCACAGCAGCGCGCTCCCTGCCAAGCCTTGGTCCCGCGTCAGCCACGGCTGCCTGCTGTCTCCGCGGGACTACGAGGCTATTTCGGTGCCCCTGGGGGGGGAAACATGGCCCTCCCTCCCATCTGCAGGAGCGCTGGAATGGGGACGCGGTCAGGCCTAATTAGAGACCGGGCTCCCCCGGGCCAGGCGGCAGGCACCAGGGTGATCGCCCGGGAGCCGCGAAGCCGTCCAGGCGGGGTCGCCCACAAGGTGCCCCGCATGCCAACATCTGGAGAGGGGAAGGGAATGTGCCGCGATCGTTTCCCTTGGAGCTGAAACAAAACAAGGAGGGATTTGGGTGCAGTTCACTTGCTAGGAAGGAGGAAGCCACCCAGCTTTGATAGACCCCAAACGCCTAGAATGAGACGGTTTATTCACCGCAGGTGCTTCCCTCTGGAACCTTGCTCACACACACCTAAGTCACCCTCCACATCTTGGACCTGCCAAAAATGACGAGGGGTTGTTGCAGAAACTCCTTCTAACTTCGGCACATAAGATCAGACCCCACCCCCCACCCCCCACCCCCGTCCTGGACTCTGTCAAATAGCTAAATCTAGAGGAACTTGATTCCTACCCAAAAGCTCGGGAATGTGGCATTTTTGACCTGGAAGAAAGCTTCCAGATCATTTCATACAACTCCCCCTCCCCCGCCTCCGCCATCTTGCTATGAGGCTCCCAGAGCCCAGAGAATCTTGACCTATTCTTGGAGGTCCTCAAGCAAAGGCAGCCCCTGGTCTCCCTTGAGCCCTGTTCCAAAGCTTGAACTCTCTTACTGACAGAAAGATCTCCTTGACATCTAACCTAAATCTCTCACATGCAAACTATGTCAATTTGCTCACAATATGTATTCAGGGAGAAGGAGCTCAACTCAGTCCCCATGACAAAACGACCACGCCGAGGTCCCACTGCAGCCTTCTCTTCCTTAATGCTAATAATCTCTATTTCTTTTTTCAGGCTCTGGCTGAAGCTAACTGCTGCTCCCTGGACTCGAACACACACAGTAGCTCTCTGATATTAACTCTCCTCCTCAGCTCTCTGGGGGCCCAGGGCTCAGAAGGTGGCCAAATCATTCCTCTCAGACAAGCCAGCTTCAACTCTACCCTCCAGTCATCCAGAACAGCCTGATTCTACTCCCCAAGTTCCCTGAGAGGGGCCTCAGTTCCTGTTTCAACAAGTGCTGTCTAGGGCTGGGGACAGGGCTTGGTGCCGCCTGGCTGGGCATTACCACTGAAACCACAGTCTTACAGACTGTTTGCAGAATCTTCTCTCTGAGTCTGTTTCCGGTAGGGCAGGTGGTATGATAAGAATAGTCTCAGCCGGGAGTGGTGGCTCACGCCTGTAATCCCAGCTCTTTGGGAGGCCAAGGTGGATAGATCACAAAGTCCGGAGATTAAGTCCATCCTGGCCGACATGGTGAAACCCCATCTCTACTAATAATACAAAAATTAACTGGGCGAGTTGTCATGTGCCTGTTACCCCAGCTACTCAGGAGGCTGAGGCAAGAGAATAGCTTGAACCAATGAGTCGGAGGTTGCAGTGAGCCAGTGAGCCAAGATTGTGCCACTGCACATCAGCCTGGCAACAGAGTGAGATTGCATCAAAAAAGAAAGAGAGAGAGAGAGAGACAGAAAGAAAGAAAGAAAGAAAGAAAGAGAGAGAGAGAAAAGAAAGAAAGAGGAAGGAAGGAAGAAAGGAAGGGAGGGAAGAGAGGGAAGGAAAGGAAGGGAAGGAAAGAAGTCTCCAATTCTTCCTCAAAGAAACCTGTTTTGCATCCTGCCTCTACTACTTTCTAGTGATGAGTCCTTGGACAAATCACTTAACCTCTCTGAGCATCAGTTTTCCCATATGTACATTGGGGAACATAAAAATCTCTGCCCAGCTCATGAGGTTGTTGAAAGTATGAAGTGAGGTCAAGGATGTAAAGCACCTGGAAAACTAAGATATTTTATTATATGCTAGAAATAGAATGAGGCTTAGATCATAAACAGATCGATGTTAGCAAAAAAGCCTCAAAGTTCTTTTATTTCCAGGCCCAAACTCTGTGTCTGGGTTTCAGGGTAAGAGAGGAACAGACTTGGTTTGTTAGATGTTCCCTGGAGGCACTTGGCATAAATGCCCCCCCCCCACTTCCCAATACACACACACACACACACACACACACACACACACACACACACACACTCACATCCACCTTCCCAGATACATACGGCACAGCACAGCCTCCTGGACTCCTGGACTCCCCATAGACCCCAGCCACCTGGACCTTCGCTGGCCGCCTCTCCATTGCCAGGGGGCCGTCTCATGGCTCCAGCCTTGGCTGCAGCGACTCCAAGTCTCCTTACAGAGGCCCCTGTGAACAGCTTCTTTCCCTTTGCCCACCCTTCTGGGCCATGGCCCTGAGAAGGCCTGTGACTCAAGGCAAAGCTTGTCCAAGGCAGTTCAGTACTGAGGCTGCCCAAGGGAGCTCAGAGTTGAAGCTTCCTCCCCCTCGACCCCCTCCCCTCTGTCTGCCTGACTTCTCAATGCTGTGCTGTCCTGCTTAATTCTTAATGGAAATTCCATCCCCGGCGCCGGCCCTAGCTGGCTCAGGGAGTCCAGGCTTGGGCCAACAGCAAACTCCACCAGAGAGACTGGGCCTGTCTGGCTATATAAACACACCTAAACACATATATACATGTGTGTATACACACACCAGCAGCAAGACATGCTCAGAGACATTTACAAACTCAGATATTCTCATCCAGACACATCCAGACACAAAGATAATATACATTCTAATCATTAACATTTATTGCATATACGAGAACTTCATAGGTATCAATTGCTCTAATCCTTAGAACAGTACTAGGTTCTGGTATTATCCCTATTTTACACATGAAGAAACTGAGGCCCAGGGAGGGCCTCAGTAAGTAACTTACCCAAGACATTGATAATAACAGCCTAACACATGAGCACCAGGAACTGTGCTAAGAAGCTTATGTGCATGTTTCATTTTGCTGCCATAGTAACCTTTTATAAAAGTTATTATTATCCCCATAATACAGACACAGAAAAGGGAGGCCAGGTGGTTTAAATCACCTGTCTGTGGCCTCACAGCTGGTGAGATGGAGACTCTACACAAATACACATGGGAATCCTTATGGATGCACAGAAAGACACACAGGTAAAGACACATGCACATGCTCAGAGGTGTACCCACAAATAGCTTATTTCACCTAAACCAAAGTAGGCGCCTCAGGACTGGTCCAGAGCTGTATCAGGCAAAGGTCCCCTCCAGCCTGACTCCACATTCTTCTCCTGTCCAGATGGCCTATCCCAGATCCACCAGCTTCACACATCACTTTAGGAAGGACAAGTTCAGACCTAAATGGAGGAAAGACTTCAGGTTTACACTGCAGTCTGCCAGGTTCATAGTCAACCCCCAGCCTCAGCTCCAAATTGTTCCCCCAGTATTCCCTAGATAGTCACTGAAAGAAGCCTCAGCTACACTCTTCTGAAGGGATCGCACTTCCAAGGAGGGAGCACCTCCGAGGCTCTGAGCACTGACCAGCCTCCAATGCTAGGATCCTGTCCTTCAGGCCCAGATGAATATAAACAGGGCCCTTGGGACAAGGCCTGGCACAGGAGCCCAAGCATTGGGTAGAGCAGAGCACGTGTTGCCCGAGGGAGTTGAAGTTATACTGTAGGAAGATGGCAAAACCCTGGTGGAACGAGAGGAGACAGGGATTGGGGCCAGGCCACTCCACCCTCTCCTGCATTTGTTCCACCACATACTTCTTGTGGCTTATTGGCCACGTAGGGGAGGGCAGAAAAGTCCTTTTCCTTTTGGGACAGGCAATGAAGTCCTGAGTCCAGAGAGTTGAGAGGACAGACATGCAGGAGAGATCCAAAGAGTTCAGTCCGCCAGGAGCTTATCCACTGCTTGAAGTTGCCATGCTATGCTAGGTATCTCCAAGGGGCAGGATGTGTGCTGGCCTCAGGCCTCCTTCTAAGCAGCCACAATAGAAAGTGCCTAAGAAGGCCTGTTATAGCCAGGGTAGTCTCTATTGTCTCTTGTGATTTCCCCTATCCCCAACCCAGAATTCCCCAACTGTTTCTGTTGTCACAAGCTCATCCACCCTGTAGTCAGAGAACATAGCCCAGCATGGCAGTCCCATGGGGCACCAGCATTGGAAGAGTTTTTTGAGGGAGGAGTGCTTAATCTCCACAAATGAATAAGGAATCATGGTGATTCAGGCAATAGCTCTAAGATGGGGAGATATTCTGAGCTGAAGAATTTGCATTTCTAAAAAGTTCCCAGGTGATGTTGATACTACTGATCTGGAGATCATGCTTTGAGAACCACTACTCTCTAGAATAAGAGAAAGTCAGGGATGATTCCAGTTCAAAACTAAATTTCCAACCTAATTACAGCATAAAGATGATCTCTTCTGAAAGCTCCTTAAATGTACAATCCTGGGCCAGGAGCAGCGGCTGACACCAGTAATCCCAGTACCACTTTGGGAGGCTGAGGTGGGAGGATAAGTGGAAGCTAAAAGTTCAAGACCAGCCTAAACAACAAAGCTATACCTCATCTTTGAAAAAAAATAAAAATAAAAAATTAGCCAGGAAAAGTGGTGTGCACCTGTGGTCCCAGCTACTCAGGAGGCTGAGGCAGGAGGATAGGAGGAAGACTGCTTGATCCCAGAAGTTCAAAGTTACAGTGAGCTATGATCACACCACTGCACTCCACCCTTGACAACAGAGTAGGACACTTTCAAAAAAAAAAAAAGAATTTTTAACCTTTTCAGTAGTTTGTACACTTTTTTGCCTAACTTTTCTCTTCCCAACTTCTGTGTCACCCCTGCCATCTATTGGTGGGTCTTTCATGGGCTCTGTCATGGCTCTCTCTGCCCCAGCACACCTCAAGACAAAAAACAGCATCCTCCACTCTGTCCTCTATCTGCACAGAGAAGTTATCAAGATGAGGGACCTGCACAAAAATAGCGATGGCCAGGCAGGCTCTCAGTTCCAGGGATGGAGATAAGAGATCAAAAGGTCATAGTGATAGCAGCTGAAATCCAGCCCCACCCTTAGAGATGAGCAATGGGCATGGGTCCCAGTATCCACAGCTGCAACCTCCAGTATCCCCCTGAGACGTGCACATCAAGATGCTGCCCTGCCCCCAGGATGGAGAGATAGGGCCCTCACAGAGGACAAGGAGACAGAGTACCAGACAGGCTGGTGCAGATGCATCATTAACTCACTTGGGCAATGGCATCTATCTCTCCAGGCCTTGCTCTGCAATTCTTACAAGAAGGAAAATGATCCCCAATTCCCAAAGCCAGTGTGAGAACTTGTAATATAATTAGAATGGAGAGACAGAAGGGACAGAAAAGCCCTCAGAGATCTCTGGATGCAGGGGTTCTGAAATTTTACGATCCACTAAAATCACCTGAAGGGGGGCAAAATGCAGAGTCCAAGGCCTCCCTCAGTGTTTCTGAGTCAGTAGGTGGGTGGTGTGCTGGAGCCCACATGCACCTCTCTTCCCGAGTGACGTTCAGTGACTTCACATTGTTAGCTTGAACTTGACCAAGGTAGAAGTATTTATTTACACTACAGAAATTGAGCAAACGCTATAAATTAGGGTGTTGTGTTTTGTTTTGTTTTGGAAAGCCTGTTGTTGATCACTTAGTAGCACACCATGGGACATTGTGGGTCTCTATTTTCTAGCATCCCAAGAAATTATGATGCAGGCCAACTTTGAGAAACACTAATCTAGTGATGAAGTTCTAACCCAAACCCCTCATGGTACAGATAAGAAAACTGAGGCCCAGGCAGGGGAAGAATCCCAGTCATGGCCTCTGTAGTAAGCTGCTCAGTTCAGGTTGGTGGGAGCTGGGGAGCAGCCCTGCCTCTTTACTTGACCCTGTCCTGTATACGTCTGCTCCACTGAATACCTGCTGAGGCTTATTGGCTACGTGGGGGAGGGTAGGAAAGTCCTGTTGCTTGTGAGCCAAATAGATTACTTCTTATCAGCATTTAGAATTTGAACTACCTGACCAGAGTGCCCTGGACAGCAGAAAATAAATTCCAAGGCTGCCTTGCCCTTCCCAAACCTTAACTATAATCTCTTCCTTGAATTTAGAGAGAGTCCCTAGTATCCTTCCAACAATGTCCATATGTGTCTTAGAGTAACAAGCAATAATCCCTTACTCACAATCAAGACCATCTTCAGAAATACAGCCACAGAGTAAATTAGTGAAAATAAGAACCCAAGATTCCTGCCCCTTTGTCTTTCCCCTACATCATGCCCTGCCCTCAGACGGGATGCCAAAGGACAAATTATTGTGCAAACATGCAACTCTCTAGGGTGGTGGTTTTCAAAGAGTGGTCCTAGACCAGCTATCTTGACAACACCTGGGATCTTATAACAACATGCAAATTCTCAGGTTTCACCCCACAGCGACTGAATCAGAAAATCTGTCACTACCGTCTAGCAAGCTGCATTTGAACAAGTCTCCTAGGAGATTCTGATGTCTGCTAAACTTTGAGAATTGCTCCAGTGGGAGGAGTCATAGCTTAGCCTCCCTAACAATGAAATAAAGGTTGTTCAGGTCAGGGAGGAAAGGCCATCAGGGTGTAAGACCAGCATGGGCTGTGTAGGGCCGGTCACACCACTTCCTCCCCAGCTTCCTTAACCCCATGTACCTGGAGAATCCCAAGAGACTAAGCAGTGGCTGTGCATCCTGAACTAAGATACAGTCCCCCTTTATGAAGCCTAAAAAGCAATACCTTTCCAAAAACAGCAGGACAACCTCAGCAAAGTCATGGCCAGGAAATGCTACTTCTGTCACTGCCTTGGTGCCTAACTGAGGAAGTGACTCACATTGGACCTTCCCTGGCTGTTTAGATTCCCAGAAGCTTGCTCTGTCTTGTCTGGAACAGCTTCTCAGGTCCTTCTGGAAGGAGGACAGCCTGGCTCCAAAAGCCATTTTGGCCTCTCCAGCTCAGAGTCCAGTGTTTCTTCCATTTCCTGTGCTCCCTTCAGGGAGAAAGATGGGTATGAAGGTAACTGAAGAAGTAAGGTCTCGGGAAGAGGGACAAAATTATAATAACAGTGACTACGTTGCCACGTATTGAGTTCTTCCTATATACCAGCCCTGCCTGTACCAAGTACTTTCCATGTTTCGTCTAATAATATGTAGTTATTACTAGCCCCACTTAGAGGGAAGGAAGCAGGCTGAGAGAGGTTAAATAGCTCTCCCAAGGTCAGGCAGCCAGTTTACAGAAGATCAGAGATTCAAACCCAATATGATATGAAAACATATCAACATATCTGCCTGACTCTAGGCTCCTCTGGTTTGTTCCCCTCTCCCCCCTTTTTTTTTCTTTCTAAGACAGGGTCTCACTTCCATCCCCCAGGCTGGAGTGCAGTAGCATGATCTCAGCTCTACAGGCTCAACTTTCTGAGCTCAGGTAGTCCTCCCACCTCTGCCTCCCCAGTAGCTGGGACTACAGACATGCGCCACCAAGCCAGGCTAATTTTTTGTATTTTTAGTAGACACAGGGATTCACCCTGTTGACCATGTTGGTCGGACTCCTGGGCTCAAGCAACCCTCCCACTTGGGCCTCCCAAAGTGCTGGGATTACAGGCATGAGCCACTGTGCCCGGCAGCCCCTCGAGTTTCAATACAAGTGCAGAGGTTCGCCTGGGACAGGAGGAAGTGCACCTGCTGCTGAGAAGGGCAGGATGGGGGCAGACACATAAGAAGGCCTTTTCCCAAAGTGGGAGGCCGGGTAATTTGTGGAGAAGAAAGGGGCATAAGTGGGGGTGGAGCCTTGAGGAATCAGGGATAGGACACACCATCTCCCATGGGAAGTACGGAAAAGAAAGGAATGGATTAGGGATGACAAAAGGAGCCCAGCTGGGGCTTGGAAAACATACATTTGAAATGAAACCAGTGAGGACAATGTGTACAAGCCGGTACTTGGTGACTCCGATCTGAGTCACAAAGTTACTGCGGGGGCAAGGGCTGATCCCAGAGACAACAAGGCCTGCAGATAGAAGTAGCCCATGGGGGCACTTGGGAGCCATCAGGAAGCTGTGGAGCCTGACAAGGAAAGAACTTGCCCCACCTGGAGAGTGCAGCAGCTCTGGGACTGCTTGTGAGTTCTCATCAAGGAAGGTCATTAAATGGCACCACCCCACCACCAGCTGATGAAAACAAAAACCTGAGCTGCCTTTGCTTCCCCTTTACCCCCACTATTTCCCTCCCTGTCTATCCAACTGGTCTGCTAGTCCTCTGCTCTGCCTCCAGGCTCTCTCTCTCCCCCTCCACCATTTCTTATCATTGCAAACCTGGACTCCTGTTTAGAGTTTCTGCGAGGACCTCGCTGCCTCCTTTTCTGCCTTCTAACCTTCATTAACCACACAGCAGCCTGAGTCATCCTTTAACAACGTAAATACGAGCTTGTCCTCCCTCACCTAAAACTCTTTAATTGCTTCTTACTACTGCACTTAGAAAAAAAAATGCAAACCTTTTCTTCTGACTCAAGAAACCCTACATAATTCTTCTCTCTTCTAGGGTCTCAAGTCACATCATCTTCTTGAGAGAAATCTTCCCTGACCTACAAAGAACCATCCCTGGTCATTCTCCTATGAATGCCACTTATCACTCTCTGAAATTCCCTTGATTGTTTATTTGTTTGATTACTGTCTGTCTCTCCCACCTTCCATACCATGAGAAAAGAGACCGTGTCTTCTAGTGCAGTAGCTAGCACACAATAGATATTAGTAAACTGCCATGGAATGGTTCAAGCATGGTAGAGGAAGTAGCTGCCCCATGTGTCAGAGCAAAGAGGGGCAGAGATCATCCAGGAACCAGGTGCAAAAAGAGAAAGAGAACCAACAGAAAACCCAGTCCTTAAAAGAAAGAGGACTTGGGTTTCCAATAATTTTCCCTGAGAAGGACATTCCCATCCCTGGTTTATGAGAACCAACAGCTTCCCTGTCCTGGGGGTCCCATGAGACACCTGTACATTCTAACAAGATTTTTCTTATTTCCCTTAAGCTGGCTTGAGCTTTCTACTTTTGCTTACCAATTTACAAGTCCTCACTTGTTCCCCCTCTGCATGTCTCCTCAGTGAAGACAGCTAAAAGAGAAGGCCCACCAGCAGAAAGCACACAGCACAGCGGATGAGGGCTTGAGGCTTATCTTTTATCTCTTTGACCTTGCACAAGTGTCTTTTCCTTCTCTGAATCTCCACACCTAAGTCCACAGCACCTGAGACCTAGTCCTTCCAGGTGTATCTGATGAGGACTCTGAGCTGACAGATGGTAAGGAAAGGGGCCATCTTTCAGGCAAAATGCATATTCTGTTCATTTTCATATTCCAGGCAGGTCCCAGTGGGAAAGAGGGCCACACGGCTGAAATTTGGACAACAATTTAATGAAGGCCTATTTATGTTCAGGGTTAAGAAAATAATAGCAAGTGGTTTGAAGCATGCGGGGACTGACAACTGCGGGAACCCATTACCACCACCAATTCTAGAGGGACAAGCAGGTAAATCACTTACTGGTGTTCCAGGGCAGCCTTGGAAGAGGCTACCCAGAAGAAACTGTGATCATAAAATCATAGCTCCAAAGAGAAATGGAGAAGAAATTCCCTAACCTGTCTCTGCTCCTTCCTCTGATCTCCAGCCAGTTCCTCTGCTGGCTGAACCCAATCAGGGAACAAGAGAGTCCAGGTGCTACGGTCTGAAGATCAGCTCTTCCAGATGCAGAGCAGAGCAGAGATGATAGAGAAGCTATGGGGGAGGATGCCCAGCTGAATGGTTTATAAGCAGAACCCAGAGAAAAACCAAGACCTACAAACTCTCTAAGTCCCCACAGACACTGCTTCATTTAAATCTCTGTATAGAAGCACTGAACTCCAGAAAGCCTCTAAATTGCCATAATGGTTTTGATAGGCCCAGATTTACAGCCCTTGGCTAAGGGCTTGCCAAAGGCAGAAGCTATGCTATCAAGCACTTGCAACAACTGAAATAGAAGCTTCCAGAAAAGTTTCACCAAGAGATGAAAAATCTGACAATTTGAATAATTGAAAAGCCTTAATGCAAACCCTCAGATAAATTATTGAGGATGTATTAGATTATTGAGGATCCATTATAAAGGATCCTTCTAATAGAAACCATGCCCAGCCCAGGACTTTGTAGGAAATAAAAAATTGATCTGTTTTAAATTCCCTACAATTAACACTACTCAAGATTTAAAACGCCGGCCCTCCAGAACCCATCTATGCCCAAGGCCCATGAGGATAGGGTAGTGAGGGTGGGGTGCAGAGAGAGACAGCTTTCAATCCAGAAGACTAAGTCCCTTCTAGGAGTAAGAACATTCCTAAAGAATGCTTCAGAACATGGTGACCTCACTACTGCCAGAGAAAGTCTAGTACAGAAAACATTAATGAATAAAGACCAATCCTATGCCTGGCACCATGCACATCACTAGGAATACAACCATGATTAAGGCAGGGTCTCTACCTTGGAGTCCTCACAACCTAGTAAATGGAGAAAGATATAAATAGACCATTCCCATAGGAGGAGTTAATTAAGGGAGAGATGAATTAAAATGTCCCAATATAATTGTGTATTTCTGCTTTATATACTGTCAGGCTATGTTATTAGGTGCATATACGTTTACAATTATTACATTCTGCTGGAAATGTTACATTTTGTTATCTTAAGATAGCCCTCATTATCTCTTAATGCTTTTTGTCTTATGGTCAATTTTAGTCAAATTAATATTAATTACACTGCCGTTATTTTAGTTAGTGTTTGCATGGTATATTGTATTTTCATTCTTTTTCTTTTGCCATTCTGTATTCTCATGTTTTAGGTAACTCCTGTAAAAAGCCTACAGTTAGATATTTTTTAAGCCTAGTCAATGTAAATGGAGGTGAAAGAGTTATGTATAATGCAAATCTGTGAGAAGAGCTTTCCCAAAAAAAGGAATCAGTGAAAGCAAATATTCTAAGGCAAGAGTATGGCTGGTATCTTTGAGCAAGAGCAGGAAGAACACTAAGGTGAAACAAAGGAGTGAGGGGAGTACGAGGTGAAGGCAGAGATAGGTAACGGCTGAAGCAATGCCTTTGAGTAGTGGAAAGGGGAGGGATCTGCTGCACAAATAAAAGAAATGGCTCCAGCTAGGGGCACAGAAAGTTAATCGATGGCAACCAAGGGAGAAGAGCACCTATGTTCAGATGCCAGTAGGTGTAGAGATGTTTTGTTAAGAGTCTGTGGAGGCTCTCTTCTGATTGATGCCATCCTTTAAGTGAAGTAACAAGCAAGGTCAGAAGCTTAGAATAAGGATGGTGGAGAGGGTGCTGGGAGTTTGAGGAAGGTATATAAAAGTGATCTAGAAGTAAATGGGAGAGTGAAAGGACTAGGGACATACAAATCCATAGCAGCAATAAGGGCCTAATTAAGTCTCTCATAATCATGGATTCAGGTATTTAAAATGAAGCAATCAATATGGTTTTGTATTTTTCTCCAGTCTTAAAGGTCCTTGATCTAGATGCCAAAGTGGTGCTGAAACTTCTCTACTACATTCTGCTGAATGGTCATCTGGCCTGTGCTTGAACACCTCAAGTGACAGGAAGCCTATAACTGCCTGAGAATCTCACACTACCTTTAGACAGATAGGGTGACAGAAAGTGCTTCCCTATATGGAGCTGACATTTCTCTTCCTGTTAGGTCCCCCTACATTTGAACCTGTGGGTCTGTTTCTGTTGTCTGTTGCTTAAGTTGTACTAGTTCCTCCTACATCTGGTCATCCAGAAATTCATCTATAAATTTGACAACATATCCAGTTGGTGAGGCTGCAAGAAAGAAGAACCGTTATATAAGATGGGTAGAAATACAAAATGCCACATTTCCTAAATCTAGCAAAATTACATATGCAGTTCCCCTTTGACTATACAATCCTATTTCTAGAAAGGATAAAAAATAGTATCGCATTGGATTAAAATTAGATTAAAGTGGTCCCAGATTATCCCCATGTGTATCCCTGCTAAGAAACAATATGAACATTTTGCAAAATTTAGCTCCAAAGATGATTATTATAGCATTTTTATGATAATTAAAATCTGGAAACAACTTACATGTATATAGGGCTTCATTGCATAAATTCTGGCACATCTATTCAATGTAATATGAAATAAGCAAAAAATAATAGAAGAACAAAGTATAGCATAGAAAGATACACACTGAAAAAGACAGACTTTAAAGAGGTTTGATGTTATACATGTTTATAAATATGTACATAAAGATGTGGTATGGTTTGAATGTATGTGTGCCTCCAAAACTCATATGTTGAAATTTAACCTCCAAGGTGATTGTATTAAGAGGCAATGCCTTTAGGAGGTGACTAAATCATGAGGGTTTCACTATTACAGCTGGAATTAGCACCTTTATAGAAGGCCTTAAGGGGGTGAGCTCCCCCCTCCATCTCTTCTGCCATGTGAGGACACAGTGTTTGTCCCCCTTTTTGCCCTTCTGCCACATGAGGATGTAGCAACAGGTGCCATCTTAGAAGCAGAGAGCAACCCTAACCAAATAGTAAATCTGCTGATGCCTTGATCTTGGACTTTCCAGCCACCAGAACTGTGAGGAATAAATTTCTATTCTTTACAAATCACCCAGTCTGTGGTATTTTGTTATAGCAGCAGGAACAAAACTAAGATAAGATGTAAAAGAAAGAACATACGCCAAACTGTTAATGGTGGGTTTATCTGAATGATGGGATAACTAAGAAACACATATATTTTTGGGGGGAGAGATGCTATATTCAAAATTTTCTGTATTGTGTATATATTATTTTATAATTAGGAAAACAAGTTATTTAAATTATTTCATTTGAAAAAACCCTACCAGCACATTCAGGTCAAGACTAACTCCTCCATAAAACCTCCCTAATTTTTTCTTCACCCACCCCCACCCCATCTCCAGCCAGGAGATCTCTAAGCCTCCTCTGAGCTCAGACAGCATTTTGAAATAATAAATCTCAGTAAGGAAGGACAGGCTCAAGAAGAGTAGTCCTGTGTCAAAATTCGGGGATCTCCATTCATGCCCGTAATGACCCCCACTCCCACCACTCTTCCATCTCTGCCCCAGCCTTTGTGCTTTGAGGGAAATCAGGAATAAAACAAAATGGGTCTCACTAGTATTCTCAGTCTCTGGATGTCTCAGCAAGGTTTCTCAGATGAGAGGAAACTTCAAGCCTCCCTCCTCCCTAACATTACCACCTGCCCCCGGAATCCCAAGTGCTTTGGAAGAATGTTACCTCACCTCTGTGAAGGAGGCACCATTAATTCAAATTTACAGGCCACAAAACCAAGGCTCAGAAAGAAGGAAGAATTAGAGATGAATCTGGGAGACCTGCTTGCGATCTGCCTGGGAGAAGGGGATCCTGGCTAAGGAAGCTGAAGCGGGGCTTAGTCCGCCCTCTGGTGGATAAGAGGCTGCTTTGCACCTAGCGGGACGGACTGAGGGAGAGACAGTATTTTAAGCTGCTGCTAGTCCTTTTATTTTGAAATTCTCACCTAATATCATAATAAGATGCATCTATATCTCATATAGAATACAATTTCTATACAACTACATAATAGTTGAGTTTAGTAGACCAACAGACATGAAGACACTTAAATAAACATTTATTTACCTGTCTTACCATATTCATATGTTGAAGCCAATAATATGCTTTGTAAACTTGAACATTTTCATGAATCCTTGAAAAAATTTTAGGCCTTCGGCTCATAGTTCTGGAAACTAAGTGATAAGAAGCCAGTCTCTTGCCTTTGCACCCTTTCTAGAGGATGCCATCCAGGTTTGGGGTGCCAAGGAGGCAGCAGAAGCAGGGACCAGCAATGTGACCATAGCCTGGCTTAGGAAGGGCACACAGAGATGGTGCGATTCTCCAGGCACCGCCTCAGTGATACACGGGGAGGCATGGAACATGTTCATGCTTTGTTCTGCATCCACACTGCAAATGCTCTAATGGCCAAAGGCAAGTGGACTATGACTTCTCCTTTATAACTCTAACTCTTATAGAACACAAGAGTCAACCTGGGTACCCTCAGAGCTTAGCTGAGACCATCCAGGTCTCATCCAGGACTTGAACAGATTTCACAAAACCCAGTTGGAGGGCAACAAGTAAATAAATACCAAAGGGAAGTGAAGTCTGGCTTTATCATCCAAGGCTGGTTTTTACCATCAGGAGCTCATTCTCAGGGCTCAAAAGTTCTATAATATTTCACTTCCATCCCAGAGAGATAATCATCAAACTAGCTTCAAAGGGTTGACTCTGTTCCCTTAGTTCCCACCTTCTCAGTCTCCAGCCTACCTCCACGGGGTCAGTGTCATCTTAACACCCATCGTCAGTGAGCCTTTTCCTACATATCTCAACAACCCTTTCCTGAAATCCAAACCGAAGAAGGGATCAATTCCCTTCTGGTGACCTAGACCTGTTCTCCCAAGTTCTAGTTTCTTATCTGAGAAGCAGGCCTATTGCCCCATATAACTGGGAAAAGTAACAAGCTTACACTAGAGGTGAGACCTTATCTCCTACAGAAGGCCCCTGGCTTTATTACTTATTGTCTCATCCTTATAAGGAGAGCTTAATCCACAATATTCATTTACTAAGAATTAAAAGTTATACAAGCAGTATATTATTCCTTCACACAAGTCATACTACACAGTGAGAATTTATCTCTGTCTGCATAGCAACTTCTATATTTCCAGAGGTTTAGATCTGAGGGCTACTGAAGAATCATCAAATGAATGCTGCAATTTAAAAAGGTTATTCTCCTCTAAAGCAAAGTATCAATCACTTTTTCTATAGCTGTTTGCTAACATCCAGGAGTGGCTTCTTCTCTTGAGCTTTTGCATGGGCAGGATAACCAACTATAGCTAGATCCCCTCCTCTTGGGCAGGTTAAAACATAGCTAAACAACTCTGAGTTATAGAGTGAAGAGAGAGGTGAATGAGACAGTCCTTGCTTGATAAGAGCTCTAGCCTATTGAGGAAGACTGCACTTTCAGACAAAAGAAAACTAAGAGACACAACAGCAGCAAGGACTTACAAGTGAATCAGTTCCTGGATGTGTTTCAAACAGTGAGAAATTAGAAAAGAGGCAGTATCCATGAGCCTGACTTTTCCTACTCTCTCAAATATTCTGTGTTCCTTCTTGCCCTCTTGTCTTGTCTCTACAAACACTCACTAGCTCTTTTGTGTATTATCATAATCTCAAATACCTCCTATTCAAATTCCAGTGACTCCTACATTTAATTATTTACATAGATCTCTCAGACTACACATCACATTAGCCACTTGGAGGTCCCTCAATTTTGTATGACTCTATTAGATACTGTCTTTTCTGGGAAAGGGCAGGTGTATCTAGCATTAAACCCTTCTTTCCAGTTAGCATCCTGACCTCTTATTTGGAGAATTCCCTGTTGTGTGTAGTCTTGGTGGAAGGTAGTGCTTGCTCCCTGTGATGGAAGCTGAATTAAATAGATATTCTCTCACAAACCCAGCATGATGGAGATGCAAGCACATGAGGTAGGCTCAGCTCTCTCCCAGGGCTCTCAATCTTGAGCAAATGTAGAATGACTAAAAGTCATAACCATTACAGTGGCAATAACAACATAAAGACTTTTGTCTCTATGTTTATGGCAATAACAACATAATGAGTTTTGTTCCTCCCCTCTGACATTTTCTGAAGTTTTGCTGTCCAGCCCTTGGAGCATCCCTAGGTTTTCTTCTTGTTTGTTTGGTGATTTTTTTATTATTTCTCAGCTTTGTCCTCCACTTAGCCATTGTAGTAGGCAGCCTCCAAGATACTCACTAATTATCCTTGTCTCCCAGTACTGTTGCCTTTGTGTAATTCCCTCCCGCATTATGCTACGGTTGGTCAATGTCACCCATAGAATATTACAAAAGTAATTTGGGAATAAAGGAGTATTCAACTTCCATCTTGTGCTTTCATTCTCTCTTCCCACTCACGTACTATACTCCAGCAATCAGTTACTCTGAGGTAAGTCATGACATAGGCAACCTTTTGAAGAAGCCCACATGGCAAGAAATTAAAACCTCTTGCCAACAGACACATTAGCAGCCTTAGAGCACATCCTCTGGCCCCATTCAAGTCTTTGAAGACTGCAGCTTTGTCTGACATCTTAGTTGCAACTTCACGAGAGTCTCTGAACCAGGACCACCCAATGAAGCCACTCCCACATTTCCAACCCTCAATAATTCAATGAAACTCTGATATGCTTCCAAAAATTTGCCTTTCTGCATAAGAGGTCCTGAATCCATTTCTATTGCTTACAGCCAAGAATCCTAACTGATACAGAGATTGATACCATGAGTGCAGTGAAGGAAAGAAATGTTTAGCAAAATATGCAAAATATGGGAAATACAGGATCATTTATCTGGCTAATGTATGACAAATAGCACAAAGGCTCATTCATGTCCCAGAATAAAGATCTAGCAGCTATGACGCTCAGCATAAAACTGATTACCTGTAATTAAGTTCTCATCAAATAGAAAAGTTTGGACACTCCAAAGATCTCAGAGTGGAGGTAAATGCTTATGTCTCTACATCCCAAAACTCTCAACTCAAGGCATGCATTGAAACTCAAGGACTTTCCATGATAGTGTTAAAAACAAATTCTCATTGCAGTAGAACTCAGTGTTGCTTGAGTAGTTGCATGAGTAGAACTCATGACAGTGTTGCTGTCATGTCGTAACATGACAGTATGAAGTTCCACTGCACTACACACAAAAAAATCACCTTCATAACAACCAAAAATTAGATGAGAGATCACAATGCCAGGTTTTAACATCATATTAAGGAAAGAGGCGCTAAAAAGTGAAGGAAAGAGGCACTAAAGAGAGTAGGAAAGACAGTCTTGAATCATCTATACCACCCCTTCTCCATCTCCTGGCATCAGCCTCATGGTGTGAAGAATCTGTGCTCTTGGGAGAGGGAGAGCACAGTCATCGTGGGGCTCGGCATTGGAACTCAGTGCTGCCCTGTCATGGCAGAAAGTAACATGGGGCAGAACTCAGCTGGTGTCCATAGATGGAGCATTTAGACCAGCCTTAGCCAAAGGTGAATCATCCATCCCTGTGGTCAGAACCTGAGCTCTGGCAAGTCTCATCACCACAGGATAAAGTACTCTGGGGTTCCAAATAAACTTGAAAGTTGGTCTAGGCCACAAGGACTACAATTCCTGGGAAAGTCCTGGTGCTGGGCTGGACTCAGAGCCAATGGATTTCAGGTGTATGCAAACTAGGGAGACACCAGCTGGAGCAATCGATGGAGTGCTTGCACCACCCTCCCCCAACCTCAGACAGTGCAGTTCACAGCTTCAAAAGAAACTCCTTCCTTCTCAAGGAGAGGAGAGGTGAGGGTAAAGAGGACTTTGTCTTGCAAATTGGATGCCAGCTCAGCCACAGCAGAATAGGGCACCAGGAAGAGTCCTAAGGCCTCCATTCCAGGTCCTAGCTCATGGATGACGTTTCTAGACACACCCTGGGCCAGAAGGGAATCTGTTGTCTTGAAGGGAAAGACCTAGTCCTGGCAAGATCCATCACATGCTGGCTAAAGAGTCCTTGGGTCCTAAATAACCAGCAGTGATATCCAGGTAGTACATCATAGGCCTTGGGTAAGACCCAGTGTTATACTGGCTTCAGGTGAGACCCAGCACATTCCCAGCTATTGTGGCTGTGAAGAGAGGCTAATGTTTGAGGAAAGGGGATGGAAGAGTAAAGGGGAGATTGTCTTGCAGCTTGGGTACCAGCTCAGCCACCATGGGGTAGAGCACCAACTGGGCTGCTGGGGTCCACAATTCTAGGCATTGGCTCCTGGATGGCATTTCTGCAGCTGGCCTGGGCAAGATGGGAGCCCATGTCCCTGAAGGGAGAGACTTGGGGCTGGTGACATTCACCGCAAGCTGACTAAAGAGACCTTGGTCCTTGAGTGAACATCAGCAGTAACCAGGTAGTACTCACCATGAGCCTGGAGCAGTGGTGACCATGGGGAAAGACTCCTTTGCTTGAGGTAAGGGAAAGGAAAAGTTGGGAAGGATTTTGTCTGTGGCTTGTGTTCCAGCTCTGCCACAGTAGAATACAGCAACAGATAGATTTCTAAGATTCCTGAATCCAGACCCTGGCTCCTAGATGACATCTCCGGAACTGCCTAGGGCAGGGGAGAGTTTGCCACCATGAATGAAAGGACACAAGCCTGGTTGGATTCACCACCTGCTGATTATAGAGCCCTTGAGCCTTGAAGGAACATAGGCAGTAGCTAGACAATGGTCACTGTGGGCCTTAGGTAAGACAGAGCTGTACCGGCTTTGTATCTGACCAAGTGCAGTTCCAGTGGTGGTGACCACGGAGGTGCTTATGTCACCCTTCCCACAGCTCCAGGCAGCTCAGTTCAGAGAAACAGACTCCATTTCCTTGGGGGAAAGTAAGGGAAGATAACAAGAGTCTCTGCCTGGTAACCCAGAGAATTCTTCCAGATCTTATTTAGACCACTAAGGCAGTACCTCTATGAGACTGGAAGAGTCACAGATTACTGGGCTTGGGGTGCCCCGTAATGCAGATATGGCTGCAATGACCAAAGACTTAGATCACAGCACTCAAGTCCCTTCAAATACTTGGAAAGCCTTCCAGAGAAGGACAGGTTCAAACAAGCCCAGACTGCGAAAACTATAACAACTACAAAGTCTTCAATGCCCAGATACCAGTGAATATCCACAAGCATCAAGACCATCCAGGAAAACATGACCTTACCAAATCAACTGAATTAGTCACCAATGACCAATCCCAGAAAGACAGAGATATGTGACCTTTCAGACAGAAAATTCAAAGGAGCTGTTTTGAGGAAGCTCAACAAAATCCAAAATAACATGAAAAGAAATTCAGAATTCTATCAGATAAACATAACAAAGAGATTGAAATAATTTAAAAGAATCAAGAAGAATTCCTGGAGCTGATAAATGCAATTGACATATTGAAGAATGCATCAGAATCTCTTTTTTTTTAATTTTATTATTATTATACTTTAAGTTTTAGGATACATCTGCACAACGTGCAGGTTTGTTACATATGTATACATGTGCCATGTTGGTGTGCTGCACCCATTAACTCGTCATTTAGCATTAGGTATATCTCCTAATGCTATCCCTCCCCCCTCCCCCCACCCCACAACAGTCCCCGGTGTGTGATGTTCCCCTTCCGCATCAGAATCTCTTAACAGCAGAATTGGCCAAGCAGAAGAAAGAATTAGTGAGCTTGAAGACAGGCTATTTGAAAATATACAGTCAGAGGAGACAAAAGAAAAAATAATTAAAAAGTATGAAACAAAACTATAAGATCTAGAAGATGGTCTCAAAGGGGCAAATCTAAGAGTTATTGGTCTTAAAGAGGGAGTAGAGAGAGAGAGGTTGGTGTAGAAAATTTATTCAAAGGGAAAATATCAGAGAACTTCCCAAACCTCCCAATACTGAAAAAGTTGTCAATATTCAAGTACAAGAAGGGTATAGAACACCAAGCATATTTAACCCAAAAAAGAATATCTCAAGACATTTAACAAACAAACTCCCAAAGATCAAGGATAAAGAAAGGGTCCTAAAAGTGGCAAGAGAAAGGAAACAAATAATATACAAAGGCGTCCCAATACATCTGGCAGACCTCTCAGTGGAAACCTTACAGGCCAGAAGAGAGTGACATGACATACTTCATCACTCTATCACAAAGACACATGCACATGAATGTTCATTTTGGCACTATACACAATAGCAAAGGCATGAAATCAACTTAATGCCCATCAGTGACAAACTGGATAAAGAAAATGTAGTACATATACACTATGGAATAGTATGCAGGCATAAAAAGAATGAAATCATGTCTTTTGTGGGAATATGGATAGAGCTGCAGCAAACTAACATGGGAACAGAAAACCAAGTACCACATGTTCTCATTTATAAATGGGAGCTAAATGATGATAACTTATTAACACAAAGAAGAAAACAACAGATACTTGAGTCTATTTGAGGGTAAAGGGTGGAAGAGGGGAGAGGAGCAGAAAAGATAATTATTGGGTACCGGGCTTACTTCCTGGGTGACTAAATAATCTGTACAACAAACCCCCATGACATGAATTTACCTATGTAACAAATCTTCACAGGTACCCCTGAACATAAAATAAAAGTTTAAAAAAAAAAAAAAAGAAATAAACTTGAATTTTTAAACAACCAAAAAAAAAACTACACATCAACTTCAAAAATTTTTGCACTAAAATAAACTTGTACTCATTTGTTGTGACATGTCTGAACAGGATCTAGTTCGAGGCATAAAGGAAGGATAAGACATCAGTTTGAAAAGAGCCCCTGTAAGAGAAATATGAGTTCTGCTAAAATTGAAGCAAGAACTAATATCAAATTTATGGTGAAACTTGGATGGAAGAAAGGTGAAATCACTGTTGCTTTACGAAAAGCTTATGGGAACAATGTCCCCAAAGAAATCAGCAGTTTACAAACTGATAACTTGTTTTAAGTAGGGAAAGGACAATGTTGAAGATGAAGCCCTCAGTGGCAGGCCATCCACATCAATTTGTGAGGAAAAAATTAATTTTATCAGTGCCCTAATTGAAAAGGACCAATGATTAACAGCAGAAACAATAGCCAATACCATGGAAATCTCAATTGGTTCAGCTTATATGATGCTGAATAAAATATTGAAGTTAAGCACACTTTTCACTAAATGAGTGCCAAAACCATTGTGCCCAAATCAGCTGCAGACAGGAGCGGAGCTTTCGATGGAAATTTTAAGCAAGTGGGATCAAAATCCTGAAGCATTTTTTAAAGAATTGTAACAGGAGATGAAACATGGCTTTACCAGTATGATCCTGAAGACAAACACAATCAAAGCAATGGCTACCAAGAATTGGAAGTGGGCTAGTCAAGGCACATGTGGACCAGTCAAGGGCAAAGATCATGGCAATAGCTTTTGGCGATGCTCAAGGCATTTTGCTCATTGATTTCTGGAGGGTGAAAGAACAAGAACATCTGCTCATTACAAGAGTGTTTTAAGGAAGTTAGTCAAAACTTCAGCTGAAAAACACCCACAAGAGCTTCACCACAAAGTCCGTCTCTACCATGACAATGCTCTTCCTCACTCCTGTCATCAAACAAGGACAATTTTGTGAGAATTTTGCTGGGAAATCATTAGGTATCCACCTTGCAATCCTGATTTGGCTCCTTCTGACTTATTTTTCTTCTCTAACCTTAAAAACGTCTTTAAAGAGCACTATTTTTTTCAGTTAATAATGTAAAAAAAGACTTCATTGACATGGTTAAATTCTCAGGACCCTCAGTTCTTGAGGATGGACTAAATGGCTGGAATCATGGCCTACCAAGTCTCTTGCCTTTCATGGAGCTTATGTTGAGAAATAAAGTTTATACTTTTTATTTTAAAAAAATAATAAATAAAGTACTGAAGGAAAAAAATTGTTTATCCAAGAACATTATATGCAGTGAAAATCTCCTTCAAACATGCAGGAGAAATAGAGACTTTCCCAAACAAATGCTGAGGAACTAAAAATATAAAAATAAAGAAAATCTAACTGGTAAAAAGACATCCTGGAGATGATGTCAGCAAGATGGCCAACTAGGTGCCACTAGCACTCATTCCTCCAAAAAAGACAGCCAAAACAATAAATAAAAAACTACCTTTTAACAAAAATAACAAAAGGTAAATGCCAGAGTACATCAAAAAAGGAACAGAAACCCTACTGAGCACAAAAACTCAGGATAGCCATATAAAGAATGGAAGGAAATGGCCGGGCACATTGGCTCACACCTGTAATCCCAGCACTTTGGGAGGCCAAGGCAGATGGATCATTTGAGCCCAGGAGTTCAAGACAAGCCTGGCCAACATGGTGAAACCACATCTCTACTGAAAATACAAAAATTAGCAGGGTGTGGTGGCACGTGCCTGTAATCCTAGCTACTCAGGAGGCTGAGGCGCAAGAATTGCTTGAACCCAGGAGGCGGAGGTTGCAATGAGCTAATATTGGGCCACTGCACTCCAGCCTGGGCAACAGAGTGAGACCCTGTCTCAAAATAAAATAAAAATAAAAATAAAATTAAAAAAATGCCAGGCCTCCACCATTCCACACCCCCACCCCCAGGATCAGTCGAAAACCAGGAGGAAATTCTCCCTACAATGAAAAGGTAGGCAAGAGGACCCCAGCATCCCCCATCAACACCACCTCAGATAGCTACAGTCCACTGGGGTCTCCTGCAGTCCTCACAGACACTAAGCCTGCCGGAGGGAGCTATCTACCTAGAGTCCACACGGCTGTACTCCCCCTAGAAAGAGCTGACACTGTGCCTTGCCCCTGTGGCCCATGCAGCTACTGCCCTATGTCATTTTGAAAAGGGAACTAATGCTGGAGAATATTGCTCTGGCGGTGAGTAGCCACAGCACCCCTTATCCCTGAGCCTAAACTACAATTAAACCACCCATACCTGATGGCTCAGCATCCCCAAACCAAGCTTCAGGCAACTGTCACACTCTTCTTGGTGGTACCAAGCAGTGATGAAACTGCTCCACCTACCCCCGCATCCCCAAACTGGCTACCTCAGGCAAGAGGTGAAGCTGCACACTCCCGCCTGGAAAATGATGCTTTGACAGAACAGCTTCATCTACCTCTGTCAACAGTGGCTGCACCCTGCCTCTAGGGCCTAAACTAAAACTACACATTATCTGCCAGGGACATAGTGCTTTGATGGAGCCCTACATAACAGAAAAATGGTGCCTGGGCTGCCTAGAACACTCAAGGCCCCAGGGCCTGAGCTGAAATGGCACTTCGTCCCCTGGGGAATTGGTGTCTTTGTCAAGCTGAGCAGCTGTGTAGTCCAAAACTGAGCTGGTATAGCACTCTGCATTGCAGGGAAACAGAGCAATGACTGAGCTGAGACACCTCACCCTACAGGCCAAACAACTCTAGTAATGGAACTGGATTACTTCCCTAGAGTCTGAGCTGCTGAGACACCCCTCTCCCTGGAGAGTACAGTCATTGCTGTGCTTTTCCCTGTCTCCTAAGGCCAAAATAACAGCTTTGCTTGGCCCTTCTGGGGTACTTGCTGCCAGTGCATCTGGCTTCACAGAGTCAGGGATACTACCAAGCCCTACCATCCCCAGAGTATAGAATCACCACTATATGGTGTTTCATCCCCAGGGAGCTGAGTTGTCACTGAACCTTATTGGTTCAGGCTCCTGCATGGCAGCTGTACCATTTGCCTTGGGCTCAAGCCTCTAGAGCACACCTTCTTTCCTAGAGTTGGGCCTGGTCTGTGCCCTGCCCCCTAAGGGTAAACTTACAGCTACAACCTTATCTCTTAGACCAGAGTTGCTAGGAGTTGCCTCAGGGCCTAAGATCCTGGTTCTATGAGCAACATGTATCCACAGAGAGTGAACTTGCACCCTAAGATCCAGATGCCACAAGAGGTTTGGGAGACACTGAGCCTATGACCCTAGCCTCACAGCCAATCTGAGCACCTGTACCTGGAATCCAGCACCACTGCAGCAGCTTATAGGACATGTCAGACCTGACACCACAAGGGATCCTGTCACCTATGTTTTTCCCATTGTAGGAAAAACAAGAATAGGAGGACCTCAAAATCCCTTGTCCCTGAGGATGTTAACAACCTATGCTGCCACCTCAGATACAACAAACTTTTATAGCCTAAGCCACTGAGGCACTCACAGTTACTGCCGATGCTGAATGCAGCCAAAGAAGCTGCACTAAGACTATACCTTTGCACTCACCTGGAAATAGTCACCACATCCTTCCAAATTGCACACAAAGATCCAACTGTAGGTGAAAGCTCTTCTCTGTGAAAGACACTCTAGAAAGTTTGAAACAGGCAGTTGTTCCACCACATACACAGACATCAATGTGGGGACACACACACATACACACACCACCACCACCACAACAACAACAAAATGAAAAAGCAAGGAAATATGACACCACTGAATGAATATAATCATTCCCTAGTAACAGACCTCAATGAAAAAAAAATCAACAAATTGCTGAAAAAGAAACTCAAAATAGTTATCTTAAGGGTACTCAACAAGATACAATAAAATACAGACAGGCAATTCAATGAAAGCAGAATGAAATCAGAAAAACAATTCATGATATGAATGAGACATCCTGTGTTCACGAATTGGACAATGTAATATTGTTAAGATGGCAATACTCCTTAAACTGACCTATGTATTCAACACAATCCCTATCAAAATTCTAGCTACCCTTTTGCAGAAACAGACAAGCTTATCCTAAAATTAATACAAAAATGCAAGAAATCCAGGATAGCCAAGATAATTTTGAAAAATAAGTAAACTTGGAGAACTCACACTTCCCAACTTCAAAACTTACTGCAATGTTACAGTATTCTTTAAAATGTGTATTAATGCCAAAAGATCGATATACATATCATTGAAATAATACCTAAATTGAGAGTCCAGAAATAAACCTAACCATCTATGGTCAACTGATTTTCAACAAAGATTCCATGACAATTCAATGCAGGAAAGAATCATATTTTCAGTAAGTTGTGCTGGGACAAATGGATTTCCACATGAAAAACAAAAGAATTTGTACCCCTACCTCACTCTATATACAAAAATCAATTCAAAATGGATCAGAGATCTAAATGTAAGAGCTAAAACTATGACGCTCTTAGAAGAAAACATAGATAAATCTTTGTGGCTTTAAATTAGTCAATGGATTCTTTTTTTTTTTTTTTGAGACGAGTCTCGCTCTGCCGCCCAGGCTGGAGTGCAGTGGCACGATCTCGGCTCACTGCAAGCTCCACCTCCTGGGTTCATGCCATTTTCACGCCTCAGCTTCCCGAGTAGCTTGGACTACAGGCACCCGCCAGCACGCCTGGCTAATTTTTTGCATTTTTTAGTAGAGACGGGGTTCCACTGTGTTAGCCAGGATGGTCTCAATCTCCTGACCTCGTGATCCGGCCACCTCGGCCTCCAAAAGTGCTGGGATTACAGGCGTGAGCCACCGCGCCCAGCCTACAGTGGATTCTTATATATACTAAAACACAAGCAAATCCTCAAAAAATATATATAAGTAAATAAATATACATAAAGTAAACTTCATCAGTATTGAAACCTTTGTGCTTTAAAAGAGGGCAAAAAAATAGCCCACGGAATGGGAAAAACTTTGCAAATCATTTATTTAATAGGAGTTTAGTATCCAAAATATATAAAGAACTCTCATAACTCTTTAATAAAAAGATAATCTAATATATGGACCTAACACTGGAGCTCCCAAACTTATAAAACAATTACTGCTAGACCTAAGAAATTAGATAGACGGCAACACAATAATAATGGAGGACTTCAATACTCCACTGATAGCACTAGACAGGTCAGCAAGACAGAATGGTCAACAAAGAAACAATAATTTAAACTATACCCTAGAATGAACGGACTTAACAGATATTTACAGAACATTCTACCTGACAACTGCAGGATATACATTCTTTTCATCAGGACATGGAACATTCTCCAATATAGACCATATGATAGGCTACAAAACAAGTCTTAATAAATTTAAGAAAATTGAAATTATATCAAGTACTCTCTCAGACCACAGAGAAATAAAATTGGAAATTAACTCCAAAAGGAACCTCAAAATTATACAAATACATGGAAATTAAATAATCTGCTCCTGCATAATCATTGAGTCAACAGTGAAATCAAGATGGAAATTTAAAAATTCTTGAACTGAATGATAATAGTGACAAAACCTAACAAAACCTCTGGGATACAGCAAAAGCAGGCTAAGAGGAAAGTTCATAGCATTAAATGGCTACATCAAAAAGTCTGAAAAAGCACAAATAGAAAATCTAAGGTCATGCCTCAAGGAACCAGCGAAATAAGAACAAATCAAACCCAAACCCAGCAGAAGAAAAGAAATAGTAAAGATCAGAGCAGAACTAAATGAAATTGAAACAAAAAAATACAAAAGATAAATTTAAAAAAAGCTGATTCTTTGGAAAGATTAAATCAATAGACTATTGGTGAGATTAGCCAAGAAAAGAAGAGAGAAGATCCAAATAAGTTCAATTAGAAACGAAATGGGAGATATTACAAATGATACCAGAGAAATACAAAAGATCATTCAAGGCTACTGTGAATACCCTTATTCACACAAACTAGGAAACCTAGAGGAAATGAATAAATTCCTGGAAATATACAAGCCTCTTAGGTTAAACCAGGAAGAAATAGAAACTCTGAACAGACCAACAGTAAGTAGTGAGACTGAAACAGCAATTAAAAAAAAAAAATTACCAACCAAAAAAAAGCCCAGGACCAGATGGATTCACAGCTGAATTCTGTCAGACATTCAAAGAATTGATACCAATTCTATTGAAACTATTCCAAAAAATAGAGAAAGAGGGAATCCTCCCTAAATCATTCTGTGAAGCCAGTATTACCCTAATACCAAAGCCAGGAAAAGACATAACAAAAAAAGGAAAAAGAAAACTACAGATCAGTATCTCTGCTGACTATAGATGCAAAAAATTTCAACAAAATACTAGCTAACCAAATTCAACAGCATATCAAAAATATAGTACATCATGATCAAGTAGGTTTCATACCAGGGATGCAAGGTTGGTTTAACATACGCAAGTCAAAAAATGTGATGCACTGCATAAGCAGAAGTAAAAACAAAAAGCATATGATTTTCTCAATAGATGCAGAACAAGCGTATAACAAAATCCAGCATCCCCTTATGACTAAAACCCTCAGCAAAATTGGCATAGAGGGGACACACTTTAAGGTAATAAAAGGCATCTATGTCAAACCCACAGCCAACATTATAGTGAATGGGGAAAAGTTGAAAGCATTTCCCCTAAAAACTGGAACAAGACAAGGATGCCCACTTTCATCACTTATTCAACATAGCACTGGGAGTCCTAGCCACAGCAATCAGATAAGAGAAAGAAATAAAGGACATCCAAATTGGTAAAGAGGAAGTCAAAATGTCTCTGTTTGCCAATAATATGATCATATACCTAGAAAACCCTAAAGAATCATCCAAAAAGCTCCTAAATCTGATAAATGAATTCAGTAAAGTTTCAGGATACAAATTAATGTACACAAATCACTAGCACGGCTATACACCAATAGCTACTAAGCTGACAATCAAACAATAACTCAACCACTTTTGCAACAGCTGCAAAAAAAAAAGAAAGAAAGAAAGAAGGAAAAAAAAAAACCTTAGGAATATACCTAACCAAAGAGGCAAATGATCTCTACAAGGAAAACTACAAAACACTGCTGAAAGAAATCATAGACAACACAAACCAATGAAAACACATCCCATGCTCATGGATGGGCAGAATCAATATTGTGAAAATGACCATACTGCCAAAAGCAATCTATAAATTCAGTGCAATTCCTACCAAAATACCATCATCATCCTTCACAGAACTAGAAAAAAACAATCCTAAAATTCATATGGAACAGTAAAGAGCCCACATAGCCAAAGCAAGACTAAGCAAAACGAACAAATCTGGAAGCATCATATTGCCTGATTTCAAACTATACTACAAGGCTATAGTTACCAAAACAGCGTGGTACTGGTACAAAAACAGACACATAGACCAATGGAACAGAAAAGAGAACTCAGAAATAAAGCCAAATACAGCCAACTGATCTTCGACAAAGCAAACAAAAACATAAGGTGGGGAAAGGATCCCATACTCAACAAATGGTGCTGGGATAATTGGCAAGTCACATGTAGAGGAATGAAACTGGATCCTCATCTCTTACCTTGTAAAAAAATCCACTCAAGATGGATCAAAGACTTAAATCTAAGATCTGAAAGCATTGAAATTCTAGAAGATAACATCAGAAAAACTCTTCTAGACATTGGCCTAGACAAATAGTACATGACCAAGGACCTATAAGGAAATGCAACAAAAACAAAAATAAATAGATGGGACTTAAACTAAAAAGCTTCACAGCAAAAGAAATAATCAGCAGAGTAAACACAATCCACAGAGTGAGTGAAAATATTCACAAACTATGCATCCGGCAAAGGACTAGCACCCAGAATCTACAAGGAATTCAAACAAAACAGCAAGAAAGAAGTTATACAAGTGGCCAATAAACATATGAATAAATGTTCAACATCACTAATTATCAGGGAAATGCAAATCAAAATCACAATGCGGTTATCACCTCACTTCTGCAAGAATGCCCATGATTAATCTTTTTTTTTTTTTTTTCCAAATGGCCTACTTCTGGCTTCAATTCTGTTAGTTTTCACTTCATGAATTTTGGAGTTCTGCTTTCAGGTTAATATATGTTTATTATTGTTATACCTTCTTAGTGGTCATCCCTTTTATCATTATAAAATGTCCTCTTTATCTCTTGTATAATTTTTTGTTTAAAGTCTTTTGTGTCTAATATTACCGTAGCCACCCAGCTCTTTTTTTTCTTTTCAATAGCTTTTCGGGAAACAGGTGATTTTTGGTTACAAGAATAAGTTATTTAGTGGTGACTTCTGAGATTTTGGTGCACTCATCACCCAAGCAGTGTACACTGTACCCAATGTGTACTCTTTTATACCTCACTCCCCTCCCGCCCTTTTCCCCAAGTACCCAGAGTTTATTGAATGATTCGTATGTCTTTGCATCCTCATAGCTTAGCTCCCACTTATGAGTGAGAACATGCAATGTTTGGTTTTCCATTCCTGAGTTACTACACTTAGAATGATGATTTCCAATTCCATCCAGCTTGCTGCAAATGCCATTATTTCGTTCCTTTTTATGGCTGAGCAGTATTTCATGGTATATATATACACCACATTTTCTTTATCCACTTGTTGATTAATGGGCATTTGGGCTGGTTCCATATATTTACAATTGTGAATTGTGCTGCTATAATATAAACATGTGTGTGCAAGCATCTTTTTTCATATAATGACTTTTTTTCCTATGGGTAGATACCCAGGAGTAAGATTGCTGGATCAAATGACAGATCTATTTTTAGTTCTTTAAGGAATCTCCACATTGTTTTCCATAGCGGTCTCACTTGTTTACATTCCCACCAACAGTGTAAAAGTGTACCCTTTTCACCACATCCATCAGTTTTTTCTTTTTCTTTTTTTTCCTTTTTTTTTTTTGAGACGGAGTTTCGCTCTTGTTGCCCAGCCTGGAGTGCAATGGCATGATCTTGGCTCACTGCAACCTCTGCCTCCCGGGTTCAAGCAATTCTTCTGCTTCAGTCTCTCAAGTAGCTGGGATTACAGGCATGAGCCACCATGCCCAGCTAATTTTATATTTTTAGTGGAGACAGGGTTTCTCCATGTTGGTCAGGCTAGTCTCGAACTCCCAACCTCAGGTGATCCGCCTACCTCGGCCTCCCAAAGTGCTGGGATTACAGGTGTAAGCCACCATGCCCAGCCAATTTTTTTATTAAAAAATGGCCATAATTAAAATTTTTTAAAGTATGGCTATTCCTTAACCAAGCGCTATGCTATGATGTTTATGCCTTTGCATCTTCATATGCTTAGCTTAATCAAAAGTTGCAGACAATATTCTGATTCCCACACAACAAAGTAAGTTCCAGTTGGATTATAAGTATAATATGCCTGAAAAACCGTCTCTGACAATTTTGCCATTCATGGAGTTAAGGCACATATAAATAAAAGCTTGGTGTAGTTGCACATGGGGGAAGCTGTTTTTGAGGATAAAAAAGAAAGAAATTATAAAGGAAAATATTAATACATTTGATTGCCAAAAATTTAAATTAAAAATTTGTAAATTTAAATTAATGCTAAGCTATGAGGATGCAAGGCATAGAATGATATAAAGGACTCTGGGGACTTAGGGGAAAGTGCAGAAGGGGGGTTGGGAAAAAAGACTACGCATTGGGTGCACTGTACACTGCTCGGGTGATGGGTGCACCAAAATCTTAGAAATTATACCTAAAGAACTTATCCACGTAACCAAACACCGCCAGTTCCACAAAAACTATTGAAATAATAATAATTAAAATATATATATATTTAAAATTGAAATCATGCACAGAATTAAAATGTAAATCAAAGACAGAAAATTGAAAACTTCTGCAATATTTGGAAATTAAGGATAGATTTCTAAAAAACCAATGTATTAAAAAAATTTCTCAAATAAATTAGAAAAGATTTTGACTTGAATAAAAATTAAAATGTAACATAACAAAATTTATAGTTAAAACAATGCTTTGAAGGAAATTTATAACTTTAAATACTTATATTAAGGGAAAGAAAGAAAGGTTTCAAATCAACAACCTAAGCTTTCCCCCTAAGAAAATGGAAAAAGACTTTTATATAATAACCAAAGAAAAAAGAAGAAAGGAATAATAATAATAAAAGCAGAAATCAATAACATTACAAAGAGAAAACAAAGAAAAGCAATGAAACCAAAAGCTTGATCTTTGTAAAGATAATTAAATAATATCCTCTAGCCAGAATGACCAAGAAAAAAAGAAAAAGAAGACAAACTACCAATATCATTAATGAAAGAGAAGGTATTACTGCAGACCCTACAGACAGTAACAATAATAAAGGAATACTATGAATAATTCTGCCCATAAAGTCATCAACTTAGATAAAAATGAATCTATCCCTTGAAAGGCATAAACTACCAAAACTCACTCAGGAAGGAAAACCTAAATGGTATTATAAAAATGGTCCTATATATGCTTTAAATACATTTAATATATAGTTGAAAACTTTTCTACAAGGAAAATCCAGGCCCAGGAGGCTTAACTGGTAAATTATTACAAACATTTAAGGAAGAAGTAATACCAATTCTAAAAAATATCTTCCTGAAAACAAGAGAAGAGAATACTTCCCAACTAATTTTATGAGGCTAGCACTACCCTAACACCCTAAAAGCAAAAATATTAAAAGCACAAACTAATGCTCTCCTTGAACATAAACTCAAAATATTCTTCCACAAATTTATTAGCAAGTAGATTTCTGCAGTATATAAAAAGAATAATACATCACAACCAAGGGGAGTTTGTCCTGAAAATGCAAGGCTGTTTCAACATTTTTAAATCAATTAATTTACCATATTAACAAACCAAAGAAAAAAAATATGACTATATAAATAGATGCATGGAAAACACTTGGAAATTTTTCCTTTTTTTCTTTTTTTAACTTTAAAGTTCAGGGGTACAAGTGCAGGATGTGCAGGTTTGTTACATAGATAACTGTGTGTCATGGGGGTTTGTTGTATAGATTATTTCATCACTTGGGTATTAAACCTAGTATCCATTAGTTATTTTTCCTGATTCTCTCTATCCTCCCACCTTCCACCCTCCAATAAGCCCCAGTGTGTGTTGTTCCCCTCTGTGTGTCCATGTATTCTCATCATTTAGCTTCCACAAAAGTTCTCATATTAATCCATAATGATAAAAAAAACACTCTCAGCAAATTAGATATCAAAGGGAATGTTCTTAACCTGATGAAGAGCATCTATTAAAAAATTTATACTTAATATGTTTAATGTTGAAAGACTGTATTATTTATTGCTATGTAACAAACTACCCCAAAGCTTAGTGGCTTAAAACAACGATTTTTTTTTGGTCATAGTTTCTGTGGGTTAGGAATTTAGAAATGACTTAGCTGGGTGGTGCTTGTTCAAGGTCTCTCATGAGGCTGCAGGCAGGGTATCCACTGGGGCTACAGTCATATGAAGGCTTAACTGGCACCAACGAAGCTGATTGCAACCCCACTTTGCTCACACATGGCTATTGTCAGGACGCCTCAGTTCCATGCTATGTAGGCCTCTCACAGGTGCTTGAATGTCTTCACAAGTCATCTGACTTCCCCCAGAGTAAGTAACCCAAGAAAGAAAGCAAGGAGGATATTATAATACCTTATATGCTGCTCTAAGCACATGTCACATACCATCTCCTCTGTCACATTCTATTGTTAGAAGCAAATCAGTCAATAGAATTTACACTTAAGGGAAGGGGATGTTGACTCCCAATTTTAAAGGAAGTAGTACCAAAGAATGTATGGACTTTTCTTTAATATCACCACAACGATTGAGTAGGATGTCTGCACTTATTACTCCAATTCAACATCATACTGGAAGTTATAGCCAGAGTAATATGTCAAGAAAAAGAAATGAAAGATAAGCTGATGTAAAAGGGAGAACTCAAACTAACTCTACTAGAAGAAAAAGTAACTGTCTACATAGAAAACCCTGAAAGAAACAACAACAAAAAAAACCTCATAGAATGAATAATTGAGTTTAGCAAGGTCACAGAATACAATGTTAATATTTTAAATATTGTATTTCTATCTACTAGCAATGAACAATTAAAAACAAAAATGTTTAAGTACCATTTACATTAGCACCAAAAAATAAAATAGTTAAAAATCTAACAAGATATGTGTAGAATATTTCTGTTGAAAACTGAGAACACTGTTAAAAAAAAAAAAACAGAGAAAACCTAAATAAGTGAAAACATGTATTGTGTTCATGAATTGAACGACTTAATATTATTAATATGCTAATTCTCCCAAAATTAACCCACTGATTTAACACAATCCCATTAAAAATCTCATCAGAAATTTTGTAGATAGTAACACACTGATTCTAAAATGTATAAAAGATGTAGAAAATATTTTAGATGTAGCTAAAATCTTTTTGAACAAGAATGAACAATGTTGGTAGACCCACATTACCTGGTTTTGAGATTCACTTTAACACTACACTAATCAAGGCAGTATGACATTGGCAAAAGAATGGTCAAATCAATCAATGAGACAGAATTGAGAACCCAGAAATATACCCACACAAATATGATCAGTTGCTTTTTGACAAAGGTGCAGGGGCAATTAAATGGTGAAATAACAGTCTTTTTAACAAATGGCACTGAAACAATTGGGTATCTATATTCACAGGTATGAATTTCAACCTACACCTCTCACCTTATACAAAAATTAACTCAAAATAGATCACTAATCTACATATAAAATATAAAACTATAAAACTTTTACAAGAAAGTATAGAATAAGGTTATTGTGACCTTGGGACCTTAGTTAGGCAAAGAGTTCTTAGACATGAACTAAAAGCACAATACATAAAAGAAAAAAAAAGATGAATTGGATCTTATTCAAATTACAACTTTTTCTCTGTGAGAGACACTGCTAAGAAAATGAAAAAGCAATCCGCAGATTCAGGGGAAGGAAGTTTCCAAACTATATATCTGAAAACAATCTTGCATCCACAACATATAAAGAGCTCTAAAAACTCAACACTAATAAAGCAAGCAAGCCAACAAAAATTTAGCAGAAGATTTAAACAGACCCTTCAATAAAGGTGATAAACATATGGTAAAATAGATGCTCAACGTCATTAGTCATTGGGGAAATACAAATTAAAACAGCAATGAGATACTGCTACATACCTATTTGTGGAAATACTAGAGCTCTCATATGTGGCTGGCAAGAAGGCGAAGTGGTACAGTCACTTCAGAAAATAGTTTGGCAGTTTCTTACAGAGTTAAATACACACTTTCCAAATAACCCAGCAATCCCACTCCAAGGCATTTACCCAAAATAAATGAAAATGTATTGTATTAGTTTCCTAGGGCTGTCATAACAAATTACCACAAACTTTGTGGCTTAAAACAACAGAAATTATTCTCTCACAGTTCTGGAAGCTGGAAGTCCAAACTCTAGGTGTCAGCAGGGCTGCTCTTCTTCCAGAGACTGTTCTGTGATTCTGGCTTCTGGTAGACACAGACTTCCTTGGCTTGTGCCTCCTTGCCTCTGTCATGTCACCTTCTCCACATGTGTCTTCTGAGTGAATCTCTTATAAGGATATGTCATTGGATTTAGGACACACCTGGATAATTCAGGATGATCTCATTTTAAGATTCTTAATTACATTAGCAAAGACCCTTTTTCCAAGTAAGGTAAAAACATAGGTTCCAGTGATTAGGACATGGACACCTTTTGGGTGCCCTATTCAGCCCATTACACTCATCTTCACACAAAAATCTATCCATGAGTGTTTATAGCACCTCCATTCATAAATTCCAAATGAGAAACAACCCAAGTGTCCTTCTTTGGGTAAATTGATAAATCAACTGTGGCACAATGCAAGAATGTAATACTACACAGTAATAAAAAGAAGGAAGTAATTGATATATCCAATGACATGGATCAATCTCAAATGCCTTTTGCTGAGTAAAAGATAGACCAAAAAGCTACATGCATATGACATTCTCGGGAAGGCAAAACTATAGGGACAGAAAACAGAACAGTCATGATCAGAGGCTGAGGGTGGAAGGAGTGATTGACTGCAAAGGGGAAACATGGAAGAATTTGGGGAAGGAATAGAACTGCTTTATATCTCCATGGTGATGGTAATTGGATGACAATGTATTTTTCAAACTCATAGAATGGTATATCACAAAAAATGAACTTCTCTATATGTAAATTTAAAATCACATGTTTACTATGAAATACTAGGGCTGGGACTTTGCAAACCAACTTTTCCTCTGTCAGCTGAACCCCCTTTAGGCTCTGCTAATTGAAGGTCCTAAGAGGAGACAAGAGGCATCTGGAATAAAAAGAAACAGGTTCCTTCCAATTTCGACTTCTATTTCTGCTGGCATCACCCACAGAGATGCTCTACCCTGTCAGTGAGGTTGTTTCCAGTTTTAACTTTTGTTTTGTTTTTCCCTACTTCTAGAATAGCCTCAGAGATACAAGAGATACCCCCTCAGAGATACCAGCATCTGCCAGCTTCCCATCTTTGTGGTCTGAGAATCCTCCTGCAGGCTCTAGATCCTACTTACCTCCCTTCTTCTCTTTATTCCCATAGCCCCGAGGATGGTGGCCTCTTCCTATGGTTTCTATCTCTGAACTACCCTTTTCTTTCGCTTTGTCACTACACTAATACTGATTTAGCCAACTCCTTTTTAAAATTATTTCTGTTAAAATTACTCAGGTAGTTCCTGTTTTCCTGACTAGAGATTGACTAATAAAAAGCCAGTGTTTCCTATGCCCTACAAAGTACTACACGATCTGTCTTCGCCTTCATCTACTCTCTGGCCTCATCCCCTATTTCTTTTCCCAATCACTCACTCTAGATCCGATTGCTGATTCACAGGACTTAACTGTTAAACCTCACCACAGGGATGCAGAATGTAGAACTCTTTATTGGATAAATAACTTAGTCTCTCCAACAAATAAACAGCAAGGGGGAAAATAGATGAGGGAGGAACCTCTAATTTGTAAGAGCCTTAAATTAAAACTTATTATTAACCAGCAGCAATGTGAAGATTCAATTTGAGCCCTGGTTTCACATATATATAAATATATGTAAATTCTCCATCTTATCATTTATATTACATGATACATAGAGAATTTGAACCATGGCTGATGTGTAATATTAAAGAATTTTAAAATTATTGTAAATTTATTTTAGTTGTTAAATGAAATTGTGATTATATTTTAAAAGCCCTTCCCATTTGGAAATACGTGATGAAATATTTACTTATGGATATATTGACATGATAATACACTGGAGGAAGGGATATAGATGATATACAGACATAACAACAGTGGCAACTGATCATTTTTGAGGCCAAGAAATGGGTACAAAAAATTCATTATATTCTGTAAAGACTAGGTTGTTTTTATGTTTAAAATTTGTTATGCATCTCCAAAATCTGAGGGTCTACCTTATCAGGCAGCTAGGCCAAAGAATGGCTCACAAGTCTCTGAAAAACATCAGGAGCCACTGTAGAAAGGCCTATAGTGCAGTGATTTCCACTGTAAGCCCTGGAACCCAATACCTGGGTCTACCTCTATCTATCTGTGTGTGACCTTGGACTTCTCCCTGCCTCTGTTTCCTCAGAGGTGAAGGGACATGAATAATAGCATCTACTTCATGGTTTTGTCATGAAGATTAAATGAATTCACAGGTGTAAAGCACTGTTTTAAAATAATATCTGGCCCATACATAGTAAGCACTCAAAAATATTTATTATTATCATCATCATCATCATTATTATTACATAAGAAAACAAGTTGTAATGCATCACCAAGGTTTTGAAACAAATGTACCCAAAATATGCTTTTAATCTTGATGAAGTTCACAAATGGCACAATATTGACATTTTCTTAAACAAATTATACAATCATGTTCTTAGATAACAAGGCACAGCATCACCATTACCATGTGTCCTCGGAGACCACAACAGGCAGTGATTTCACGTCCCCCTAAGGTTTGGTGGAGCTGCATGATCAACAGGATGGCTCCGAAAGAACCAGTTTGCTACCAGATAAGTCAATGAGAGATGCCATCACTTTTACTGGACATAGAATTAAATATAAAAATGATGCACAGCAAATATGGAATTAGCTTATTTTGCATTCAGTTTCATTCCTTTCAAGTGACAAAGGTGCCCTTTTTTCAGTATCTTAGGATGCAAACATGTGTATCTTCCACGGGGCATTCTCACCAAGTTCTTACCAACAGAAATTAATAGAAATGGTGAGTTCAGTTTCATGATAACCTGAGATTAGGGGAAAAAAAGAAGAGGAGGGAGAAGAAGGGGAGGACAAAGGAGAGAAAAAGGAAGAAGATGAAAAGGAGAAGGAAGAGAAAAAAAGAAGTAGAAGACAAGTCATGAATAATCACAATTATTACTGAAAAAATACTAATTTACAGAAGTGTTTCTTTAAACAGCATTTATGAATTATGGTTATGAGAGGTAAGCAGGCTTGTAAGGCAAATGAAGACTAAAATAATTCAACTGCATCTATTAATCTTGGTAGTAGGTTATGATTACAGCTTATCCACCTGAATCTGTAGTCAAGGGTTGAGCCCTTTCTGAAACCAGCCTAATGAATGAAGACTGGCCCTGGTTAAGGTTTGCAGACCTCTCCCTTTCTGAATCCAGCAAGCTTTTTATTTTCTTTCCATTTCCCTTATCAGAAAAATGACACTACATCTCTGATGTCATTCTGACATCATGCTAGGTTCTAGAAAGAACTCACTGCCTCAGGAGGAACAATGTAACTGGACAGAAGGAACCTAAAGAACCTACCAGAGCAGAGGTTTTCAAAATGTAGGTTTTAACTCCAAGTCCCTTCCCCCTCTTATCCCATAGCATTAGGGTAGTTACCTTCTTCCTGGAGTCATTCATCTGCTCAGGCTTGAAGGTCCCTGCGGCGCCTGCCAAAGGCTTTGGAACCCACATTGGTGGGCACGAAGTTGCTCTTCACCATGCCCCCTGATCTGCTCAGCAAGCCTGCCAGCCGATGAGTCACACAGGTGGCAGTGTTGCAGGCTCTCTTCTGGGCAGCGGAGCTGATTTGCAAGATAGAGAAAGAAGAGAAGACCTGTGAGTGAAAAGCTGGGGGAGGAGCCTTCATGAAGAGAACTGCAACACTTCGACACACCACCTAACAGTAAGTGTTTCTCGAAAATGCAATTATCAAAGCTGTTAGGGGAAATGGCCTGGCAGTCTTCACCAGGAGCTCTGCCCAAAGACCATCATGAAAAGAAAGAAGAAAAAACAATTCCAAGCCACGGGGCACAGGCTGAAACCCTGCACTTACCATTCAAGGAGGAAGTGGGCAACGAGGCCCAGACCCACCCCAAGATACACGAGGAGTATACAGAGACCATACCCCAGCCACAAGCACCAACACTACCCATTACCACAGGAAAATGAAATTCCCTAAAGTCTTCAGAAGAAGCTCAGAGAACAGGGTTTGCAGCATCCTCTCCCAGAAGTACTTACCAGCTCCTTCACACACTGTTCTTGCTGCTTGAGCTGGGTCATAGTGATGACCCACCAAGCCCCATACCCAGCTACCCTGAAGCTAAGGCTACTTCTGAGCATAGGCACTGGACACCCTCAAGTCTGGATGTGGACCAGAGCAATGAGCACCGCAGCTCAGTTCCTTTTAGAAAAATAGATTGATTCATCTAATGCCAAGGCATTAAGGACGTGCTTATTTTATCGTAGTACATTTAGAAGCAGAAATTGGATGCCTCTGTCATAACACCCTCTACAGTCTCAAGAAGCTTCCCTTATTTTCTTTTATCTCTAATGTGTTCAGTAAGTCCTGCTGTCTTCCCTTCCATCCTGAGGTCTTCAAAACATTCTCTGTCATAAGCAAAAATACCAATACCAGCATGAAGACAAATCAGAGAGGAATCCACATGCATCAGGTTCATAAAGTGGAGCAAGAAGGGGAATCAGGAGAGTTGAGAGAAGTTCAGCTGCCATCTGGGGGACCCTGGAGTCGGGTAGTGGTCCCTCTGCAAGCTGTTGACTATGTCCCTATTCTTGCCAGGAATTTCAGGCCCGAAGTTGATGCCAGGGAACATATGAAAGTTTTTCAGGTACTGCAAGTATGTGCCCTGCAAGCAGGTACTCAGATTACTATACGCTACTTAAATCTAGGACTGCTCAAGCTGCAAGGGAAGGACATGCCAGACAGTACCATGCACTAGGGACTGTCCCCATGGGCAGTCACTCAGAAGGTTGGACCAGGCAGGGGACATGTCGAGTGGGAGCAGGTGGGGCAGGCAGGAGGGCAGCTCACACACACTCCATTAGGAGAGGTGAGAGGGTCAGTGGGCCAGGGCAGTGTAGAGAAGGGCTGAATGAGGAAGGATGATCTTTTCTGGTATTCCCATGATGTTCAGCCCTTCATGCTCAACAGAGAGGTTCTCGGGGTGAATGTAGGTGTGACACATGCCTCTGCCCAGCAGTGCTGGGAGCAGGCCAGGGGTTGGTCTCTGCTCAGGCTCAACATGCACAAGGATGTGGGTCTGGGAAACGGTGCTCTCCCTGGCCTCATGACAACATGCACATCTCCACAGAGCTTGCACATCTAAAGGCTCAAACCTACCTCAGACACTGCTCTGTCCCCACCCCCTGCAAGGGCTTCATCTTCACCTTGCAAATGTGAAATGAAGGCTTCTTGCAGGTATGAAAGAATGGCATGCACATGTGAAATTTCTAAAACTTTCTGAGATATTGGGTCTATTCCTGACTTCACCCTTACCAGTCTTAACTCATCCAATGCTAGGAGATCTCCCAGTACTGCAAGAGCAATTTCCACAGTGAACGATTCCACACCTCCCCATTTCATTTTCTATCAGTTTTCACAAATTGAGTTTTTTCTATGTCTAGAAAAAGCTTCTACATCTATGTTCTAACAGCTTTCAGAAACGGAGCTTTTTATTGTGTCTAACCACACACAGTCCCTCCAGGTGCACTGGGACCTCTGTCTCCCTTGGAACTTGAGAAAGGGAGCCTGCTGGACAAATCAGCTTGCTGGACCCCTTGCCAGTGTGTTCTCTCCTGCCTCTTGGGATCCACCTTCCTGTGTATGCTGCGGGGAGAGGAGTCCCTGTGCTGGGCGCTTGGGGAACCTCACCTGGAGCCCTGTGTCTCCTGCTCCTGCTTCAGCTCACTGGCCTTCATCTGCACATAGTCCTGCACCAGTGCAGCCAGCAGGAGGCGCGCGTCCTCTTTACTGAGTGTGGCCGGGTCTGGGCTGCTCTCCAGGGCAGACCTGTGGAAGGGAAGCAAACTCCTTGCAGGCTGTGAGCCCCTGACTGACCCTCCCCAGGATAGGCAGCCAGGCTTCCTGGTCTCTGCTTCTTCCCCTGGGGATGTGGCCACCGCGACTCCCAGGGGACGGGCATGAGGCCAGGGTCCACCTGTGGGCACTGATTCACCAGGAGCCACGCGTGACTTCAGAGGCACAGAGCTGTCTGGTCCTAGGGGCAGTGGGAGCAGAAGGCGCCTCTGGCTCCAGGCTGTCTCACCTGAATGGCGCCGCCTGGAGGCTGCCCGCCTGGTACAGGACCAAGATACTGAGAGCCAGGAAGGGGGAGAACTTCCGGAAACCCATGCCGCCTCTCTGTAAAGGAAGGATGACGTTACTACTGCACCAGCACAGATCTAGGTTCCAGTCCTGCCTCTGCCACAACTGCCATGTGACCTTAGGCACGTTACTTCAGCTGCCTGAGCCTCTGTTCCCTTCATTTGCAGGAAGGGCTGCTGTGAATCTCAAGAGACACATTGCAGTGAGTGAATGGCTTGATAGAGCGGAAAAAGGTGTCCTAGGGGAAGGGTGGAGAGAAAGGATGAATTTTGGTTCTGTTTTGTTGAAGGCCAGGGAGAAGCCACACGCGCCCGTGCACACAAACAGACACTTCTGCCCTGATTTATGCCTAAACCAGGCGTGGACGCACCTTGCTGTAGACCTGCTCTCCCCTTCTCGCCTTCTCCTCTGCTGGGCTTCGCGCCAACGCATGCGAGGGGAAGGTGGGAAGGGTGGATTGGAAAGGAGCGCTCATTTCTCAGTCTTGGAACTGGGAAAAATTTTTAACGTGCCAGTTACGGGTGTCTCAGGACTCGCCCGCAAAGCCAGCCCTCTGCCGGAGCGCGTTTTAGCAGCAGATGCTGAGCAGCAGCTCCGCGAGGTGAGCGCCCAGGGTTCTAGTCCGCTAACAACACTGCCTTAGATCCGGACCGGAATCCCGGGAAGGCTCACCAGGGAGGCGCCTCAGAGGAAAGCTCAGGGTTCCGACCTCCCGGGAACGAAACATGCTCCCGAAGGACAAAGACGGCGCAGGGCGCTCCCGGACCCAACTCTGCAGAATCCTGCGCTCAGCCAGGCCCCAACGCCAGGGCTGCAGACCCGCCTACCTCCGCTCGCTGCGCTTCCAGCGCCCACGCTGAGCCATGGGGATGCTTGGGCTCCTCTCGCACTGGTAGGAGAAACTGCCAGGACAACCCTAACCGCTCGCCTTCTACGGGGCCTGGAAGAGAGCTAGGACCACCGCTGTAAGGTAGGACCAGATGGCGGCGGAGAGGCAGACAGGCAGATGGAGCAAACTGGATGAACTAGTCGAAGAAGCAGGTTATTCGAGTGAGCGGAATGGGGAATGGGAAGTTCCTCACCTGGCGACTAGAGTTTCAGGGCAGCGCGAGCGGCCGGTCGACCCGGGATGAACACCACACCTGCTGTGGGCGCCTTCCCCGCGGAGACCCCGCTCTTATTACAGAGATAGCTGGAGGGGGGGGGTCCCCACCAGCCCGCGCGGCCAATCCAAAGTGGCCAGGACTAGCCAATCAAAGGACCGACCGAGCTCCGATTGCGTCATAGCTCGCACTGCCGGCACTGGTACTCTGGAGCGGGGGCAGTCCGCCCCGCTGTCATTTTTTTCATTGAGGTCATTGCTTGGGAAGCTGGAGAGCCTGGGAGAGGACAGAGATTTTTCAACTAAGAGTCGGGGCAAGTCGAGGAGAGTTTGGCGTCACCTACAGTGAGGGGCCAGAGCTGCTCTCACCTCCTTGGCTCCTAAATTCCTGCCTCGCACTCCCTCCTGTCACGCCAGTGAGGGACCCGAATCCAGCCACCCGAACCCCCAGCGAGGTTGAGCAGTAGTAGTCCTGGGTTCTAAAGGGACCACAGCTGAAAGAGCCCACGGCAGGGAAGGAGGGGGGGGGAGGGAAAAGGGGAGGGAGGGGTCCTCAAAATTTGATCTTTTTGGACCACCTGGGGTGCTTCCCTGGATATCCTCCGACCCCTCGAGCCCTGGCAACCTGGGCACCCAAAGAAGGCTGTTTTGGTGCCAGTCTGGCAGCCAGCCCTTCTCCACCTCACTCCTCTGGGACGGGCAGGAGCCGAAGAGAGGTTGGGGAGAGGGCTAAACTGACATAGCCTGCATACAAGGCTCAGCATCCACCTCCTCCCTCTTCCCCTATATCCCCAAATCCTCGACCGCGGGTCCAGCATCCCCCACGCCAAGCCAGGACCCTCCACTGCTGCGCCGAAGTTGGCTTACACAGCTGCCCTGCAACTCTGCCACCTGTTTGCCAAGCTGCCTGGCGGAGATGGTCTATGCCCGGGTCTCTATCTCTCTCGTTCCACACCCCTACCCCACTTCGCTGAAGCGCCTGAGAGCTGAGCGCGCTGGGGTCCAGCTGCCACCCACGGAGGGGAGCAGGTGCTGCAGCGCGAGAGTCAGCCTGAGAATTTTCACACAAGTTCCACTCGCGACTACAGACCAGCCAGTGCGCGCATCATCACTCACATGGCAGGACCCCCACCACACGCTCTGCCTTCTGCATTCACAGACAGTCCATCAGACAGCCAGCACTCACTGGAACAGATGCGCCCTCACCAGCTGCTCCGAAAAGGGAGCGTGCGCAGGAACCCAAACTAACCACACCCATACCCGAAAGCAACCCCGTGTGTTTCTGTTTCCAAAAACAGGCGTGTTTTATGCAATTGGGGGTACATACTGTCCCCTAAACATGCACACCGACACATGCACGTCCACGCACACAAACTCGGCCTATCCATCTTTTCTGAAGGAAAGCCGGGTTCTGGGAGTCGGCACTGCCAGCTCTTCTTGCTCCCGGGTTCCAGGAGAAGATCCCAGCTTTGGCAGAATAGGCTAGGAAGGAGCTGGGGGTAGGGGCGATGGCAAGAAAGAAAGGGGCGCCTCTCACCACAGCCCCCAGCCCCGGGCCTCCGGTTCGCTCTCTGACGCTTGGCAGCAGCGACCCTAAATAAGTCCGCCGGCGCCCACTGCACTCCTGGAGAGCATTCGGGAAAACTTGCTGGAGGCTGCCGGGCAGGAAGCAAAGCCAGAGGCTGGCGGAACCCCTGCAGGTGATGCTCACTGTTTCTGCGGGTCAGAAAAAAGTTCAGGGGATATCTGTCTAGGCCCTCTGGGTCCTTTTCTTGTGGCAGGACCCAGCTGGTGGGACTAGGGCGGGTTGGCCTCCAGCACCCGTGCAATGGAAACTCCAGGTAACACCCACGAAGAATCGGGACCGCTGACTCGGGTGACTGCCGCCCGGCCTGCAACTCAGATGCGCAGCGTGCACTGAGGCAGGGTGACCTGCAGTCGCCCCCTCCCCTGGGAAGGCAGTCAGAACTGTTCTAGAAGTAGCTCCGGCCTGTGGCGGACTCGAAGTAAGGCAGGAGGACTTCCAGGACCTTTGTAGTACCACACCAGGAACTGCAGCTCTCTAAGGAGTATTTCTATGTATGCGAAGGTTCTCTACGTCTAGACTGTTGGATGCGCTTTTGTGTTTTTGGTTCTGCTTTGTTTTTTAATTTTTAATTTGTGTAAGTTCATACTAGGTGTATACATTTATGGGGTTCATGAGATGTTTTGATACAAGCATACAATGTAATAATCACATCATGGAGAATAGGGTATTTGTCCCCTCAAGCATGTATCCTTTGTGTTACAAACAATCCAATTACACTGTTTTAGTTATTTTTAAATGTACAATTAAGTTATTATTGACTATAGTCACCCTGTTGTGCTAGCAAATGGTAGGTCTTATTCATTCAATTTTTTTTGTACCCTTTAACCATTCCCATCTCCACCATCACCACCCATTACCCTTCTCAGCCTCTGATAACCATCTCTACTCTCTAGGTCCATGAGTTCAACTGTTTAGATTTTTAGATGGTGGGCTCGCTTTTGGAAACAATGAGGGACACCAAGGCGGCCTTCACTTGGGAGCCCTTTTTCCAAAAACCCTGCAATTCTAGGGGAGACTTCTGTGTCCCTCTCCCTGATTCCAGCCCAGATAAATGGCTGCCTAGTGGACAGGCAAAGTTTGGAGGTGCTACCTGCATGAGGGTTGTGCCCTCTGCCCCACTTCTTCCTCGGCCACTACCACCCTCTCTGAGGTCTGGCAGAACTGGTAGCCCAGTAGTTCTGGGAAGCACCACTCTTCGCAGGGCCCTTGGGCCAGCCTGGCAGGAGAGGAAAGGAAGCTGAGTAGGAAAGAAAATCTGGAAGACCCCAGAACTTGGAGTGGCGGGCTCCCCAGCCTGTCTATGTTATCAGTGGTGCACAAGGCCCAGGAAGCAAGCTGGGAGCTCAAGAGGAGTCATAATTGGTGTTTGGCCTCCCAAGAAGCCCAGAAATATTATCTGAAGGGAAATTTGAACCTTTGGAACTGGCACTCAAAAGCTGGCACTATCTCCAAAGGCCAGGTCTGTGTCACTAGGACTTTTCTGAAGTATTTGGACAGATGGCCATACTGCTATTGTTGTGGGAAGTCAGGGACCCTGAACGGAGGGACCAGCTGAAGCCATGGCAAAAGAACATAAATTCTGAAGATTTCATGGACATTTATTAGTTCCCCCAATTAATACTTTTATAATTTCTTACGCCTGTCTTTACTGCAATCTCTGAACATAAATTTTGAAGATTTCATGGACATTTATCACTTCCCCAATCAATACTCTTGTGATTTCCTATGCCTGTCTTTACTTTAATTTCTTCATCCTGTCATCTTCGTAAGCTGAGGATGTATGTCACCTCAGGACCCTGTGATGATTGCATTAACTGCACAAATTGTTCGTAGGCATGTGTGTTTAAACAATATGAAATCTGGGCACCTTGAAAAAAGAACAGGATAACAGCGATGTTCAGGGAACAAGGGAGATAACCATTAGGTTTGGCTGCCTGAGAGCCAGGTGGAACAGAGCCATATTTCTCTTCTTTCAAAAGCAAATAGGAGAAATACTGCTGAATTTCTTTTCTCAGCAAGGAACAGCCCTGAGGAAGAGAATGCATTCCCAGGGGTAGGTCTCTAAAATGGCCACTCTGGGAACGTCTGTCTTTTATGGTTGAAGATAAGGGATGAAATAAGCCTCGGTCTCCCGTAGCGTTCCCAGGCCTATTAGGACAAGGAAATTCCCACCTCGCAAATTTTTAGTTAGACCGATTGTCTGCTTTCAAACCCTGTCTCCTGATAAGATGTTATCAATGACAATGCGTGCCCAAAACTTCATTAGCAATTTTAATTTCACCCTGGTCCTGTGATCTTGCCCTGCCTCCATTTGCCTTGTAATATTTTATTACCTTGTGAAGCATGTGATCTCTGTGACCCACACCCTATTCGTACACTCCCTCCCCTTTGAAAATCACTAATAAAAACTTGCTGGTTTTGCGGCTTGGGGGGCATCACGGAACCTGCTGACATGTGATGTGTGCCCCGGATACCCAGCTTTAAAATTTCTCTCTTTTGTACTCTTTCCCTTTATTTCTCAGACCGTCCAACACTTAGGGAAATAGAAAAGAACCTACATGAAATAACATTGAATTATTTGGGGTGGGTTCTCCTGATATCTGGCCCACCAACATGGTTTTTTCTTTTTCCCAAGTGCATGTGGGAACCCGATTCCCTTTGGTAGGTGCAGAGAAACGTCATCGGTTTGGTCCACAGAAATGCTTGTTCGACTCCCTGACGACTGGTGAGTAGTCTGTGTATGGTCCAGGTTAACTATGGGTCACACGGAGTCTAAAAATTATACTTATCTCTTCTATATTAAACTCCGGTTAAAACAGGGAAAGGTTCAAGTGCCCATGGAAAATATGGTCACTCTATTCAGGGCAGTGGGAAAATACTGTCCTTGGTTTCCTGAAAAAGGAAGCTTAGATGTAGACCTGTTAAAACCAGCAAAGGTTCAAGTGCCTATGGAAAATATGGTCACTCTATTCAGGGCGGTGGAAAAATACTGTCCTTGGTTTCCTGAAAAAGGAAACATATATGTAAAAGTATAGGATCTTGTTGGTACAACACTCCAGGAACTTGTCTCAACAGAGAATTATGTTCCCATCACTGTTTGGGGTGATTGGGCCTTGGTACATGCCGTCCTAATACCTCCTCAACTTTCCTCTCCTGCACAGCTTTCATTATCTGATCAGCCTCTCCGTTTGCCTGTTCCTCTCCCATTTAATGATGCTGAGACTTCAATATCTAACTCCGGTGACTTTGGCTTAAATTTACCCCCTACTGATCTTACTTCTTTTCACCAAGAGCAGGTACTTGAAGCTCCCAGCCTTGACTCACACAGCCCAGGACCATAGATATGCTAATTCTTCTCTCTTCAAACCTCTGGCATCAGCTAATGGCTCCAGGACCAACCTATAATTTACCTATAATTCTCCAGGCCCTCCCCCAACCACTGCAGCCCCTCACCCTCCTGTCATTTCGGTTCCTCAACCAGTCACTTGGCCATCCACCCAGCCTGCTTCTCTGTACCCTTCTTCACACATGGATGCCAGTAATCTCTGCCTCTTCTGCTCCTTCAATGCCCCTTTCTCACACCGTCATTCCCGTCTGTGTCATTATGTACCTTGTAATCTTATCTTTTTAAAAGAACTTAAGGATGCTTGTACTCAGTATGGTCCTACTTCTCCTTATGTTAAAATGGTATTACAAACTTTTTGTACACAGGTCACTTTGCTTCCTTTAGACTAGGATCTTTTGGCAAAAAGCTGTTCTGACCCCATCTCAGCCTGGTGGGCAGAGGAGGCCGGTCTACAGGCTCAGCTAAATTGGACTAATGGCATTCTAATTACTCAGGCTCAGCTCACAGGCTCCAATAGTTTCTCTGATACTTATGCCCAATTAGGCTTTGATGCTCTTACCACAAAACAAGGAACAAAGGTGTGTATGAGAGCTTAGGATAAATTATGCGCCCCAGGCCAAGCTCCTGTTTCTTTTACTACTGCTAAATAAGTTCAATTGCTTTTACTACCTAATATCATTTTAAACAAAGGAGATAAGACACGTGGCCCTGGGATAGGCTCTGGAGAAAGCTGCTTATTGGATTAATGTAATTTCTAAACAACGGCCCACCTGCACCATACACATTCAAGTAAAAAAGTTTGAGGGCCTAGTAGATACTGGGGCTTAAATTAATATTCCACATAACTCTTATAGTGCTCCCAAGTCAGCATATGATGGAAAACATGGGGTTTGTTCCTGGACTCAGTCTCGGTCCAAAACATGAAGGGATTACTAAACCCCTCCCAGTTACTGTAAAAGAAAACAGGGCGGGTTTAGGTTATCGTTTTTAACGGTGGCCACTGCCACGCCTCCTGATCCTATCCCTTTACAATAGAAATCTGACACACCATTTGGATTCAGCAGTGGCTGCTTTCTAAAGAAAAACTGGAGGCTTTAACTCACTTGGTTTCTGAACAGTTACAACTTGGAAATGTGGAACCTTCTCTTTCCCCATGGAATTCTCCTGTGTTTCTAGTAAAAAAGAAATCAGGCAAGTGGCGGATGGTAACCGATTTAAGGGCCATTAATGCTGTAATTAAACCTATGGGGGCCGTCCAACCTGGCATGCCTGCCCCTGCTTTAATACCTAAAAATTGGCCTCTCATAGTTATTGATCTTAAAGATTGTTTTTTCATATTCCTTTACATAAATCAGATTGTGAAAAATTTGCTTTTACTGTACCATCTATCAATAATCAGGAGCCTGCAGCTTGTTATCAATGGAAAGTACTTCCTCACGGAATGCTAAATAGCCCTATAATCTGCCAGCTTTATGTTGGGCAAGTGCATTCAACAGTTCGAGCCCAATTTCCCCAGGCCTATATTCTTCGTTATATTGATGATATTTTAATTGCTGCCCCCAATGATAAAGAATTAATTGACTGTTATCAAATTATGAGCCGCCGTGTTACAGAGGATAGATTACACATCGCTCAGGATAAAATTCAACAGACCACTCCTGTTCAATATTTAGGAATGGTGGTCAATAGACAATGTATTCAACTTCAAAAAGTTCAAATGAGGAGAGATTCTTTGAAAACTTAAAATGACTTCCAACAACTTTTGGGTAACATTAATTATTTAAGACCTAGTTTAGGCATTCCAACCTATGCACTGTCTAATTTGTTTTCTACGCTGCGGGGAGATTCCAATCTCCACAGTCCCAGGACTTTGACTCCTGAGGCTTCACTAAACTGGAATTCGCAGAGGAAAGAATCCAGACCACCCAGTTATCTACAGTACAGCCATCTCAGCCTTTTCAGCTTCTAGTTTTCGCTTCATTTCTTTCCCCTACTGGGCTAATAGTTCAACATAATGATTTAGTAGACTGGTGCTTTCTTCCTCATTCTGTGTCAAAAACTTTGTCTGTTTATCTGGACCAAATGGCCATTTTAATTGGACAGGCATGGTGTAGAATACTTAAAATTTCCAGATTTGATCCGAATTTAATTGTAGTTCCTTTAAATCGGCTCAAAGTTCAAATCGCCTTTCAACATTCCGTGCTATGGCAAGTTCACTTGATTAATTTTATTGGTGTTATTGACAATCATTATCCAAAAAACAAACTGTTTGATTTTATAAAAATGACTTCTTGGGTGGTCCCTCGATTGACCAAAGATCAGCCCATTCCTGAGGCTGTTACAGTGTTCACTGATGGCTTCAGCAAGGTAAATGCTGGTTATATAGGTCCTACAAACAAGCTTATTTCTACCCCTTATACCTCTGCTCAAAAGGCAGAGTTAAGTGCTGTTATTACTGCCTTACAAGATTTCCCCAAACCTTTAAATATTGTCTCTGATTCTACTTAACATGGGAAAGAGGACATGCTTGTGTTTCACCAGGAGATCATCAAATGAAAACCACAGGGAAAAGATGTCCGCGTCAGAGACCACCCTCAGATGTGGTGAGATCTGTGCCAACTCCTCAGAAGCTGGCACGCCAAATCAAAATGGATCTGATTCAATCCTCCCTGTTGGCAATGGAGACCCATCTAACTAATCCCACTTCTAATTACCTTTCTTTTTCTGCTCACAAACCTAAAAATCTCACCGTTTCTGTGAGCCTGAAAATAACATCCCTCTGTTCTTCTCTTCTTCCTTCTGCACTGAATCTCACCTACAATAGGTTTTATTTAATGATTCTCCTCCTTATACTTTCTGTCTCACCAGTTTCCTCTCACACTGATTTATCTGCTACACAAAATTATTCTTACTGGGCTTATGTGTCTTTTCCTCCACTTATTTGACCTCTCACCTGGATGGGTGCTCCTGCAGAAATCTACACTAAAGATAGTGTGTGGATGCCTGGAGCTACAGATGATCATTGCCCTGCTCAACCAGGAGAAGAAGGCACTGCATTTAATGTTATCATGAGTTATAAATACTGCCCTCTGTGCCTCAGACATGCACCTGGTTATATCCATCTAGAAACTCAAGTCTGGGCTGCTTAACTTCCGGAGAGATCAGCTACAGAGGAACCGGGACATTTGGTCTCCAGCCTCTCCCTTTCTCCTTTAAAACAAATGAAAGGGGAAGTAATGGGAGATACCCCATACTTTCAATATAAACCTGCAGGAAAACCATGCCCTAAAAATTTTGAGGGCCCATCTAAAACTTTAGTTTGAGAAGATTGTGTTAACTCACATGCAGTAATATTAAAAAATGACTCATATGGTTTAGTAATAGACTGGGCACCAAAGGCTATTCAAAAAAAAATTGCTCCTCTGGCGGAAGGGAATGCCTGGAGGCTGCTTATTTTATTTCTTATTGGGAGAACGAGAATCATCATTCTACTTTGCATAGGATGTTCAGTTCATTCTTTCCCTTAAAATGGGAAGATAAAGGCATTACGCACCCCCCTACCCCCTGAGACCTCGTGTGATACTCTCCATTCTGAGCTCAGAACATCCAGAACTTTGGAAATTGGCTATTGTGACTTTGGAAATTGGACTGCGAGTATGGGAAGGGGAAACTATTCTGTCTGTTGTCTCCGATACCGTCCCTCTCCCTCAGTATCAATGTAGATCCAGACATTCCATTTTACTTACATCCAACCTGACTGTTCCCATACAGAGTTGTGTTAAGCCTCCTTACATGCTGTTAGTGGGAAATATCAAAATTTGGACAAACAATCAAACTGTCCAATGCATTAATTGTCATTTATACACTTGAAATAACTCCTATTTTGACTCCTGGAAAAGTGTAATGTTGGTTCAAGCTCAAGAAGGAATCTGGATTCCGGTAAGTTTGCCCAGACCTTGGGAATCCTCCCCCTCAATACATTTAATTAATGAAGTGTTACAGCGAATTATAAAAAGATCTAAGAGATTTGTTTTCACTTTAATCGCTGTGATCATGGGCCTAATTATAGTCACTGCACTGGCCACCACTGCCGGAATGGCGTTACACCAATCTATTCAAACGGCTGATGTTGTTAATGATTGGCAAACCAATTCCACCCAAATGTGGAATTCTCAACAAGGCATTGATCAAAAATTGGCTAATCAAATTAATGATTTAAGACAGTCTGTTATTTGGCTTGGAGATTGGGTGGTGAGTCTCAAACATTGCATGCAAATGCAGTGCAATTGGAATACTTCAGATTTCTGTATCACCCCGTATTCCTATAACTAGACTGATCATTCATGGGAAATGGTCAAAGGACACCTCCTAGGTAGGGAAGATAATTTATCACTGGACATAACTAAATTAAAGAAACAAACTTTTGAAGCCTCTCAAGCTCATTTATCCATTGTGCCTGGAGCAGAGGCATTAGATCAGGTGGCAGAAAATCTTTCTGGATTAAACCCCACAACTTGGATTAAGTCTATTGGGGGCTCGATTGTAGCAAATTTTGGAATTATGTTTCTCTGTTTAATCAGCTTATCTTTAGTATGCCAGACCAGTCAAAGAATCCTGCGTCAAAATCGAGAGAACGAACAAGCCTTCATTGCCATGGCACATTTATATAAAAAGAAAGGGAGAGATGTTGCAGGAAGTCAGAGACCCCAAACGGAGGGACCGGCTGAAGCCATGGCAAAAGAACATAAATTCTGAAGATTTTATGGACATTTATTAGTTCCCCAAATTAATACTTTTACAATTTCTTGCACCTGTCTTTACTGCAATCTCTGAACGTAAATTTTGAAGATTTCATGGACATTTATCACTTCTCCAATCAATACTCTTGTGATTTCCTATACCTGTCTTTACTTTAATTTCTTAATCCCGTCACCTTCGTAAGCTGAGGATGTATGTCACCTCAGGACCCTGTGATGATTGCATTAACTGCATGAATTGTTCATAAGCATGTGTGTTTAAACAATATGAAATCTGGGCACCTTGAAAAAAGAACAGGATAACAGCGATGTTCAGGGAACAAGGGAGATAACCGTTAGGTCTGGCTGCCTAAGAGCCGGGCAGAACAGAGCCATATTTCTCTTCTTTCAAAAGCAAATAGGAGAAATACTGCTGAATTTCTTTTCTCAGCAAGGAACAGCCCTGAGAAAGAGAATGCATTCCCAGGTGTAAGTCTCTAAAATGGCCGCTCTGGGAATGTCTGTCTTTTACGGTTGAAGATAAGGGATGAAATAAGCTTTGGTCTCCCGTAGCATTCCCAGGCCTATTAGGACGAGGAAATTCCCACCTAGTAAATTTTTAGTCAGACCGGTTGTCTGCTTTCAAATCCTGTCTCCTGATAAGTTGTTATCAATGACAATGCGTGCCCAAAACTTCATTAGCAATTTTAATTTCGCCCTGGTCCTGTGATCTCACCCTGCCTCCATTTGCCTTGTAATATTTTATTACCTTGTGAAGCATGTGAACTCTGTGACCCACACCCTATTCGTACACTCCCTCCCCTTTGAAAATCACTAATAAAAACTTGCTGGTTTTGTGGCTGCTGACATGTGATGTCTCCCCCGGATACCCAGCTTTAAAATTTCTCTCTTTTGTACTCTTTCCCTTTATTTCTCAGACTGGTCGTCACTTAGGGAAATAGAAAAGAACCTACATGAAATAACATTGAATTATCGGGGGCAGGTTCCCCCGATATGCCATAGCATGGCACAATTCCCAGACTAGGCCCTCTGCTTCACAGGCACGCATTGGGTGTCCCACAACCCAGCACCCAGCTCCTGCCTGGGGCAGATTAGGCAGTAGTTTCTGTTAAGGCTGCCAAGACTGGAATCCCCGCACGCTGCTCTGTGACGAGTGCTTACCAGACACCAAGGGAAGTTTAACAACCTAAACACAAACACACCCCATTAGTCACGTTTGTTGTCTTCTTGAGTGTCTCTATGGGACTAGCTATTTTAGCTTTGCGCACCCAGGATTATTTGACCTAGTCTTGTTCCTCCACTAGCGTCTTTGCACAGTGTTTGGCACATAATAGGTTCCTGCAAATGCTCAATGAGGCAGAAAGAGCAAGGCAGTGAATGAACAATTCATGGGTTCATTACCCTAAAAGTCAGACAATAAGTTCACCCAAGTTAAATTGGGATGTAGACACAATTTAGATCTGTTAGATGGAAGGGAAGATTGTGTTTATCCAAAGATGCACCCTTTTTATTTTAATAAAAGTTATCAGTGTCTTGGTGAAAAATTTCTGGAATCAAATGTGAGAGGAAGTACTGAGGGCTTTATGTCTTCAGGAGTCTGCCAGTTTGCAAAGCAAAACAAGGCAGTTTCCCTCAGTCCATCTTTGTATGATATTAGTGAGTGAATGGGAGGAAAAGTTAATAAAATAATTTATTTTTTAAATTGAGAAAATTGCATCTTGATTTCCCTGGAACTGTTCTGAGCCTCAAGGCCTCTCCAACCAACCAAACGACCATAAAGATTTATAGACAATAGTCTCCTAGGAATATCTAGCTATTAAATTGTGTCTTAAATATTTTGATACTCAGTTTAAATAAACTTATAGTATTACTCATAAAGTATGAAAATGGTAGTCTTAACATTTTGGGAACAGATTCCACTTACTATAATTTTGAAGTTTATTTTTATTTGTTTGGCTTACTTTCTGATTTCTTTACAAATTTCCTAGAAGAAGTGGTTCTTAGGAGAAAGTTTCATTCATTCAACATGCATTTATTGAGGACCTACTATGTGCCAGGCATTGTTCTAGGCACTAGGATTCACAGTGTACAAAACAAAAACTCCTGCCTTCCCTGTGCTTATATTTCAGTGATGTACTTACTTAACAAGAATCCTTGTATATCACCCCTCCCTGCAAATAGAACACATCCTACCCTAATCACATGCTGTCAATGTAGTAACATCATCTATTTGTTTGTCAAAAATATATTCAGGGTTTACATTATTAAGATTATATACATATTATTCCTAGCTGAGACATATTGTGTCCTTTGATTACATTTCCTTGCATATATGTTTTATTTTGAGTTAGTAACTCCCTCTCTTTTCATGTGCTTAATTATCTTTCTGCCCATCACTTGTTTATCCCTCTTCCTGGATCCTATTTGTTCCTCATACATGGTTTACTCTCTCACTTTGGTGGAGCATATTTGCCATTATATGATTGGTAGCTTTTCTGGGAAGAATTCTAGGTTGGAAATCATTTTCACTTAAAATTTTGAAAGCATTTTCTGCTGTCTTCTATTTCCAGTGTCACTGTTGAGAAACCCATTTTATCTTTTCTTTTGTTGTTGTTGTTGTTATTATTATTATAAGATCTATCTCTTTCTCTCTTCTCACTGGTGTTCTAAAATTTTATGATGATGTGCCTTGGTGTGGACTGTTTTTATTGATTGTTCTGAGTACTGGAGGACTACTTGCAATCTGAAATTTCATATCCTTCACTACAGGGAAGGTTTTTTGCCTTGTTTCTTTGATAATTTTCTTCTCTCTCTCTTTCTGTCTCTGTCTCTGTCTCTCTCTCTCTCTCTCCCCCTCTGTTCAACTTTCTGGGAGGGTTTTTTTTCAAGTGTATATATTTTTTTCATTCTTTTGGTCATATTTTTAATTTCTAAAAGCTATTTTATTCTAAGAATGTTACTTTTTATAGCCTCCTGTTTTTATTTGTGGGGTGCAGCATCCTCTCCTAGCTCTCTGAAGATATTAAATATATGTTTCTTATTTTATTCTTTTCACATTATAGGCTATTCTTACATTTCTAGTTATCCTGGGCTGCTGACTTATATTTAAGAAAGAGGTAGGCTGGGCGTCGTGGCTCACGCCTGTAATCCCAGCACTTTGGGAGGCTGAGGCAGACGGATCATGAGGTCAGGAGATTGAGACCATCCTGGCTAACACGGTGAAACCCCGTCTCTACTAAAAATACAAAAAAATTAGCCGGGCATGGTGGCGGGCACCTGTAGTCCCAGCTACTCGGGAGACTGAGGCAGGAGAATGGTGTGAACCCGGGAGGCAGAGCTTGCAGTGAGCTGAGATCATGCCACTGCACTCCAGCCTAGGCAACAGAGTGAAACTCCATCTCAAAAAAAAAAAACAAAAAAAAAAGAGAGAGAGAGCGAGAGAGGCAATAAAGTACTAATCAGAAGATGTGGATGGCAGAGTCATCCATTGATGGACCTGAATATAGAGTGATTGGATGGTAAGTGATCTTGCTGTTTTATTGAGGTGAACCCTAAACTATCAGTAGCTATAAGTCTTCTTTTGGCTTCTTGTTTGGTTTAAGAGGATTCCTGCAATCTCCTATGGAGGGAAATAGGATGGAAGTTGGGTGGAGTATAAGCTGATGAGTAAGGAAGGAAGTTGAGAGTCTTGCCATTCATTCTGGTAATCTTCCAGTCTTTTCTGGGAATAAGGAGGGACAGTCATCTAACTGCATAAGATTAAAAGGAAATCCTGGGTCCTGCAATCGCTCCGTCTTTCAGCTTATCTTGTAACCCTACCAACAGAGGCAACCAATTGCTCAAAGCCCTAAGCACTTCTAGAGTCCTTGCTTCTTGATATATTTATCTACCTTAATAGAGTTTATACTAGAAACGTATGTCTTTACACTGCCTTCTCTTCTGCCAAGCCAGT